>NC_000005.10:60734807-61359807 GCF_000001405.40 Homo sapiens | reverse complement strand
ACCTACTTCTTACAGTCGTTTTGAAAATAAAATGAGTTTAGAAAGTAAAGACTTTAGATCACTACCTGGCCCCTAGAAAGCACTTTATCAATATTAACAATTGTTGCTCTTCAAGCATCAAACCCACATCCAAAATTGAGTTCCTTGTCTCCCAAACAGAATCTAATTCTGAAAACAGTCCCATCATCCTTTCCCTCACCCAGGCTCCAAATCTGAGGTGGTTTTCTTCACATCATAAGCAAAATCTGCGGGTTCCCTCTTTAGCAAGTCCACCCATCTTCATTCACCTGGTGTACGCCTTTAACTAGCTTGGATGAAGGCACTCCCCCTCCCCAGGGATTTCTCTGCTTGCAGCTTCCAGGTCATTCTACAGGTGCCCTAGAATATTTTTTTAAAGGGGAGGAGAGCGGTCAGATCACGTCATTCACCGCATAAAAACTACCAGTGATGCCCAAGGTCACAAGTCCATTCAGCCACATACGGCCTTCCTGAACCCCTGCCTTCTTTCTTAACAGTAGTTCTCACTATACCTGTCTCCTATTTGCATCCTCAAATCTTGCACCCCAACCACATGAGAAATCTCTGACATTCCCCAAACTCCCCCTTTGGTCCCTCCATATCTGGATGGAATGCCCTCTCTGATCCACTCCCACTGCAGAGCCTTATCCTTTCCATCTCATTGAGAGCTAACTTCTCTTATTCTTCTTAAGCATTTCACCAAACCATCACTATCATAATTTACCACTATGTGTGTTATATGTATTGCGCTCTTAATGAGACTAAGGTTCATTACACCTGAAATGTCCTCTATACAGCAGAGCTTCCCCATATGAGAGATTAAAGTTCCCAGACAGCAAAACCTCAGCTCTTGAGCCAGCCAAAGCCAGTAGTGTCCAATCACTAGCCTGTTAGCAGCTTATCTACAATTAGAAATCACCTCCTACCCCAGTGCAGTACAAATTATTTTCTGTGTGCTATGAGGTAAAAGAGACTGGGAAGCACTGCTCTATAGCGTCTGGCTCAGCACCTTAAACCAAAACAACAGCACTGGTCTTCCACCAGAACTCAAGAAATGTAAAGAACTCCTTCTCCATTTCCAAATTTTTACTAGCAGCATTTCCTTGTACTGGTAAAAGCTCTCAAGTAAAACCATACCAGTTCCTCACCTATTTACAATTTTCTTAATATTTGGAAAGTGAATAAAAGTTAATGAATGAAAACACAGAACTTTTAAATATAAGACGACTATATGTTCCAGACTCATTTGTATTCGTAAATATTAGATTTTATTTTGGACCATTTAACACATAACTGGATTCTAAGACAGTCAACTGGAATTCAGAACACAGTTCCCTATCAAGTGGGAAAATTGTGGTTAGCTTCTTAGGCTTCCATTTCTTATAAATACTTTAAAACAATACTGCTTCAAATAACAGCAGTTAAATACTACTGTCTGGAAAAAAACATTAACTTAAAAGAATGAGGAAATACATGATTTTTTGCAGATTTTGGGGGATCTTCAAGATCCTTTCAAGGGCTTAAAAGGTTCAAGACATTATTTCTAACTTTAAAATTCTACAAGCTGCATTTTCCTTGTTACAGGGCTATCACTGTAGTAACTTTTATCAGCCATGTATAATCACAATTGAAACAAAAAGAACAGGAAAAAGAGAACACTGGAAAAGTAAAGGGGGCAAGGAAATAACTAGAGGCAAAGAAGACATACAAAATGGTGGAACTTAGTTTTAAGCAATAAATGAGAGGAGAGATAAGAAAAACCATCCAGGGATGTTCCAGGAAAGTTGTCAAAAATTGAGGAGGCAACTTTCCCACGTCTGCCATAAGATGGCGCTAACAACCAAGGACAGCTTGGTAACTCATCAACTAGGAAGAGTAGGGCTAAAACAGGTCCTGGAGTAAACAGGAAATTTTTTTTTTAATCCTTCAAAGGTGTAAGGTAAGGTTTCCAAATTTACAGACACTTGTGAAAACATTTCCCTAGCCAACAGAGAAATTATAAAAGGATGGTTTAGTTTTCATAAAGCTATGATTATTCCATTAAGAAGACTGTCTTCTATTCTGAGATTATTTTTTAATTATATTAGAATGTTTTGTTTTAAACTGTAATTACTACATGAGCCAGTTCTGGGTGTGTTTACCCACAGATACACTCTGAGAGCTCTATATCTCAAGTGAGCTGATCACTGCCAGACCCCATTTCTCAGGCTACTAGATCAGCTGGCTTTTCTCTGGGTTCAGTCTACAAGAGGCACTGGTGCAAAACTGGAAGGTGAGAAGGAAGGATTCACAACATTTCTCCCACTCCTTCCATCTCTTCTTTAGGTAGTGTTTCCAGCAATGGCTGCATTGCTTCCATGGCTCCAGCTCCTACTTGCCCCTACCAGGAGGTTTCAGTCTCCTGAGGTGAACCCTGGCTCCTAAATTCCCATAGCCTAACCCTAGTGACTGTATTATCTTTGTGTATTATTTTCGTGCTGCTTTAAAAGCCCTCATCATTCAATCTACCTTGCTGTTTCAGCTGCATAACCTGAATAACCAATACCCTGCACTGAATTCCTGTTTCAAAAACTTAAGGGTAGTTTCTCTTTTCCTGGGTGGACCCTGACCACTACATTAGGCCAGTGGTTCTGTGCGTATCAGAATCACCTGGAATGCTTATTAAAACCCAGATGCTAGGCCCCATCTCCAGAGTTTCCCAGTCAGTATGTCTATGTGAAGCCCAAGAATGTGTATCTCTAACAAATTAAGAGGTGATGATGATGCTATTGAACCGGAGACTACATTTTGAAAAATACTACAAAAAACAAAGAATTGACCATCTTACGTTGGTCTGTTTCTCCTCCTTTTTATAAACTGGATAGTAAAATCCAAGAAACACTGAAACTCAAGAAAACCCATACTTCTTCTGTCTTTACACTATATACATATTATATATATTACATAATTATATATAAAATATATATTTTTTATTTATCAATTATATATTTATATTATATATAAAATATTTATATATATATTATACATATTATATATAATATATATATATAATATATATTATATATTATGTTATATATATTATATATATAAAATATGTATATTATATATTATGTTATATATATTATATATATATCAAACCTGTAAGACAGCTTATTACTATAAAAGCCAACGTTTTTAAGGAATGAGGGTTTTCTCTTTTTTAATTTTCACAGCCAAGTCCAAAGGAATGATTTTTTAAAGTAAATATATTAGGTTGGTGCAAAAGTAATTGCAGTTTTTGCCCTTACTTTCAATAATTTCATTAATAGCATTCATTGTATTTTACCAGAAATAAAATCCCAAATATCATAACCAACCCACTGAACTTCTACGAAAATAAAATGAATTCTAACTCATTGTAAATAACTCAGCCAATGAAGTCTGAAACCTACAAAATAATCAATTGGCAGATGGTTCTTCTGCCTTAAAATTTAAGATAAAAAACAGTCTCAAATAATGTGAAGGGCAACTTAAAAAAAGTGTTTGAAGCTGGGCATGGTGGCGTGCACCTGTAGTCCCAGCTATTTGGGAGGCTGAGGCAGGAAGATCACTTGAACCCGAGTTCGGGGCTGCAGTGAGCTATGATTCTGACACTGCACTCCAGCTTGGACAACAGAGCAAGGCTCCATCTCTGCCGAAACACACACACAGACACACACACACAGTGTTTTGAAACTAAGGTTTAAGAATCACTACAGTGTTTAGATTTATGCTGGCAAAAAGTTAAAATCAAGTATGTAATCAAATCATAACTGAATTGTATACATAAACAGAAAGAACTTATTATGAGACCAAAGGGCCTAGAGACTAGCACTAATTAAAAAATAATGAAGCCACTATGTAATTTTAAATTTCCTAGTAGTCACATTTTAAAAATTAAAATAAACAGGCTAAATTAATTCTAATAATACTTTTAACACAAATATTATCATTTCAATAAATTGTTCATAATGTTTTACATTCTTTTTATTGCACTAAGTCTTCAAACTCTGGTGCATGTGTTACACTTTCAGTAATCTCAATTCCAGCCTGCCACATGGCTACCACATCAGACAGCAAAATTATAGATGAATTAAAATTTGCCAGTCTCTTTACTGAACAGATTGATATTTAGCATAATGGTAGCAATCTACTATCCTTTTCTACAAATTACTTGTAAATTATATTTTTTAAAAGTTTAAAGCTTTAAATGTATTGTTCTCTAACACTTAGTTACAAAACTAAGTTAACATTCTGGCTCCTGCCATCTAATAGTGTGTGTGTGTGTGTGTGTGTGTGTGTGTGTGTGTGTGTGTGTGTGTGTGTGTGTGTGTGTGTGTTTTAAAGTCTCTCAAGAGATTCGCACTGTAAACAGGTAAGCTACATCACTTAGCTACATCAATACCATCACTGCTATTTATTTTTCTAGTCTGAAAGCCGGGGGCATCTCAACTTGACTTTCTCTAGCCCAAAGGAACACCCAGGAGCCACTGTAGGCCTCCACTGGCACCCAGAATAAGGAATTCTCATCTCCTGGGCTTGAGAACAGAAAACTAAGTCACAACTACCAAGCTAAATACCCAAGCTGACGTATCTGGTCCTTTGACAAGGGAAACTGATATAACCCCATCACTAATTCAACAGCAGCAGTTACTCAGTGGGGCTAGTAGAATTGTGATAAACAAAAAATATCAGTCACATTTTTAATGTGATTAAAATAATACTTTAATACTGAATTAAAAACAGGACAAATCAGCTTGAGATACCTTTAATTACTCATGATCTGTAAAATGAGACCAGATTATAAAATTAAAAATCTAAATAGACTACAAAATAGCTCTTACTTTCAGTAGAAAGTAAAATAAAGTACAACATATATTGCCTTAATACAGTTGATGATCAAAATGCAGTCTAAGAATGGAATATATAATAAGTCACTGAATACAGAGGCAGACTATAAGTCATAAAATGGTGCTTTGAGAAACTCCCTCAACTGTCCTTAATATTCAAAATCCAGGGTATGATAATGGTTTACTCTAGAATCAAGTGATGTATGAATTTAAATTAGACCCTAAAGAAATGCAGGGGGATTGAAATGGAGCCTCTAATACCAAACAACTTATGAACCCCTCAAAAATAATGGACTGTTCCTTCGCTTACCAGAAAGTGAGTTTTCTTTTGCACATAAAACTCTTGCCATAAGCAAAAATGTACTTGTGTGTCTATGCAAGAGTAGTGTGATAATTACATACTTTTGGGGCTTAAATACATCTCGTGTCACGTCACACCTAAGGCATACAGTTATTTCATTTTGAACCATTCACTCCAGAGAGTAATTATTCATCCTATAACTTGGTCATAAAATGCAGAGCTTACTCAGTATTTCAGCAATTGTACAGCATAGGTGGATTTTTACATGGTACTTCTATAAATCAGATAACCAAAACATGTACCTTAATAAGTTAAAGTGCTAAAATTATGGTGAGTTATATAGACTTCCTAAGCTTTTAACTTGTGCCCAGTCTACACAGAAAGCTGCAAATGCTACAGGTAGATCCAACTATGGAATAAAGTTGAACACGCAGGCAGTTAATCTGAGCAGGGATAAGTACGATGGCAGCAGGAATGAGGTCACAAGAAGGCATGAAGACATTCAAAAGACCATTCCTGGATGCTGCCTGGAAAGATAACCTTTCCTCATCAGCAAACAGAAGAGTTTCCTAAAACAAAGCGGGGAAAGCACATTTTAAGGCTTGCTCTAAGAGTTAGGTCTTTAAGCTATAATTCGGTAGTAAGAGAATGTCTACAGCATCTGCTGAATCTATCTACAGGGCTGCCAACACAATCCACAAGAACTCGAAGTTGTGCCTTCCAGTAACTGAGGTGTGTGCACCTCTACTGCCTCACACAGCTTGTTATACTCATCTGTTTCTGAAGGATGTCCTACACACATTGCCCCAGTCTCCCACTAAAAATCGAGAAAATGGTAATTGTTTCAAGTCAAAGTATTTATGTCACTAAATGTTGTGACTGAAATTATTTGTAAATGTCCAACAAAGAAAAAGTCACCCTCAACTGAGTGTAGTATCAGCTCCAAGGAACAAGAAGGTACTATATCGTGAATGGGTTACACATCCATTACTACTTATCAAAGAGAAAAAAATAAAACATAATACATTCAGAAGTAGTGAAACACTGCTCAGAGGTCAGGCCACTATATTTGAATGGTATCACAGACCAAGGAGGACTGTGAATGACACATGTGCAAAAAGACAAGCTGCCTCTAGCAACACTTGGAAAACAAAGTACAACATGATCCCACTTGAGAGCTGGGAGGCCTAGGTGTTCAAGTCCAGCACAGACTTCCCAGATGCTCCTGACAAGTGACTTAACATATCTGTTTCCTCAGCCTTAGAATGAGAATACCTTCTCCTCAAAGTTGTTATGAGAGCTAGAAATCATGCTTGTAAAGCACAGAACTGGTACTACCCAAAAGGTGGTCAATATGTTGAGCTGCAACAATATAAAATGGCAAATAAATGTGTTTCAAATGAGAGCTCATCCCAATCCTCATCCCAAACAAGACACTGAAAAATTTCAGGTTTCTCCAAGACCACTTTGAGACAGAAATGACTTTCATGTGGCAGATCATTCTACCCTGCTACTTATGTTAACTTGAGGAAGCAAAGATTAAAAACAAACTGAAAAAAAGCTCAAGCATAAGCAAGAATGCACAGATCAACAGACGGGGAAAAAAAAGTTCAGGCAGACTTGCTATGGCCCACAGTGACCTGCACATGAGCTCCAAGGTCAGTGCCTTGCCCCCATGACCAAACACAGTTGCTCATCCAAGAGAACTGACAAGACAGGAAAGAAGAGAACTGACCTATGCATGTGAGCAAAAGAAAGTCTCGTGCTCTAACTACACACCTACCACCATCTTGCAATCTTTGGCTGCAAACAGGACTGTTTGGTTTTTCCCTGTAATACATGCCAAACAGAATGTATTAGAGACTATGTCATATAAATCCACATTCTAAGACAACTGACCTTGATAAAGTACTTACTGTAATTAAAATAGCATACCGTTTCTTAAACTCAGATTCTAAGAAAGTGCCTCTAACCATAAAGGTGAATGCAAGTGTACCTTTGGAAAATCTGGGAGTGGCCCAAAGTAGCCAAACACACAAAACTAGGCTGTATTTTTCAAACTGGCATATTCTTTGTGTGATGGGTGTGAAGCAATAGATAGATGGAACCACTGAATAAAAGCAATGCCTCCTCCTGGAGAGTTATGAAAATATTCCCAAAGTAAAACACCACTTCCTTCATCCATTTATTCAACAAACTTTTATTGAGAGACAACTATGTGCAAATGGTTATACTGATAGCCATGGATACAAACAGATGTACATATACATATTCACACACATATTTACAGTTTCTGCTCTCCTGGAGCCTACAATCTCATGGGAGAGGACAATCCAAAAAAGAAAAATCACACAAAAAACTATGATTAGGATTCAAAGGAGGTAATTTGTTGCCAGGATTATTTCTCTGAGCCAAGATGACAATTAGGGCATGAACCAAGCACAGAAGAGCATTCCAGACAGAAAAAAGAACATAGGCAAAGGCAGGTAGCAGGGCAGCCTAGACACATCTGAAAGGCAGGAGAGGACATTGTGCAGAAGGTGGCTGAGGGTCCAGGCCAGACCATGCTGGGCCTTGTACACCCATGAATGACTTCAGGCCTCTGAACAAAGGGACGCCACTGAAGGTTCTGCACAGGGTAGGTATGAACAACACCATCCTGGCTGCAATATAGATTCTAAGAGCTGAGCCCTGCCTGTCTAAAGTTTGCAAGCTGATTAACACTCTTATACATACACAAAGTCCACTCTTACACATGCATGTGTGTACAAACATAGCATATAAAATTTTTTTAATGGCGCTCTATGGTACAAATTAGAAGTGCAGAAAGGACACTAACAGGTCAGAAAGGGGGGAAATGCTTGATGTGATGGCTAATCCAGTCTAAACTTCACTGAAAATATTAAACTGTGATAGCAAAAATAGAATGTGGAATAGGTAGTCTGGGTCATATCACCACAACTTTCCAAGGCAAGGATTTATGAGAATACCCAAAAATACAATTGAAAAAACCACAAGTAAGATTTGAGTTCATAATAAGCCCTTAAAATTTTATTTGAAATTATTTTTCTGAATAATTTATTTGTAAATCTTTAAATTGGGGGAAATGCTAACCAACTCTCTTCATTTATTAATGAAAGTTTCCAAAAGAAGGGAATGTAGATCTTAGTGCAGTCATATGACATAAGGAATTCACAAACATAAATCTAAGAGTTGTTCTATCTTCTTCCATCTTCCACTTGCCATGGTACATATTCAGGGAAGCCTGGAAACTAAACCCTAAGTGATGAGGTCAGCCCACAACTGTCCATTCTACACATGAATAACATAGAATTGATTTTAGCTGTCCCTTTTCCATTTTCAGGCAAATTCTAGAGTTCCAAGTGAAGACAAAAATTCATTAGTCACTAGGGTCAAAAACAAGGGAGAAATTAGGACATTAAGGCATGATACACCTCGATGAATAAAAAACATGCTCTGTTTAGCTGCACTAGATCAGGCAACAATTATAATAAACTATTAACAAAAATATATCTGTGGATAGAGAAATTTGTGTTTTAATGGTAATGAGACAGATTTTTTTAAAACAATGTTTCCTTTCTCTAATTATGAAATCAATATATGATTACAGAGTTTTTGAAAAATACAGAAAACTAGAAGAATAAATGAAGGAAATTAGGTAAAACTGGAGTGATGTGTAACAATCTATTTCCCTTTTGTGTACTATTTAGAATTCAAATACTTTCATGTATTCCCATGTGAGCCTCTTAGCAGCCTTACGACAGAGGTGATAAAGATATAATTAGTCCCATTTTATAAGGACTTGAGGAAGTTCAGGGCCAGTAAGTGTCCTGCCTAGAGGCACACGGATAGTAAGACAAGACGCCTCCTAATGGCTCAGGTATCTTCCCCAAGCTCCTGACCATGTGATTAGCAAATGATACGTTACTTAAGTGCAAGTACCTAAAATGAAAGCAGTACCTGTGAACAACAATCTAAGATTGCTAAAACAATACAACTTCAAATAAGAATATAAAATTTACATATCTTTAAATTGAGAAAAAAAATCAGGGGTGGTGACATCAAACCCATGGAGACTGAGAATCTCTTAACTGCTTCCTTTTCGTCTGAATAGGAGATACAGACAGAAATGTATCTCCTATATATGAAAGATTGAGGAGAGCCCACTGACGGAGACCAGAAATAAGCCAAAGGTCACCTTTCAATCCCAAAAAACACCACCTTCCCTCTCTTACTCTCTCCCTATACACACAAGTGCACATAGCGCACAATTCTAAACTGATTTATATCTTGCCCTCTTCCTTCTGAGAAACAAGATGTATGCCTAGGGTAACCATAGACTTTATTATCCAAACTGGAACACTTGTACAAGTGAAAGAGGTGACTGTATAGGAAAAGAGACATAAGCCAAGACTGACTGGACAAATGGGAACAGGTGGTCACACAATATCTGGATAACCCAGCCCTCTCAGGGGCCAAGCACTGAGAGTACAGCCCTATTGTTAAATTATTGTTCAGAAAACTGCTCTGGAGTACCCCATGTTATGCAAATTGAGTCTTAAGCAAATTCTACCTCAAGAGAAAGTCATCAGCATTTTGGAGACCAGTGTAGCAAACCATTCCTATTAATTAGACAGTGTCATTTCACAATGTGTAAGATCTTGTGGGATATTCTGAAGTTATGTGTTTTTTTTGCATATCATCTGTGAGAGGGAGAGTTTTCAAAAACTAAACTTAGTTATACCAATTTCTTTTAAAAATGAAACATCAAATAGAAGGAAAAAGCAATCACTTAATCCCACAAAGGCATTTATAATTCAAAATTATTTTTCTAGGTAACCCAAAAGTACTGTTCTATATGGGAATATTCAAGTTACTTTCTGTTTAGAAGTTGGAATCATCTAATAAATAAATTGCTTTCAGAATAGCTTTTGGCCTGATGCTACTACTAGCAAGTTAACAAGCTTAAAGAAAAGGTCTCGTCAAATGAGAAGAAAAAAAAAAGAAACCCTACACGGTATTTGGAGAAATATATTGATGACAAACCCAGTACTGAAAACCAGCCTACTTATCCAGCAGTCATATTCCTATTCACCTCCCTCAAAGACTATGCCACAGCAATTCACATTCAGAAAATCAAATAGAAATTAGAAACTGGAGCTATTTTTTTCAATTAAGAGAATTTCATGCAGACACCCACAGGGCTGGCATATACTCTAAGGCTATCATTCATTCAAGTGACATTTCAATGTCTACTATGCATATAATGCACTGGCACTGTTAATACAGTAGTTGGCTGTTCTAGATTTAAAATTTGCCAGAATTTTTTTTCAAACTAGCAGATTCATCTTTCACTCCAAAAAAAGACTTTGTATTTAAATGCTCTGTAATTCTCACCCCAAAAAAACAAGACTAGAAATACCTGCTAAACAATGATAAATTCAAAATGACTACTCCATAACAGTGTATGGTAGAGTATTTTTACATCTGTTAGCACTCCATATTTTGATTCAATTTGATTAGACAACTGATGCTTCCTTCATCAAAGATGCTTAGAAATCTACAATCCTACAAAGGATATTCTGATTTCTCATTAAAAAAAACTGTCCCTCATTTTCTCCGATTTTTACATTAACGATGAGTTCCACAGCTGTGTTCTCAAATTTGGAAAAGACCGTGAATCAGGCGAGGGTCAGTCTCCACAACAATCCCTTACAGAAGGGATTGTTCTACCCACATTCACTGGAGAGACAGAATGCCCCTCAATCTAGAAAGGAAGCCAGATTATCTAAATGGATCTGGTTTACTATTACAGATTTTTAAGAAGAAACAGTATGAATCTAAGACATAGAATGTTTTAGGATTATTAAATAAGGCTTCCTGAAAGAGTTGGGTTCAAAGCTCAATTCTAAGACAAGGGAAACAAAAGAGGAAGAGAAAATTAATTGTTGCACAATTGTAAAGGATCGAAGAGGAAAACAGCAACTCATAAATTTTTAAACTAGCAGTTTAAATGTGGTAAAGCCAATAAATCCCTGAAACGACCCTAAAATAGACTGTCATATACTGAACTTTTTACAGATTACATTCTGAACTATAATGTTTCCTATCTTTAACAGGAAGTATGAAGGGGGAAAATCTAGATGTGAAAAGTTTTTATACAAGAATATTAAATAAGCAGCCCAATGAAGTACAAATACCTGAATGGAGGTAGGGGTGAGAACTCTCTATATCTAAATACGGCTACATGAATTTTTTGGTTTTTCAGAGCTTAATCCACCATGGCTTAACCCACTACCACCAAGACTCATCCTACGTATGCTATTTTAAAAATACAAACTACATTCTTTTTTAAATCTTGCTTTTGTTTTTTGTTTTTTTGAGACAGTCTCACTCTGTTGCCCAGGCTGGAGGGCAGTGGCATGATCTCAGCTCACTGCAAGCTCCACCTCCCGGGTTGACGCCATTTTCCTGCCTCAGCCTCCCGAGTAGCTGGGACTACAGGCGCCCGCCACCACACCCGGCTAACTTTTTGTGTTTTTAGTAGAGACAGGGTTTCACCGTGTTAGCCAGGATGGTCTCAATCTCCTAACCTCGTGATCCACCCGCCTCAGCCTCCCAAAGTGCTGGGATTACAGGCGTGAGCCACCATGCCCGGCCCAAATCTTGCTTTTTTTTAATTCAAAAAGATCACATGCTTAACATCAACTTGGTTTCAAAAATACTTCAGGTCTTAAAACCAAGGGTACTATGACACTTATTTTGCCGTTTGTGAGTTTCATGTCGAAAAGTGGACGTTTTCAGCATGAAAACTTATCTTCAAAACTCACCAGGACATTCTATCATAAATTAGGATATTTTCACAAACAATACAGTTTTCTCTTTAATATTCTATATATTCCATTTCTTCCACATCTTTGTGGTCCAGATGCTTAAAGTTGAAGTGGTCCTGGATTTTCATAAGCACGCACAGCTTATTTGCTTCAATAATGTTGTAGGTGAGGCCTTTTTCTCCTAGAGCTGTCCTGTGCCCCCTATGCACCAGAGGTAGGTCTCATAGTCTGGCTCCTCTGCTTGGTTTACAGGGAGATCCAAGTTCACAACAATGGTGACTTGCTTCACATCAATCCCTCCAGTGCAAACATTTGTTGGTATGAGAAACTTCTCATCCTGAAACTTCCAAATGATGGAAACTCACTGCTCCATGGTCAGCTCTCCACTTAACAAAGACACCTGGTGGCCAGCCTGCATCATCTCCATGATCAACCACTTGGCATTTCAATGAGTCTGACAGAAGATGATGGCCTAGCCAATGGTGATGCCACCATAAATGTTGCACAGAGCTTGGTATTTGTCTTTCCTGTTCTTGCACAACACGTAATACTGCCAGATGTTGTTCAAGGTCAGCTCCTCTTTGCGTAACTTGGTAATTTAGGGATGGGTACAATTCACTCAGCAAAATGCCACACGGAGTAGCTATGAGCTACTGAAACAAATTCATACCCAATTACATAACAGTAAATTTTGAATAAACTCATAGTTACTAGCTATTATATCACTAATTGTTGTCTAACACATCTAAAATATAAACTACAAAAAATTTTAATGAAAACAGTGAAAACCTTGAATGAAACTTGAATCTGTACTTTTTTAAAAAATTCATCCATTTTAAAATAAAAGTACTTTGCTACAAATTGTTAAAATGAATAGAGTATTTTAACGGCTTTTTCCCCCACAGTAGTAGTCATTATTGAAAGCAAAAATGCAATACAATCCAGGCCTTTGGAATTTCCTGCTATTTATGAAACAGCTTAAACAAAATGCCTCTTTAGTAAGTTGCTAAGGGAGATCCATGAAAACTGCAAAGAAACTGCTCTGACAAGTTCTAATAAGGAAAGTCATCTGAGCACTTTGCTTATAAAAACTCTAAACAGCACTAATCAAACTACCTACTGGGCTTTGGTTTTAATAAGGCATGTTAAGCTAGAGCTCACATCAATTTACATGACTCACCTAAACAAAACGTAAATTGCATTAAAGATACAAAAGGTAGTCTCTTACCCACTAACATCCAGTACTCTACAATGTTCTATGCATCATATTAAATTATACATATACACATATCTAGAGAGATACATTGATATCAATAGGTCAGCTGACAATCTATCTCCAGGCCACTTTTGAATTATCTACTATAACCTCTAACTACAGAAAGATTACACTATGATATAGTTCAATGAACTTGATATTCTATCCCCAAGATATTCACTATGTTTCCTAATAATTCAGCAAACTACCCAACTTGCTGTCATCCAAAATATAAGAATCTGTTTTAAGATTTAAGAATGTGGGCCAGGCACGGTGGCTACCGCCTATAATTCCAGCACTTTGGGAGGCAGAGATGGGTGGATCACCTGAGGTCAGGAGTTCGAGACCAGCCTGGCCAACATGGTGAAACCCCGTCTCTACTAAAAAAAAAACACAAAAATTAGCTGGGCGTGGTGATGGGCGCCTGTAATCCCAGCTACTCGGGAGGCTGAGGCAGGAGAATCACTTGAACCCGGGAGGCGGAGGTTGCAGTGAGCTGAGATCGCGCCACTGCACTCCAGTCTGGGCCACAGAGCGACACTCTGTTTCAACAAAAAGATGTAAGAATGTAAATAAACTCTAAAACATCTGCCTTCTGTTGTATACTAGACCAAGCAATTCACCTTTCACTAAATCCCTCAACATAAGCTTTCTTATTTCCATAAGAGTAAATTCAGCAGAATTCATCCAATAACTACCTTAAAGATAATGTGAAGAAAATCAGTTTGATTCCATTTCTAGTTATTTGGGCCAATTAGTTTGTGTTACCTTAAGAAGGGTGTCAGATCATTGCACTACTAAACGTTATCCTGCCATCTGATGGATTTAAGAACATTACACCACTACTCACTGGATAAGCAAATAATCATCAGCGTTTCCATTTGTATTCAGTGTAGCTCATGGTACAACACAAATCATCCCCAACATGCCCTCAGTTTTTCTATGTACCTTTATAGAAAGAATACAATTACTATTCTTACTAAAGTCCCTTCCAAAGATACAAATTCACCTTGTGACATTTTTCTTTCCAAAATTACTCAAGAACAAATACAACATATTTACAGATAGCCACATTCTTAAATTCATATATGCATCCAAAAACTTTAAACTCAATTTGCAAACACAATCTACATAACACTGGCTCTAGGGTGTATAGAATCTAGACCCAGATACTAATATTTCAACTAAAACCTAGCTGCTCCCTACAAAAATGAACAGTAAGTTTTAAATATATTACTAGAGTATTAACCAAATCTAAACACACACAAATGAGTTAGCCAAGAGAACAGGGATAACTGTAGGAAAAACAGTATGTGTTTCTTTTTAATGTCTGATGGCACCTATAATTATATAAACTAATTCAGACTCCACAACTTCAACAGCTACAGCAATTTTAAGAACCCCCGAGGCATAGTAAATAAATCAGGCAAATTTCACACCTCTTGGTGGCACCGCAAAATGAAAAGTATTGAGCTGGATTACACGTCTGACCTGACAAGACAATTCTTAAATCTTTCTCCTACCTAAAATAAACTATACATTACATATTCCAAGATTTATGTATGGCTACTATTAAAGATCAATCACTTCTAAAAACATGTACATCCTATTTCAGAAAAAATAAAAGCAAATAGAGTACCACAGCACAGAATATGTCTGAAATTTAGTTTTGTTTGATATCTGAAAGTTAAGTTTTTGACATTTACCAGCAGTCCCACAACGTGCTGACCCTGTGCCGTCGTGGCCTGGTGCCAGCCTGATGTAGGGCCATGCTAAAAATAGCAGCTAAGCAGCAGCTGTAACACATAGGTCCTTCTGACCTCAACTTTATTTCCCTAAAGGGTGATTGGAGGAAGAGGGGGACAACTGGAGGGAATGAGGGAAATGGAATATACTCTCAGTAGGTATTACTTATCTCTTCTGATTTGTCTTCTTTTCTACCACACACTCCTTTCTCCTCCCTTCCCTCACCCCATCCCCAAGAAAGGAAAGGACAGAGGAAAAGAAGAAAGAAAATGAGGGAAGAAAGGAAAGAAAGAAAGAACAAACTGGAGCTGTGAGGCAAGTTGAGTTCACAGTCTTCCGCACCTGCTGCCCTCAAGTCTCACTTGATTCTACCCTGCCATCATCACAAAGCAGCCATTGGTCATTTCACTCATCAGCTTCACCACTGTCTAGAGAAAAGTATAAACCACAATCGTGAAAAGACTGGCTAGTTCACTGGGCTGAACGTATATCAGACAAAAATTACACAAGTGGTATTTGGGGGAAGAAGGGAAAAAGAACTGTAAAAATGGCATCAAGAATACAAAATCCTGGCCAGGCACAGTGGCTCACACCTGTAATCCCAACACTCTGGGAGGCCAAGGTGGATGGATCACCTGAGGGCAAGAGTTCCAGACCAGCCTGGCCAACATGGTGAAACCCCGTCTCTACTAAAAATACAAAAAATTAGCCAGGCGTGGTGGCACGTGCCTGTAATCCCAGCTTCTCAGGAGGCTGAGGCAGAAGAATCACTTTAGCCCAGGAAGTGGAGATTGGAGACTGCAGTGAGCCAAGATTGCACCACTGCACTCCAGCCTGGGTGACAAGAGAGACACTCTGTCTCACCAAAAAAAAAAAAAAAGTCCAAAGTGCTAAGGATAAGGAAACTTGCAGAACACTAAAAAACAAAGTCATAAAGGAACAGGGCTAACATATTACATATTTAAAAGTTTGCTCACATAAAACAACTAGATTACAAACATGATATTTGGGTTTTAGAATCTTATTTTATGACAAGTACTTATTATAAAAATCACAATATTCTTTGTAGAAATGAGTTAATAGAAAAGGTAGCAGCAGGAGTAAAGGTTCAGCATGACCAGGCCTCTACCAACAAAGACCTACAGCCACACCAGAAAAGACTCCAGGTATGCCCCTTATACCTAAATTACAGAATCCCTACACAGTACTACACTCATAAAAATGCTAGTAACTATCAGCAAACATTTATCACATACAACCTGGCGTATACAAAATTCTAATCTGTACTGATTGTAATTACGTAAGAGAATTTAAAACTTGCTTTTGTGGACTTATTCTACATGGTATCTTCTCATGTATATTTTCTCTATAAAATCTTCCAACATTAGAGATCTGATACCAACTAACAATGAAAAATACTTTAAGTAAACAGACTCTCAAGGCAGGAATAGGGAACCAGTCACCTGAGTTTTAAGCACATTAATTCACTCAATGAGCTTCCAAAGTATCTGATCAGCTTATTCAGTTAGTAAGAGTTTAAATGTACTGACAGGTTCTACTGCATCCTTCCAATTAACATCAGCATTCAGGAATTGCACAGATAAAACCCTATCTTTCAAAGAATGTCAAATCTCTTTACCAGCAACAAGAAATAATATAATTGTAACATTTTAAAAGGACCTTAAAATGAGATATTTAATTTCTCAAATATATTTTGAAAACCTAACTTTGCTGCATATATACGATTAGATCTAACCTGCAAGTTAATTTCTCTTTCAAAACTTAACATCTCATGGAAGATGATCAAAATCACCCAACACAACCATCCTCCAAAGCTGAAATTCATTCCTAAAAGACATTTTTTTTTAATGTAGTAGTTTTTCAAGTAAAATTTTAGAGTTCTGGAGATTATTTGCGTAACAATGTAAATGTACTTAACACTGCTGAACCACACACACAAAAATGGTTAAGATGATCAATATTATAGTATGTCCATTTTAAGACAACCAAAATTTTTTTAAATCCTAATATGTGTAAATATCCTTATGATTTTTAAATAAATCCTCTCAATTGGAAAAAAATAACATTTTAAAATGATACCTTTGATCACAATTTAAAATCCAGGCCACTGTGAAAGTCACTCTAGAAAGTAGCAACACACTGTAAAGCTAAACCTTCTGGAATAGGTAATGATGATGCATCATGGACAGTATTGCTTGAGCACCAACCAAAGAGGCTGCATGTGTCTGGCTCTGTTTTTAACAGCAATAAAAGTTATTTCTACTTTTTTCCCTGTGTTTCGGTTTCCTCATCTGTAAAACGGAAACAATAATGGTCCCTAACTCATATGGCTGTTAAGAAACACAAAAGGAAATGAGGGAAGTGGAATATACTCTCAGTAGGTCTTACTCACTTCTTCTGATTATATTCCAGGGCAGTATTTGGCACCTGGTTAAGTGCTATGAAATGTTAGTTGTTATTACTCTTACTATTAGTAAATGTTGTAGAAGTGTTAAAGAGTCTCACCATAAATCACATCCAGCTGGTTCAGTGAAGAACTGCCCCAAGTCATACAAAAGGCTTTAAAGGCCGGGTGTGGTGACTCACATCTGAATCCTAGCATTTTAGGAGGCCGAGGTGGGTGGATCACTTGAGGTCAGGAGTGCAAGACTAGCCTGGCCAACATGGTGAAACCCCAACCCTACTAAAAATACAAAAGTTAGCCAGGCGTCATGGCGCATGTCTGTAATCCCAGCTACTCAGGAGGCTGAGGCAAGAGAATCGCTTGAACCCGGGAGGCAGAGGCTGCAGTAAGCTGAGATTGCACCACTGCACTCCAGCCTGGGCAACAAAGGGAGACCCCATCTCAAAAAAAAAAAAAAAAAAAAAAAAGGTTACAGAGAGTACTACAGTTTGGAGACCACATCATTTATGTGAAAGAAGTACATATATGTATAGGTACATCCTGAAGGATTATGTGTATACTATTTACCGGTGAAGGAGGAGGAGGCACGTTGACAAAAACAATAAATTATATTTTAAAAACCTGGTCAAATACAAACAATACTGGAGAAGTTTTCATATATACACTAAGTTGAGAGCAAACTTCTGTTGTTCTGTATCAGCACTTCAAACTTTCAGCAAATTCTTTATTATATGGGTATATGTATACATTCATGTAACAGCAAGTCCTCCACTTAATGCCATCAATAGGTTCTCGGAAAATGACTGTAATCAAAATGACATATTACAAAACCAATTTATCATAGGCTAATTGACATAAACAGTAATTTCCTATGGCATATTTCTGGTCACAAAAACATCACCAAACTTCTAAATAAAGACCACAACACTTCTAATATTAAACATTGAAATGAATGTGAGATGTACATACATTTTACGACGATTAATAAAAACAAGGTAATTCTTCACCCAGTTATTCCAGTTCAAGGTAGCAGGTGGCCAGAGCCTGTCCCAGCAGCTCAGGGAGAAAGGCAGGAACCCACCCTGGATGGGATGCACCCCCATTGTAGGGCACACTCACACACACCCACACTCATTCAGACTGGGGCCATTTAGATGGGACAATTTGCCTTAAGGTGCACATCTTTGGGATGTAGGAGGAAACCAGAGTACCCAAAGAAAACCCACGTAGACACAGGCCGACCATGCAAACTCCACCCAAGATAATGGCCCTGGCCAGAACTGACTTTTTTATTTTCTCATCAATGACATAGTGACACAATGTTATTCAAGGACTTGCTGTATAATCACACAGCTGTAATACAGTTTTGTAGTTAACAATCCTTTTTCTGAACTTTAATCTCAAACATTACTACGATTTCCAAATATCCACAAATGTTTTACACTAGCATGAACTGAGCATGCTAGAACCACTACTGCACTGCAGCCATTAGAATTTAGCCTGAAACTAAAATGCTATCTAGGAATACATTTATTAACATTCAATAAATGTTAGCCAAATAACCCCTCCAAAGAGTTCAAGTTACATTCAAGAATATGCTTGATTTCAGAGACTACCAAACTAAGACACGGCCCAAACAGTAGGAAAAATAAGCAACACGGCTTTGCCATTTCCTATGCCACTCTAAACAATTTACTCAACGAGTTTGGGCCTCAGTTTTCTTACCAGGAAAATGGGAAAAACTGAAATTGAAGTTATCTTTTTATCTCTGAAATCTCCATAGCTCCACTAGTAGATAACAACTATAATGCAAGAGTATTTTATTTACAAAAATACCTTTCCTCTTTCAGCATATTTTAAGAAGAAATGAACTGTGGATCTGTACAGAGGGGTCACTGAAATATGCATGTGGTTACAACATTCAAATTACACCTGGGTTAATTTGTCTCCTTTTCTGTTCACCTGTGGACATCATCACATATATATATTTGTAGACATATATACACACATACATTAGCTGACACAAAATTAGTTAAGCGAATTCCGCAGACATAAAACATTTAGCATACTCAAGCAACAGTTTACTATCAGCTGAAAGTCAATCTTTCAGTCAGCTGAAAGTTCAAAATGACAAGGAATTTTGCACCGTATTGTCTCTGAAGCTTGCTTTAGGGATCTTTTCTAGATGAAAAAAAATAAGGAAATGTCCTATTTTTAAAGAACTGAAAAGCAAGTACAAAGCATATTCTTAGAGGAACACAGGGCACTGAAAGCAAAAACTGAAAAGACAACCAGGTTTTTATCTAACAGACACACTTTACTTTTGAGATCTGGGTAGGATTGACAAACAAAACGTCTCTTCACAAGACAAGACTCAGTAACACTTTTCTCCAAATTATCATTTGATACTGATTTTTTCAAAGCACATGCACTTAAAGAGGGAAACAGTTCGTGGTTTTGAATTTAAAGTAATCCCCAAATATTTACATGTTAAAAAATTAATAAATCACAAAAACTAAATTAGCCTTTTTGTTGTGACAAAGCACTATTTTAAAAATTATACCACAGTAATTTGAAAGGTAGCTAAAAACGGTTTTGTGGGTTTCATACTGTTTACTACCTTTTTAAAAAGACCTGCCTATAACCCGCTTTGTTTCTAAGATATTTATAGTTACCTATAATCTTTCATTTTTAGGATATTTGTGCTCTTAAATATAACAGTTTAAGTCAACAACAGTTTGAGTTTAATGATTGCCCCTATAAAAATTTCTAACACTGAGTTTGTTTTATCATATGTATATGTAAGTAAGCTTCTTAAAATAAAGGTACCAAATTTATTTTGCCTCAGTGAAGAAAATTTACAGTCTAACACAAAAAAATATAAAGCATGTGGAAATAGTACAGATCCAGTCATGTGATTTTTTTTTTGAGACAGGTTCTCGCTCTGTCACCCAGGCTGGAGTACAGTGGTACAATCTCGGCTCACTGCAGCCTGCAGCCTCCACCTCCCAGGTTCAAGCGATTCTCCCGCCTCAGCCTCCTGAGTAGCTGGGATTACAGCGGTGTACCACTACGCCCGGCTAATTTTTGCATTTTAGTAGAGATAGGGTTTCACCATGTTGCCCAGGCTGGTCTCATGTGATTTTTCAAAGGGACAACTCTTATAAAACAAAACATGTCATTCCTACACTGCCTATTACTGAACACATTACTAGCTGAAATCACACATTCTTAACCGTGAATATGAGTGTAAGCAGAAAGAGATGCTGGTCCATATCTTTCCATATGAAACATTCATAGGGTTAGAATTGAGACAGCAATTGATTATCCATTTTTGTGGAAAAAAAAGAGGCCCAGGATAAAAATCTTAAAAATCAGTGAGGACATACTTAGAACAATAATGACTTAAACTGTTCAATTAATTGCAATAATTCTATTAAAGGACATGTTCCAAGGGCATCCTGATGTTTCTAAAAAGGCAGGCATCAGTCTCACAACCGCAAAATAGATGAAACTCAATGCAAAGTGGAAAAAAAATAATGAGGATAGCCTTTTCAATCCCAGGGTGTACTTGTAACACAACTGAGTTGCAAGAAATTAAAGACTTTAAAAAGAATGAAAATGTTTGCTTAACCCAAATCCGCCATTTTCACCTTCCATTATTGTCACTGTCTCTTGAACATTTTAGATTTTCTCAATGGAGCAATATTATCCTTCAGAGAACTAAGTATGATAACAAATTCCAAGTATTCCTAAAACTGAAAATTTAACTTCCTTCAGAACAACACTAAGGACCTATCAAATACTGAAATACTTTCAAAAATCACTTACATAAATCAAACATCTCAACTCACACAAAAGAACAATAAAAAATACCTATGCAACTGGTTTCAAAATGTATTGTGTATTTCATTAATCAAAAGGCAGAAAAAGGGTAGGATCTGACATAAAATTATTCTATATTAACCTTGAAAAAGCATTCAATGAAATGTACTATCAATAAACAAGCATCCAATTTTCAATGTGCATTCAGAATCGTCTTTATTTAGTGATCTCTAGTCTGTAAAGAAAAATCAAAATATTCAAAAACCAATAAATTATCTGACTGAAATTTGTACCCATCTTAATTCTAATAATGTTCTTTTACTGCTTTGCCACCCCCACAAAAAAAAAAAACACACAAAACTTTAAGTTATGAATATGAAAAGAGTGTAAGAATGTGTTTACCAGAATGTTATGTGGAATGCTGGGCGATATTCTTTTCTCCCAAAAGTAAATAGAAAAATAGGCCATTTAAAAGGCCATTCCTTTTAAAATGTATCTCCTTCCTTCAGAAAGGACCCTCACACACACTCAAGCACACACACACACACATATGCGAACACACCAAAACAATATAAATTAAAAACTCAAGGATAATTTTTGTAAGTTTCTTTATTACAAAAATATATGCCTCTAGTTTTAAGAAAAACCCAACCATAAAATAGGTATAAAGTAAAAAGTTAAAGTCCCCCCCAAAAACCTTGACCATTCACTTAACTGCTTTTCTCGAAAAATACCCATACTTCCAAGATTGCTTGTGTAGACTTACAGATGTTTTTATGCATCTATATGCAAGTATTTTTGTTTTAAATACAAATTGCAGCATACTATATGAAGTTTTTAACTTGTTTTAAAATATTCTGGTCATCTTTCCTTGTCAGTACATATAAATCTAATTCATCTTTTCATAGTTGCATAGTATTCCACTGAGTATTTCTTAGGCACTTCCCTTCTGTAGAAATTTAGGTTAACTCCAGCTTTTTACTCTTGCAAACCACACTGCAATGAGCATCACTATACAGAACATCATTATACACTAATATCAGTATTATCTATAGGATAAATTCCTTAGACAGAAAAAGATGGTGTCAAGCAGCAGCGTAGGCAGAATCCTTTTTCCCAAATCTCTTCAACCAATTCTGGGTATTGTCTTTTTAGTCTTCACCAATGTGGTAGAAGAAAATGGCATCTCATTTTTATTTGCATCTCGTTTTTTTTGTTTTTGTTTTTTTTGGGGGGGGAGACGGAATCTCGCTCTGTCACCCAGGCTGAAGCGCAGTGGTGCAATCTCGGCTCACTGTAACATCTGCTTCCCGGGTTCAAACGATTCTCCTGCCCCAGCCTCCCGAGCGGCGGGATTACAGACGCCCGCAACCGCTCTGGCTAATTTTTGTATTTTTAGTAGAGATGAGGTTTCGCCCTGTTGGCCAGGCTGGTCTCTAACCCCTGACCTCAGGTGATCCACCCACTTTGGCCTCCCAAAGTGCTGGGATTACAGGCATGAGCCATCACGCCCAGCCTATTTGCATCTCTTTATGTAAGAATGAAGATGAGTATGTTTACCGGCCATCTACATGTCTTCCTCTCTGAAATGTGCTGCCCATTTTCCTATTGGGTTATCCATCTCTCTTCTTGACAATTTTTGTAAGTTTTCTACCAACCTTTGGTCCAATGTGCTGTAAATATTTGGCCCAATTAACTGCTAAATTTGATTTGTAGTGTTTTCAGCCCTACAGAAACTTTTTGATTTTTTTTTCCTCTTGAGACAGAGTCTCAGTCTGTTGCGCAGGCTGGAGTGTGCAATGATGCGATCTCAGTTCACTGCAACCTCCGCTTCCCGGGTTCAAGCCATTCTTCTGCCTCAGCTTCCCAAGTAGCTGAGATTACAGGCATGTGCCACGATGCCTAATTTTTGTATTTTTTGGTAGAGACGAAGATTTGCCATGTTGGCCAGGCTGCTCTCGAACTCCTGACCTCAAATGATCCACCCACCTCAGCCTCCCAAAGTGCTGGGATTACAAGCGCGACTCACTGCGCCCGGCCCTTTTGATTTTTATCCAATTAAATTTATCTCTTTTCCAAGTTTGAGTTTCAGGTCATACCAGGGAAGCTCTTCGCCAGAAAATAACTTGGGGAAATTTTTTTTTTATGTAACTTCTAAATCATTACTTAAATGATGTCGATAATACTTATATACCAGCACCTATAGAGGCAGCTCCCTTCCAATATCAATATCAATTCTTCTTTTCTTTTTTGAGATGGAGTCTTACTCCGTCACCCAGGCTGGAGTGCAATGGTACGATCTTAGCTCACCGCAACCTCTGCCTCCTGGGCTCAAGTGATCCTTCCACCTCAGCCTCCCAAGTAGCTGGGACCACAGATGCGTACCACCATGCCTGGCTAAGTTCTTCTATTTTTGGTAGGGACAGGGTTTAACCATGTTGCCCAGTCTGGTCTAGAACTTCTGAGCTCAAGCGATCCACCCACCTCAACCTCCCAAAGTTCGGGGATTACAGGTGTGAGCCACCGTGCCCGGCAATATAAATTACTTAACAAAAATAAGCCAACTACTCTTTCTCTAAAATTTTCCTATAATCAACTGATGAGCAAGCTCTGTGCCAATTAAATATTGCTTACAACTACTATAACAAAGGTTTATTTTTTTCCCTTAAATTTCTTTTTAAAATATAGAAGTTGAGAAACAGTAACTACCAATAGGTTTAATTTCTAACAAACCCCTCAATCCTTAAACTATCAACAGCATAAATGTAAAATAAAGTCCAACAACTAGATTTTCCCTATTGTAGCTATAATTTAGTCATCTCTACAAAAGTCAATGAATACTTTCTGTACACTTGTAATTTTGCAATACCAGAAAACTGCTTTATGGTGCTATCAACAAAGTATTCTGTTCTTTTCCATTTTAAGAAACTGAAACAAACAAAAGCGTTCTACCTCAAATCAAAATTATAAAATAAGCCTTTCAAGTTAGCATATCAATTCAAACCACTACTTGAAGCTAAATTAAATGGTTAATCTAGCCACCCTCTCTCTGTTCCCCATAAAGGGAGGTGGGGGGAACCCTGATCATAAGTGTTCTATCTCTCAGTGCCAGCTGCCAGGCATTTAACAGCCTTCCATCTCTAAAGCTGACTGGCACAACAAGTAATACAACTTCGAAGTTAAGGCAAATGGCAGAACTCAGAGGCGAAAAAAGAATATTTTCCACAATTTGTATAGCACTTGTTTAGCACGTATGTGTTTCTGAAGTGGTGGTCAACTCTTCAGTCTACACGAGAAACATCACACCACTTCACGTCAACCACTGCCAATTCCATTCAGTGGCCTCTTCCCCTTTGGGGACTATTCAAAAAGTTACTATTTTCTTTTACAACTACTCACCCAGGCCTCTTCCACTGATGAAAGCAGGCAAAGCCCACGCTGTGTGTCTGTCTCCTAGAGAAGATTGCCTCTTTTATTTATCGCCCCTTGGCTTTATTTTCACAGTGAATTCCTGGCTTAAATGCAATCAGCCAAGAAACCCTCCCTATGCGCTCTCCTGTCATTCCTCATTGCTTGCAAGCGGAGTCAAGCACAGGGAGAGGGAGGGGGAAAAAAAAAAAAACCCTCAACATTGCCAGCCAAGCCATAAAAATTCGCAGACTCTAGTTTGTTATACTGAGAAGCCATAGATGTGCTTCCATCCATCGCTAACCGGCAGGAAACAGACAAACAAACAAAAAAAAAGGTATAACTAGGAAGAATGTTAATTAGATTTGTTTTAAGGAAAAAAGGATAGATGAATAGCCTCAAAAGCTAAACCCCCTCTAGACAGAAGGAAAGAGTGCCCAACATAGAAAAGGCAACACTGGGGGCTGCCTTTGGAAATAAATGACCATGCAGAAAACCACGTTTGCAGATGGCATTAGAATTCAAATTAACCAGACAGGATTAAAACAAATCTTAATTCTTTCTTGGGGACCCTATCCAGACCCCCACCCCACTTCCAAAGAAAAGAAGGATAAAAGGAACTGACTACAGAAAGAGAAAAAGGATTAAGTTAACAATCAAAGAGATAGAGATGCGTCCAAATCTATCCCCATTCATTCGGTGCCGGGTTCACCATGCTACAATTTCAAGTACACTAACATGGGAGGGGGTCAGAAAATATGCCATTTGCAATCAGGAGAAAAAAATGGGAAGTTTCACTACAGCATTGTTCTTTTCAGTCTGGCTCAAACATTCCCATCGCTATGGCTGAAAAAGATCTGGACAGGGGAAAAAGAACATTTTAGGGGAGGGGGAACAGGAGACACTTTTAAACTAAGGTATTTGAGAAAACTCTCAGGATCTGTCAGAGAAAGGAAGGCTGTGCAGCTCTAAATCACAAGTCCTTCTCTCGCCTTTGTCAAATATATTCTACTTTACAAGCCCTGAAAAGAAAGAGACTCTTTTGTTTGGTTTCTCCTTTTCGGAGGGTGACAGAAAACTGAAAGGGGCACAAAAAAACCTGAAAATGAGAACAAAGTGCTGGGTCGTGCCGGGCTGCCGCGCCGCGGGGACGCGGGAGCGGCCGCCGAGCCCTCTGCCTCGCGCTCCTGCAGCCCGCTCGCCCCTTTGGCTGCGAGCGGCAAATCCGCAACTGCCGACCGCGGCTCGCCCGGGGCACCACGACCTGACCACACAGCGCAAACAAAACTCGGGCGGCGGGGCACAAGGGCTGCGCCGCGGCCCGCACAGGGGTGTCTGGAGGCAGCTTCAGAGAAAAGGGAAGCGCTAGCAGCTCCTCCTCAGGCTCGCGCCCTTTAATTAGTAAGCGTCCTACGGGCGAGATGTCCCTCCGGAGACGGAGTCCGGTCCGCCGCCACCTCTCCTCTGCGCCGCTTGGAGACTGAGGAGGCGCAAAGAAAACGACATTTAAACCCCGGGCGGCCAGTGGAGCTCGCCCGGGCCAGACGCCACAGCGACCCGGGAGCGCCGCGGCCGCTCGCCCGTCGGAGCCCTGGGAGGAGCGGCGGCCGAGCGGCTTTAAGTGTATTCCCCTCCCCTCAAATCGCGTGGGGCGGGGGCCAGAAAGAAAAAGGAGCGAGCGACAGGCAGTGGGAGAGGGGGGGAGCGCCGAGCGGCCGGGCCGCGGCCGGCATTGTCTGCGGCCCGCGCCCCCTCCCCCGCCCCGCACAGCCCCGCCACACACACCCTCGCCGGAGGCCGGCCGTCCGCCCGCGCCTTTGTCCACATCCACCCCCGAAACCGGCGAACAGCCCTCCAGGATGTGCTCCCCGGAGGAGGGCGGGTAGGGGAGCGCGGGCCGGGGGCGCGGAGCCCACGGAGGGGCGCGTCCTGCTGATTCATTTCCCACTCGCGCTGGCCCGTCCGGGGCGACGGGGGGCAGGGAAGGGAGGGAGGAAATGGGCGCTCCGCTCAGGAGGACCGTCCGGGCCAGTGAGGACACCCGCAGGGGTGCGGGCGCGCGCGGAACTAGGGGCTGTCCGCAGGAGAAAGGCGGGCACCCCCCCCCCACCCAGGGACTGACGGACGGACAGACGGCTCGCGGCTGCCCCGTGACTCACCGACTTGCAGGACGTTGTCTACGCAGCCGCTTTCCAACAGCGCGATGCCCCGGCGGAAAGGCAGCCGCGTCTCGTCGCCGCCGTCCGCCGCCCCGGCAGCCCCCACCGACGGGGCCCCGGCCCCCGCGGCGGCGGCGGCGGCGGCGGCGGCGGCGGCAGCGGCGGCGGCGGCCGAGGTTGCGGCCGCCGAGGTTGCGGCCGGGGAAGACGAGGAGCCGCCGCCGCCGCCGCCGCCCGCGCCGCCGCCGCCACCGCTGTCGTCGCCGGGGCCGCCCGCGGCGCCGCCGCCGGTGTTGAAGGACGAGTACATGCAGATCTCCCGCTCGCTGCGGGGGAAGGACCAATAGACTATGCGGCGCTGCACCGGCTCCGGGATGCGCTCAAAGCGCTCCTCCACGCGCTGGAACGGCCACTTCTCCGCCACCCTGCGCGCCGCGATGTCCAGCAGCGACTCGGGGCTCTGGGTCTTGCCCGGCGGCAGCAACCCCAGCGCCGCGCCGCCCCCGCACGCCGCCGCCGCCGCCGCGCCACCCGCCCGCGGGCCTGGCCGACAGGCAGAGCTGTAGCCGCCACCCGCGCCGCCGCCGCCGCCGCTGCTGCCCCCGCCGCCGCCGCCGCCGCCCGGCCGGCAGCAAAGCCGTTTCGCGGGAGGAGGCTGCTGTCCGCGCTCCGCCATGACCGCGCCGCTTCTAACCCGACAGCGGAAGTGCCGGGACCCTATAAACGGCACTAGGAAGCGCGACACGCACACGCCGTCGCGACGCCACGATGCCATCTAGGGCCCGCCGCTCCTTGTATGGGCACAAGAGGTGGGGCCTCCGCTGTGACGCAGAAGCTGGGGCGGGGCTCTGATAGGGGGAACCTAGGGCCGGGGGCGGGGCCTATGCAAATCGCTGGGCTGAAACATAAATAGAGCGCTTGGCGGACACGGGGGTGGCGGGGGCGGGCCGTTTTGGTGCCCGGTGGGTTGTGAGAATGTCAGGCTGCTGTGACGCGGGGGAGGGCGGGGTCAGGCGGGGTTCCCGTGGGAGGGGGCGGGCCGCCGGGCCGGGCCTGAGGTGGGTGGGTCTCTGCGCCCCCTGCCTACCCCACTTCCCCCTCCAGTTCTCAGCTTCTCTTTGAAGTCCGAGAAGTGAGGATGCGCCTCGTGGGTCGCAGCGGGGGAGGAAAGGGGAGAAGAGGGGGTGAGCGAAGGGGAGGGTTCTGAGCTAAATGGAGGGCGGGGCCCACGGGCCGATGCCCCACCCCCCCCGTCCCCCTGCCCTTCGGGGGAAAAGCCTCTGGGCGGAGGAGGCGCTTTCAAAACAAAGAAATGCGGCATGGACCCCGGGGGACGCGGGTGGAGAGGAAGGCGGAGGAGGCGCGGCCAAACCCGAGCGCCTGCCAGCTTCCCCTCCAGCCGGTCCAGGGGAGCTCTCCCCACCACCCGCCGAAGCTGCAGCGGGGAAGGGGGAGGATGGCTGCGTTCGGCGGCGGCTTTCCACTTCACTTTTGCAGACCTGGTGTGGAAGGAGCGCGCCCGCTCTGCTAACCCCGCGTGGCTGCAGTGCGCCCATCCCCGAGCCCCGCGTCCGTTCTGTCTCGGCTGCAGGGCTGTGCCCGAAAACACGCAGAGCGCTCGGAACGTGCCCAGCAGCCGCGCGACCCGCGTCCGGTGCCGGCTGCCACCGTCCCGCCCTCGCTGCCTCAGCCCCTCGGGCCAGGAAACCGACCCGCCCGCTAGAAGTCGAGGAGCTCCGGCCGCCCTTGTCGCCCCCGCGGCCGCGCGGACAAGGCCCCGCTCCAGGCCGGGGTTTCTCCAGCTCGGGGTGGAACGCAGCCCGGGCTGTGGGGTTAGCAGACACACCTTTGTGAGTACACACGCCGCAGGGCGCGCGCAAGCCCCACGGGCTCGCGCACACATCGCCCAGCAGGCGGCAGACGGCGTGCCAGGCGGCGGACGGCGGCTTCGGGCGCACTTGGGTCTGCGGCCCGGCTCCCACCCCGGCACCCGGGTGCGCGGCGCCCGGCTGCGCGGAGTCCAGGCGCTCGGGACGCGCGCCGCGCTCTCAGTCGCCTTGGCGGCGCCCGCAGGGCCAGTCCCCTCGGGTCCGGGCAGTGTAGGGGTGGACCAGGGAGAGCGAGTGCAGAGTGCAGCTCGCTGGTGCCTGGACGCGGGCGAAGGCGGAGAAGCGAGTCCCTCTCTGAACCTGGAGCCCTGCGGACATTGTTCGCGCTCCACAGAGCTCGGTCAAATCTGCTTCCAAGCCGCAGACTTAATTACCGCGTCGGAGACAGGCTTCCTCCCAGCCCCACCTTCTGTTTTTACTGTAAACAGTGGTGCTGATCCGCTCCCATTGTTGGAGATAAACTGTATCTCCTTTGACACTTTCGCATCTTTTAAGGTTATTGGCTGCTCCCCACCCGCCTGCCTTGCAGCCTGGATTTAAAGGGATAGCGCGCTTCGGCGTTTTAAAGAAAATCGCCCATTCGGGGCCGAGGCCCTGGAAACCTCGAGCTACACAGTGGGCCTTCACAAGTCCCAGGCTGCAGGTCCCTGGGGTCGGGACGCTGGCCGACTTTCCGCAGCTGCCTTACTTGTTAGGAAAATTTTTGTGGCATTATGTTTTTGTATATCCGTCCAGTATTTTTCTGGGCACTTCCTCCATGTCTAGGAAAAAGCCTGTGCGGAAAACTGGAGGATCTTTATGGGCAAGTAGAGGGAGAAGTCTCTTTCAGGGGTTTCATTTCTAGATCTCTTTAAAAATAAGAATAATCTTATAATTGTGTAAAACATAGGTATAGAAGACAGTAAGTTTAAAAGTAAAACACAAGTTGGGCTCTATTCTCTTCAGAAGTTCATGATACGACTTAGGCTTGTATAATGTGTAGATTAGCAAGCATTTTCACACATAAACACATAGAATCACTGAACTGGAAAGTCAGCGATGACAAAACTGGTGCCCCCAGACAGGATAAATGACTCATTCAGGGTCATAGGGGTTGTTAGTAGAAGAGATTAATTCACATTGAACAGGGAAGTAGGTACCTTTGGAGGTGCCTAACTTTTAGAGCTTTCGTTATTATAACGAGCAAGAGACTGGATTTAAGGCACCGTCGTTTGCTGGAGGGATCTATTATAAGCTCTCTAATTCAGAGACAAATGAGGGGCCACCAGTTCAGCCTGACCCAGCCGGCCCTCCCTGCACTCTCTGGCGCTGATTACTGACCTCCTCTTGAACTGGGCCCCTCTCTGAGTTTCCCGGAATTCTGCCATCCCTCCAGTGTCTCCAACTCCTCTTTTCCCTCTTTTTTGTTTATCTTCCTTCAAACTGTTTAATGTATACCCTGCCCTGCAGCCTATCACGGTCCTCTTCATTTTGCTTGATCCACCACTTGGAGAGTTTCCACCACCCACCCTATAACCGTTTCCTAAAGTATCATCTCCCTCTCTGGCTCACGTATTTCTTCCTGGTGGCCAGCTCACTTTTCCATCACCACCAGGATGCCCACGGCCACCTCAAACCCAAAGAACCACCTTTCCCTAGAATCCAGGTTCTCTTCTTTCGTTATATTTTTGATACTGTTGCCACCTGTTCCCAGGGCCCCAAGCTTTTTCCTCTGCCTTTGCCTCTTTCCTGTAACTCCCACAGTTGACTTGTATTGTCTATCCCAGCCCCTCTGGCTGCTCACAGTCAATTATTCCTCCTCTTCACTCTGCAGGAGCCTCCTCCCTGGTGTGTCTGTATAGCCTTTCCTCCTCCAAATCATCCTCCACCCAGCTGCTGTGCTTCCTAAAGTACATTTCGGATTGTGTCACCCTCCTGCTTAAGTCCCTGTAAATGGCTCTCTGCTGCCTACTGGGAGAAATCCAAACTCAGATCTGATCTTGACCAAACCCAACTTTTCAGCCTTGCCTCCCACTAAAACCCAACAGAACGTTTCCCAGTTCCCCAGCAGGAATTCTGTTATGTCCCAACAGGACTTCTCCACCCCACACATTTGCTCAAGATGTTCCTGCTGCCTGAAATGTCTCTCCCTTCCCTTGCAACTTGTCAAATTCCTACCCTTCCTACAAGGATTTGCTCAAATGCCACTTCCTCTGGGAAAACCCACCTGGCTGTGTGATCTCTCTCTCCTCAAGCCCCTTTAACACTTTGGATCGTTCTTGTGACATTTATACCATTCTGCCTAGCATCAGAGTTATGTTTACACTTGCCTAAGCCATTGTCCTTTCTCTTTCTCTCTCTCTCTCTCTTTTCCTCTTCCTCTCTTCCCTGGTTAGAAATTCTCTGACAGTTGGGTATATGCCTTGTCCATTTCTGTAGTCCCTGAATGCCCAGCATTGTCCTGCAAGGTTTCTGTCTCCCCAGAGGTTAGCTACACCCAGGAGCCAAGGGAGAAGTGAGTGATGGTGTGTCATCTTTGGCTAGTGCTTCTGCCATCTCTCATTTTTTTGAGTAATTATAGTGTTTTTCCTGGTGTTCATAGAAATCATTACTGAATTACTTATGATTACCCTTTTCCAGCAGGCTTCTACCCCAGGGACCAAATCAGGGATAGAGCCGCCTCCAGTGTTTACCATTAGGCAATGGTAGGAAATCAAAGTACAGAAAGTCTACTGCTTCCCATATGCAGTGACTCATATCACATCACACCACATCACTAGTGTGGTCAGGAGCTAGGCTCCCTGGCCCACTTCATAAATAGTACTCCCAGTAGCTAAACTGATGAACTGAAGGAAGTGAGAAAACCCCACCCAACACCCACCTGAGCACCACATCTAGCACCCAGCCCACTGCAGTCAGATGCATAGATAGGTTGATGGACAGATGAATGGCAAAGGAATTTATTTGAGAAGGGCAGTGGAGTCCTAGCCAGAGATCTCTTATGGCTCCTCCACCCTCCTTTAACTTAGAAATGAAATTTTTGAATTAAATTCGGTAGCGGTTTACCAAATTCCTGGAGCAGTGGTTTTCAAAGAGAGACCCCTAGAGTGCCCCAGGGCAAAATGCACACAACTTTGGAGCTGGGAAACGGAAATTAACACATGTAGCGGCTCCCCACATGAGTCATCTTTACACTAAAGTTTGAAAACTACCCTTTGGTGACAAGAACTTCACAGGGTCCTGCGCTTAGGAGGCCTGCAGGAGAAAATGGCATTGCCTCATCATTATTGCTAGTCATCTCAGCTAATTAAGACAATAATTTGCCATTAGTAGGAAGATTCCAAGACATGGAAATTAAATTAGATCTAAGGAATTTCAAGTCATTTGAAGATGGACACAAAGTTATATTCATTTCCATTCTCTTTTTCATACTGGGACATATTTTTTAATACTGTAGTCGAAGCCAATTATGTTCCCTGGAATATAATTTGTTTAGAGGAGAATAAAAGCCTAAAACAGCATAGTTAACCTATGAACCAGGCATTCTCCCCTCTTGTGCAGTGAGAGAGCATCTCACTCTGTATGGCTAAAAAGAGCGAAGAATGAGGGAGAATAGATGATACTTCATCAGTGAAAAATGTCCAGTAACAGGAGAAAGTGCCAAAAGAGTCTTCCTGGTCAGTCATTTCCATGGAATAGATTCTTGTGCAAAGGAAGAGGTAAGCAGGGAATGATCAACCAGAACTGAAAAATTTAAACCATTACTCCAACTTTGAAGAGGGTTCATTTTAACTTTGTTGAATCCTTGAGAATCAAGCCACAATTTTTTTTTTTTTTTTTTTTTTTAGATAGGAGCTCGCTCTGTCGCCGAGGCTGGAGTGCAGTGGCGCAGTCTCAGCTCACTGCAAGCTCTGCCTCCCAGGTTCACGCCATTCTCCTGCCTCAGCCTCCCGAGTAGCTGGGACTACAGGCACCCGCCACCATGCCTGGCTAATTTTTTGTACTTTTAGTAGAGACAGGGCTTCACCATGTTAGCTAGGATGGTCTCGATCTCCTGATCTCAGGTGATCTGCCCGCCTCGGCCTCCCAAAGTGCTGGGATTACAGGCGTGAGCCACAGTGCCCAGCCAAGCCACTAATATCTTACCATTAGTATTTTGGGACAGTGGGCAAAGACACCATACTAGGTCCTTTACAAACAGTAACTCATTTAATGCCTCTTACACAAGAAACAAACGAAGAAACTGAGACTCAGAGAAATTTGCCAAAGGTTATTTGGCTGCTATCTGGCCACGCAAGGATTCAAGTTCTGTCGGTCTCACTCTAAAGCCAGAATTTTTTTCCATTATCCAGTATTTCCCAAACTTGTCAGGTCATAAGAATCACCCTGAGCACTTGTTAAAAATATACATTTCCTTTACCTCTCCCCTGGAGATTCTGATTCAGCAGGGCTGGGGTGGAGCTTGGAATCTATCTTTTTAACCCATGCCCTGGATAATTCTTCAGAATAGGCAAAATTGGGAAATATCATATTCCACACCACATTGTCACTCAGTAACCCACACTATTTCATTCCTTAAGATGTCCCCTTCTAAAATGTGCTGAATTATAAGAAAATATATTCAACCACTGATCAATCAACCAATCTTTTCCAACCTGCTTCTAAGAACAGTGTATTCTGTTTAGATGGAAGCCTTTAAAGTTACAAGCTGGAATTTTGAAAAATAAATTATTGCATCTCAATATATACCAAAAAACCAGGCTGGCAAAATTGCTTACAAATGAATTTGTTTTAAATGTTGTGATTTGGGCAATAATTCTACCCTCAAGAAGTAAAAGAGATTTGCTTTCATTAAATATTAAATAATTTGCGTGTGTCAATTTTCAGAAAAGAAAAACATTTTAGCGTATAGTCTCTATACCATTTAAATATTAGTAAAAGTTACCAGGCTATTATCATTCTGTTAGTTACTCCAATGCAAAGTGCAATGGTGAGGATCTTATTAAATGAAAACATCTTAAAACTGGAAGGTTCATCAGGCTTCAAAACAGGCTTAGAACCCAGTGATGGCCAAAAGAAATAGGAAATGCCACATTTCCTTATAACCTTAATATTTCCCCTTTTAAATAACTAACTTTTTATGAACTATTTTGTTAAGATTGTCACAGGATAAACAAAAGAATACTATTTAATCTATTTAATAGGATAATGTAAAGACATTTATTTCAGTATTTATTTACCTGTGTTAACTAGGAAAAAACTCCCACTTTTAAACACTAAAAAAGTGTTAGTATAGAGAATCATAATTTAGAAAATTAATGATTTTCTCAAAATTGCCTCACCCTACTAGGTCACTCTCTTGCAGATATCTCTGATAATGTGAGATGGTACAAGAAAAAGAGGTTTAAGACATATTCTCTAGGGAGACAAAAGGTGCTCTGACATGTATGAAGGATGTATTTACAGAAAGTAATGTCATTCCAAAATTCACTTTGTAAGGATATAGAATGAGCATTTTTCAAAGTGATCAAATAGTACTTTGTTCATTCTCATTCCTATTTGGAGGAAGTAAAGATGTAAAATCTAGACAGCCAGGTAACTTTAGGGGGCACCTTATGCCTAGATAAAGATTATTTGCATTTAAGATACATGAAAATTAAAATTTTAAACATGAAAGCCAAATTCTGAAACAAATTTATTAACGGCATTTTATCACCTACAGTATTTTTAAATATTCAAGAATTCACTCCCTGTCAAGAAAGGAATCATGACAATTCAGATGTGAAAAATGTCACTTCCAATGACTTTGTTCAAATCCAGAATTAGATAACTTGTGAAAATGAAGAGGTTTCAGTAAAAGCTGGTGTATCAGACATTTTTCAACGTGAAATCTATATTAACTCACACCCCCACGGAATCACGTTGCAATAAAACCATGGTTATGCAGAACTTTTGTGAAAACCACCCAGATTGGACAGGTTTCCCAAAGAGCTGAAGTTGTACTTTTTAAGGACCAAACATCTCTTTTTTTGAAACAGAGTTTTGTTCTTGTTGCCCAGGCTGGAGTGCAATGGAGCGATCTCGGCTTCCCACAACCTCCGCCTCTGGGGTCCAAGCGATTCTCCTGTCTCAGCCTCCCAGGTAGCTGGGATTACAGGCATGCGCCACCATTCCCGGCTAATTTTGTATTTTTAGTAGAGATGGGGTTTCCCCATGTTGGTCAGGCTGGTCTTCACCTCCCGACCTCAGGTGATCCGCCCGCTTTGGCCTCCCAGAGTGTTGGGATTACAGGCATGAGCCACTGCTCCTGGCCCAAAAATCTTTTTAAAAGCTTAACGGGGCTATGTGTGGTGGCTCACACCTGTAATCCCAGCACTCTGGGAGGCCGAGGCAGGCAGATCATTTGAGGCCCGGAGTTTGAGACCAGCCTGGCCAACATGGCAAAACCCTGTCTCTATTAAAAATACACAAAATTTGCTGGGCTTGGTGGCAAGCACCTGTAATCCCAGTTACTCCAGAGGCTGAGGCACAAGACGGCTTGAACCTGGGAGGCAGAGGTTGCGGTGAGCTGAGATCACGCCACTGCACTCCATTCTGGGTGACTGAGTGAGACTCTGTCTCAAAATAAAATAAAAATACAGGCTTAACCCTGCACACTAGAAATCTTTCTAAAACATGACACACTTCTTTGACTTCTTAAGCATATTATAAGGACTGATTATAAACACAATGATGCCCTTAAGAGCTACTAAGGTACGCAAGGTTGCTTGTTCATAACAAAAAACCCAGATTGCTGGCTTGGTTTTTCTTCTCTTTTTCTCTTTATTTCTTTTGCCCTTCCCTTCCCTCCCCACTTCCCTCCCCTCCCCTTCCCTTCTTTCCCCTTCTTTCCCTTCCCTTCTTTTCCCTCCATTTTTTATTTAGTTTGTTCTAGGTTTTGTTTTGGTTTGTTGGTCTCAGCCTTTACAGTTGTGCTATTTCCTGTTACTTTCACTTTTTTGTTGTTTATTTAGAGTCGATCTTGCTGTATTGCCGAGGCTGGACTCAAACTCCTGGGCTCAAGTGATTCTCCTGCCTCAGTCTCCTGAGTAGCTAAGACTACAGGCATGTACCTCCATGCCTAGCCCCTCTTACTGTTAATTATTGTCATATAACCACCCATAATGTCGCTTCTCACTTTCTGAATTATTGCTCTCCCCATGTTGTAGCCTCTGAACCCGGAGAACCTTATTTCTACAATTATGTGTAAAGTAAAATCAGCGAAGTTCTTAATGAGAATCTCCCACCTGGTTAAAATGTACACGATCTTTGTCACATTTATTTTGCCTCTTGCAGACTTCCTAGATTCCAGCTAGGTCCCAGAAAATGGAGAAGTTATTAGATGACCAAACTCTGGCTTCTGAGGGGTTAATATAGGATGATAATTGACATTTGTGATGATGAGTCCAAGATGCCTACTGAATCATCATGTGTAAAATAATATTTACTGAACATGATTTAGGTTTAAAGCATTTAATGAAATTATAACCTTTGGAACTTGGTGGTTCACTTCTGAAATCTATGGCAATGTTTTGACAGATTTCAGATGAAACAAAATCTGCATTCCCAGGTCACACACAAGGACTGTATGCCATGCACTCCTATGACAGCTTGAGTTCACCCTGGAGAGGGGAGGGTTAGAAACCAAATCCTTAACAAGCCTGCCCTGCAAGACTCAAGACTGTGCATTAGGAATGACCTGGTCCCTGCCCACCTCTCCAAATGGCCTTACCCCAAGTTCATTCCCTTTGCTCTCTGGAGCTCTGCCAACACAGGCTACTCAGGCCTACTTTCAATTCCTTTAACACTCACTTCCTCCAGAGGCCTTTGCCCAAGAGTTCCTGCTCCCTGGAATGTTCTCCTTCCCCAGGCCCCACAACCACTGCCTAGTTTCCTCCTGCTCGGCTTAATCACACTTCCTTAGGAAAGCCTGGCCGCCCTGACAGGTCAGTTCTGTCTATTACACACTCTAGTAGTTACGTGTACTTCTCCTAGGGGCTCTTATCTGAGTTGTAATTTTTCATTTAGTTGTATGTAGGACACATTACCTGGAGAATAGTAGGTGCTCAATAAATATTTGTTCACTGCATGGAAGGGAGGGAGCAAGGGCACTTCAGCCAGACTGGCCTCCTCATTGTGGTTAACATCAAGGTGTGCCAGGAGAGCAATTTCCAACAGCTTAACATTCACTTGATTGCTGCCAAGGCCCATGGGTCTTTCCTTTCCTTTCTAGAAAAGAGTAAAATCTACTCGATGAACATTCAGCAGCATGGTGTGAAGCTATTATGGCCACATTCTGGAAATCATTGCATTCTTCCAAGCAAAGAAATAAGAAAATCTTCCCAAACAAATGTCAGAAACTTTACCACACTGTCATACATGCTGCCTGTAACATTTGTCTTTTGTTAATTTTTTTTTTCTGGCTTTCATCTCAAGTGTCTCTCAAGTTTTGGCAATTTCAAGTCTTCTAGTTTCCATGGAAATAGGAAACAATGATCTCTGGGAGATTAAGAGCGGGGAGATATCCACTCTAATGGAGTTCTAGAGTTTTCTTCCTTTGATAGTATTTGTGAATTGAGAGAATGTTGGTGTGGAGGCAGGGCTTCGGTGTCATCAACAAATCTTTATTTTTGTGCCTATAATGCATCAGGCATTGTTCTCTTCCAGGAATGCCTCCACCTCCAAACTGCTACATTAAAGGTAAACATGCTCTCCCAGATGTGGGCTCTCAGGTTTATTCTTAAGTGAAATTCAAATTGTTGAGCAGGAACTATTAGCTCTGTAGTGAGAATCTTTACCTTTTCCCTCTAGGCAACCTCAAGCACTTCAGATATTTTATAGAGCTCTTTGTGACACTCGGGTTACAAAGAACCATGGTGTATATACATTGTTAATTTTATTTTTTTATTATCTATTTCACAAGGAAATAAAAATCTCGACTTCCAGAGCAAGACATAAACATGTAATGTTGCTTTTTTTGTTGTTCTATAATCTTCATACTTGATAGTTGCTAATATCCACAGAAAACTTGACCAGACATACCTGAAAAACTTGAAAAATCTGAAAAAGGAAAAAAATAGTTTGCTTGTCTCCTTAATAGGCAAATGTCCACAATTTTACATCCTCTCACAATGACTTAATTTCTTTGAGACTTTGAACCTAGAACCTGTGTGCATGTATATGACCATTGTAAGACTCAGCTTTTAACCTGTTATGTAATCTGTATTGTAATATTCTACATCTCATGCCACCAGAAAGTTTGCAAGTTCCCTGAAGGACAGATACGGAAGATTATAAAACCAGCTTCTAGTTTGTCTCCATGTGGAAGTTCAGCCTTCTGGCCTCTCCCGCACCTCTTCAGTATCTATCCTCCTACCGAGCACCCATCTGATGGATCTCTCCCCACTGCAACCCACCCTCCTCTCCAGGACCACTTTTTCTTGCCTGTAATTCTGGCCTTAGGAATGCCCAGAGGAGATCTGTACCCAAAAAGTATGTTTGAGCAAAGCTAAGTCTCCAGAATAAAGATAATCCCAATTTACAAGTCAGCCATTAGAGATTTAATTCTTTTACACCTTCCTGAGCACCTTTTGAAAAAATATCAATATCCTTTTAGGGGTTAAGATTTCAAGTCATTACCAGTTTATGCTCCCAAGGGATGCCTTAAGCTATGTGCCAACCTCCGGTGGAAAATTAAATTCAGGACAGGCCTTGAAGGATGGTGCTAGGAGGAAAAGGGACGCTGGGGATTGGAGAGGACCAAATGAACTTCACTAAGGAGAGTCCGTGAATTGAAGAGTCCCACCACAGACCCCCACTCCCAGCTCCAACACTCGCTTTGACTAACAAAAGTCAGTTTCACTGAAATGGTGGCAGATCAGAGTAGGGCCCTAGACTCAAGCCCTAGCATCCACATCCAGGTTCTGTTTTTACAGGTCTGACACAAGATTTCACACTGTTCAATTCATGGACTGTCTTTAAAGTTCCCCTTTTACTTTTTCCCCCTTGTTCCTCCTTTGCTCCTCTGGCCTAAGTTTATCTGTGTGCATGCTTGTGTGTACACGTTTTATCTGCATGTGTGAATGTCTCTGTCTGTATGCCCAGGTCTTTCTTTGTCCTGACACCAGCTTGTCTAGAAGTGGTAATCATAAAAAATTAATTCAGATTACTTGTTGGATGATTTAGATATTTTCAGCTTCATTAACAGCTAATCATGGCACAATGGATTACTCAACCAGGGTTTGAAATATGTTTTCAAGGTGGCTAGACTAACTGGAATGATCATATAAGGGGACTTCAGCAGGGTATCATACACACACAGCTATTATGTCTTTTGTGGGAACATGCATTTGCCTACGAACTGTCTGTGCATGTTTTTGGCAGGTCCCCCTTCTTACTCTCCATTCCCTTCCCCTTCCCAGCTTCTGCCAGATCTGCCTTCAGATTCCTCAGTCATGAAGCCTCCCTGAGAGGGGTGAGAGCTCTTTTAGGTCTAACTACACCCTGACAGGAGTGTCCCAATATGCCCACGGGTGAGGCAGGCAGGCCAACTGCACCCCAACAGTGTTCAGCACGAGGCTGGGAGGTGAAAGATGTGTAGCCAGAAGTCTTGGAAAGGCGCCACTGGGGACATAGCCAGGTATCTTGCTGCCCTCAGAAAATTCTCCTCTTGCCATGCCCTGCAAAACAAATTAGCATCAGTGACAGAAGTGTGACCCTGGAGCCGAAGTTGTATGTGAACTCTTCCTCCAGCCACTGAAAATATTCTGGTGGGTATGGGGGTCTGGTTGGTATGGGAGAATATGAGCACACTACCCGGCTGCCACCCCACCATAGACAACCACCCACCCCCCACAACCCCAAGCTCCAACACCGGCTTTGGCTAACAAAAGTCAGTTTCGCTGAAATTGACAGCAGATCGGAATAGGGCCCTAGACTCAAGCACCTGCAGCCACATCCAGGTTCTGTTTTTGCAGGTCTGATACAAACCACTAACTCCTCTGGCCACAGAAAGTGCTCTGTGGGTAGGAGTAGCCCTACTTGCCCTTGACAGGGACCATTTTCAAGGGCTGGTTGGGTTTGTCAGGGGTTTTCTCTTAACATTTGTCAATGACAGGTGTTGCTAGGGTTGCAGGAGAAAGGTTTCACTTGATTGGCTAAGCGACTGTATTCCTTAACCAATCCAAATGCTCTGCCTGGGGGAGGGGACTTAACAAGATAGAACAATATCAAGCACAGGCAGACGCATTCCGTGTACTAATAAGGCGTCTGGAAAAATGGAATTACAGTGTGCAGGAATCCCATGCCCCTCTGCAGCTCCAGCCATGGCGTGGTTGCTGTTAAAAATGTTACAGTGTAAGTTAAAGTCATTCCCATTGATTGGAGGACATCAAGATTTCAAAACAGGGAGTAGCAGTTGGAAGGAGGAAGTAAAACTCCTTGCTCATTGTGTTTTACAGCCTTCCTTAGTAAAACTGCTGAATTGTAATTTAAAATATTCCACCCTTTCAAATAAATTAAGTGCAGCCCTTAAAAACAGGAAATGAGAGAGGCGCACACGTATTGTCAACTAAACATTCACAGACCTTGTATCAAAAGCAAAGTTGAAAATCAGAGAACAGTCCTATGAATTCATTTTAGAATGCTGCCAACAAAGGTCCCCACCAAGGGAGGTGTTATGCCTCTGGCAGTGCACTCTTGGGCTGAAATCTGAATGCTAATTAGGAAACAAATGAAAGACAAATATCAACTTTAAGGGAAATTTGGATCTTGCAAGAGCATAGATATTCAGAGATTCAGATAAACCTTATGGTACTAAGAGCTATGGTAGCAATGGCTGAACCCTCCCTGCAGAAAATCTAACTGCAAATAAGCCAGATGTTCCTGCTAAACTCTGGTAGTAATCAAAGCAAAGCATCCCCCTATAATTCATTTCCTCTATCCAACCCTTCTGCCCATGAAGGACCCCATAGTCAAGCTAAAGAGCTTGCGTTTAGTTTCAGGCTGAAATGGTTTTTGGTGGGTGCTGCATTTTACTTTATATACATTTTGAAGTAAATGAGAGAAAAGGATAAAAGATTTTGAGACTGAATTCTGGGTAGTTCCCCCTCCCACCTCTATTGGTATAAAAGATAATATTCATGAGCAGAAAATGATGTTTGAGGAGGGCTGGCAACAGGACTTCCCGAAGAGCTGCACAGAAAATAGAGCTTCACAGTCCTCCCCCACCACATTCGGGTACCCGCTTAATGCTGCCCACACTGCAGGCCAGTGGAACCCACCACAATTAGACTTTGCCCTGGATCCTCCAGTGCCTTAGTGGAAACACTGTAATAGCAGGAATTACTATTCCAAAGGGGAAGAAACTTGGAGAGTATGTTTGGTTAATTCTTTGGTTGCATGTGATGCTAAATACAGATATTTGTGCTGTTGGCAACATCTTAGGAAGTGATTTAACCCACTGGCATAGCCAGACATAATTTGTCATGTGGCCCTGTGATTTTAACCCCACTCGTTTCTCCCGTATGATTACTTCCATCATGTTTGTGTGTTAGTTACTTAGGACACATCTTTATTTCAGAGGCCTCGAAGTCCTACTTGACATTTCTAACTTAGAACCTAGACTTCTCCCTTCCTGAACTTATCTGCTTTCTTCAGGAACAGATCCGGGAGGCCACAAAACTAACCACCTACCTCTACTCTTCCTACTCAAGCAGTTGGACCTGGGCTGGTGTGTTACAAAACTCACCATTACGCTAGATCCTTTCCCAGCCTGGCAGGCACACCCACACAGCCACCATCAAGTATTCCCTAGGGTTAGAACAGTCCAGGGCTTTGTGAATTGGTACTCTCTTCATATCTCATATTTCAACATAACTTCCAATGAGAATCATACAGTTAGTTTTGGTTTATAAAAGTCTACTAGATCAACAACAAACAAAAACTTGGCCACTAATTTTAACCTGCAATCAAACAGCAGTTCATTCATTTAAGTTTCATCCCTTTCTTTTCCTAAATCAGTCTCGAATAAAGGGGGGGGGGGATTTTTAATGATAAAAAGTAGAAAACCGAAGAAGCAAAAGGCCCGAGATACCCCACAAATAAAGAAGCAGTTGCAGACCATTAATGATCACTAGGAATGGAATCACAGAAAGAGGTACTCAAGGGAGTTTGAAAGTTTGAAAGACCACATTCAGCCTGAACCCTCAAGAAAGTGTCTAAGAGAAAGTAGGCCAAAACAACAATGAAGTTAGGGTGAAAAAGATGTGAGTTTAGTTTTCAAAATGTCATGTCTGTATTGAGTGTCCTTTTGGTTCGAACAAGAAACAAAGAGAGAAATCAAACAGCTTCACTGACAAGCAGAGCAGTTGGCAAAGAGACCAGGGTAAAATCTTGGGAAACCCTTCAATGTGTAGCCTAAAAACAACACTAAAGAATCGTTGTATTCCTTCAGTAGAGCTCTATTTTCCCAAGTCCTACTTTCTTCATAGCAGACGATTCCCACTTTCAATCTGCTCTTAATTTTGCCCCATGTCATCACTGACACCTGGGTCTCTCTGTGGATTTCTTTCTTTGAATGTTTTTAAAGCTTCTGGGGAGTCTATTTTTATTCATTCATGCCATATATTAAACTATTTTAAGTATGATCTCAATAACATATGCTTATTAAAATATGGATTAAAAATGAATTATTAAAATAATCTACTTTATCCTGCTTATAAGCACAAAGGCTGACTTGATTCCAGAACAAGGCCATGACCAGGTAGTTTTGCCTGTGGCGACTCCTTCCAGCCGTCAAAACAGAAAGCTTCTTACTATAAAACAAAGTGAAAAGGGAGGTCTAGAGTTGTATTCATTCTCTGGGATGCTCTTGAGAGTGTAAACAGATCACCAGGTTTTCCTCAGTTGTTCCCAGTATGTACGGACATGGAAGTTTCTTTAGGGAAATACTTCTGTTACAGTGACCACAGTGAAGCTTTGGATTATCTTGAGCCTACAACACATTTTGTGAACACCATTTATTAATATCAATGTGCTTTGTTTAGGCCACCTAGAGCAATAACCACAAAAAAATTGATAAATTAGATTTAAGCAAAATAAAAAACCTCTCATGAAAAGAGACCATTAAAAAATGAATAGTCAAGACATAGACTGGAAGAAATTATTTACAAAACATAAACTTGACAGAGGACTGATATCCAGGATATGTAAAGGACTCCCACTTATTAATAAAGAGAAAACATTTTTTGAATGGATGGAAGACACTCTACCAAAGAAGATATATAAATGGCAGATAAGCACATGACAACGTGCTCAATATCTTTAGTCATTAGGAAAATGCAAATTAAAACCTGAAGTATCACTACTGCCAGGATGGCTTAAAATATAAAGACTGAATACACTAAATGTCAGCAAAGATGGGGAGCAACTGGGACTCCCATACATTGTTGATATGAACATAAAATGGTACATCAACTTTGGAAAAATAAATAGCATTTTCTTCAGAAACTAAATATATACTAGCTGTGATCCTGCAATTACATAAGTAGGTCTTTTCCTAAGGGAAATGAAAACATATGTTTATCAAAATACTTGTATAAGAGTGTTCATAGCAGCTCTATAAGTAATAGTCAAAAACTGAATACAGCCCAGGTATCCATCAAGAAGAGAACGAATGCACAGGGGCCGGGCACGGTGGCTCACTGCTGTAATCCCAGCACTTTGGGAGGCCAATGCAGGCGGATCACTTGAAGTCAGGAGTTCAAGACCAGCCTGGCCAACCTGGTGAAAACCCTGTCTCTACTAAAAATGCAGAAAATAGCCGAGTGTGGTGGTGAGTGCCCGTAATCCCAGCTACTCAAGAGGCTGAGGCAAGAGAATCGCTTGAACCCGCTTGCAGTGACCTGAGATCACGCCACTGCACTCCACCCTGGGCAACAGAGTGAAGCTCCATCTCAAAGATAGAGAGAGAGAGAGAGAGAGAGAGAGAAAATAAGTGTGCAAACTGTGGTTTAGTCATACAATGGAATACTACTTAGCAGTATAAAAGAATGAGCTACTACTGTTCACACAATAACGTCAACAAATCTCAAAAAGATTATGCTGAGTGAAAGAAGTCTTACACAAAGAATTCATCCTATTTGACCCATTCATATGAAATTATGGAATAGACAAAGCTAATCTGTGGTGAAAAAAATCAAAACAGTGGTTGCCTCTGGGTTTGGGAAAGGGATTAGGAACAGGGATTGACAGGAAAGATAAATGAGGGACCTTCCCAGGTGATGACAATATTTTATATCTCAGTAAGGGTTTGGGCACACAGGGATATATTTGTCAAAACTCCGAAACTGGACACTTAGTGTTTACAGTTTAAAATCTGTAAATTTCATATCAAATGAAAAAAGTAAATATCAAACTGAAGTTTTTAAGTAGAAATTGGTGGATGCCTATAATTTACTTTTAAACACATGAAAAAATAAGATGAATTAATGGAGGAGGGCTGTATAAATATGTGATAAAGCAAGAAGAGTCAAGTATTAATAGCAGAATCTACAACTAGATCATGGGCATATAGGTGTTCACTGTAAAATTCTTTTAATGTGGTGCATATTTGAAAATACTGATAACAAAGTGCTGGGAGGAAATCTATGTGCTCTTCTGACCCATGAACCCTCTTCAGGTGTTTGGTAGATCTGAATGCTCTATTTTTTAATGCTCATACTAGCAGATTATAAAGAGGGAAGATGAAGGCTGGAATTGGAAAAATGTCATATCTGAATTCTTTTTCTTTTCAAATCTGGCCTTTCATACCTTTTTATTTTAGTGGGCAAAAGAAGCCAGGAAATGGTTATTATGAGAGGAAAAGAGAGGGGAGAGATCTGTGACCCTAAAAACAGCAACAATAACAAAATTCCTACTGTGAAATATTGAATATCAAGAGCAGACACACACTCCAGACTTGTAGAATGAAAAAATTAATGAAAACACCAAGACTGCATCCTCAGAACCACGGAGGAATGATAATTACAGACAGTACTTCTGGAGCAGACACATAACCTTGATTCCCAGGATACCCCCTAAAGCACTCTAATAGTATGCTATTTGTGGAAGGTTTTTCCACCTTTAATAACAGAGAAATAATGTTAGAAGGAAAGAAATCCCTTATTTAGCCACTGGGGTGTCATTATTGAGCCCCAGCTGAAGGCCCCCTTAAAAGCATCCATATGGTAAAAGAACATGTTTCCCTACGAAATCAAAACTGAGTACATCTGAGACTTTTGAACATCTTTTTCCTTGGATCTTAAAATGGATTTGTGCATATTTGTAAAAAAATTTTATGATGTGCTATCTTCCAAAGTGAATGGTTATTTATAATTCATAAAAGACCTGAGCACAGGAAAACTTTTCCCTTTTATTAGCCCTGTAAAGTTAGACCAGCTGATCTTTTAGTGCATATTACAGACATCAAATTCTCTGTGTGGTTGAAGTTTCTCTTCAAACTTAATGCAAGAGGCAGTGCTACTGAATCTGTTGTTCAAAAGCTGGTGGGGTCCACATCTCTTTTGATTAAATGTTAAATAAACAAAACATCACTCTCAGAGATGGTCTCTGAAGACACAGAAGGGAAAATACTTGGAATGCTAAACATACTTTTTAAATCTTGCACAGCCTTTTTGTAAAATACAGCAACATATTTTCAAATGGATTTTCTTTTCTGTCTCCAGCATTTAACCAGACTTCAGACACAGTTGCCACATCATTTCCTTTCAGCTGCTGCAGGCTACTTGTGAGTCAGAGTACTGATATCATGAGCAGGAATGACCTGGGTGGAGGAATAGGGGCACTGGGGATTTGGATGCATGACAGGAGCCCCAATGCCAAGGGCTTCCATCCAGCTGCACCTGCACATCCTCTGCCAGTCATCCCCCACCAGCAGTCCCCCGCCAGTCATGATATCACAGAAAGTTATTTCCTTCAAGGAATCCAACTTTCTTAGCTCACCCTGCCAGGGTCACATGCACCCTATTTACTGGTGTGTCACATACCCACATAAGAGAGTTGCACAGAATTTTTAGAAATCTAAGTTAAATCTGAAAATAGCATATTTTTGCTTCCTTTGAAGTATCCTGCCTTCAAATAATCCAGATGAGCCTTGTAAGCTCCCTCATAAAAGTATACGGAGATAGAAATTTTTTCTGTATCCTGACTGTTTTTTTTTTTTTTTTTTTGAGACAGAGTCTTGCTCTGTCGCCCAGACTGGAGTGCAGTAGCACAATCTCAGCTCACTGAAACCTCCACCTCCTGGATTCAAGCAATCCTCCCGCCTCAGCTGCCCCAGTAGTTGGGAGTACAGGCGTGCACCACCACGCCCTGCTAATTTTTGTACTTTTAGTAGAGTTGGGGTTTCGCCATGTTGACCAGGCTGGTCTTGAACTCCTGACCTCCAGTAATCCATCTGCCTCGGCATCCCAAAGTCCTGGGATTGTAGACGTGAGCCACCGCGCCCAACCAAATATGGATTCTTAACTGCCAAAAAGCCAACTCACTTATGGAACAGGATCCTTGGCCAGAAAGAATTGCCTCATTCTCTATTCTATAACCTACTACTGCCCTGGCTACTGACAACAATCAGTGACTTTCTTTTCCTTTTCTTTTCTTACTTTCTTTCTTTTTTTTTCTTTTTCTTTTTTTTTTGTTTTTGAGATGGAGTCTCACTTTATCGCCCAGGCTGGAGTGCAGTGGCACGATCTTGGTGCTGCAACCTCCCGGGTTCAAGCAATTGTCCTGCCTCAGCCTCCCAAGTAGCTGGGACTACAGGTGTGTGCCACCATGCCCAGCTAATTTTTTCATTTTATTTTTTGTAAAGACGGGGTTTCACCATGTTGGCCAGGCTGGTCTCCAACTCCTAACCTCAAGTAATCTGCCCACCTCGGCCTCCCAAAATGCTGGGATTACAGTCATGAGCCATCGTGCCTGGTCATCAATGACTTTCAATCAGTTCTAAAGTCCCTGCTGTCCTGAGTGATTATTTCGTCTTATAGATTGTCGGGATGGCTGCTGAAAGAGAATCGTAAAGCCGAAACCAATTCTGAAGTTCCTTGCTTCTGAGAAATGAGAAGTGTCTCGATACTGGGTGGCAAAGGAAAAAAGAGTGAAGACGCAGTTAGGGAGGCTACCATTTGATGGACAAACCCCACCGAGGGCTCTCCTTAAGAAGGAAAGGCTGACTTTTGGATGGTTCTGTCCTCTCCTTTTCTACTTACTAGCTGTTAGGCTTTCAGCTGCAAGAAAACAGTGTAAATGCAAGGACAAGGGATGGAATATTCAAGTGCATTTTGAACGAGTGTTTATACCATCTTGTGCTGCCTGACTCAGAAGATAAGAATGAGGAGATCTCAACCTCTTGACAAGGTGCCAGTGGTACTTGTAGTACCCACGGTGGGAATGGAAAAGGCAATATTTATTCAGAGGGCCCTGACAACATCATCGTTAAGTCATTCGTCCACTCCTAAGTAGCTTGCATTTTACAAGATCCGGTGAGAAAGAGGCTTCATGAGCTGTACTGGGCACTTTTTTCCCTTTCCACCCTTACCTAACATATCTAAGCACTGTTTGGAAAAAAATTGGATGACGAAACTGAATATGCTATATGCTATTATATTTGTTTTAGTTTAATATATCCAGAATTTATTTTCCTGTTGCAAAAATGAAAGCTTTCATCCTTTCTCTTCATCATCAACTACTCAAAATATGATATCATTACATAACACCTACATTAAGTAACTACTATGTGTCACATCCATCCATCTGCACATCCATCCACGAGTATTTCTTGAGTACTTAGCATGTGCCTATGACCCTATGGTGGAGATATGGAGAGGAACAATTTGCAAGCCTTGTCCTCCAGAAGCTTGCAGGCATGCAGATGATGCTGTCTTTTGTGTCTCCTGTGTATACCTTCATTGAACACAGTTAACTTTCTACTGTTGCTACGCCTGGACAGGACAGCAGGGGATGTGGCTTTGCCCCAGACAGTGCCCTTAGGTTCATAAACTGTACCTACTCCATTGTCTATGCTTGCTATCCACCCTGTCCCTGAAGCATGAGACACAGTCAAGAGAAAAATTAATGTTTACTGCAATGGGAGAAAATTTCAGGACATAGCTCAGATAAAATACAGAATAATGTCAGATATTCACTTTGTAATTGTAAGATTGAAACAGCCACTGCCAAGTATAGTGTTCTTGATTTTGTCTCCTTTCTAGGCTACTGACCCCTCCTCCAGAACTAGGCCTTCGGGGTTACAGCTCATCTGGCTTAATTCACCCATTCTGTCCTTCAGTCCAGTCACTTTTCTGTCTCCAGAAGCAAGCCATGAGGTCCTTTCTTTTGGTGACGGGGGGCAGTGGGGACCCTAAGTGTAGGTTCCTCATCCATCATCCAGTGAGCCAGTATCTCCTTTGAAATACTGTTGTGTTTTGGGTGGGGGGCGTGTGAAGAGGGGAACTGAACTGGAAGGAAACCTGGGCTGGAGAGAGGATGCCAAGAAGGCACCCAAGGCTTTCCCTTATGCTGTGTCACCCAAACCTCGGACAAGCACTAGGGTTTGTTTATGGCATTTCATAAATAGGTCTGACAGCTCTCCTGGCTAATACTTCCTGAAAAAGTTTACATCCCCCAGGACAAGGCCAGAGCTTCCCGGCTTGCCTGCAGCAGTTTAGCAAGCCTGGGTTACAGGTATGCAAATACATTACAGATGGGTTAAGATAGGGATCCTCTTGGCCCTGGGGGCTGCCGGCCAGGGCCTGAGGCAATTAGAGCAGCCACCTGCGGAAAGGTAGGGCAGCTCTGCCCCACCATTTTTTTTTTAAATCAATGTTACCTAAAGGGAAATGCCCCACCTTTTATCATCTGAGCTGATAAGAGCTCTGGAGAGATGACTGAAGATAGCTCCCTCTGTTTGCCTAGGGGCAAGAAATTCTAGTCAGCCATCAGTCCCATTGCTGGCCCTCAGTGCAGAGGCCAGCCCCAGTCCAGGAGTTTCATCCTTAGTCTCAAGCCCCTCTCCCCAATCCTTCATTCCTTCTTGCTCTGCACCACAGCTGAGCATTTCTGGCTGCTCTTCTGCCCTGTGTTTATGACCTTCGCTTTGGGTACCACTAGCCCCAGGTTGGCCCAGAGTCTTCATCCTCGGTCCCCTCAGCCTAGCAGGTCCAATAGAAATATAATGCCAGTTATGTAATTTTAAGTTTCCTATTAGCCATATTTTAAAAGGTTTTAAAACAGGTAATATTAGAGATTTTTGCATCCCAATTTACTTATTTATTTAAACAGCATTGTCCAGATATAATACACACACCATACGAGTCACCCATTTAAAGTGTGCCGTTTAGTATGTTCACAGAGTTCTTCTTCTTCTTCTTCTTCTTCTTCTTCTTCTTCTTCTTCTTCTTCTTCTTCTTCTTCTTCTTATTATTATTATTATTATTATTATATCGAGACAGAGTCTCACTCTGTCACCCAGGCTGGGGTGCAGTGGCGTGATCTCGGCTCACTGCAACCTCCACCTCCTGGGTTCAAGTGATTCTCCTGCCTCAGCCTCCCGAGTAGCTGGGACTACAGGCACGTCCCACCACGACTGGCTAATTTTTTGTATTTTTAGTAGAGACGGGGTTTTGCCATTTTGGCCAGGCTGGTCTCTAACTCTTGACCTCAAGTGATCCGCCCACCTCAGCCTCCCAAAATGTTGGGATTACAGGCATGAGCCACCGTGCCCAGTCTGTGTTCATAGAGTTCTACAATCACACCACAGTCAATTTTTTTTTCTTTTTTTTGGTGTCAGGGTCTTGCTCTGTTCAGGTTGGAGTGCAGTAGTGTGATCATAGCTCACTGCAGCCTTGAACTCCTAGACTCAAGCCATCCTCTCACCTCAGCTTCCCAAGTAGGTGGGAACACAGGTGCGCACCACCATGCCCTGCTAACTTTTTCTATTTTGTAGAGATAGTTTCTCACTATGTTGGCCAGGCTGGTCTCGAACTCCTGGCCTCAACTGATCTTCCCATTTTGGCCTCCCAAAGTGCTAGGATTACAGGCATGGCCTCATGATCAATATTAGAATTTTTTTTCACCCCATAAAGAAACCCCATACCATTGCACCCACTTTCCATTTCCCTCCAAATCTCCCCAGCCCTAGGCAACCACTAATCTACCTTTTGTCTCTACGGATTTGCCTATTGGCCATTTCATATAAATGGAATCATGCAATGGGTAGCCTTTTGTGTCTGGCTTCTTTCCCTTAGCACAATGTTTTCAAAGTTCATCCATGTTATAGCATTCATTTTAGTCGTGTATTTTATTTAACCCAATCAACCCAAAGTATTATCATTTTAACATATAGTAAAAAAAGGATTAATAATATATTTTACTTTTTAAAAATATGTCTTTGAATTTTGGTGTGTGTTTTTACAAATACAGCACATTTTAAGTGCCCAGTAGCTACATGTGGCTAGTGGCTACTGTAAACAGCACAGCCCTAGTCAAAGTCTTTTGTGTTACCTTTTAAAAACAAGAACAACAACTCTCTCCACTTACCACCTCTATCCTGGGGACTCCCTCACCCCCATCAGCACCTACACCATCATTCACAGGTGGCTTGAGGATTTTAAGGCGGTCACTATGTTGCGGTGCTCAATTCTTCTTTCTCTTCCCTCCTAGAAGGTTCCCGGCTCCTGCTTCTGCCTTGTCCATTGCAACTGAGATCAAAGCCCTCAAGCAGATAACTGGAGCTCACCCTGCCTGCTTGCAACCTGCTTGCCCTGTTTCCCTGTGCCTCATGGTTAGACGATGCATCTTGTTAAAGTGAAACGTTCTGTTTCCCTTCATGAGAACACTCTAGAAAAACCTAACAAGAGAAGCTTTCCTCTTACTTTAAGAAAACAAGCTTGTCATTTCTTAATTTTCTCCCTGGTCCATTTTCAACACCCATTGTTTTGCTCAGAGTGGCTCTAAGCACTCAGATAAAGCTCACTGCTAGGGGTAGATTTGTGAAATTGCTACAAGCTTCCTCACAGCTTTCTCCTGCTCTTGTCAGCCATCTCCCCAAGAAAATGGATGTTTAATCAGTGCAAGGGTACATTTTATTAGTCTGGCTCATCAGCCATCACCTTCATTCAGGCTCAAGGGAGACCACAGAAAGAAACCTACAGTGCTGGCAGTGGCTGCCCAGGATGCAGGAATTTCAACACGAAGCAGCCCCTTTATGAACTAAGCACAGTATTTATCTCAGTATAGCTCTGTCTGTATGGTAATAAGTAAGTTATTTCTAAACCTTTGTGACTCAAGACTGGCACATGAAAATGTTTGTGAAATTACCTTTTTGAGGGAAAAGCTTAAAAAATTATTTAGTTCACAAAATGGAAGATTGAGGGCAAGTTTAATAGAAATGTGAGAACAGCAATATCAGCATCTTTCCTGTTTCTCTTTAGAGTCGGAAGGGAGAGAATGTGCTAAAATCGCTGCAGAAGGAATTTGGTGTTGACTTTCGGAAGAATTTCCTGCTAATAATATTGAAGTGCTGGAGAACCTCACAGAAGGAGCTTCAGGGTTTCGTTCTATCAGCATCTCCTGAGCACCTTCTGGAGATTTCCTGGTTTGTGTCTAATTCTGTCCTACAACTAAATCGGGAAGATTTCACCCAAATGCTTTTCCAGAGTCTGATTTTCCTAAACTGAAGTGTTGCTATCTCTTTTTTCAAACTTAACTCTTCTTTTTATTCTCAGCCACCTATGAATTTTCCCTGGGCCCACAAGTCCTAGAGCCTGCCATACACACACACACACACACACACACACACACACACACACACACACACACAAGCTTTAAAAATTAAGCATTATTCAAAAAGTAGAAAATCTACACAAGTCAAGAGTTCTTTAGCCTCTTGGTCAAAAAGCCATTCATAAAGCAATGGCATTCTGGGAAAAGTGGCAGCAATGGTAGTCACCTCAAAGGTTTGGAGACTTCCTGTGAGCTTATTTATATCAACTACCTCTTTTTATTCAACTAAAACCTTGTTTTCTACAGAAAATGGCAATACCATTACCATTCTAGGATTCCCTGTGTTAGGCCTCACCCTGTAATGGCTTGGCTGTCTATGCAGAACAGTTAAAACACTCAGAGCCCCAGGGAATGTCATAAAATTTTACCATATCCAGTGACACCCTATTCAATGAGTTGTAGAGAACCAAGTTTTCTTCTGAACACCCTGGCTATGAATCATTGAATTGCAGACTTCCATTTGGAGTTGTTTTCCTGTTGTAATTAATTTTTCCTTGTGTTATGCACATTCATGAGCACCTAACCTTTTTTAGGGATGCATGTCTAATTCCACATAATTCTGAAATTCTTCAGTTGTTTACACGGCAATCTTGTGTGATCCAGGCTACTCTATTATTGCTATCATTTTAAGACTGAGACATCTTAATAGTCCCATTTTTTTTCTTTTCCTCTTGCTTATTTCCAAATGGAAGGAATTCTTATGAGGTAATAGGGCAGTGGGGAGGAGACGGTTTGCTTTAACTTCTGCTAGTTATTCCATGTTATGCCCGAGTGGGTTATTTGCATCTGGTCTCTATTTGTTAACATCAATGGGCTGTGTTTGCATAACTAGATCAAATTATGAAAGGATTTCCATTTTGAATGGTTAACTCTCACCAAATACAAACACACACACACACACACACATGCACACACACACACACACACACACACCACACACGATCAAGCTCCAAGCTGGAGACACCAGCCTTGGGAAACCTTTGCTAGAGAAAAAAGGATTCCCCTACAGTTCATCACAAAGCTGTTCTGGTTTCAATTTCCCCTCTCCTTTTGAAATAAGATCCATTACCCTCAGCCCTCTACCTAGAGTAAAGTAGCTGGGACTTGGAGGAAGTGGCATGGCAGACCACCCAACAACAGGGGCGTCTGATGTGGAAAGGAAAAGTTAAACCAAAAATCTAAAGATGATGTCAAAGAGATGAATCATGCTCCCATTTCTCTCCAGTGAAGATCCGCACGCTGGAGTGTTCAGTTACTCACCCAGCTAGAAGGGGCTGGACTAAGTCACTTTCCAGTCCATACCTCAGCCTTCAGGCAGTGTGCAACAAACCCTTTCAAGAGACTCTTTCGCTTTCAAGTTCTTGAGAAATGTTTCTATTCTCTAAACTCCTCAGGCTGTCTTCTGTCAACATACCTATCTCTTCCTTTTACTCATACACATTTTCTTATCACTATCTGATGTGTTTTGTCCCTTCCACTAAGCTGTGAAGTTCCTGAAGCCAAAGAATGGGTCTTGTTCCACCAGAGGGTGGCCAGCACCTCCATGCTAATACCAGGGACAGGGGAGTTATCCCACATCGCTGAGCTTGCATTACTTGTTTTGTTATCACTCTGGATCAAGATTCTCTCCCTTAGATTGTGAAATTTGAGAGAGCAGGACCTCAGTTAGTGAAAAATGCAAGTGACTCCCTGCCAGAGTCAGCTTCACTAGTGGATCCAGGAAGCAGCCACATCTAGGGTGTGTGATTTGAGGGGTTTTGGAAACACCTTCCACCCTCAACTTCTAAAATTCCACCAACTGTCACTTTTTTCACTTACTGTTTTGAGCCTTTTTCAAATACGAAGTCATACATGTAGTGTGACTTTAAAACCTTTTAATGATCTTCATATAATTTATATAACTTATCATGTTACTGCTTAGAGTAGATAAAGGAAAGATACTGAGTGTGGGAAAAGGAGGAGATATGACCAGAAAGGTGGGAGGGAAGTTTGGATGTCAGTCGGCCCTAATCACACCAAAATCTTTTCAATAATGTGTGATGGTGTTGTTATGAAGCATTTCTCTCTATCCAAAAGCACAGCAGATTCTTTGTGTATTGACTAGAATATGAATAAGATTGGGTGCATTTAAAGAGTGCTCACTGTATGCCAGCGAGTGCTCTAAATGCCTATGAGCAACCCAGTAGACCCTGCAACTCCCTGTTATCCTTCCAATTTTACAGATGAGAAAACAGAGGGATGGGGGATCCAAAAGTCACCAAGGCAAGAAGGTGGCAGACCAAGAAGAAGAGTAAGAATTACTGACACTTTTATTTTTATTCCTTTTTTTTTTTTTTTTTTTTTTTGAGACAAGGTATCACTCTGTTTCCCCAGCTGGAGGGCAGTACTGCCATCATAGCTCACTGCAGCCTTGAACTTCTGGACTCAAGGGATCCTTCCTACTCTGTCTCTTGAGTAGCTGGGATTACAGGAAAGAGCCACCATGCCTGTTTGATATTTTTAAAAAGAAATTTTTGTAGACGCAGGTCTCGCTATGTTGCCCAAGCTGATCTCAGACTCCTGGACTCAAACAATCCTCCCACCTTGGCCTCCCAAATTTCAGGGGTTGGGAGCCTCACTCATTATTATCTTTGAAATAATTAAGCTCACCTTCCCTCATCCCTTTCCCACATTCACCCTCATGATTTTCATCCTTCTCCCCTCTTGCCACTTACCTTAGATAATCCTAATGAATCCTAAATGTGGGAAATAAAGTTTCACCTAAGGAGGCAAAAACGATGTTCTTGGCATACATAAGGTCCTCCTACAAAGAAGAGTTTTCAAGAAATGGCAACCAATATGCTGTCATTGACAACACTTTTTAAAATGTAAATTGTGATTCAATACTTTAAAAGTACCCAGGGATTCCTCTAAATTGCAATACGCCCATTGGGGTGATTCCCCGCCCCCCCCCCCACACACACTATTGACTAAACAGAGATTATAACCATGGCAACCTTTACATCACTTGACACATGAATATGGAGCACAGCCTTCCTGGTGGGGAGGTGTGCTGCTCTGTGTATGTACCCTGTATGCTGTTATAAGACGTGTGTAAACAGACACTCACGTGACTCAGCCAACAACTTCTTTTCCTTAAAGAGGATGGGTTGAGAAAGTTCATCCTGTGGCTCTGACTAGAGAAGATAGAGTCCTTATTAACCTTTAGATTAGAAAAATTAAATATATTTGTTTCCTAGAATCTAGGTGATTGCCCAATAAATAGGAGGAGAACAAGTTAAAGTTAAAAAAAGAAAAGCAGATAAATAGCAGAGCAAGAGGCAGGATGCATCATGCCTCGGTCACTACATGTTTGCAGGGTTTTGTTAAAGACAATGGTATGACGTTGAAACTTGGATTGCCTTGAGTACACCCTCACAGCGCTGCTCGTGGGGCAAGCATGCCTGGGAGATGACCTGGGGCACCACGCCCTGCCTATCTCAGACAAGGAACTCCAGGCAGCAGTGGCGAAGCTAAGCAGCTCCATCCTTAAGGGGCGGAGGCCGGCTCATATTTGCCTATTAGGGCCGTGGGACGCCGAGGTTCTGCTGGGTCCCTCCTGGAAATAGATCCTTCCCAGCCAGCACCCGAAGTCAGCAGCAGAGGGCAAAGCACCTGGGCTTTATTTAGCTCCAAGCTCCACGATCCTCCTGGTGAGTTTGAGCCTAAGGGGTTTTTACATGTAGTGTGACTTAAAACCTTTTAGCAATCTTCATATAATTTATATAAAAGAAATAGCTCTTTAGCCAGTGTGGTGGCTCATGCCTGTAATTCCACCTACTGGAGAGGCTGAGGCAGGAGGATTGCTTGAGCCCAGGAGTTGGAGACCAACTTGGGCAACATAGTGAGACCCTTGTCTCTAAAAAAAAATGTTTTTTAAGTAGCCGAGTGTGATGGTGTGTGCTTAGTGTCCCAGCCACTTGGGAGGCTGAAGCGGAAGGATCCTTTGAGCCCAGGAGTTCAAAGCTTCAGGGAGCTATGATCGAACCAACTGCACTCCTGCCTGGGTGACAGAGTGAGATCCTGTCTCTGAAAAGAAAGAAAGAAAAGAAAAGAAATAGCTCTTTGAAGCAAACCTCTTAAACCTTTAAAAATTGTCTTTGTAACTTGGGGGCTTGTTTGAGTCCAGGAGTTTGAGATCAGCTTGGGCAGCATAGCAAGACCTGTGTCTACAAAAATTTCTTTTTTAAAAAATCAAACGGATAAGGTGGCTCTTTCCTGTAATCCCAGCTACTCGGGAGACAGAGTAGGAAGGATCCCTTGAGCCCAGGAGTGCCAGGATGCAGTGAGCTATGATGGCACCACTGCCCTCCAGCCTGGGCAACAGAGTGATACCTCATCTCAAAAATTATCTTTGTAACTTGGGTTGACTAATCTCTATTATGAACTATGCAGGGAATTCACCAAATTTATCCTTTCCTTTAATTTTTATCACGAGGCTATGTTTTATGTTCTTGTACAAAGATAGTGTAGATTCAACTTACTGACATTTTTGGAGGCTTGGAACTACCAATAAAGCACTGATAATTATTGTGCTTTACTCTTGAGCTTGTAAAATGCAAGTAGTATGTTTTTAACTTTGAATGAAAACTTTCACTTTCGTGAGGACCTTGGCTTGCAGCTATATCGAGTGCTACAAAAAAATGCTGATAGCTCCTTAGGCTGGACATCCTCTACTTTTTCTCAGCCACGAGTTTTAGACATGCAGTAAGGATTCTTCCTTAAAAAAAAAAGAAAAGATTCTATCTACAGTTAACAAAAGTTAGAGGGGTTCTTTTTAATTCTGGAAGGAAAAGGAACTTTTTTTTGGAGAATATCTCAACCCACGCATAGTAATAAGCACATTATATAATACTTTCAGATACTAACCTTCATTTTCTCTTTCTTAAAGAACTGGTGGTAACCCTTCACTGATGGAGAGAGGGAAATGTAATTGTTCACACTTACTCTGGAGAACTTTTGAACATTTCATGAGGTCTTATTATTAGCTCTGCAATGACATGTCAGCTTCTGTCTTCAGGATGTTTAATTAGAGATTCATTTCTTTTTGAAAGTGCTGTGTTTAGGCACTGAGTCCTATTCAACTTTTTCCCAGGGAAGGCTTTACATCCCTCTGAAATAGCTATTACTGAGTGATGCTGCAGCTCTTGGTGTCTCTAACCTGGGCACTCTGTTTGCAGCCATATGCCCTTACTACTGAAGACCACAGTTCTCTCTCAGCACTGTGGCAAAGGCAGAGGCATTTAAAAAGCCCTACCTAATGGGAATATTTTCTTCCTGCTTGGAGTTTGAGTGTAAATGGTTCCTTCACGGGATGAATTATGAATGAGATCATTAACTAGCCCTTGTCTGTTACCCAAGGTATTGCTGTTTGAAAACTTCATGTTCAATATCACCCTGAGTGCACGAAACCCAGGCCTTGAGGAAATGCTGACATATTAAAGGCAGTATAGATGAAGTGGGTGGGCCATCAGGTCATTTAGCCTCAAGCTCAAGGAGGCCCTAGACTGTGGCTGCCATTCTGCAGCAAATTTGTTTAGGAAAACAGAGTGCATCTCATCCTAACATAGATCCTAAATTAAATCCATCAAACTGTCAACTCTCACTATACCGGCAGGAGAAAGGCCAGATACAGTAGTAAGGGGCATCGGAATCTGTAAGCTTCTTTCTTTGTCCTTTCTGAGGCTCTTAGACAGTCCACATACCTGTTGATGCAGTAATACTTTGCCAATTCTTACAACTGTCACTAGTTAGATTTTGTTATACCTGCTGTCATCAGTCAACAAACCTCTCTTGTTGGTAAGGTATGTCAAAGGCCATGACAATACCAGAGATGAATATGAAGTGTTCCAACAGCAAAAAGAAGTATCTGTCACCCACATTGCTGACCTGTTGGTAAGAAAAGGCATATGAAGATGTAGCGCTGGCTGGAAAGAGGGGCGCCACCAGATGATAGACAGCTGATCCCTAGCAGAGGTCTGCGTTACCTGCAGGGGTGAGCTGAGCCCTGGCTCTTGGGAGAACTGCTCTCTGCACTTGCAATCAGAGGCAGGGCACACAGAAGGGGCCCTGGGAGGCTGGGAGTATGCTCAGGCAAACGTGAAACTCAAGCCTGAAAGCTAAGCCCCAAATCCAAATATGCTGTTACGCAAAGCGTTCGCAGATTGGCTGGCGTTTGATTCTCGTATGAGGTTACTTGTTGGCTTGTGCTGAGTAATTCTCTGGCATGCCTGTGGCTTGTCAGTGGCATTCCTTCCTGAGTCACCACTGGACCCACAGCCTGGCTCAGGGAGCAAGGTCCAGCACTGTCCAAGAGCCTTTCTTTTCAGATGAATCCTAAAGCCCACTGTCCAGATTTGCAGATGTCACCACGCTTGCTTTTCCATCTTCAGAGATGAGCTGGTAGGCATTTGCAGTGAGGAAGGACTTGAGGAAACATTTTGGGGGTTGCACCTAACTGTTGAAGTGATGAATATTTGTCTGTCATCAGCTGGATGAGAAGAGTTAAAATCCCTGCCAGAACTTTGGAGGCCTAGGGAGATGGCATCTCTCACAGGAGCAGCATTAGGCCAATTACAATGCTCAGCATTTCCCCCAACACCCTAGGTTCAGAGTTCTTTGCAATCAGTTTGTTTCCTTTAGCTGAGTTTCTTAAACACACATCACCCCTTGTGGAGCTCTCTGGGCCTCCACCCAAAAGCTAAAGGATACAAAGAGGCAGAAGAAAAGACTGAGCAGCAGACTCTACCCAAGAGGGAAACCAAGCCAAACATTTCAGCGTTTCATTATTCTCCAAAAGCCTGTCAATACTACAAAGGGGAAACTGGGAACAGCCAAAATGTGCAGCATAAAAGGTTGGCCACATAGATGATGGGAAAACAAGCCATCATTAAAATCGTGCTGTAGACTGTAGAAGAAACTTTAATGATGTGGAAAAATATAAACAATATATTGTTAAGTGAAGAAAGTTTTAAAATAGCATGGACAATATGATTATATTTTATGAATATATATGTATAGTTCCAGGTGATACACACATATAGAAAAAAAGACTGAAAGGATATCAATTAAAATGTTAATGGCAATATTTCTAAGTTGGGATGGACTGTAAGTGATGTTTCTCTTTTTTCTTCCAAATTTTCTATAATGAACATGTTTTAACTTTATTTTTTACATCTTTATTATTATCTTGATTATCAAATGAAACTTGCTCACAGTATGAGATTCAAACAATATAGAAATGTGTAAGATCTAAAGTAAAATTTCCTTCAATCCTGCCTAAGAGATAGTTTCTACCAAATCTATATTTCCAAAAATATTATGGAATGTTTATATATTAGAATTACACATAGTACTTCAACTTATCTTTTTTTTTCACTTAAAGTACCTGGGATATATTCCCAGGTATGTGTGAGTGGTTTCTTTCTTTTCTTTTTTAAGTCTATCAGCTAGATCTCTGGGAGGCCAGCAGGGAATGGGAGATTCTCCGGCCTTCCTGCTGCAGGTAGGCAAGGGAATGAATGGGCACTGGAGTCACAGATGCCAGAGCTGAAAGGAATATTAAATGGGGCTTAATTTAGCCCCCTTATTAAATGATGAAAAAATGAGGGTCCAGAGACCAGAATCCACATCTTCTAATTCCTCATCTAATATAGTTTTTACTATGCCACACTGCATACAGTATAAAACAGATATTAATAAGTGCTTTTCAAAGAGCTTCCACCTTGCCAACCTTTTGTTTCAGCCTTATCCTCCTTAGCTGTTTTTGTGCTGCTGATAAAGACATACCCGAAACTGGTCAATTTACAAAAGAAAGAGGTTTAATGGACTTACAGTTCCATGTGACTGGGAAAGCCTCACAATCATGGTGGAAGACAAGGAGAGGCAAGTCACATCTTAGATGGATGGCAGCAGGCAAAGAAAGAGTTTGTGCAGGAAAGCTCCCCTTATAGAACCATCAGCTCTCATGCAACTTATGTACTATCATGAGAACAGCACAGGAAAGACCTACCCCCATGATTCAATTACCTCCCACCAAGTCCCTCCCACAACATGTGGGAATTCAAGATGAGATTTGGGTGGGGACACAGCCAAACCATATCACCTCCCTTGAGCAAACTGGGGGAAGGGATCTTTCCCGTTTTAAAGATAATACTAGCCAACACTGGCTGGGCACCATGTGCCGGGTTCTAAGCCAAGCTATTTGCCTACATTCTCTCACATGTTCTCACATGAACTTTCTGAGTTGGTACTATTGTCATGCCCATTTTATAGATGAAAAAAATTAAGACTCAGAGACTTTGAGTAACTAGCCAAAGGCCCCACAGCTGAGACATGATGGAGCTAAGGCTTCAACCTATGTCTAGTCGTAGAATCCTTACTTTTAAACATTACACTCTATTTTTTGCAGGCTTAGCACATAAACTTTTCCCATACAACAAAATTTAATTACTCTTTCGCTTTTTCTTTTGTTGTTATCCAGTCCTTCTCAAATGAAGTGAAACAGGAATGACATTAGAAAATGCAATCTGGTGTCAAGCAGGGTTCAGGGGCCTCACTTGGTGTTCAGGACTCTGTGCCAAACACTGGGGTAAAAACAAAACAAAACAAAACAAAACACCCAGTTCCAACCACAGCTATTCTCACAGTTGGCAAAGGAGTCACCTGGCACTTTTCCTCTGGAGATTCAGCGTGTCCCATACAAGGTGGTAAACTGCTTGCTCCCCTGGTATTTTTATTTCTTATGTAATTGTGCACTCCTTTCAACTCGGCCAACACGTTAGCACTTGTAGGTAAAGCTGATCTTTTTTCAGTCAGACACACAATACACACTGAGTCATGTGTAAAAGGCTCGTACAATGTTTTTGTTGTGAACAGAGCCCCAAGGGCCTCGTCTTACAATCCTCACATGTGTGTGACCCTCATGAAGAGAGGGCTGCCTGGTGCTGCAGTGTGTGGTCTTCTGCACGCAACAGCAGGATATCTGGGTGCATGGTGAGCTCTCACCTCACCCACCCAACGCTGGCCTTCCATAAGCTGGTGGTATGGGACTCACCCAGACATTTGTACTGTAGCCTCTATCATTTGTTCACCTTCTCCTTCTTTCCCCTTCCAGTGCCTTCTCCCCTAGCCCCAAGCTTCTGTTAAATCTCTCTGCCTTACCCATTTTCTGATTTGTTTTCTCTCCTTGTGTCCTGGAAAGCTGCACTATCTCCACTATTGCTCCACAAAGCACAGCGCCGTTCCCCTTTCCCTTTCTCCTGTCTTCCGCAGAGCCTCTTCTCTGTTCCCGGCCCTGTCCCACATGCATCATTTCCTCTCCTTTCTCTGCTCTCCAGGCTCTCTGTCACTACTGTATCCGTTTTCAGCAAACAGGCTGCAGGTGCCATTCTGAATGTGGAGACTCTGTGTGTTGAAATGATTCAACACATTGACTCAGTGGCCTGCTGCTTGGGTAAACTTCCCAGCACTGCTATTTACTAACGAGATAACCTTGAGAAAGTTACTTAGCCAGTCTAAATCTCATGTTCCCCTCAAGTCAAATGGGGATAATGAAAAACTCTACTTCTTAGAATTGTTGTGAGCCTTATATTATGCTCCATAACCCTGGGGTTGGGGTTTCGGTTCCAGGGTTCCAGACTTGTATATGCCTTACTAGTTGGATGGTCTTGACCAAGATACTGACCTTCTCTCTGAGCAAGTGTCCTCACTTCTAAAGTGAGAGTGATAATAATAGGACCTACTATATTAGTGTACTGGGAAGATTACATCAGTGAATAAACATAAAAGCACCTGGAATAATAAATGGCATACAGGAGCTTTCCCCAAAAGTTGGCCATCATGATATTTGTTCGTGATAAAAGATGCCTAGAATGCAGCTTGCCTGGAGGCACTCACAAGGTGGTAGTTACCCTTTGCTGCTCTCGCTGTCCACTCTGGCTGCTCACCTCCAGGAAGTCTGGCCTAGGAACATACAAGTCAAGAATTGAAACAGGAAGGAAATAACGTGGCAGGTTTTCTATTATAGCTCACTGTGCTTTCATCCTAATGTTGCAGGTAGAACAATAATGTCTTCCTCAATTATTCCACAAAACAACTTTTGGAAATCACATTTAATTTCTCTCCTTAAAGGAAATAACATATATAGCATGCTTCGAGCAGGGCTTGGGGCTCCATAAATTGTCTTGTTCATTTATTTATGTAAGACCACTCTAGCCACATATAGAAAACATAGAAGAGAAAGAAAAGGAAAAATAAATCCTTTCCTTAAGTCCACACTTGTTGTCATTTTGTACTCTCATGTTTTAATGTACTATGATAACTCATATTTTAAAGAATTCCACTGAGAATCATTTCAGGGAGTGAAGATTCTTTCTTAGATAGTTAGGCCCTTCAAGACTGCCAGAAAAGGATGTGCCTGGATTCTCTTTGGTAAAGTGAGGAAGCCCAGGGTATCCTCTCCTCTAGCATTGTCCAGGTCAGAACAGCCTCAAAATCCCTTGGAAGATCTCCTGAGCTGGAGCATCCCCAGCATTTGTATTTTCCAAAACAGAAGGTGCGAGGATTCATTTGTCATCAATCAACTCAAAGGATAGACTATAGCACCAGATCCCCTCAGAAATGCTCTAGTTCTTTTTTTTTTTTTTTTTTTCAGAGGAGAACCATGGCTGCAGAGTGTTAATAATACACACATGACAGTTAAGGCTTATAGATCCCTTTTTTGTAAAAAAATAACAGTCCCCAGCTGGGCACAGTGGCTCATGCCTGTAATCCCAGCACTTCGGGAGACCAAGGCGTGTGGATCACCTGAGGTCAGGAGTTCAAAACCAGCCTGGCCAACATGGTGAAACCCCGTCTCTGCCAAGATTGTGCCACTGCACTCCAGCCTGGGTGACAGAGTAAGACTCTGAAAAAAAAAAATCCATTAATGGTGGTGCATGCCTATAATCCCAGCTACTATTTGGGAGGCTGAGGCAGGAGAATAGCTTGAACCTGAGAGGCGGAGGTTGCAGTGAGCCAAGACTGTGCCACTGCACTCAGAGAGCACGCCACTGCACTCCAGCCTGGGCAACAGAGCAAGACTCTGTCTCAAAAATGAAAAAAAAAAACAACCAAAACAAAACAAAAACAGTTCCCTTGGTCTACCTTCTGTAGGAATTGAGCTTTCATGCAGTGGGTTCATTTTAAGTTTGGAATACTGAGCTATCAGGATGTGTCTTCTGGCTAGTGGAGACTTCATATTATGTGCATTAACTGCCCTCTTCCTATCAACACCCAAATATCTTCATAAAAAGTCACTGGAAGATTTTATGTCAGAGGAAGAAAATATAGATATGACTAAGAAAATTTTTCAATTAAAAAAATGTAAACTCCTTGGAGCATAATGTCCTAAAGGGCAGGAGAAGTCTAAAACAGCAATAAAATTGTCAGCTTTTAATAACCAGCCATGTTTCCATGGTACTTTATCATTTGCAGTGCATTTTAAACAGCTATTACATACTCATTTGTTTGTTTACTTATTCCTTCAACACCAGGACCATACTGTGACTTTTGTGGGTCCTAGGACCTTTGCCTTCTTGGGCCCCTTCCTCCATTAGAAAAATTAAAATAGCTTAATAGATTTTGTGGGTCCTAAAAATTTCATTTTTTTCTAATGCGAGGAAAAATTGAAACATTTTCTTCTGTCCTGACAGTTCATTTTTTTCTTTTGATTTTAAAATAAATTAAAACATTTTCTTTAGCTAGGGGTGGTGATGCACACCTGTAGTCCCAGCTACTCAGGAGGCTGAGGTAGGAGGATTGCCTTAGCTGAGGAGGTCAAGGCTGCTGTGAGCTGAGACTGGACTACTGTGCTCCAACGTGGACAACAGATAGAGACCCTGTCTCACACACACACACAAAAACCACCCACACACACACATGAAAACAAAACAAAGGAAAACATTTTCTTGGGCCCCTAAAAAGCACTGTGAGCCCAGGCACTATGCTTACTGTATTTCTTGGAGGGGCCAAGTATGGGCTATGGGTTAGAGACACAAAGATGAGTATATGCAGCCCTGACCCTAAAGAGCTCAGCAGTCTCAGGGAAGCAGACCTGCAAGCAAGCCATTTGGTGGCTGGCAATCAGGGCTATGACTAAAGTCTGTTACTGGTTCTACAAGAGCATGGAGGGGTCAGCTCCTAACTCTACAGACAGTGGGAGGACAGCTTTGTGAAAGGAGCATTGCTCAAGTGGCTGTTTAAGCCAGCATTTTTCAGCAATTTTGTGTTTGAGGCCCACTTTCAAATTTTATAATTTCTTGATAAATTAACAAATTAAGAACACTGGGCCAAAGAAGCAAGTTTCAGAGAATTGAAGAAACTTGCTGTTAATTTTGGTATATGGAGATATATGTGGTTTTTGTCTTCTGATCAATATGTAAGATGTATTTTTGCTACAACTGGATACATATGGTCACCTCAATGTTAGCCAATAGTGTCAAGCTAAGTACCTTTTGGCTCAGGACAGAGGGTACTGGCTGAGAGGGAGATGTGGGACTGGCTGAGAGGGAGATGTGGGAAGTTCAGGGCATCGAGCTGGTTCCAAAGGAAGACCACGTGTTCAATGGGGCATGAAAAGCTTTTCCTCTTGATTACATGAAAGACTGCAGCTAGGAACCAACATAATTCTTCTCAGTGCTGAAGAACAACCAAACCCACAAGGGGATGATAATGTTTAGCCTCCTTTGTGGGAAAAATATATTCTAGACATTGATCAAAATCTGGCAACACACTTAGTTGTCAGGTGTTCAAGATACACCAGCCTGCCAAGCTACAGTGGTTGATATCTGCTACTCTCAGAATAATAACTGCAAACACTTAGAATGTCCCAAGGACCATTCTAAGAGATATATATGTGTTTATAATCCTCATCACAATCCTACTATGTGAGCATTATTTTGATGCCCATTTTAAAAATGAGGAAACTGAGACCTGGAGACTTTTGATGATCTGCCTTAATAAGCAGCAGAGCTAGGATTTGAACACAAGCATTCTGGATCTAAGATCTGTGCTCTCAATCACTACACTTCACTACTTGTGGATGCTTCTTACACACCCTCTGCTGTCTTGCGCCTGCCTCTGAGCAGCCTCACACAGGAGCAACCTGACAACGCCTCACCGCAGGCTTCTCACTGGGCACTGAAGAGTGGAACAGGAGCCCACTCATCGCCCTGCCATGAGCAATCCACAAGTGCTTCGAGAAGTTAATGTCCTAGAACAAATGGATGGATCCCAAGACTGATTTCGCTTGGCATCTCAGACAGCCCCATAAGGTCCAGCAACCCATCACAAGTTGCCCTGGCAGCGTTGCCAGATAAAATCCAGGATGCCCAGTTAACTTTAGACACCAGACAAAGAACAAGTGATTTTTAAGTATTAGTATGCCCCAAATACTGTCTGGTCCATAGGAAGAGTGAAAAATTCTTTGTCATGTATCCAAAATTCAAAGTTAACTGGGTGTTTGGTAGTTGTATTTGCTAAACAGGAAAACCCTAAGCAGTAGCCAACTTGCCAGTATGGCATGGCACAGGCTTTCCTTCCTTCCCTGCTTGGCTCCCTGTTTCTCATCCAGCTCCTGGGGGTCACATCCACAATAAAGAACAGGTAGGCCTTTGCCTTGGCCCCAGCTTTCTGGGAACCCAGGCTACGACCCAACTGGGCAAGGGTTTTTCCAGGCAGACAAGGTAGCTGTAATGCTCCCAGCTTTCCTGTGAGGTGGGGACTGCTGCTGTCAGCATGGCACCCACATTACAAATAAGAAGGCCAAGGTTCAGGGATATCCATCCGTTTGCCAGGACTCACACTCTGCTGCTCCAGCTCCACCAGTCTCTTACTATGAAAGAGTTTTCCAGACTATTCTTGAGAAACATTTCAGCATTATTAGAAAAGGCATTAATTGGCTTAGGCAATCATTGATTCATTTAACAATTACCTCCATTTGTTGAAAGAAACCCTCTCAGCCACGCTGTCAAAGGGATCCTGTGACATATGCACTGGAGAAATAGTCTCAGCGCAGCTGTAATGTCAAGATGTTCGATGTCTCCTGTTTTACGCTTGTTGGAATGGTCAATGTTAAAACATGAAGTTTTCAACTTCAGATCTTCACGATGAAACCAGCAGTTTGTTATTATTTCTGCATATGACTAAATATAATGTTCATTTCAAAAGTAATGACTGATTGCAAAGAGATACATGCAGAAAGCCTGAAATTACAGTTGCCTTTCACCTGAATCAGAAACTCAGTTCCCTTTTCATTGCATTTCCCTGTAGGTTGGCCTCTGAAAGAGCTGAAATACTATAAACTACCATTTGGGACAGTTGGAGAAAAACAGCAAATATTAGAAAACCTGTGCCAAAGCACTTGCACCCAGTGGGTATACACAAGAATGTAACCTCCTCCAAACTTTCAAAAACAAAGCCAAACCTTGGCTGCAAATAAGCCTCAAATGAGAAAGAAACACTCATTTGCTTCTGAAAAATGGGAAAGGCTGTACTTTATCTACAAGGTGTTCTTTTCCTTATAAACCATGAGAAACAGACCTCTTTTTTGTTCTCTTTGTCTGCTGGAACTTCATTTTGAAGGAAGGAAGTTACAAGGAATGAACCACCTTGTAAGGGCAAGAAAATCTTTCTCCACAGTGTGGCTGGATTTGCTCCTGGAAGCAGCCACTTTGGTAGGTCTCTCCAATGAGGCTTTTTCTCACAGCAGTCCAGGGAAGCAGATGGATTAGATGGCTGGCTCTGGTTACCTATGGCTGCCTGCCCAGTCCCCTGGGCATTCCAAGGCCCCACCTTCCACCTGGCCCATGACCTCTGACCCAGGCCCTGTAGCCAGCAAGGGTGTGGGGAAAGAGCGGGGTGGGTATAGGTATCAGGCTGCCTGGGCCCAGGCTACAAATGAAAGAGTCAGTTGTTTCCATGCCTCATGCTCTATTGTGCCGTCCCGGGAGCTGCAGAACTGGTATTTCTCCAAATCCTGGTGGCTCACATGGCTGTGTAGACAAGCTGTACTTACAGTGGTACACGTGTATGTGTGTTGCATGGAAATCAGCAGTCCTGCTTCCAGTCCCAGCTCTGCCTCTGCCTCATTCTGGGACTTCAGAGAGCCCCTTTGCCACTTCAAGGAGCCTCAGTTTTCTCATCTACGAAATGGCACTGTTGGATCCTTGTAAGTGCTTGGGAAAGGGTGGGGAGTGGGGTGCAGAGTAGGGGCTGCTGACCAGGCAGTTTCCTGCCATCCTCTATAATCCTGCTCACCACCACCCCGAGGGCAACAAAAACAACTCCACCTTCATCTGTCTTGTATTTTGTATTTTCACATAAAACCTTCTCAGAAGAAAAACTTTTGTTGGCTTCTAAAAACCACTGGACTAGGCGATCTGTAAGTGACCTATGAAATTGATTATTCTGTAATTCCATGATTCCAAAACAAAAACACAGACTTAGACTTTTTAAAGGATCGTGTGCTGTTTGGGAGGATGAGAAAATTATGACATATGTAGTGATGTGTTTCTGATACTGAAGATTCTCTTATGCGGCACCCCCTGCTTCCACCTGCCACAAAGGGAACATATAAAGTTTCCAGAGTCCTAGCCCCCTCCTTTGTTACACCTGATAAAGGCTCATGTTAATTATTTAGCCAACGGTGCTAACTGGAACATAGTCATATGATGAAGCTGCCTTGAAAACATTTCCGCGTGTAACATAAGGCTTTTGCAACTTAAACGTATTTTTTTCTTCTTTCATATCAGCAGTTATTTTATGGAACTGGGCTGAGACAGCTTAGCAACAAAGGGCACTGGGTTGGTGAATTATTCATGTAATCTACATTTCCTGGCTGCTGTGGATAATTGACAGGTGTCATGTCACCTTTTACAAACGTCCCACAATTATGGACCATATATCAGTGTTGGACTTCGAAGTAATGCTCCCTTTCTAAGCTAGTTTCATATTTTATTTACAGCTTGGTGGCATTTTTGACTTGGCTGCCTATTTCTCTCACTTTTGATTCCAAGCCTTTTGCTCCACTTAATATAACCAGGAACATTTAAATAATGAGACTCCCTCTCAGTTTGCTAAAGGCAGTCATTCATTGCTGTGGTGTCTTATTCATTCAGCCATTATGTTAGTCAATTTCTTGATTTAAGAAATGCAGGATGAAATGCAACTGTAAGGAAACCATGATATAATTTTTTTTATGACTTGTTTTGTTCACAAGGGAAAAACCAAAAGCAAATCTTCCGTGTGTCTGACACAAGTTGTAAACTGTAGGGGAAAGTTGGCTAGTTAAAGAATATGACTTAGTTAATAGAAGATGGCATATTTCAAATCTCCACCAGAGTTGGAAGTTTTCTAGCATTAGAAACAAAGCCAAGGCAAGTTCTATTTAGGCCTACTGAGAAAATCAGGTAAGAAAATAAACCTGCAGTTGATAACCCTGAAGACTAATGACAGAACATAGCCATACATGAAACTGAAACATTCAGAGCAAACTGGAACCTTCGGAGTCCTCTAGTCTACCTTTCCACTTTAGCCATCAGGAAACTGAGTCCCAAGACATGTAAAGGTTTGTCCACCATCCCAACACCAGTTAGTGGAAAGGCTACAAGCCAGGTCAGCCGGTTCCTCCTCCAGCACTGTCACCGTTCTGCCCTGGCCTGGAGCACTCTCCTTACCTCCCGGGATTCATTCACTTCTTCTACTGCCAGTGATCTCTGACTCTTCCTTGGGGATATTCACCCCTTCCTAACACTCAGCTCTGTGATTTGTGTAGAATGATCTCAAACTCACTCTCGACATGAGCATGATTGATTAAGTCCATCAATTTTCCTGAATGGAATGGCCACATGACCTAAACTGGACCAGTAAGATACAGTGAACCCCAGCACTTGGATGGGAGCTGTTGGAAGAGATTTTCAGTCCTACTAGATTGGCTGTTGTAAGGGTGTGAGGTCTGGAGCTGCTACATATTATTTTGCTACCAATATGGAAAGAGGCTGGAGCTACAGGAAGTGGGTGGGGAAAATGTATCATGTGATGCCTGCGGGTGAAGCTTGCCAACACAAAACTACTGGGCAGAGAAAGCAAACCTGGGTTAAGTAAACATATCATTTATCTTCTAAACCAGGACAATTCTGAGAATGAAAAAGGGCAGGACAAATGCTAAACCAGACAGGATGCCGGAACAGTAGGCATAAACAGAACTGTTCTGGGCAAACAGGGACACACAGTCATCCACTCTACGATGACACTGTCTGAGCTGCTAGATTAAGCCTTGACTCTCAATTCAGCTGGCTGGATTCAGCTAGCACTCTATTTGGCCTTTTTAATCTCGGTAACAATGAACTCACTTCATTGTTGAAACCAGTTTGAGTTAAGAGTATTGTAACTTGTATGTAAAGCTTTAACTTACACAAATATGCTGCTTCCTAAGTGTTGCACTTTCTAAAATCTTGTCCTACATCATATCGGAAGTTTGTAATTAAAGATTATTATTGTATGTTTTTCGTATGTTTTCACTCATAAGTGTGAGCTAAGCTATGAGAATGCAAAGGCGTAACAATGGACTTTGGGGACTCAGGGAGAAAGGGTGGGAGGGGGAGTGAGGGATAAAATGCTACAAATTGGGTTCAGCGTATACGACTCGGGTGATGGGTGCACCAAAATCTCACAAATCACCACAAAAGAACTGACTCAGGTAACCAAATACCATCTCTTCCCCAAAAATCTATGGAAATTTGAAAAAAATGCTTTAAGAAAAAAAAGATTATTATTATATGTTTTACTTTTATAAATATTAATACTTTAACTTTTACTTCAACCAGTGCAAACTGTCATTTTACAGATAAATTCCAAATTAATTATCTTACTTACACCAGTAACCCTGTGAAATAAGTATCGTGTAAGATTTGGGGAAGTTAAAAAATTAACCCAGACTCTCGTGGCTGATGTGGCAGATACGTAGTGGTGGCTCTCTTGGGGGTTAAAACCCACAACACTGATTTGTATTCTTTGCCAACTTCTGTGGCGTAACTATCCCAACAAGGTCTGATCTCAGGGTATCAACCTGACATCATTGAACACAGAGTTGGGAAGCAATATCTTGTTCTCACAAGCCAGCTGTGGTATCCCATGGCATGGAGCGGTCATCCAAGGCTTCTGATTCCCTTTCATCAGTTCTTCTCATTTTTATGCTCCAGCAGTTTGGTGTAAGGCAGTTCTGAATTGTGCTGTCTTAACGATTGCAAATGTGCCCCAGGGCCAGTGGTGCAAGAGGCCTTCAAAGGAGAGTTCATCAGAACAGAACAGCAGTGACCAAGCCAGTCCAGAGTTTGCATTTCTCCAGCCTGACCTCACTGATGCCCACCCCGGGCAGGAAGTGCTGCTGGGACTTGAGCATTTGCTGTGCTCCCTACTTGGATGTGACTACTTCCTGGTGCCCCCTACTTCCAGGTTCTCTGCCCTGCCTCCTGGACCACTATGTGGAATAGCCATTGGGGCAGAAATACAGAAACGGATGGTCTTAGAGTTCTTTTCCTCTGCCTTGGAGTCCTTCAGCCTGGCTGAGGACTACAACAGTCTTTGCTATTCTCTGATCATGGCTGTCAGAGCTAGGTCCCCTGCAGTGAGGGGGACACTTCCAAGCCCATTCACACTCATTATCTCATTTGAAGGTATTGACTGCATTGTGTGCTAAATGCTTTGCCTCAGCAGAGAGAGCTTGGAGAACAGTTGAGTCATGTGAAAACCCTGGTGGCAGCAACCTAATTTGCAGTCCTGGGGCTTAGGGGAAATTAGCCAGTCTTTTTTTCCTTTTTTTTTTTTTTTAAATTAGCCAGTCTTAACAGGGCTTGCTTTACAAACTCAAGCCTACCGGTTGTAAGCAATGCCACAGTAACTTTAATTGTCAAAAATCATGGAGCCGTTGAATGGCACGGTAAGAGTAATTTTCCATCTTTGACATTCAGAATATGTAAAAATTATAAGAAGATCTTCTAGTTATAATTCAACTCAAATCATGATAGAGCACTTTTTAAATGTGACTGCGATTTCCTCCTGTGAGTTAGGAAGGAGGGGAGCGATGATGACACCACAGTATTAGTATTAGCCAGTTTCACTGTGGTCAGTGCTCACTTGGCCACACTCAGAAGGATAATGGAAAAAAATCATTTTGGTTTTATTTCGGAGGGGGTTTTATACTTATGTTTAAATATGAAGATGTCAGAGCATCTGAACATTCCCTTAGAATGACTTAATGAAGCAAGTTTAGGAAGAATTGGGAAACTGCCTGCCCTCTCTCCAGGCTGCCCTACTGCAATATAGTCCTGGGTGAATAAGGGTTCTTTTACAGAACTATTGAAATGTTCGTGGCCCCTCTAGATTTTCCTATAGAAATGATGGTGACTGGGCCTCATATTGCTTTTCCACACGCAAAGAAAATAGAATTGAAGTGAATCAACCAAACAATATTTTTTTGAATCAAGATGAATGTGGTCATGCAAGGTGTGTAGAGCACAAAGCCATAGTAAAGGCCGTGGTCTCTGCCCATTTCAAAGGATGTGATTTGGCTGAGGGGCTGACCTGCTAAACAGCAGGAAGCTATCCATTGCAGCTTATCATAAAGAGGTAAGCTGGTATGGATGGCTCAGGCTGTTGAAATTTGAAAGAATTGGCGATCAGGGAGGGCTGGAAAGGTCAGAAAAGAATTCAGGAAGGAGGGGAGACGTAAGCTGGGCCTTGAAAGGTGCACAGAAAAGGGAGGATATTTCAGCTAAGATGAATGAAAGCACCATGGGACAGTTAGAGGCATGAATATCCAGGATGTTTCTATACATGAGTGCCATTAAGCAGCTAGGGTTCTCCCATGGAAAGTAAGTGAGATGTTAACACCACGAACTCCTCAGCAGAGCAGGCCTTAACTGTTCATAAAGCTAAGAATGAGCAGGCAAATCTAGCCACCATTAATAGGCATTATCTATAGTCCAAGTATATCACACAGTGATTCTGAATAATATTTCTTGAAACATCAGCATCCACACATATTCAAAGGGAAAAGTTCTGATATTTTCAGCTGGTGACCAAATTGGATGATGCACAGCTGATTTGATTTGCTGTATAGTGAATTTTGTCATTAGGATGATTACAAAAGAAACTAGACACTGACAAATTCATGAATTATTTAAAGTTATGAACTCTTTGTAGCAGGTGGGTATTCTAGGCCCAAAGAATGTGAAAGTAATGAAAACATAGGAGTGTTACATATTTCTAGGGGTTTATATGTTTACATATTTCTAAAGGCTCAAGGAAACACCAATAAATGAGGGACAGTGGCTAATATGGTGACATAAGACATGTCATCATGGCAAAACCCTCATGAGATCTATATTTTCGTCACACTAGTCACCGGTCTTCCCTTGTAGGAGGTGGAATGACCAAAAATTCTGGATCTCTCTGGCACTGTGTGTCAGTTTGACCGTGTGCAAAGTTTAAAGTTCAGCTACCTCACATATTAAAACAGGCTGATGGTCCCCTCCCATTCCTTCCAGACAAATAGGCCTCCAGTCTATGGCACTGAGCCCCAGAGAAGGAAGTCACTTGCTCAAGAATTGCATTGAAGTCAAAAGCCAGATATTCTACCCAAAGCAAGTAGAAAAGGAGGGGGAAAAGCTCAGTATCTGCAAATATTAGACAGTGGAGCCTCAGGGCAGATAAGTTCTACTACTTGTAAGAAGATTGAACAAGACATTGAAGAAAGTTAGGGAATCTCCTTCCATAAATATTTAGAATTTTTAATCCAGTATTTATTTGGAGACAAGTAGATGGGAATAATTATTCTTTTCTGTTTGGTTTCTACTAAACCTCTGTTCCCAAACATCATTCTACGAGACAATAATTTTTATATCTTATTGGAAAAACAGAAAAGCCCTAAGTGAGCAGGTAAAAACTTTATAATTGAGAGAAAACAGGAAGAAAAGAAAATATTTTGATACATACCAAGACTCCTGACTGCAAACAATATAGACTCTCTCAGGTCACCTTGGAAAAATGAGAGATTTACTGGGAGATTTACCGGAGAATTTGTGGACTGGGCAGATGTGGAAGCCTCCAGAAACAGTGGCAGCTCTGGGTCTGGCTGTTCTCCCGTCTGTCTCTGGGGCCACCCTGACTCATCCTCCTCTCCTTTCTGACTAGTTTCTTGGCTTCCTCATGGCTTCTGCTCCCTCATAACCAGCTTACACATGGCATTCATTACAGCCTCTCGGGCCCCTCTCCAACCAAGACCCTTCAGTTTCAGCTCACCACTACTACCTAGCATATTCTTGCTGCACTTAAGCTCTCAGGAGCATGACTGTGATTGGCCCAGTTCACCTACTGGAGTCAGGTTGCATTTTAGACCATTGTCTGGCCAATGCAACGGTGGCCCTTAGGTCAGGTGCCCACCACTGGTCCAATTCACCAAAGCAGATGATGGGTGGGAGGTAAAAGGGTGTGGTCAGAGCATTGCTCATCAGAAAGGGCTGAGGCACAGGCAGGCTCTGATTACTAATGAGGACCAGCTTTCCTTCAGAACCAGCAAAAATGCCCTTAAACTGCGGCCTGAGGGCATGTTTTATTGTTTTATTTATTCAATCATGTATTAATTCTTACCTGTCTCTATAACAAAAGATTTGAGGTGATTTACACAACTATGTACAATATAAAAGGATCAAACAGTTGAGAAATGTAGGCAAATGGGGAAAAAAAGAGAATTTGTCCCTATTTCACAGGGACAAAATTAGTACCACGTAGTCTGTAACACTCAACACTAGAAACTTGCTAAAAGTGGGTGGTATTGTCTGAATGTTTGTATGCCCCACCACTCCCCAAATTCAGATGTTAAAACCTGATCCCCAGTGCACCAGTGTTAAGCAGTGGGGCCTTTAGGAGGTGATTAGGACATAAGGGCAGAGCCCTCATGAATGGGATTAGTGCCCTTATAAAAGAAGACAAAGGCAGCTTGTTCTCCCCTTCCACCACATGAGGATGCAGCAAGGAGGAACCATCTTTGAAGCAGAGAGAGCAGCCCTCACCAGATACTGACTCTGCTGGTGCCTTGATCTTGGACTTCCCAGCCTCTAGAACAGTGAGCAATACATTTCTGTTGTTTACAAATTATCTAGTCTAAGGTATATTGTTATAAACAGTGGGAAGGGACTAAGACAGTGGGCCTTGAATTTGTTTCTAAATCTAAGACCTGCCAAACTTAATAGCAAGTGGCTACATATAAGAGGAAAGTCCAGGCAGAAAATGTCATTTATAGAATAGGTTACAATCACAGCCTGTGGAAGCCTGTCTCTCTAAGACAGATTCTCTTCTTTCTGTGTTGATCTGTGGGCTGCCTTGATAGGGAAGAAGACTCTAAATTATGTCTCAAGGCTTCTTCTGGTCTTGATTTCATAACAGTGGTTGAAATTTCATTGACTGGGCCAGAAAACAAATCATTAAGAAGGCAAAATTTTATGTAGCTAAAACCAACCTCCAACACAACTTCATTCCATTGAAGCCTTAGCCCCCAGCCCCCTCCAAAGTTGAAGACACAGTTGAAAAGCTGAAAAGGCAGGTCATACATTTCTCATTTCTTTTTTATTGTGTATTGTAAGGCAAGAAGTACATAAGAAGGCTGGCTCAGTCACTCCAGTTTGTTGCCTGTAGCATTTCCAATACTCTCGGATCTTCTGAAGCTCTTTATTTACTACTTTTTTGCTTCCTTTTGATGATACAGCAGCAAAAAGTTCTAGAAAGCTTTGTCCTGGAGCCTGTAAATGGGAGAGTGCTACCCTGGGGTACCGGGCATGCCATGCTACATGAGATGAACCGTGAGAGCTCTGGAAAGGGAAATTGAATGTTTCCTCTCAGACTGGAACTGGGACTCCTTCTATATAAAAGGACAGCTGTCGTTTAATATTCATTGAGCAGCCACCATGTTCTAAGTGTCGTATGAAGCATATACATGATGTGACATTTGAAAAGAGAAGGCTCGTTTATACAGGAACTGGTTACTGCTGGTACTGGATTTGATGACTGTATGGTAAGGGGTAGAAGGGACACTTGGTGCTTTAACTTTTGCTAACTGAGAAAAATGCTATGTGGATTGCCAGGATGGTGATCCTGAAAAATCATTTACAATATTCAATTAACAATAATTAAGGCACTCAGTGGGAAGCTCCTCACTGACTTGCTAAGTAGCAAAAATTGGTGCTTGGCATTCCCAGTGGATGAGAGAAAAGATAATAAGTACCCCAAATGTAAAGACAATCAAAATGAAACCAATTATGACCAAATTATATCAGGCAAATAGAAGCACAAGTTGAATCAGGAATATTTAAGTTTTTAACAAGAAATATTAAAAAGAGATATAATAACATTTTAGCCATTAATTGATCATCTAATCTAGTTTAGTTCTGGGAAGAGAAATGGTTTATAAACCTTTAAGTTTTACATATGTTGATAAGGGACCACAGTCTATTAAAACAACCTCATATTTTTAAGTGCTCATGTAGGCTAATTTTCTGTTAATACAGTTAATAATGAGCCACAACTGATTCTATTACCAATAGTCTTATTAAAAAGACAGTTAGCTAGTCATTTCATCCATCTTTTCACAACCACGTGCTCACGAATATTAATGGTAATTTGATTTACTATATTCAACTTTAATAATTTTAAACTATCCTCCACCAACTAATTTTTATAGCATTAAAACAGTATTTTTTTCTTTACTTCTTTACAGTTTCTTTTTAACCTACTCTCTTATTATTCTTCACTTCATCAATTTTCCCTCCTCCACATATCTGAAATTATACAATCAGTTCTAGAATTCTAATGATCCCTCAATATCCAACTGAGGGGTAAGTCAGTCAAGGGTCACCTGTATATACTCGTAATGCAGGCAGCCTAAAGCATGGAAAACTTGTTAGTTTTCATCTAATTCAACTTCCTTATTAGTATGTGTATATCCATTTCTCAACTGACTAATATTTAAATCTAAAGACCTTATCCAGGTTGATATCTGGCAAGAAAAAAATGCATTCATCATTGCAGTATTCACATAAGCATCAATAAGAGTTCTCTTTCAAGTCCTCTGTTCTAGTCCCCATATCCAAATATGTCAGCTCCATTAAGTCTTTACTGTTAAAAATTTTATACGTCTGTTTAGGCTGGGCATGGTGGCTCATGCTCGTAATCCTAGGAGTTTGGGAGGCCAAGGCAGGAGGATTGCCTGAGGCTAGGAGTTCAAAATCAGCCTGGGCAATATAGGGAGACCCTTGTTTCTTCAAAACAAAACAAAACAAAACAAAAATTAGTCAGGCATGGTGGCATGCACCTATAGTCCCATCTATTCAGGAGGCAGAGATGGGAGGATTGCTTGAGCCGAAGAGTTCCAGGTTGCAGTGAGCTGTTGATTGCACCATTTCACTCTAGCCTGGGCAATAGACTGAGACCAGTCTCTAAAAAAAATTAAGCACGTTTGAACAAAACCCTCATATTTATTATCAGAAAACTAAGCTCTATCAATCCATTCATATGAAAGCCACTCTGGAAGGGCATAAATCATGGCTATCATGAAGATGTAAACATATATGTGTGTACGCATATGTGTATATGTATAAAAATATGTAAACATATATGTATATATACGTATATTTTTCCAAAAAATGATCATACTCTTACAAATACAATGGCTGCATAATAATATGGATGTAGTTTACCTCATTTGATTAGTCCTCTGTTGGCCAGGATTTAGGCTCTTTCCAATTTGTTTGCACATAAACCATTACACACTCATCTGATTGTTCCCTTCGGAAGAGTTTCTGCAGGATATCTATATCTATATCTATATCTATATCTATATCTATATCTATATCTATATCTATATCTATATCTATATCTATACAGATATAGATATAGATATATATAGACCTGCATACATAGAGGTCATATATACATATTATATGACAGTCTCTCTCTCTATATATATATTTATATATATATTTATATGTATTTATATATTTATTTATTTATATATTTATATATATTTATATATATTTATATGTATATATATTTATATATATTTATATGTATATATATTTATATATATTTATATATATTTATATATATATATTTATATATATTCATATATATTTATATATATATTTATATATTTATATATATTTATATATATATTCATGTATATTTATGTATATTTATATATATTTATATATATTTATATATATATATTTATATATATTTATATATATATATTTATATATATTTATATATTCATATATATTTATATATATTTATATATATATTCATATATATTTATATATATTTATATGTATATTCATATATATTTATATATATTTATATATATTCATATATATTTATATATATATTCATATATATTTATATATATTTATATAGATATTCATATATATTTATATATATTTATATAGATAATCATATACATTTATATATATTTATATATATTTATATAGATATTCATATATATTTATATATATTTATATAGATATTCATATATATTTATATATATTTATATATATATTCATATATATTTGTATATATTTATATATATATTCATATATATTTGTATATATTTATATATATATTCATATATATTTATATATATATTCATATATATTCATATATATTTATATATATATTCATATATATTTATATATATATTTATATATATATTCATATATATTTATATATATTTATATATATATTCATATATATTTATATATATATTTATATATATTTACATATATTTATATATATATTCATATATATTTATACATATTTATATACATTCATATATATTTATACATATATATATTTATATATATTTATATATATTTATATATATTTATATATATTTATATATATATTTATATATATTTATATATTTATATATATATTTGCATATATTTATATATATTTATATATTTTATATATATTTATATATATTTATATATTTATATATACATTTATATTTATATATATATTTATATATATTTATATATATATTTATATATAGATATATATAGTGATCCTGAATCTATATAGATAGAGAGAGAGCGAGACAGAGAAAGAAAGACAATTTGTTCCCCCAAAAGGTGGTATCATTTTTCATTGTCATGGGTAGTATATCAAAGTGTCAAATGACCACTCAGTACAACTCTGATTTTTCCTTGTATGACAGATAAGAGGCATTTGGCTGTCATTTGTAGTTTTTGATTACTAGTAAGGTCAAAATGCTTTTGTATGTTAAATAGTTATTTCTTCCTCTGTAAGTTCTTAGATCATTTTCTTTGTCCACTTTTATGTAGTAAGGATATTGACCCTTTGCTGGTTGCATATACAGTATTGCAAATGTTTTTCCGAATCTATATTTGTCTTTTGAATTTTTTCACAGTATTTCTTCTGGCTATTTTGCATGCCAATATTGATTCTAATATTTAGAAAAATAAATATTAGAATCAGTTTAGACCATTTCAAAAAAACCCCAACAAATCCATTGGGAGACTGATGGGTATTTTGTCAATTAAAAATATTAATGGCTATAATTTTCAACATGGACTCTGAAATCTAGAATCTCCCTCTGCAGTTCTTTCCTTTGCTAAAAAGCACTAAGCTAGCTATTTTGGAGATACTGCCTTCAGATCTATGAAAGAGAAACAAAACAACAACTACACAAAGCAGAATATGAATGAGCATCAGAGAATAGGATGGTAGTAGCTTTGGAGCTCAGAGTTTGAAAACAATGGCTGCTGAGTGGGACTTTGGGGCAGATGTGTGCTTGCTCATGAGCCAGTTGGTGTGCTTCAGTGGCATGACTAGTTGAACTTGGGGATTAGTAATTGAAAGTGCCACCTTCAATTACATCCTGTGCCTTCTTTAGGGTATGTCTATCTATTCAGATCCAGTAACAAACTCTGGTTTAGATCAGGGCAATGACTTGGTCCTATGAATTATGACCATCAAGATGTTTTCTTCACTCAAATAAAAGCAATGACCTGAGCTAACGTAACTCTACTAGGGAGAACGTCTGCTGACCTCTAAGATTTCCATCAAAATCATAGTTTGCCAAGGTGTAAGCTGACTGCATCCTTTATAGGCATGTGGCTCTGCCAGCTGGCAAGCCCTGGCCCCACTCTCCCCAGGCAACCAGCCAACAACCCAGCACTTGAAGCAAGATTCATGCCCACTGCAACATTTATTTTGCTTTATTTTTTGAGGTGTTAGCCACATTCTGTTAAGTGGGACCTTTGCAAAGTTTTTCAGGCATTTGGAAGTGCTCATTTTTCCATCAATTTCTAGTGAAAATGTATAGTTCTGTCACGTGTTTTCAGCAAGAGATCTGTAAAAAGACTGAAGTCTTTTTTTTTTTTCTTTACCTAACTCAATGTAGCAGAAATGAGGAAGGGGGATTGTCAGTCATTTCTAAGAACGACAATTTTCACTGCTTGACAATCTGAAATAGAAAATTCTAGCTATCTGATGATATGCCTTATGTACAGCTCACCCCCCAAATACAATGATAAGTGTTGAACAGCAGAGTTGAGGGCCCTTTGCTTAGGCATGATAATTTAGGGAAATAATTAGCTCATCAGAATTGGCTGGGTGCCCTGTTTTCATATTATACAGACAGAGTCACTGAACCACAACTCTGCTGCTTAGAAACAGGCACTAAAAGAAAGGGGGTGGGGGAAGTATGAATAGCCAGTTACCTGCATTCAATCATGAAGTGTACTTTACACTCAAGGATAAACTGATACATGTTAAATTATGCCTGAAGAAATGTCTGGAACAGCACTCAGGAGACCTGTTGGCTGGACTCTGCTCCTCCTCAGCCAGGTGACCTTAAACAAGATCCTAAGACTCTAAAAGGAGAGTCTGAACAGACAACTTCTAGGTTCTAAAGCTCTATGTTTTGGGGGCTTGATTGAAGAGCCACATTAATTACTTTTATTAATAGGTTCAAGTGTACCCTATTTTTTAAACATCCTTCTTCCAAACTATAAACTTACCGTTCATTAAGCACTTACTATCAGTTAGGTAATATACTGGGTTCAGCAGAGTATACCATCTGTCTCATTTTAAGCAGTTCACATTCTCCACATACCCACCAGATAAGGTAACAGAGACCTGGAGTAATGTGGAATCTGGAAAACTAGACGTGGCCCTTTCCAGATCCTTTGTTCTAAGAATGACTCCATGATATCTGGTTGGAGACTGCAAGCTGGGTTTCATGGAGAAACTGGCATTTGAAGAGAATCTTGAATGAATGGCAAGATTTCCAGAGATAGAGATGAAATGGAGGAAATTCTAGGCAGAGAACAGAATAAACACAGAAAGTTTAGGCAACATTTAAAGGATTCCCAAACGAAAACACCTAGAGACAACAAATCTAATCTGTTTGCCATTTAAGTTAGGGTATTAGTTTATCTGTTCCACAAATAGTCATTCAACACATACTCTGTATAACACACCATTCTTGGTGATAGAGGACATCCAAAGATGATGCTGGACATTCTAATATATGTTTAAACTAGGCATTTCATTTTGTTTTTGTTTTCTTTATTTTTTTGGGGACAGAATCCAGCTCTGTCACCCAGGCTGGAGTGCAGTGGCGCAATCTAGGCTTACTGCAGTCTTAACCTCCTGGGCTCAAGTGATCCTCCCACCCCAGCCTCCCAAGTAGCTGGGACTATAGGCATGCACCACCATGCCCAGCTAATTTTTGTATTCTTTTTGGTAGAGATGTGGTCTCGCCATGTTGCCCAAGCAGGTCTCGAACTCCTGGGCTCAAGCAACCCACCCACCTCAGCCTCCCAAAGTGTTAGGATTACAGGCATGAGCCACAACACCTGGTGGCATTTTAAATAATAAAAGAAATATATGCATATTTGTATAAAATATAGAAGAGGACAGATAACTAAATTTAAAATGACCTACCTTGTGTAAGCTTATAGATTTTGAAGGTAATGCCTCATCCAGCACACAGAATCAAATATATAAATTTGGATGGACACAGAAGCAATAACTAATTAGCTCAAAGCAACATTTAAATTGATCTTTCCAGTGAAAAGGCATTAGCAAAAGTAATCTAAAGAACACCTGTTTAGATGCACTAGCATCGACAATTAGGTTCTTCAGGGAACGAGGAGTTTCCAGCAGCCTTCACTCCAATAGTAGGCAATAGAGCTCAGCATTTTTATCACTGTAACCAAGAACATTTAAGGAGGCCAGAGGAAAATACTCAATCCACCTCTTAATTTCTAAGAGGAGGCAACTTCCTTAAGTCAGTCACTTAATTAGCATGGGCTGGGGCCAGGGGTAGGGATGCTCTGCAGGATTCGCTGCTTGACATTCTTCCCCTTTAAGAAATCTGGGCTCTAAACTTTTCAGTAAAAGAAAAAAAATTCAGTCCCAACAATGTAACCCAAGAAGGAGAAGGTGGTGAATCTGATTGGTGCAGAGGTAGAAGTGGCAAGTGTGGTGCCCCCATATGGTCTCTAATCTAGAGTAGCTAGTGCTGCCCATGCCGGGTCAGTCTGAAGCCACAAAGGCTGGCACTGCACAACTACAGGGAGCATCATTCACAGAGACCAAGGTGGGAATGTCAAGTGGGAAGCTTGGCTTCACTCCTTGCTGCCGCCTCTCTAGATGCCACCCTAATAATAATAATAGCAGCTAACATTTATTGAGCACTGACTAGATGCCATGTATTTTATGTGCGACATCTCATTGAGTCCTTGCAGCCACTCCACGACCTAGGTAACATTAATATCCCCATTTTATAGACAGTAGGGTGATCACACAATAAATTCGTTATCCCAAACAGGGCACCTTTTACATTTAAAAAAATTTTTTTTAGTAGAGATGAGGTCTCACTGAGTTGCGCAGGCTGGTCTCAAACTCCTGGATTCAAGTGATCCTCCCACCCTGGCCTCCCAAAGTGCTGGGATTATGGGTGTGAGTCACCACGCCCAGCCTCAAATAAGGCACTTTTGAGAGAGGAGGTGCTATTACTAATGACACTCGAACAACAGGTGTAAACCAGGTCTGACTCAGGCAAGGCAGAGCATGTAGTCACCCTCCACATAAGGGCCTTCAGGTGCAGGGCGCTGGCTTGCACAAGAACAAGGACGTGGCTGAGCCGGGATTCTTTGCAGTGTCAGCCACAGCGTGTTTCCACTGGGCAGCTTTATATCTTCGTCCTGGGCCTTTTGGAGTATCCATGGTTTTTTTTTTTTTTTTTTTTTCTGTAAAATGTGGTAATGAAATCTACTTCATATAGTTATGTAAGATTCAATCAGAGCAAAATACCTAAACTACAGGGAGGAGCCCAAAGCAGTAGTCACTCAATAAACCCCACTTCCTTTCCTCTAGCTCGCCTCTGTGTGTCCTCTGCAAATCCCTTCACTTCTCTGGCCTTTCATTGCCTCCCTCATGCAAGAACGGAGTTGGATTAAGGGGAAAACCTCCTCTCAACGCTGGCATTCTTTCTCCTCTGGTTCTTCTGGAGCCCATCTTTGTTCACTCATGTGCAGCAGGAGGAAGAGCCCTCTCCTCTGCTTTTAGTTCAGAGAAATGGCTTCTTTATTCATGCTCCTTTCACTTTCAGTACTTTCTCTGAGAGGTTGAAATGGTGGATGTGGGAGGCTGTTCTCCCCTCCTATTGTTTCCCTTCCTTTGCCATCGGCTTGTGCTGGAGCTCCTCCTGTGGGTCTCTCCTCAGTGTGGGGGCAGAAATACCAGAGAGTGAGCTGCTGTGCTGTGCTGGGCAAGGAACCCTTTTGGATTTGGGTTGATGGAATTTTTTTTCCCTGCAACTTCATACCTATCACTTTATCCTTTCTTGAAATCACAAAATGTCTGTACATAAAACAAACACACAAAAAAGCCATAAACTGCATTCAGAGGTCACACCATCATGCCAATGTAAGGACCATTTTTCCTAAGAACAAACATTCGAATTGAATTGAGAATCAACACCTTAATGAGTCAAAGGCAGTAGGAAGTGAGAAAAGCACACAAGGCTTATGGAATGAGATGGTTCCTGGAGACTGACAGAAATCCTCAGGGCAATGTGGCCTCCAGAACAGGCAAGGGTACCAGCATGCATTTTTCTTCCCTCTCCTTCTTTTCTTCCCTCCCTTCTATCTTAATTCTTTTCTTTGAGACACGGTCTCACTCTGTCACCCAGGCTGGAGTGCAGTGGCACAATGACAGCTCACTACAGCCTCAACCTCCTGGGCTCAAGGGATCATCTAGGACTACAGATATGCACTACCATGCCTAGGAAATTTTTTAATGTTTTATAGCAGGCCAGGTGCAGTGGCTCACACCTGTGATCCCAGCACTTTGGGAGGCTAAGTCCAGAGGATTGCTTGAGTCCAGGAGTTCAAGACCAGCCTGGGCAATATAGGGACACCCTGTCCCTAAAGAAAAATAAAAAAAAATAGCTGGGCGTGGTGGTGCACACCCATAGTCGTAGCTCCTTGGGAGACTGAGGTGGGAGGCTTGCTTGATCCTGGGAAGTTGAGGCTGCAGTGAGCTGTGACTGTGTTGCTGCACTCTAGCCTGGGTGACAGAGCCAGACCCTGTCTCAAAAATAAATAAATAAAAATAAAATTCTTTGTAGAGATGGAGTCTTGCTACATTGCCCAGGCTGGTCTCAAACTCCTGGCCTCAAATGATCCTCCCACCACGGCTTCCAAAGTGCTGGGGTAACAGGTGTTAGCCACCTCACCCAGCCCCTTCCTCATTTCAAAGCACCTACTTTGTTGCATTTCAGGAACTACTCTAGGCTCTGAGGGTTGGAATAAATAAAAAATAGTCATGCTCCCTGCCTTCACAGAGTTTTCACTGTAGCAGTGAGAGCGGTGTTGATCTAGTAACCACACAAATGTGTTAGATGGTGACCCTGAGGAACGCCATTGAAGGAGAAGTATGATTGGTGCCACAGCCTGCTTTGACCTAGTGAGGGAGGCTGGGCAAGATCTCCCTGAGGAAGTGATGAGGCTCGCACCGAGACGGGAAGGATGAGTCGGCGTTCCGGGCAGAGGAAGCAGCTTGTGTAAAGCCCTGAGGTGGAGGGAAGCTCCTCTAGTTTGAAGAACTGAAAGACAGCCAGGCATCTGGAGCTCTGAGAACAAAGGGGAGAGGGTGCAAGATGGGGCTGGAGAAGGAGGTAGGGCCCAGGCCACACCCAGTTTTGGAGGCCTTTTTACGGATTTAGGCTGTTCCTAAAAATCACGGGCAAATTTTGCAAGTGTTTTCAGCAGGAAGGTGTTATGATCAGAGTTTATTTGAAAGTGATAACTGCAGGAAAATGGATTCAATGGAGGCAAGAAAGGGAGCAAGGAAATAATAAGAAATAACAGTAGCTGGTGTGTACAGAGCATGCTACTTTGGGCCACGTACTGGTCTGTGACCTTTATACACATCGCCTCCTTCAGTCCTCACACAGCCCTGTGGGCCAGGGACTATCATCCCTCTCCTTTTAACAAAGAGGAGATTGAGACACAGAATCACTGGACCAGCGTTGGTTGGCTTGTAAGTGCTAGAACCAAGCTGAGACCCTGGTAGTCCCTGGCTAGAGCCTGAAGCTTAGTTACTACATCCCAGGGGCTCCTTCCTGCCCACAGGCTGGGCAGCAGACAGTAGGGGCTTGCATCAGGGTGGTGGCATGGACAGACCCATAATAATGGAAAGAACTGACAACACCCAGACCAGCAGTACGGGAGGGGAGAGTGAGAGCCAGGTAGGAGAGAGGGGAGGGAGAGCCAGGTAGCGGAGAGAGGAAGGAGAGCCAGGTGGGGGTGCAGCTCAGGGGCTGAAGCGTCTGGGAGGGGCTGGGTTTGAGGTGGCACACATATCCAAGAGCATGGAGGCTTCTGTACAGCCCTAGAGCTAAGGAAAAGAAAACAGATTTGATAATCCAGTGTGGGCACCCTTATTTTCTTTCTTTCTTTTACTAGGAATTCCAGGAGATCAGCTAAGAACTGCCTGCTTTGGTTCTCTTCTTTAAAAAACCAGACCTATGCCAGTTTTGTTCCTGCTTTATTTATTTGTTCAGCTTGATGTTTAATTTTTTTAGTTTCTAAAGGTTTTACTTTCACTGTGAGTGCACTGCTAAAAATTCTGTCTGAAGACTGCTTGGATTCACATGCTCATTGATTCTCCCTCCACCCATTTCAGAATTAACCTGAGCAAATAGCCATGTTTTCTAGTTCCCAAATTCCTCCACTTCTGCCAACTGACATTCTTAAATCTGACATTGGTCAGCCTTGACCCTTGGAATGTATGTATCATTTTATTTCAACAATGCACTTTAGATGTCTACATGTTAAAATTTCTTAAGCAATACAGGCTGTACTTTGTCAATAGCTGCTACAAAAATACATTTTAAAATACCCAGTTGCTACATTCTTGCCTAGAGATAATTTACTGGAAAACTTGCTGAAGAACAATCTTCTCATAGATTTCTATTAGTAATCTAATAGTTCAAACTACTGGACTACAAAGGCCTATTTGGCAAACCCATTCTCTGACACAATGACGTGGACATGCACACACACACAGTTTTTAAAGGGAAGATGAAGGCATGCATTATTGCAAACATGTTTTAAATTCTACAATATATCACCAGAGGGAGAACCCTAACAAGTTAGTCAGAATTAGAATTATAACTATGTAGAGTACCTTTGGCTGAGCTATTTTCCCTTGGTGATTCCACAAAGGCAGCAAGGCTCTGTGTATGTTTCTTTGTTAAAATACACTGTGAAATGGGGGTTGGTCGTGCATTCATCAGTTCATACAATGATTATTTGGCATTTACTATGTGCCAGAGTGGTGTATCAGGAGGGCTATGCTCCTTTTTTTTTTTTTTTCTAATACAGGTTCTATCTCTGCTGCCTAGGCTGGAGTATAGTGGCACAATCTGGGTTCATTGCAACCTCCACCTCCCAGGCTCAAGTGATCCTCCCACCTCAGCCTCCCAAGTAGCTGGGACTTCAGGTGCAGACCATCATGCTTGGCTAACTTTTTGCATTCTTTGTAGACACAGGTTTTCTCCATGTTCCCCAGACTGGTTTTGAATTCCTGAGCTCAAGTGATCTGCCCACCTCAGCCTCCCAAAGCGCTGGGGATTACAGGTGTGAGCCATAGCACCCAGCCATAAGCTCCATTTTAAACTTAATCTTGTGGAAGAATCAGAACTAAAGAAGCAATTCATTACAGGGCAATGATAGTTATGAAAGAGGAAGCACAAGATGCTATGGGAGAAACATCTAACCCAGGGTGAAGCTCATCAAACCAGGGTTTCTGGAGGAAGACAGATGAAAGCTGAGACATGAAAAATGAAGAAAACCTATCCAGGAGAAGAGAAAAGAAAAGAGCTTTCTAGGCAGAAGGATCATTGCATTCTGAGATTCAGAGTATGGAAGAATATAGAGTATTTAAAGAATGAAAGCAGTAAGGCTGGATCTTAGAATGCAAAAGATGGTTGGTGAATAAGATGAGGTCATGCAGGGTCTTGTAACCATGTTAAGGAACTTGGGATTTATCCTGAGGGTAGAGGAAGCCATTGAAAGGGTCAAAGCAAAGAGTGTAGAGAATTGATGGGGGAGGGGAAGGCTGGAGGCAGAGAGATCAGCTGTTGTAAAGACACAGAGAAACTGGTGGCAAGGACTAGGATAGTAGCTGAGAAGGCAGATTCAAATGACAATTGGAAGGCTGGCTATAGAGAGCAGGGGAAGGGGAAGATGAGAGAAAGACTCCCAACTCTTTGGCTTGGATGACAACACCATTCACTGAAAGAGAGAACACAGGTGCTGAGGCTGATGTGTCTATGGGGCGTCTAAAGCAGATGACCAGTGTAGAGTGAGTTAGTTGATGAATCTGCACTAAAAATATAGATGTGGTAACTGAAGCTAGTTAAAGGAGTGGAAGAGAGTGTTCAAGAAGAGGTGTCCAGTGATTTTATAATAGTAATATGCAGGTCACATGTGATTTTGGAGATGTAAGATGGGTGGGGATGGAGTCAGAAGCCAGACTGCAGAATGAGCAAAGGAAGAGGAGCAAATAATAGGCAATGTAGACAACTCTTTCGAGAAGATTAACCACAAAAGGGACTAAAGAGTCCAGGAGCAGCAGCGACAGGTGGTTTAGGAACTGGGAGACTGGTGAATTTGAATATCAATGAAAAAATCCAGAATAAAGAGAGGGGCTGAGGGTTCACCAAAGAGGGACAAAGTCCTGCTATGGATGGCATCCAGGGACTGGGAGAAGAAAATAAAGTGGAAAGGATGGATGTGGTGCAGTTAGAGTACAGTCTTGGCTGTGCACTGAGTTGAAGATGTTCTCACTGATGTTTTCATTTTCTATGTCAATGCAAAGCAAGATAATCTGTCAGGAATGAGAGGGAGAGGCCAGGTTCAGTGGCTTCTGCCTATAATCCCAGCACTTTTGGAGGCTGAGACGGGTGGATCTCTTGAGCTCAGGAGTTCAAGACCAGCCTGGGCATGTGGTGAAACCCCATCTCTGGTGGTACATGCCTGTAGTCTCAGCTACTCATGAGGCTGAGGCAAGAGGATTGTTTGAGACCAGGATATCAAGGCTGCAGTAAACAGTGATCACACATCACTGCTCTCCAGCCTGGGCAACAGAGGGAGAACTTGTCTCAAAAAAAAAAAAAAAAAAAAGAATGAAGGGGAGGCCAGGTGCAGTGGCTCACGCCTGTAATCTCAGCACTGTAGGAGGCTGAAGCTGGAGGATTGCTTGAGACCAGGAGTTTGAGACCAAATTGGACTAAATAGTGAGACCTCGACTCCATGAAAAATTTAAAAAATTATCTGGGCATGGTGGCACACATCTGAAGTCCTAGCTACTCTGGAGTTTGAGGTGGGAGGATTGCTTAAGCCCAGGAGGTCAAGGCTGCAGTGAGCTACAATCATGTCCCTGCACTCTAGCCTGGGTGATAGAGTAAGATGACCCTGTCTCCAAAAAAAAAAAAAAAAAAAAAAAAAGAGAGAGAAGAAAAGAGACTAAGGGAGAAGTTTGTAGGACAGGATAGAGGGATAGAAGAGAATGGAGAAAGTTTTCTTTAAAAAAAAAGTAGTATATTTTTAATTAAAATAGAAATACATACCTATGGTTTAAAAAAAATCCAGAAGAGTATAGTGAAATGTAAGTCTGTGCTCCACCCTAGCGGCCCAGCCCTCCAGCCCTCTCTCTGGAGGCAACCACCATGGCCTGTTGGTTCTTGTATCTTCTTTCAGAGATATTTTATGCCCTGCTCTGACCCACTCCTTTTCACTTAATATCATGTCTTGGAGATAGTGCCACATGAGCACAAATAAATCTACTCCATTATGAACCATGCTTTCTTTAACTGGTTCTTTGTGCATACTTTTGGGCTCACAGGTAAGAGTGTATACATAGGAAAAATATGTAGCCTTGAAATTTCCCTCTGAAGAGACTGTAGCTATTTACATTGTGTTATGCTCCTCCTGATCATAAACAATGCAAAGTATTAGTAAATATCTTTTTTATTTTACTCAGCCTGACAAGTAGAAAATGAAATCTTATTTTGCTTTGGGTTTTTTAAATTGAGAGGAAGAGAATTTTAAAAATATTTACTGGCCAATTTTGTCTCCTTGTGTGTGTGTGTGTGTGTGTGTGTGTGTGTGTGTGTGTGTGAACTGCCTGCTCATGTCCCGGCCCGTTTTTCTTTTGGGTCATTGGTCTTTTTCCTATTGATTTTTAAAAATGGAGAAGATTGAAGTGGATAAGAGGAAAAGGTTGAAGAGTGCTGGGCCTCCAGGGCACCCACCAGGGTCCCCCATTTCTGCAGAGGAGCTGCAGACAGAGCCCTGTAGGTTCTTTTTGAATTGAACATCTCTTAGTTGAACTGATGTCTGCAGCCTTGGCCTGTGATTTCTTTCTCCAAGAGGTTTACAGCTCCATGAGGCCTGCAAGGCAGAAGGGGAAGGAAGGAAATCCCCATTCTCGGAGTCTGCATTGTTGGCCTGTGAGACGGTGGGGAGAAGCCTGTGGAGGAGCAGGTATCTGGATAGAAACAGTCCCTGGCAGTGGGTGAAGCTCCCTGAAGCTCTGAGTCAGCTCAGACCTCAACACCTGGCTGCCCTGGGGAAGGGATTTCAGAGCCTCCTTGCTGGATCTTGGTGTTTACTTGTGGGCACAAGTGTCCTCTACTTGATCTACATGGTGTGGCCTTCCAGACCTCGAGTGGACCAGCCCATCTCTGGTCTACTCTATTTGGTCATTCTGGATGCAGTTCTTGATGCCTACCTGCCCCAAGCTGGGCACCTTCTCACACGGACTGTCACCACTGGGATCGCCCCCTGCCAGCCACTCTCCTGGTCCGCACCTAACCCTGGGCCAAAGGGCCAGAGGGCCGGAGGGTGAGGAAGCAGGGTGGGGCTGCAGCATCCTTGTTCTCAGCAGGTAACTGGCTCCCACCTGTGGCATTTCCCACAGTTCCACAGAGAAGGTTCAGGGCCTGGAAGCCATGTTATACCCTAAACTCCTCAATAGGAAGCCAAGAAAGTACCTTATCTCAGGGCAGAACTTGGAGCTTCTGTTACATATGAAATGTCAAAGAGATGTGAGCTGTTTTGTAAATGATCTTATCACAACATACAAATCATACAGTTAAAAATGACCTAAGAAGTGAAAGGACAGAAACACATTTCAAGCATTTATTAGCACAGGAGACATGCCAGGTGCACGTGACATTTGGCCCTTACCATACCTGATAAGTAGTGACCATTATTATCCCCACTTTGCAGATGACAAAAGGGAGGCTTGGGTCATTTAAGTAACTTTCTTTAAATTACAGGGCTAGAAAGTGGCAAGGCAGGCATTGGAACCTAGCACTGTCTAAGGCTATCACTCTATGCATCCATGTACCCACTGCATGAATGTAGCTGTGGCTAAAGAAGATCTTACAGACTCAGCAAGTAGCTTCATGTTTCTTGATACTTTGAAGATTCGTCTTTTCCTGAAAAAGAGGCCTGTCTAGGAGTTCTAGACAAAAACAGACCCACCTTGCCTTATTAAGCAGGGCCCTTACCTTAGACCAGCTGAGCGACTCTTTTGTCTATGGAGTTTCCATGGGTGGGTGATGGCTTAAACTACAGAAATCATTATTGAAGGAGGCATTAACATTACCACTCCTGATACTCAAATGCATTGGTCCATCTAGCATTTTCCAACTAAACTTTCATAACCACTGCTTTTAGATTCCACTGGCTTAATTTTTTTTAAATTTCTTGTCCCCACCTCCTACCCAACTCCTTCATTTTTGAGTGGAGGCTTAAGCTTGGAATCTGGCATCCGTGGAGGTTTGACATTGACAGGTACTGGGGTACAGACCCAAAACTAAAGTTCAGAGAGGCAGATTATTTTATTTTTCAGCTGCCTTGATGGCTGAAGGTGGTAAACATATCACTATGTCACAGCTGAAAAGGAAATTGAACACAAAGAGAAAAATGACACACCCAATAACCCACTATTTACAACATTCAAACATTCAAAAACCATGGACTGTGGCAAGTTTTTTTTTAACCTTGTTTTTTTCATAAAGATTAATAAGAGGTCTAACTGAATTCTTTCTTTCTTTCTTTCTTTTCTCTTTCTTTCTTTTCTTTCTTCTTTCTCTTTTTCTTTCTTCTTTCTTTCTTTCTCTCCTTCTTTCTTTCTTTCTCTTTCTCTCTCTCTCTCTCTGTCTCTCTCTCTCTCTCTGTCTCTCCCTCCCTTCCTTCCTTCTTTCTATTTTAACTTGTATTGTTTAGGTAGATGCTGACATTAAAGTACTATCTTTCTTTACAACATAAACTATTTCCTGAGACATTTATAGAGTGAACCACGTGGAAATGAGAATATACTTCTACTGATAAAAATTACTGTAGTCTATTAACTTCTCCAAAACATCAGCAATTTTGTAAAATTGTTTCATATCTATTTTCCTCTTTGTCTCTAGAAACCAACTTTTAGAGAAGTCTTTCAAAATTTCTCAAGCTACAATGTAGTAGATGGTTTCTAAAATGCTAAAAATACCAAAATAGTACCCTGAATTTCAATGCCGTCTCCTCCACTGTAAGTTCCTAAGCCAATATTGTGACTGTCTTGGAGGGGGCCTGGAGAGTGAGAATGAATGAAGAATGAAGCTTTTCTTTCACAGACAGTGGAACTGACCCCAATCATAATTTTCAGTTCCTAATAAGGAAAATTGCAGCCAATTAAAATGGCCCCAAATTAATTATTGTTGAAGCTAGCTTTTTTGTGTGTGTGTAGTTGGAAACTAAAAGGGTGGTACTAATTTACAAATAACAAGACATAGAGGAAGCTAAAAGAAGCCTAACCTTCCAGGTTGGCACTGAGGGGCAGGACTCAGCCACCCCCTTCTTTAAACAAGACAACAGTGGCTGCCTGTGTGGGTTCCTATGTTTGAGGAGTATGCTTCCTAAAGTCCACTATTGCTCTTTTGTTTTCTTAAGGGGAGCAGATGTATTGGCGCTAACCAGAAAGGAAAAAGGGAGAAAGGAAAATACACTTCTGAGTTAGAGAAAATTTGTGACTTAATATCTCAATGAATGTGAATTAAATTTCATTGGCAACTGCACCCATAGTCATAGTAACTGAAAAAGGAGGAAAATTGCAGTTTCTGGACAGACTGGATTAAAGACATCAGTGACAGCTCCCTGGAAGTTCTAAGAGTTGCTTCCTCAGCTCTCTTCTCTCCCCCACTTTTCCCCACCCCTGGGTTCTCACTCTTTGGCTTATTTGGAGGTGATATTAAGAAACCTATGTCTGAAGAACATGATCTCCAAAAAAAGCATTGCATTGTCTATTTGGAGACCGGCTCAGTTAAGAATCCTGGCTCTCCCACTTGTAAGCTGTGTGGTACGGTCAAATCACTTAACCTCTCTGAGGTTCAGGGTGCTTGTCTGTGAAATAAGGACAGTATGACCCGTCATGTACTTTTTAGGGTGCCTGTGAAGAAATACATAAATGCAAGCTTCTGGATTCTAGTTTTTCCCCAACCACTTTCTAGCTGTGTGATTTCATGAAGTAAGTAACTTATATGTGCCTTATATATGAATTTCCATCTTTGTAAAACTAATACCCATCTGATATAGTCAGCAATAATAATACTCACCTCAATTAGTCTTTTAAAAGTTAAAGGAGATGAAACACCCCTTGAAAATGTTTGGCACATAGTAAGTGCTTAATAAATATTAGCTGTTATTATTAATATTAAATAACAAGAGTAAAGTGCCCAAGACTTGATCGAGAAAGTGTGTTCTATAAATGGTTACACCTATTAGTTTGAAAGCTATAACTGTGTATATTTTGACAAATCTTCAACTATTCAAGCTAAATACACAAATACACATATCTCTAATTTTTTAATGTTTTATTAAAGTATAACACATACAGCAATCTGCAGATGTCTTAAGTATAAATTTAATTATATTTAACCTTGTTTTTAGATGATTTTAAAAAGCTAGACACTTTCTCTAATGAGTCTGTCGATTAGAAGAAAGGAGATTAATTTATTGAATTAAAATATAGTTTTATTCAGATGTATTAGTCTGTTCTCACACTGCCATGAAGAAATACCCAAGACTGGGTAATCTACAGAGGAAACAGGTTTAATCGACTCACAGCTCCACGTGGCTGGGGAGGCCTCAGGAAACTTACAATCATGGCAGAAGGGGAAGCAAACACATCCTGCCTCACATGGCAGCAGAAGAGAGAAGTGCAGAGCAAAGAGGGGGAAAAGCCCCTTATAAAACCGCAGAGCAAAGGGGGGGAAAGAGCCCCTTATAAAACCATCAGATCTCAGGATAAAATCTTATAAAACCATCAGATCTCATAAGAACTCACTCACTATCATGAGAACAGTATGGGGGAAACACCCTCTGCCCAATAATCTAATCACCTCCCATGAGGTCCCTCCCGCAACATTTGGGGATTATGGGAACTATCATTCAAGATGAGATTTGGGTGGGGGCACAGCCAAAGCTTATCATTAGATATTAAAAAAAGAAATGCTACATTAAATATACACATTTTTTAGCAAAAAACAGCATGCATTTTATTAATGTAATTACTCCATCTTAACTACACTCCAAAGATTCCTTGGAATCACCAGGACATTGGCAGTTGCTGCAAAGAAGAGGTGGTGACACTGATAAAAGTGCCTGGGAGTTTGACCTCTTTAGCACCCCTGATCTGGGATCTTAATTTTTTTTCCCTTAATTGATTACCTCTTGCAGGAAGTTCAATAGCTTCTTTGAAAGCACTTGACAGACAGATGTTTTGCATAAACATCTGTTTATGAAGCATAAACACCAACATCTCCTGGCTTTGAAAACCCTTTATTCTGAAAGCTTTGGCTGATTTCACCTGTTACAAACAAATGACAATTCCTCTTAGCAACTCTTCCACCTAGCAGTTGACATGTTTATTTTGACAATGATTGTAAAATTCATTCTGATTTCCAAAACATCCAAATGTGAAAAAACAGGATTCTTAGAATTAAGAAGACATTATTTTAATACTTTGCGACATACATTTGACCAAAAGCAACACAGGTTATCTATGTGTAAAAAAACTGGATATTGTAAGGGTGACTGCCTATTTGGCTTTGTAATTTGGGAACTAAACTGCAATAAGGGGCCAGAGATTTGAAGGGGGGAGTCTTAGATATTTTCTCCAATGCAAATACCACCTCAAGATAACTTATCTTTCATGTAATCATCATCCTTTTGAAGTGCCTACTCTGTGCCAGACACTGTGCTATGTACATTTTCTCTTTTAGGCTTCATAAAAAATTGTATTAAAAAACTGGGGCTCAGAGAAATAATTGTTCCAGCTAACTCATCTGTGTGGAAGATCTTGAATTTGAACCCAAGACTGTCAGACTCCAAAGCTTAGACTCTTTCAAGTACAATAACTTTCTCCCGTTGTGTCACGTGAAGTATATTTAGTGTACTCAGAACACAAAGAATGACTCCAAGGATCTGTTAGGGGCCGGAGGAGGAGTAGTGTCACACATACACACACACACAAACACACACACACCAATGCATTAGGCAGTTGCCCTAATAAAAGAGATTCAGTGATGGCTGAAGGTGCTAAACATGTCGCTATGTAACAGCTGTTTAAAGCATAAAAGCTTCACCGGTATAGACCATCGGAGGGAGGGTTGGATTGAATTAGTAGAAAGTATGAATTTTAAACTCATTTACATAATACAGATTTTCCTAATCCCTTATGGATTTCAAAATGGATTTCCATCTATTCTCTCATTTCATGATCATAACAACCTCCCAAACTAGGCAGAGTTGATATTATCAATCCAATTTTAGGTAAGAAAAATAAGGGCTGAAAAAGTTAAGTGCCTTGCCTATGGTCATAGAACTATTTAGTGACAAACACACATCTTGTTACTCTGCAGGGTGACCTAACAAATTCCTTCTGAACTGCCAGATAATTATTGGATAAGAATGATATGTATTCTTATATTAATTATTCATATATAAGGGATTGCCTGAAGTGCTCAAAGATGTATTTCAAACATTCCTCCTGTAATCTCATTTACATCATTCTTCTGCACTACTTAGCAAGACAGAGTTTGCTAAATGGAAGGAAAATTTCTGCCCAGGTCCCCATCAAGTTATTATAAATTCCAAATTAATAGGGTCTAAATAAACAAGAGCTTATTATGGAGCTAAAAGCTGATAATGTTATTTGTTTCTGATATCTTTTTTCATTTGCCTCAGCCTCAATTTAAGCATTTTATCTACTGCATTTTTTTTCCTGTTTCCTCATTAGAGAAACAGGGCAAGAGAGGCATAGAAGGAAAGAATCACTTGTATGTGAATACAATTAATAACCTGAAATTATAGAAGGGGGTGAAGAGGCATCTTTTTGGTAATTTATCATAATGTTTAGTAACAGCAATTTGCAGTAATGAAATAACTAATCTTTCCTTCTCCTGGGTATGTGTTATATTTTTCGGCTTATGCTTTACTTACTTTTTTTTATTACTCCATTTCCTAAATTATTTAAACTTACAAGGCAACCTCTAACTTATTAATGGTAAGGCAGGCTTCGGAAATGAGAATCATGCAAATAATGATTTCATTTTTTACCCGTGTTTTTAAGGGACTGAGATATCTTTGTCATTTACCTGGGATTTACAGGGACCAAAAAGCTGGACATCATTCACCACTGGGAACAGGTAACCCAGCTTGAACTCTAAGGGCCATGAGGACTCACCTCTATAAAATAAGCTTCATATAAATAGCATCTGGGTGGAAATTTGGTTTTCCTTGTGCTGGGTTTCCTTACGCTTTTAAAAGAATCCTAAGGGATTGAGATGAGTAAGAGACAGGCCGGTAGCATGAAAGGCCCAGTGCTCTTAGAGATACTTCTTCCATGATTAAAAAATAATGAATTTTTTGTTTGCCAGGTGCAAGGAATAAACACTCTTGGATTCTCTCTGTTCTGTCGTTTTCCCTCTAATCTACAAACACACCACAAAGGCTCCTCTGTTCCTTCCCTCAATCACATTTCTCATTCAGACGTCCTTCCTGTTTGGGGTTCTGTTTCTTACTTCCATTTGGTTCTTTGCTTTCCTGTATGGGCTTCTAAGTTTGTTTGTTTTCAGGTTTCTTACATTTTTCTATTTTGAATTGTTCCTTTCTGCATCACAACCTCTATGTACTGCTCCTTTTTCATTTCGCTCCCTGTCTATTGTGTACCTGGTATTATTCATCATCTTTGCTTCTATTTACTTCCCTCCTCCTAGCTCTTATTTCTTTATCTCTGGCCCCTTACTTCCTCTCCTTGATTCTCCTGTTCCCATCTCGATGCCCTTTGACCAAACATCCTCTCCCCATCGCTACTTAAAGCAACTGAAGAAACACTCCCAACTAGAATGGAGTAGTGAGAATAGACTGGAAAGAATAGAAAGGTGGCAGAGTGAACCTGGGAAGGGTGTGCTAGTTGCATTAACTACTTCCCCATCCTCTGCTGGCCTCCTCCTCTGTCTGCATGCGTGCGTCCTTGCAAGGGAAAGACGCAGCACAAAGGAAAGGATCAGGAGGAAATGAAGGTGAGGGCTCAGGGCACAGGGACTGCCAAGCTGTTCTTTAAATACTACCCACTCAGCGTTCGTCTTGGGAACTCTACAGAACAAGGTTGTATTTCAAGCACAGAGCAACTCAAATCAGCTTCCCCGGAACTGGGATCCAGATGCTCTTGAAACAAAACTGCAGGGCAGTATAGTCAGAACGTTTCCACTTGACCCTAGATTGCTCTAAAACTACTCGTGGAAGAGTGCTAACACCGGCCTCCAGAACAAACATCTTACTTCTCATGGTTGCCTATGACCCAGCCTCACCCTTGGCATTTTTTAATTTTAAAAATATTTCCATATATGTTTATAAATAAATCACATGTTTTAGAACCACCTTGCTGTCACTCTGTACTGCACAGGAAAAATCCGTGACAGTTCACAATGTGGAAATTTTGCTTCTCTCTCACCCTTCAGAAAAAAAAAAAAAAAAAGCATAATAAGTATTTAAAAGCCAGATGAACAAGGAGCTCTCAGAATAACAATTTTACCAGCCCAGTCATAGTAAGACCAAATGTACAAACAACTTGACCTTTCCTCCTTTCCCTCCCGTGCCTGGGCGGCTTCTGAAGCACCATGCAGTCCCTGTTTGAGGACAGTGGGACCCAGGAGCGGCTCCTCTCACCTGGAGTGCTGCTGAGGAAGGATGATGACATCGCTGACTCCGTTTTTTCCTTTTTCAGGCAGGTGTCCGTTTGTTCATTTTGAAACTGAGTCCCAGGGAAAACACCTAGCTGTTCACATTCTTCAAAACAACAACAAACCAGCACTTTTGTAAATGGTTTTAATTTTGACAAAAGAAGGCCTTTTTCTAAGGTGACGTGAACGGGGGAAATTACCTCAAATTTATGACATTATTTTCTAGCATCCTGTGTGATGTCAGTCATCCCTCCCCTCCTACCCCGGCCTACTCTTTAGATGAAAGGGAGCGGAGCTGGGTCTTAGGAGTCGCTGAAGGAAGGACAACAAAGGCTAGGTCCTGAGGCTTGTGTCTGACCCTGCACTGATTGAGGGTGGGTCTGAGTGAGGGCTGCACCTTCCTGCTACGGCAGCTTCCAGGTCTCGCTCTGCCCACTCAGGGCTGCCGTCATGTGGGGACTTCTTGGTCCACGTGGGTCCTCTCTTCAACAATATCTGCTTATTTTTGTTTTTATTTCCTGGCTTCCAACAGATAACAAAAGGATGAGCTAAAAACCGATTCCATATAATAGAATGATACACACACACAGAGTTAGGAGTAAATTATATTCCGACAAATATAAGCAAAAATTATGTGCTGGGGCTCTAGTTTTAGTGCTCATTTTTACTCTCTAAAGAAGTTTTGAAGTATAACAAAAATAAAACACAAGAAAAAAATCCACGGCCAGATGGGGTCCAGGTACTGATATTCCTGAGTTTTTCTGTTTCTGTTGGTTTGAGACGTCACTGGCCTCTGATTCGTACCTTCTAGGGCTGGTGTAGAAGAGTCACTGCCTGGCTGCTGGGCTTAGGACTCTCATCCCCTTTGAGGAGCTGTGTCACTGTCTTTGTCTCTACTGGGTGACAGATAGGGCTTGAGCAGCTGTGCACAGTGTTAGCTCCTGCACAGAGCCAAGCACTGGTCTAGCTTAGGATAGCACCCTCCCTGCTGGCATGGGCAGGGCTCTGGGCCTCTCCCCTCCGCCCTGCCGCTGAAGGAGGGGTTTAACTGGCTTTCTGCACTCTGCAGGAAGGGAACCACCTCCAGGCTGAGGGTTTTCAGTAAAAACCCACCCCTGCAATGGAGAAGCCATGAGCTCCTGTTATGTATGTCGTCACACAAACATCCCGCACTGAAATCAGCTGAGGTTTTACTCTTACTCCACTTTCTGACCATTGTTAAGAACTGTGACTTTAGTAGATGTATTAGTTCCCTAGGACTGCCATAAGAAAGTCTCACAAAATGGGTGCAGACCTATGTGATAAAAATGTATTGTCTCACAGTTCTGGAGACCAGAGGTCCAAAATGAAGATGTTGTCACAGCCACGTTCCCGCCGAAGGTGCTGGGGAGGAGGCCATTAGACCCCCCTAGCTTCCTGCAGCCTCAGGGGCTCCTGGGCTTAGCTGCCTCCCTCAAATCCTCCTTCTTCACATGGCCTTCTTCCTGTTTCTTTGTATCTTCTTCCTTCTGTGTGAGTCTGTCTTTGTATCCAAATTTTCCCTTTTCGTAAGGACACCAGTCTTATTGGAGTAGGGCCCATCCTAATGACCTCACTTGAACTCGGTTAAATGTGCAAAGACCCTGTTTCCAAATAAGACCACATTCTGAGGTATGGGAGTTAGGACTGATGGGAGTTAGGACTGCAATATATCCTTTTTGGGGGAACACAATTCTGCAAATAACCATCATCTACCTTGTCATTTAAATATTTTCTCAACTTAACAAAAAATTATCTTGTTTTGTGAATCAGCACAAGGAATGTTTGGTAACTAGAGTAATAATGAATGAGATTCAAACAAATGGCAAAGAAGAACTGCTTGAGAGGTTAATAGTGGCCTGAGCTTTAGGAACTTCTGCTCAGCCACTTCCCCTGGTGTGTGTCTGCTCAAGCCTCTTCTTCTGGTTTCCCCAGCAAACTGGGAATCTGATTTATACTTTCAACTGAGATTTCAGCACTGGGACACATCTGAGCTGCCTTTAAAAAATTGATTTTATTTTATTTTATTTTTTACTGTAATAGTGGCTCTCACCAGTAACAACAACAACAAAAAAAACCCAACAACTTTTCATTATCTATGAAGGAGGGGAGATGCTGGAGCATGTATTAATATGTCAATAGGGATACATTTGTTGCCCAGTAGTATTCACACCTATTATTGTACAGTCATGATGTAAACCTTAAAGTGACATTTAAGGGTTTTTGAGATCTTGATATGAAAAGTAATTGAAAAGAATTTTTAGAATTGGGTTGTCATAGCAGTTTCTTTTTTTTTTTTTTTTTTTTGAGACGGAGTCTCGCTCTGTCGCCCAGGCTGGAGTGCAGTGGCGCGATCTCGGCTCACTGCAAGCTCCGCCTCCCGGGTTCACGCCATTCTCCTGCCTCAGCCTCCCGAGTAGCTGGGACTACAGGCACCTGCCACCACGCCCGGCTAATTTTTTGTATTTTTAGTAGAGACGGGGTTTCACCGTGTTAGCCAGGATGGTCTCGATCTCCTGACCTCGTGATCCGCCCGCCTCGGCCCCCCAAAGTGCTGGGATTACAGGCGTGAGCCACCGCGCCCGGCCAGCAGTTTCTTAATAATGTCGGAGCGTATTAGGGTTAATGAACATCTTGGGTTCTCCTGATTTCCTAGGCAATATTCATAACGAACCCACGATTCAAGCCTTACCCTCCAGGGCTTACGCATTGCTTAATCATCTTTCATTTTCATAGCATACCTTCTGCTCCCACAGATTCTCATAGCAGCCTCTACGGTTAAGAGAAATAGATATGATGAGCAAATGAGAAAAATGAGGAGGCTCAAAGAGTGGAGGGACCTCACAGATGGTCCCTGGGAGTGCCAGGGCCTGTTTCTCCAGCCCAGGGTTCCTTTCATTTCAGCTGGCTGCTGGCTCCTCTTACCAATCCATGGTGCTCTAAAAGGTGCTGATTTCATTTACAGGTTAGGCTAGTTTTCAGTGTCCTGTTTGAACATTCTGTTTTTGATTTTTATTTTCAAGTTTTTCTAGTTGGGTAAGACTCGGGTAGGTAAACTGGATCCTAGGAGAGATTTCTTACCTATCCCACTCTGAACTGTAAAGGCTTCCCTGTAGGTGGGATTTAAAAGGGAAATGAGTGAGAGTAAGCCTGGAAGAGCCAGGTGAGAGATGGAGACCGAGCCTTGTTTTTGCATAGGGCAGACAGGAGTGCTTCATGCAAATGGGAGCATGCACGGGAGGGCTGGGTAGTCTTTCTTCTCTGAGTTTTCCTCCCAATCAGAAAAATTTATGTTTTCCTTTCTGATAATTTACTAGCAGTGTAGAAAATTAGCTCAGTCATTTTTTTTTTTAATTGAAACAGGGTTTCACTATGTTGCCCAGGCTGGCCTCGAACTCCTGAGCTCAAGCGATCCACCTGCCTCAGCCTCCCAAAGGGCTGGGATTAATAAAGAACTGGTTAAATAACGGTGTAGTCACGTAAGGGAATACTACGCATCTGTTAAAAAGAATTAGGTATGTCTCGATTCTTTAAAATTTTAAGATGTATTACATAAACAAACCAAGGAACAGAGCAGAATAAAAGTTATCTGTGTGTACATATTCAGAGATATTAGTAATTATGTTTTCTGGAAGGACATATGATAAACTATTACGGGAGTGACAGTGATTACTTCAAGAAAAGAACTAGAAGTAAATGATGGAAGATTTCTACTTTTCATTTTATACCTGAGCCACAGTGCCCAGCCCACTATACAAAATTAATGAGTACAGAGAAAGTAAATGTTTCTGCAATCTCAACACTTTTCCACCTCTGTCTAAGGGTCAGCTGCAATGAGAGTTTAGATATATCCTTCCAGGCTTTTCTTGTTTTGTTTTGTTTTGTTTTGTTTTGTTTTGTTTTGTTTTGTTTTGAGACAGAGTCTTGCTCTGTCACCCAGGCTGGAGTTCAGTGGCTCAATCTCGGCCCACTGTAATCTCTGCCTCCTGGGTCCAAGCGATTCTCATGCCTCAGCCTCCCGAATAGCTGGAATTACAGGCACATGCCACCATGCCAGGCTAATATTTGTATTTTCAGTAGAGACAGGGTTTCACCATGTTAGCCAGGCTGGTCTCGAACTCCTGACCTCAAGTGATCCACCTGCCTTGGCCTCCCAAAGTGCTGGGATTACAGGCGTGAGCCACCGCACCCAGCCCTTCCAGGTTTTTTAATACAAACATTATATTTGTCTACATCTATATTTATATATAAATGAAATCGTTAACATAATGGAATGTCATAACACTCTGGTCATTCTGCACCAGATCTTTCTCTTTTTATATTGTAGATATTTTCCATGTCAACTAACTACAAAGATGTAACCTATTTTTCTTTTTTATAAAAACATTTCACATTTTAAAATAAAGCAGTCCTTGCACAGAATCAAATCATACAGAAAGGTTTAAAATGAAAAGTAGAAATCTTCCACCATTTACTTCTAGTTCTTTTCTTGAAGTAATCACTGTAACTCCCGTAATAGTTTATCATATGTCCTTCCAGAAAACATAATTACTAATATCTCTGAATATGAACTCACAGATAACTTTTATTCTGCTCTGTCCCTTGGTTTGTTTATGTAATACATCTTAAAATTTTAAAGAATCGAGACATACCTAATTCTTTTTAATGGATGTGTAGTATTCCCTTATGTGACTACACCATTATTTAACCAGTTGTCTATTAATGGACATTTTATTTTAAACTTTTGTGCTAGAACAAACATCCTTATATATACATCTCTGTATACAGAATAAAACTTTGGTGTTCATTCCTCCATACTCTCGTCAGCCGTGGGCACAAGCACTTTATTTATGTTGTACAAAAACCTTTGCCAATTTGATAGGTGATACTTTGTTTTAACTTTCATTTATGTGATTATTAAGAAATCTATTTTATATGATTTGTTGCCTTGAATTGCCTGTTCATGACTTTCGCCTGTGTGTCTATTGCAATGTTTATCTTTTTCTTATTGATTTATAAAAAAAGTTTGTATTCTTATGTGAGAGCATGGACACACAACTCCAGTTCTGTAACTAAGATTTTAAAAAGCAATTACGTTTTACATTTTCCTAATTCTATAATAAACTCCACAGAGACCAGGCTAAAGTTTATATTTGTTAAAGCAAATTTTCCTAGTGAAGTGTAAATCTCGTAAAAACTTGAAAAAAGAAAGACACAGGAGAAAAGAATAACTTGTTTTCTAGTGTCCCTTACCATCTGAGGAGCACTTTTAGGGAGATGGTGAATTTGCTAAGGAAATCATTCTTAACAATTTAATACACATTCCTCATTAGCAACTCTGTCATCCAATTTTAAACTTAAGCTAGACTTAAATAAAAGTAATAAAAACTGTGTTTTAATAATTCCAAATGACTTTCACTCATTCTGACCAATTCCTCCTCAGTCCAAATTACTGAAGTTTTCTCATAATACTTAAACAAGCCCATTTTCAGAACCAGTGACATCATGATGATCAAGACTGCATTCATTTTCTCCTTCACACATTTTCCTACTGGATGAGTGGCTTCCTTGTTTAAACATGGAATTCACTCATCATAAAATGGATTTCATCCAGACACGAAATATGAAAAAATGAACTCATAGGAAATGACCCTTGAAATTCACACCACCCTCAAGGCTTGAAAGGATTTTCTATTTCATCAACTTTAGATGAGCCATAATAATAAAACATAAAATACTGCCTGTAATCCCAGCACTTTGGGAAGCTGAGGCGTGTGGATCATGAGGTCAGGAGATCGAGACCATCCTGGCTAACACGGTGAAACCCCGTCTCTACTAAAAATACAAAAAATTAGCCAGGCTGGTGTCGGGCACCTGTAGTCCCAGCTACTCAGGAGGCTGAGGCAGGAGAATGGCGTGAACCCAGGAGGCAGAGCTTGCAGTGAGCCGAGATTGCGCCACTGCACTCCAGCCTGGGCGACAGAGTGAGACTGTGTCTCAAAAAAAAAAAAAAAAAAAACCATAAAATACTACACAAAGATTAGAAAATCAGAAGTCACATAACTCATAGTTCTTCCCAAGTCTTGTTTTTCTTAAGCTAACTCATTCTCAGCACTTACAGCCAGTCCAGCCAGCCTCCATTCACTGTGTTTCCAGAACATGCTATGCATGCCTCTTTTATCATTTACTATACAGTTTTGGAATTATATGGGATGTATCTTCTCCCAAACTTGATTGCTAACTCTGCAGGTCAAAGACCACATCTTGTTTATCTTTGTGAACCTGCTAGATCTCACAATAACTGGTATTTAGTGGGCTCTCAGTAATTGCTTGTTTTGTTGTGTTATTATTACTATTTTGAACTATATGGAGAATCATTTGGGCCCCGTTTTTGCTCCCCTGTGACAAAGACAGCTGATTGCCACTTAGCCACACTGCCCCTTCTCACCCTTCTCCACCTTGCTTGTGGAGCCTTGATTTTGTTTGAAGGTCATGTGCTCAGGAAACAACTCCCCTTGCCAGGCTGGGTGGGGACATGAAGGGTTATTAGTCCAGGCAGTCTTGGCAGGCTCATGCCCTTGGCCTGTGGCCCAATCTTAGCCAAGGAGGTCTGACTGTAAGCCACCTAGGGAGCTTTGGGAAAAGGCTTTTCTTATAGTACAGAGAGACTCATAGGAGGAGACCCTCTCTTTTCACTGGGCATTGTTGTATTGCATGGGATGTCTGGAACTGTTGCAGACAGACATCTTGCAACATGAGTGGGGGACATCCCCAACCTACTAGAAACTGTAGAGAGAGCCTTGGTTGTTTGCTTGGGCTGGAGCCACTCTGCCTGAGACTTCCATTTTGAGAGATAATTAATCCTTAGTTGAATCCTATACACTTTAATAAAGATGGGGGAAACCCAGAGAAGATTCAGGAGTCCTCTACTAGGAGGAACAGAATGAAACTAGAAAGTTAAAAGGAATCAGAGGTTGCTGGGTGCAGTGGTTCATGCTTGTAATCCCAGCACTTTGGGAAGCTGAGCAGGGAGGATCACTTGAGTCCAGGAGTTAGACAGTAGCCTGGGCAACATAGCTAGACTCCGTCTCTACCAAAAATTTTTTTTAATAAATAAAAAAATTAGCCTGGCGTGGTGGCATGTGTCTCTAGTACCAGCTACTTGGGAGGCTGAAGTGGGAGGATTGCTTGAACTGGGGAGGTGAAGGCTGCAGTATTCTTATGACTTATCTAAAGCTGATGAAACAGAAAATCATGCCACTACACTCAGCTTGGGTAACAGAATGAGACTCTGTCAAAAAAAAAAAAAAAAAAAAAGGAATCAGAAGTTTTACCTTACGGTAGAGAAGCCTATGAAAGAACTTGGTTGCTGTTTCCAAGCTCCTGGAGAGTTTTATGGGAGGGGTGTCAAACTGTTATTCTACAAGACTTCTGAAGACCTAAGTGAAAGAGGAAATGGAATTAAAGCAGGAGAGACTCTGGCTGGATTTAAGGGAGAATTTGCCTGTAAGAATGCTCAAATACTGATATGGGCTACTGAGAGTAAGAGTCTGTCCCTTTGGAAGAGGACAAGAAAGGGCAAGTGTGAGTCCTTGAGCAGTTTATTATTCACCTACTTAATGGCAATGGTACTAACCAAATGGCTACTTGAAGTTTGTAATCTTATGTTCATCTGGAGAAGAGAAGCTACTGAAACTTAAGTAGATGAGGAATCAGCTACAGACTTCCGAAAGTATCCATTAGGTGATAAGTTTGATCTGACAAAGCTGGAAATACCTGTTTTAGCTCTATCAGGCCAAAATGTCAGCCCAACATCCAGTTTATAATTTACGCTAAACACACACTACTTTATCAGAGCTCTGTGATTAGTCACATACCCAGAACAAGGACACTGTATGAGAAATGTAGCCTCAGGGAAGGTGGCTGATTATGTCTGGGGTGCTTATTAGTAGGGCTGATCCTAATCTGAATCCACTTTTCCATGGAAGAATGTAAAAATGAGTATTGGATATGGTCAGTCTCTCTGACCATGTAAAAGCTCTATACAAGGTATGCAAGTCACCAGGCAGCCCGGTGTGGAGCAGCTCTGCTTCATGGCCACTGGTTCCTGTGTCCAAGACCTGGATTAAAGGAACAACTCAAATGCTACTGCAAGTTGATTTTACCAGCTGTGAAATTATGGCACTGGGTCATCATTAACCTGAGTGATAACTACCTCTCCTCTTACAACCAAATTTTTTCTTTTTAATTTATGTTACAACCAATTTTATATAAAAACCATTATTAGCAAGACTTTCTCATTAACCCCAGAGGCTAATATAAATACAATAAAGGCATCTTAAAACCTCTGAAAAGTTCCATTCTTGTTGATTTGATTAAGCATACACCACTTCATTTGATTGAGATTGCCCGTGGGACATTTCTTTTCCTTCTAAAATTTGTAGGACAGCTCTTAAAATGCAGCCCCCACATATTGAAACATAGCACTCTTTCACAAATCAACAAGTCCTCTTTTAGCCACACCAGGCACATTTCTATCACAGCGTTTACTGAACAGTGTGAGCTGGCCCTCTCCAGTCCCCTGCTCCTCTTCTTTAGCATGGATTCTCCAGCTCCTGTCCTCTCTTTTTCTTTCGCCTTGTTTCTGAGAATCCCACCTGATTCTCTGGAGCACAAGGGCACAGGCTCCCTGCCCTGACAGCACAAAGAGCCTTGAAACACCTCTCCACATTAGAGGCACTCAAAAGACCTTCTCCACATTGGATGAGCAACCTTAGGGAAGCTGAGTCTGGGGTCTCAGGCTGCCCATGCCTTCCCTTTACAACCCCCGCCCCCTACCTGCTTTGAGGCTTGCAGTGGGCAGTGGGGAAGCCTGTGGATTTAGGTGGTGCCAGTGAGGCTGTGTTATTTGGGTCCTCATTCCTTCCCTTAGCTCATGAGGTCGCAGCATAGAACAACCCTGTAAGTTGGATGCTGGCACCTCAAGTCTTGGCTTAGAAGTCACCCAGACCTCATAACAGACCCTATGCTGCCACCTAATACCAGTGTGTCTTTGAGCAAGGTATTTCATCTCTAAGTGACTGTTTCCTATAAAATAAGAGTAAAAATACCTACTTCCCACATTGTTATAAGGGTTAAATGCCAGACATAAAGAAAGCATCTATACATTACTCAGTAACATTATAGAGAAGTAAATGCCCCCTTTTTATAGCAATAATTGACTTCTAAATACCTGTATTCAGAAAATAGCAAAAGAAAGCATTTGCCACCTGCACCCAAGTTATTTCCTTTAAAAGCACCTGGGACCTGGCAAAATAGCTGCAGAGCCAAAGGCCTTCATCCTGAGGTGACTGGAGAATGGACTACCTTTTCCTAGAGCGATAGAGGCTCAGCAACATTGCATGTAGCACATGCCTCCCTGGGACACCAGGAAGGTTAATGAGATAACATCTAGATGGAAAGTGCTGAATGTGCCAAATATTACCAGGTTGCAATTTCTGGAGCAAGCTCTCCTTTGTCGAGCACACGGGGCTCTGAAAGAGAAGGTATAGCAGGTGAGGTATAATTTAGGAGAGTCAAACATACCCTCTCCCCAGGCATACCTCAGCTTTTCAGCAATATTGAGAGCCCCAGAAAAGGAAAGAGCTTCATGTCTCTACTGCTTTGCCTGCAGTTCAACTGGTTAAATTCCTGGATTTAGAATGCTATCCTGCCACGTTTCTGCAGAGTATCCTAGAGGCCACTGACTACACAGCTGTGAGGGACCTGCTCACCAGCCCTGTGACCTGGGGTGAACTGGGGCACCTGGCTGAGTCTCGGTTTCCTTGCCTGGAAAATAGAGATGACAGCTCCTAACTATTTCACACAGTTGTGAGGCTACAAAGCAAAAGTGCTTTGACAATTGTAATGCATATTAATGTGAACGATTAGATGCCACTTTCTATTCCCTCCTGTCTTATCTGTCTTATCTGACCATAACTGATGCTAAGTTTCTGACTCTACTCACATGCTACCAAATATGTATGGTACACCGCAAAGTCTAGTGGAATTTCCACAAGGCTGAATTATGGATTAGGCGCAGTGAGGAAAGGTGGTACTATTGGTTCTATTCTTAAGGACCAGTTTGTCCATGGCCCAGTGCTTACAGTTTGTGGATCCATTAAGCCATGCTGTTATATAGAAATAGTATTAGCTTTGTTTATGTCGCACTTGGAACTTTTCAAAACACTTCCACATGCTATTATCCCAGTCCCATTTAGTGTCTATCTCTAGGTCTCTGTTTCTCCCAGATCAGTCTTTTGGTATAACAGCTTTTCTCCTTGCTGTTTTCCAGCATATTGTTCCTGGAAGAGGCAAAAGCCTAGGGCTTCAAGATGCCGGGGCTTTAAGAAACCAAGGCATGACCTCAAGTGATTTGCCGGAGGTGGCCTCGGTGGCAGCAGTCATTGAAGAAAGGAAGACAGCTGCCCAGCCAGTCTGACAGACCATACACAGACAGCCCTGTTCACAGGGAGGTAAGTGTCTCTGCACAACCCGCGGCCACCACGGCGGCTTCAGGAAAGGCTCCCACATTCCCAGAGCCTCTGCTGCGGCTCACTGACAAATCAGCCCCTCAATAATCTTATTGTATGTTTTCAAAATAATTCTCAGTAATGCCCCAAGAATGTCTGAACTTCTGTGTGAACTCGCTAGTTTGCATATTTTTCAGCTTATTAGCGAGAACTCCGATAGACAAAGCCCATGACCTTGCTTTTCCACGGACCTCTTGGCCGGGGTGCAAGGGCAGCCTCTCCTGCTGGTGAACTTGCAGTGCCCTCCTGTCTTGTTCTGATTCTCTCTCACACTGATTCCAGCCTCTTTCTTCCCTTGCCCTCTTCATAGCCAACATTAAGAAATAAATCACTTGACTTTGATGATGGTTTACTCATTAGAGAAGGCCACAAGATTCAGGTTCTGAATTTTCATGAAGCAAGATTCTGGAAAAAGAAAGAGAGTGCAGAGATAGTGTTGCCTTTGATTACCTGTTTACCCCAAACCCAGCGCCGCTGGGAAGGGAGGACTCAGCTTCTGATTTCAGGATGACTGCATGCGACCACAGTTCTAATACAGCTTGTCATTCATAAATCCCTGAGACATCACAGGCCCAGCCAGATGTGATGTGGCCTGGCCTAATCCTTCAATGCAATGCAAGGGAGGGTGGAAGTTAAACCTTAATTAAAAACAAGATCTGATACTGCAAAATTACCGTTTTAAAAATGCTTTGAATGGGCTTATTTGGGAGTGTATTCAAGTGTATGGATACGCAGACTCAGGAGACACTGTTTTCTTGTTTCCTTAAATGCAGCTAATTATATAGAATCATAAAGAAGATAAATATCAGACTTCATAGCTATAGGGTAAGCTTCTCTCCAATACGTCTACCCAGGTTTTAGCTATATATAGCTTGATAAATTTTGATTGCATTTGCCAGTTCTTCTCTGTGGATTTCCAGTTACATGTAAAATAACCTCAGAGTTAGGGTCCTGCAACAAAGACAAGGGGCCAATTTTTTGCTTAAGTCATCCAGTTCCCAATTTTTGCTTAAGTCATCCAGTCACTTCTATATTTATTCTTTTTTTTCCCCAAGAAACCTTCCGTGATTACTATCAAAGTTGAGTCTTTTCCCCAAAGCTCCTATTAGATCTATGTAAGATCTTATAAACTGTCTTGGTTTCCCTTTTATACTTTTCAATTGCTTCCCTGTTCAACCTTATGAATAATTTTTACCAGTTTTTTTATTTTTTTAAGAGACAAGGTCTCACTCTGTTGCCCAGGCTAGATTTCAGCAGCGCAGTCATAGCTCACTGCAGCCTTAAACTCCTGGGCTCAAGCAATCATCCTGCCTCAACCTTCTAAGTAGCTGGGACCACAGGTGTGCATCACCATATCCCGCTAATTTGTTAAAAAAAATATTTTGTAGAGACCAGGTCTCCCTTTGTTACTCAGGCTGGTCTCGAACTCCTGGCTTCAAGCAATCCCCACACCTAACTTTCCCAAATTACTGGACTTACAGGCATGAGACATAAGCCACTTCGCCTATCTTCTTTTTCTTCTTCTTCTTCTTCCTCTTCTTCTTCTTCTTCTTCCTCTTCTTCTTCTTCTTCTTTTCTTCTTCTTCCTTCTTCATTTTTGACTGTGCCTAATCTGTTTAACCATTCTATTAGAATTTTTATTTCAATTACAACTTTTTTTATTCTATAAATTCTATTTGTTTTGAAATTTGTAAGATTATTAGTTTTAGTCCTTTCTCCTTATATAATTTTAATCCCCTCTGTTATTACTTTTTGCCAATTAAACTCACATATTTCATTTGGGACATAGGCGTGGGCAAAGATTTCATGACGAAACATCAAAAGCAATTGCAACAAAAGCAAAAATTGACAAATATGATTTAATTAAACAAAAGAGCTTCTGCACAGCAAAAGAAACCATCATCAGAGTGAACAGACACAACCTATAGAACGGGAGAACACTTTTGCAATCTATCCATCTGACAAAGGTCTAATATCCAGAGTCTACAAGGAACTTAAACAAATTTACAAGAAAAAAACAAACTACCCCATTAAACAGTGGGCAAAAAACATGAACAGACACTTCTCAAAAGAAGACATTTATGCATCCAAAAAACACGATAAAAAGCTCAGCGTCACTGATCATTAGAGAAACGCAAATCAAAACAACGAGATACCAGTCAGAATGGCAACTATTAAAAAGTCAAGAGGCCAAGTGCAGTGGCTAATGCCTGTAATCCCAACACTTTGAGAGGCCGAGGTGAGCAGATCACTTGAGGTCAGGAGTTCAAGACCAGCCTGGCCAATGTGGTAAAACCCTGTGTCCACTAAAAATGCAAAAATTAGCTGGGCATGGTGGTGCATGCCTGTGGTCCTAGCTACTTGGGACCTGCTGAGGCAGGAGAATCACTTGAACTCAGGAGGCAGAGGTTGCAGCGAGTTGAGATTGTGCCACTACACTCCAACCTGGGTGACAGAGTGAAACTCTTGTCTCAATAAATAAATAAGTAAATAAATAAAAATAAAAAGTAAAGAAACAACAGATGCTGGCAAGGCTATGGAGAAATGGGAACGCTTTCTATACTGTTGTTGCAAATATACACTAGTTCAACCATTGTGGAAGACAGTGTGATGATTCCTCAAAGACCTAGAACCAGAAATACCATTTGACCCAGCAATCCCATTACTGGGTATATAACCAAAGGAATAGAAATCATTCTACTAAAAGATACATGCATGCGTGTGTTCATTGCAGCACTATTCACAATAGCAGACATGGAACCAACCTAAATGCCCATCAATAATAGACTGGATAAAGAAAATGTGGTGCATATACACCATGGAATTCTATGCAACCATAAAAAGGAATGTGATCATGTTCTTTGCAGGGACATGGATGAAGCTGAAAGCCATTATTCTCAGCAAACTAACACAGGAACAAAAAAACAAACACCACATGTTCTCACTTATAAGTGGGAGCTGAACAATGAGAACACATGGACACAGGGAGGGGAACAACATACACTGCGGCCTATCGGGGGGGCTGGGAGAGGGAGAGCATCAGGATAAATAGCTAATGCATGCGGGCCTTAATACGTAGGTGATGGGTTGATAGGTGCAGCAAACCACCATGGCACATGTTTACCTATGTAACAAGCCTGCACATCCTGCACATGTATCCTGGAACTTAAAATCAAAAAATAAAATAAAAAAACGTGATTATGAAAAAATGTCTCACATATTTTATGTGTGATGGTAATTATAATATCTAATATCATTATGGGTTTGATTCTTCTATTTGGTTTCTTGGCTATCCCCCATGGTGTCTTGATTGCTTGTGTGTCTTATGAGTTTTGAAGGTTGGACCATAACCTTTGGTGCTCAATTGTGGGAATTTTTTGAGGCCTGATTTGAAAGTGGATTCCTCCAGAGAAGATTGTGTTTGTTTCTGCCAGGTACCTGAAAGCAACTAAAACTTGAAACCAACTTAAAATAAGCATTTCAGCTTGAGGTGTTTTTGGTCCTCACAGATAGTATACATTTTGGACCTCAAGTTTCTGTGCAGGTTTGCTTGTGGTTATACATTTTCAGGGAAGACTTTTTTTCCTTTCCACTCAGCACAATGGTCAAGACAAGCAAGTTTCCTTGCTATCTCTATCTATGGAGTGGGCTTATCTCTTGTTCACCCTCACACTGAAGGTGCTTCCTTTTGGGGTCCTGGCTTTACATGGGGATCTCGTATTAGACTTCACCGTGGTTGGGCCCTGGGGTTGTTCTCCTGTCCCTTTCACCCCATGCCAACATCAAAACCTAAGATCATTGTCAGCAAGGATCTACAGATGCCTCCATGGAAAAGGCTACATTCAGGTAAGCACTCTCACCTTTCAGGATTCCTGCTTTTATTTTATTTGCCTCTGATATTTTTTACTCTTCTATCAGCTCAATGGTACATTCAAAAAAAAAATTTTTTTTTTTGAGACGGGATCTCACTCCATTGCCCAGGCTGGAGTGCAGCGGCCTTATCTCGGCTCACTGCAAACTCTGCTTCTGGGATTCAAGCGATTCTCCAGCCTCAGCCTCCTGAGAAGCTGAGATTACAGGCACCCTCCACCATGCCTGGCTAATTTTTGTAATTTTAGTAGAGACGAAGTTTCACCATGTTGGCCAGGCTAGTCTCGAACTCCTGACCTCAAACCCACCTCGGCCTCCCAAAGTGCTGGGATTGCAAGCATGAGCCACCGCTCCCAGCCCAAAAATAATTTTGAATTCTGACATTTTATTTAGCATTTTTAGTTGTTTCCAGTGGAGGGCTGTTCAGAGTATCTATTGCCATACTGAAGTAAACAGGAGTCCTATTCTGTTACTTGTTGTTTGAATTGTTTCATATTTGTAAAAATAACAATTCTAAGAAGTACTCCTGGAAGAAAACAAAAAAACAAAGAACATTAAGTTAGGATGGCGAGATTATTGGCGAGCATTCCTTGCCCCCATTTTTCTGTACTATATGTGGAAAAAATTTAATGTTGGTAACTAAAGGTGTCTTTAGGACCACATCTTAAATAATGGTTCATTTACATAAACTGGAGTGTCAAGTAATTCATAACTTATTTCAACCAAGTAAATCCAGAAAGGAAGTATAGATTGAAAAAGACCTCAAAGTGGGTAACACTGAGTATTATAAATGCAGTAAAACCACTACTCAAGTGTAGTAAAAGCACTACCCGACTTGAAAATATATAAAATAATCTTATGTAGAATCTGCTCTGGAAGAGCTGGATACCTATTTTCCTCTTAAAAAAGCAGTAAATGATGTTTCCAGTAAAAATATCTCAGGAAGATTAAACTTTAATATTTGCTCATTAAATTACATGATTCTTTAACATCACTTTTTGAATCTCTTAAAATATATAAAATTGACTTTTGGGGACTTTGTAAGTAAATATTTCAAGTTCATATCACATTGAGTACGGCATCTCAGTCTCCTGAATATTTGTGGATGAGCAAACGTGATGGTACCCAACCTTACCAACAGCTCCCAGTGAAAACCACACAGTGAGTGTTTTATAGTACTTGTTCATACCACTCCTGACCTTATTATTTCACATTCACTAGTAGATGATCAAACTTTCAAATGCCAATGTGGTAGGCAAGAAAATGATTATCTCATTGTGGTTCTTTATTACTTTACCCTTTTAAACAGCAGCATAATATTTCATTGCATGAGAGAAAAATAATGTTTTTGGTTTTGTTTGTTTGCTTGCTTTTTGAGACAGAGTTTCATTCTGTCACCCAGGCTGGAGTGCAGTGGCATGATCTTGGCTCACTGCAACCTCTGCCTCCTGGGTTTAAGTGATTCTCCTGCCTCAGCCTCCTGAGTAGCTGGGATTACAGGTGTGCGCCACCACACCGGCCTAATTTTTGTATTTTTAGTGGAGATTGGGTTTTACCATGTTGGCCAGGCTGGTCTCGAACTCTTGACTTCAAGTGATCCGCCTACCTTGGCCTCCCAAAGTGCTAGAGTTACAAGCATGAGCCACTGCTCCTGGCCTAAAACAATGTTTTTATTTAAATGATCTCTCTATTGATTATGTTTTGGGTTCCTTCCAATTTTTTGTTAATGTAAACAATGTTGCAATGAACTTCTTGGTACATACATCTTTTCACAATTAGATTCCGTATTTTGCTATGTGTTGCCAGACTGCCTTAAGAAAAGTCTACCGTGCACTTCTCTATGATGCTACAAGGTCTACCTTTGGGACAGGCACAAGTTCTTACATTAAAGTTCTAAAAAGCAAACATCTAAATTCCTAGATTACATTTCTAAAATGATTTTAGTTTATATTTTATATTTTTACATTGTATTACTTATAAATTAAAGTCCTACTGCTTCTTATCTATAGATGTACCTTGCTTTTAGAAAAATAAAAGTGTAAATACCAGAGCCCAAACTTACAAAACAAATAAGCTAGGGAGTAACTATTTGCATTACAAAGTTATTATTTGCTTTACAAAATGGAACCAATTTAAATTGAAAGCACCTTGAGAATTATCTGAAATATGACCAGATTTGCAAAATTCAATTTACACATAACTTTTCCAGAACATATCAAGCACACAAAGTGAGATATATCTAGTTGAACATGATTTTATGGATCTGAAGAGGTCGATTTAATCTGCTGCTGCTTTTTTGAGAGGCAAATTGTGCTCAATGTAAGCAATCCATGAAGAATTAACACAACTGTAGTTACGTGAATTTTTTTTCAAAAACTCTTGTTTTTAAAATTATTATTATTAAAGCCTGTGCTTCAAAAGCAGAAAGAGTATCTATTTCTCTGCCCTTGCTTTTCAGGCTTCCCACTGCATGCCAGCCAACAGGGTGGCATATGGCACATAACATGCATAGTCAACCTCCCACCAGCATATTTGCAGAACCAACAGTACATATTGAACTAAACCACACCTCCTGTAAAAGACTTGTAATCATCCTTCACTCTTTGGTGTAGGAGAATGGTGGTAGGCGTGGGGTGGAGGAGGGAGATCTGACTGTGGGCAGGATAGCTGAAGGGAATAGAAATCTAGCATTACAGAGGGGGAGTGGCCTTCTTATTCACCGGCTGTAATTCCCTCGCCAGACGTACGAAATGACAACGCTGTAGGGCTTAGAAAAATTGGGGCAACTCTGGGGCAGTGGGCGGCTGAGAATGTATTAATGACGACCTGCCTAGGCCTTTGAGCGGCAGATAAAGCACACAGATACACACTGCCCACGGTTAAGCAGCCCCAGTCCTGGTTACCAGAGAATTTCTCAGTCTTCTGTCCCAGTCACTCATCTTTTTAAAGCTTGATTCCAAAATATGCAATGTGCCATTTTAAAATGCTTTTGCTTTTAGAAGAAGTGTCCAACATAGAAGCTTGAGGGAGGAGTTTGGCATTTTTCCATCACATTCGGGAATCCCCGCCTGCACTCTAACCATAATTAGTGTGGTGCCTTCAGAATGCAGGCCTAGGAGGAAAAAGGCAGGGAGTAGGCTAGGTCCTCCTGGCACTTCCCTTTTTCCTTTCCTCACTCGCCGCCTCTTCCCAATCAGACAGACCTACAGGCAGCTACCTGGGGTCCACTGGACACTCCTAGGGGGCCAAAGGAGGGGCTGCAACCAGGATCTTGTTTGGCACTTTCAGAGTTTATGGTCTCTGGACTAGAAAATAACTGATCCATTATATTTTATGAGGTCAGTGGGAAATTAAAGTAATTAAATGGGAAAAAGACTGGACTAGGCATCAGAAGACCTGGGTGTGCTTTCAGCTATGCCACTACGTAGCCAAGTGACCTCGGGTGAGAAACTTAATCTCTAGACCCAGGTCTCCTCAGCTGAAAAATGAGGGTTGAACTAAGTGACCTAGGGAATAAAACTGAGCCAAGTGATGGATTTTGTGTACATGCGGGTGGCTGTCCATGTGCAGCTGTGTATGTGTCTGTGTGTCTATGTGTGGAGTATGAAAAGATAAACCCAAGGAAAAATGGACAAAAGTACCCATGATATAAAGACCCAGAAGTGAAAGTGAGCAGCTGGAATGATCAGAAGATCTAAGGAGAGAAAGGTCTTTACCATTGGCACTGTGGAACAAGTGACCCCAAAATGGAGTGGTATAAACCAAAAACCAATTGGTTAATTTTTTTTATTATACTTTAAGTTTTAGGGTACATGTGCACAACGTGCAGGTTTGTTACATATGTATACATGTGCCATGTTGGTGTGCTGCACCCGTTAACTCATCATTTAACATTAGCTATATTTCCTAATTCTATCCCACCCCCGTCCCCCGATCCCACAACAGTCCCCGGTGTGTGATGTTCCCTGCCCTGTGTCCATGTGTTCTCATTATTCAATTCCCACCTATGAGTGAGAACTTGGCGGTGTTTGTTTTTTTGTCCTTGCAATAGTTTGCTCAGAATGATGATTTCCAGCTTCATCCATGTCCCTACAAAGGACATGAACTCACCATTTTTTATGGCTGCTTAGTATTCCATGGTGTATATGTGCCACATTTTCTTAATCCAGTCTATCATTGTTGGACATTTGGCTTGGTTCCAAGTCTTTGTTATTGTGAATAGTGCTGCAGTAAACATACATGTGCATATGCCTTTATAGCAGCATGATTTATAATCCTTTGGGTATATACCCAGTAATGGGATTGCTGGGTCAAATGGTATTTCTAGTTCTAGATCCCTGAGGAATCGCCACACTGACTTCCACAATGGTTGAACTAGTTTACAGTCCCACCAATGGTGTGAAAGTGTTCCTATTTCTCCACATCCTCTCCAGCACCTGTTGTTTCCTGACTTTTTAATGATCACCATTCTAACTGGTGTGAGATGATATCTCATGTGGTTTTGATTTGCATTTCTCTGATGGCCAGTCATGATGAGCATTTTTTCATGTGTCTTTTGGCTGCATAAATGTCTTCTTTTGAGAAGTGTCTGTTCATATCCTTAGCCCACTTGTTGATGGGGTTGTTTGTTTTCTTCTTGTAAATTTGTTTGACTTCATTGTAGATTCTGGATATTAGCTCTTTGTCAGATGAGTAGATTGCAAAAATTTTCTCCTATTTTGTAGGTTGCCTGTTCACTCTGATGGTAGTTTTTTTGCTGTGCAGAAGCTCTTTAGTTTAACTAGATTCCATTTGTCAATTTTGGCTTTTGTTGCCATTGCTTTTGGTGTTTTAGACATGAAGTCCTTGTCCATGCCTATGTCCTGAGTGGTATTGCCTAGGTTTTCTTCTAGGGTTTTTATGGTTTTAGGTCTAACATTTAAGTCTTTAATCCATCCTGAATTAATTTTTGTATAAGGTATAAAGAAGGGATCCAGTTTCAGCTTTCTACACATGGCTAGCCAGTTTTCCCAGCACCATTTATTAAATAGGGAATCCTTTCCCCATTTCTTGTTTTTGTCAGGTTTGTCAAAGATCAGATAGTTGTAGATATGTGGCATTATTTTTTGAGGACTCTGTTCTGTTCCATTGGTCTATATCTCTGTTTTGGTACCAGTACCATGCTGTTTTGGTTACTGTAGCCTTGTAGTATAGTTTGAAATCAGGTAGCATGATGCCTCCAGCTTTGTTCTTTTGGCTTAGGATTGACTTGGCAATGTGGGCTCTTTTTTGGTTCTATATGAACTTTAAAGTAGTTTTTTCCAATTCTGTGAAAAAAGTCTTTGGTAGCTTGATGGGGATGGCATTGAATCTATAAATTACCTTGGGCAGTATGGTCATCTTCACGATATTGATTCTTCCTACCCATGAGCATGGAATGTTCTTCCATTTGTTTGTATCCTCTTTTATTTCGTTGAGCAATGGTTTGTAATTCTCCTTGAAGAGGTCCTTTACATCCCTTGTAAGTTGGATTCCTAGGTATTTTATTCTCTTTGAAGCAATTGTGAATGGGAGTTCACTCATGATTTGGCTCTCTGTTTGTCTGTTATTGGTGTATAAGAATGCTTGTGATTTTTGCACATTGATTTTGTATCCTGAGACTTTGCTGAAGTTGCTTATGAGCTTAAGGAGATTTTGGGCTGAGACAATGAGGTTTTCTAGATATACAATCATGTCATCTGCAAACAGGGACAATTTGACTCCCTCTTTTCCTAATTGAATACCCTTTATTTCCTTCTCCTGCCTAATTGCCCTGGCCAGAACTTCCAACACTATGTTGAATAGGAGTGGTGAGAGAAGGCATCCCTGTCTTGTGCCAGTTTTCAAAGGGAATGCTTCCAGTTTTTGCCCATTCAGTATGATATTGGCTGTGGGTTTGTCATAGATAGCTCTTATTATTTTGAGATATGTCCCCTCAATACCTAATTTATTGAGAGTTTTTAGCATGAAGGGTTGTTGAATCTTTTCAAAGGCCTTTTCTGCATCTGTTGAGATAATCATGTGGTTTTTGTCTTTGGTTCTGTTTATATGCTGGATCATGTGTATTGATTTGCATATGTTGAACCAGCCTTGCATCCCAGGGATGAAACCAACTTGATCATGGTGGATAAGCTTTTTGATGTGCTGCTGCCAGTATTTTATTGAGGATTTTTGCATCGATGTTCATCAGGGATATTGGTGTAAAATTCTCTTTTTTTGTTGTGTCTCTGCCAGGCTTTGGTATCAGGATGATGCTGGCCTCATCAAATGAGTTAGGGAGGATTCCCTCTTTTTGTATTGAGTGGAATAGTTTCAGGAGGAATGGTACCAGCTCCTCCTTGTACCTCTGGTAGAATTCGGCTGTGAATCCATCTGGTCCTGGACTTTTTTTGGTTGGTAAGCTATTAATTATTGCCTCTATTTCAGAGCCTGGTATTGGTCTATTCAGAGATTCAACTTCTTCCTGGTTTAGTCTTGGGAGGGTGTATGTGTCGAGGAATTTATCCATTTCTGCTAGATTTTCTAGTTTATTTGTGTAGAGGTGTTTGTAGTATTCTCTGATGGTAGTTTGTATTTCTGTGGGATTGGTGGTGATATCCCCTTTACATTTTTTATTGCCTCTATTTGATTCTTCTCTCTTCTTTATTAGTCTTGCTAGTGGTCTATCAATTTTATTGATCTTTTCAAAAAACCAGCTCCTGGATTCATTGATTTTTTGAAGGGTTTTTTTGTCTCTATCTCCTTCAGTTCTGCTCTGATCTTAGTTATTTCTTGCCTTCTGCTAGCTTTTGAATGTGTTTGCTTTTGCTTCTCTAGTTCTTTTAATTGTGATGTTAGGGTGTCAATTTTAGATCTTTCCTGCTTTCTCTTGTGGGCATTTAGTGCTATAAATTTCCCTCTACACACTGCTTTAAATGTGTCCCAGAGAAACTGGTATGTTGTGTCTTTGTTCTTGTTTCTTTCAAAGAACATCTTTATTTCTGCCTTCATTTCGTTATGTACCCAGTAGTCATTCAGGAGGAGGTTGTTCAGTGTCCATGTAGTTGAGCAGTTTTGAGTGAGTTTCTTAATCCTGATTTCTAGTTTGATTGCACTGTGGTCTGAGAGACAGTTTGTTATAATTTCTGTTCTTTTACATTTGCTGAGGAGTGCTTTACTTCCAACTATGTGGTCAATTTTGGAATAAGTGTGGTGTGGTTCTGAAAAGAATGTATGTTATGTTGATTTGGGGTGGAGAGTTCTGTAGATGTCTATTAGGTGCACTTGGTGCAGAGCTGAGTTCAATTCCTGGATATCCTTGTTAACTTTCTGTCTCGTTGATCTGTCTAATGTTGACAGTGGGGTATTAAAGTCTCCCATTATTATTGTGTGGGAGTCTAAGTCTCTTTTTAGGTCTCTAAGGACTTGCTTTATGAATCTGGGTGCTCCTGTATTGGGTGCATATATATTTAGGATAGTTAGCTCTTCTTGTTGAATTGATCCCTTTACCATTATGTAATGGCCTTCTTTGTCTCTTTTGATCTTTGTTGGTTTAAAATCTGTTTTATCAGAGACTAGGATTGCAACTCCCTGCCTTTTTTTTGTTTTCCATTTGCTTGGTAGATCTTCCTCCATCCCTTTATTTTGAGCCTATATGTGTCTCTGCATGTGAGATGGGTTTCCTGAATATAGCACACTGATGGGTCTTCACTCTTTATCCAATTTGCCAGTCTGTGTCTTTTAATTGGAGCATTTAGCCCATTTACATTTAAGGTTAATATTGTTATGTGTGAATTTGATCCTGTCATTATGATGTTAGCTGGTTATTTTGCTCGTTAGTTGATGCAGTTTCTTCCTAGCCTCGATGGTCTTTACAATTTGGCATGTTTTTGCAGTGGCTGGTGCCGGTTGTTCCTTTCCATGTTTAGTGCTTCCTTCAGGAGCTCTTTTAGGGCAGGCCTGGTGGTGACAAAATCTCTTAGCATTTGCTTGTCTGTAAAGTATTTTATTTCTCCTTCACTTATGAAGCTTAGTTTGGCTGGATATGAAATTCTGGGTTGAAAATTCTTTTCTTTAAGAATGTTGAATATTGGCCCCCACTCTCTTCTGGCTTATAGAGTTTCTGCTGAGAGATCAGCTGTTAGTCTGATGGGCTTCCATTTGTGGGTAACCCGACCTTTCTTTCTGGCTGCCCTTAACATTTTTTCCTTCATTTCAACTTTGGTGAATCTGACAATTATGTGTCTTGGAGTTGCTCTTCTTGAGGAGTATCTTTGTGGCATTCTCTGTATTTCCTGAATTTCAATGTTGGCCTGCCTTGCTAGATTGGGGAAGTTTTCTTGGATAATATCCTGCAGAGTGTTTTCCAGCTTGGATCCCTTCTCCCCATCACTTTCTGGTACACCAATCAGATGTAGATTTGGTCTTTTCACATAGTCCCATATTTCTTGGAGGCTTTGTTTGTTTCTTTTTATTCTTTTTTCTCTCAACTTCTCTTCTCACTTCATTTCATTCATTTGATCTCCCATCACTGATACCCTTTCTTCCAGTTGATCGAATCAGCTACTGAGGCTTGTGCATTCATCATGTAGTTCTTGTGCCATGGTTTTCAGCTCCATCAGGTCCTTTAAGGACTTCTCTGCATTGGTTATTCTAGTTAGCCATTCGTCTAATCTTTTTTCAAGGTTTTTAACTTTTTTGCCATGGGTTCGAACTTCCTCCTTTAGCTCAGAGTAATTTGATCGTCTGAAGGCTTCTTCTCTCATCAAAGTCATTCTCTGTCCAGCTTTGTTCCATTGCTGGTGAGGAGCTCTGTTCCTTTGGAGAAGGAGAGGTGCTCTGATTTTTAGAATTTTCAGTTTTTCTGCTGTTTTTTCCCCATCTTTGTGGTTTTATCTACCTTTGGTCTTTGATGATGGTGACGCACAGATGGGGTTTTGGTGTGGATGTCCTTTCTGTTTGTTAGTTTTCCTTCTAACAGTCAGGACCCTCAGCTGCAGGTCTGTTGGAGTTTGCCAGAGGTCCACTCCAGACCCTACTTTTCCTGGGTATCAGCAGCAGAGGCTGCAAAACAGCAGATATTGGTGAACAACAAATGTTGCTGGCTGATCGTTCCTCTGGAAGTTTTGTCTCAGAGGAGTGCCTGGCCATGTGAAGTGTCAGTCTGCCCCTATTGGGGGGTGCCTCCCAGTTAGGCTACTCGGGGGTCAAGGACCCACTTGAGGAGGCAGTCTGTCCGTTCTCAGATCTCCAGCTGCTTGCTGGGAGAACAACTACTCTCTTCAAAGCTGTCAGACAGGGACATTTAAGTCTGCAGAGGTTTCTGCTGCCTTTTGTTTGGCTATGCCCTGCCCCCAGAGGTGGAGTCTACAGAGGCAGGCAGGCCTCCCTGAGCTGCGGTGGGCTCCACCCAGTTCGAGCTTCCCGGCCACTTTGTTTACCTACTCAAGCCTCAGCAATGGCAGGCACCCCTCCCTCAGCCTCACTGTCACCTTGCAGTTTGATCTCAGACTGCTGTGCTAGCAATGAGCGAGGCTCCTTGGGCGTGGGACCCTCTGAGCCAGGCACGGGATATAATCTCCTGGTGTGCCGTTTGCTAAGACCATTGGAAAAGTGCAGTATTAGGGTGGGAGTGACCCGATTTTCCAGGTGCCGTCTGTCACCCCTTTTCTTGGCTAGGAAAGGGAATTCCCTGACCCCTTGCGCTTCCCAGGTGAGGCGATGCCTCACCCTGCTTTGGATCACGCTCGGTGCACTGCACCCACTGTCCTGTACCCACTGTCTGACAATCCCCAGTGAGATGAACCCAGTACCTCAGCTGGAAATGCAGAAATCATTCATCTTCTGCGTCGCTCACGCTGGGAGCTGTAGACTGGAGCTGTTCCTATTCGGCCATCTTGGCTCCACCCCCCGGTTAATTTTTTAAAAAGGTGATTTTGCAGGTCATGAACTCAAGAAGGGCTTGGCTGCTCTCTTGCCACATGTGGTTTTTCATAAAGCTGTTGTCAGATATTGACGAGACTGCAATCACCTGATGGCTCACATGGGCTGCATGCCCAAGATGCCCATCCACATGGCTGGCAGGGGATGCTGGCTATTCTGGAAGCCCAGTGGGGTTGTAACCAGAAGGGCTTCCCAATGTGGCTTTCTCAGTGGAGTTGGGCTTCTTACATGCTGGCTGGCTTCCCCCAGAATAAGTGGGCCAAGATGGCAAAGCAGAAGCAGCATGGCCTTTTCTTTTCTTTTTTTTTGAGATGGAGTCTCGCTCTGTCGCCCAGGCTGGAGTGCAATGGCGTGATCTCAGCTCACTGCAAGCTCTGCCTCCCAGTGGCGTGGCCTTTTCTAACCCAGCACTGGAAGTCACACCAGCGACACTTCTACCATCCTTCACTGTCACCAGCCCATCCTGATTCAGCTAGGAGATGGGGACCCTTCTTCTTGAGGGGACGTGAAGGCATGTTGAGGCCACAGCCACCTTCCAAGGACACTCTGATTTTCTCAGTATCTTTGAAATAAGTGTCTTGATAATTTATATGATTTAATCAGCTTTCAGAGACAAGAGGCCTTCTGAATAATCGGTTTGCTGAGTCCTTTAAATGTACTTGAAAAATCACTGCACCTTTCAAGCAAATTATATGGCTCCAAATCTGAGATAACTTTAACCTCCACAGTTGTTTGATGTGAATAATGTTAGCTACAAAACTCCTTGGTGCTGGGAAAAGGTAAAGAACTGTGTAAAAAATCAGGTAACTGGACTATTATTTCTAGGCTGATTAGGATGCTTCAGAAATTGGCCTCTGCTCTGGCAAATCTGACAGCCCATTGTGAACGTGGGGCAATAATGCCACACAATACTGGGAAAGAGACACCAACTCAACAGGAGTGCCTCAGAGCAAGCTATTCATCGCAGGTAAAACGCCTGCTACCGGGGCCTGAAGTGTTCTGATGCTCGTGGCTGATGGCAAACACACTTCATGTGCTCTTCCTTGGGTCTAATTTCAATGATGATTTCTTCCTATCGTGTGCAGCCACTATCAGGCTGATTTTAGTTCCTGGGGCTTAAACAGTTTCTAAAGGTTGTTATAACTCCCCTTCAGTGGAGCATATCTTCAAACACCTTCCTGGATAATTACCATGGCCCAGTGATTGAGGAATCACCAGAGTGATTTTAAACACACACACACACACACACACACACACACGCACGCACACACTTCTCTAGTGTTTCTTTGTGTTTGTTTTCTATGTGTATTTTCAAAGCCCAGTGGTTCATGAGAGACAGTAGAAGGACAAAATAAGAAGACATATGGTAGTGCTTAAATTATTCCCCAACAGGGAAAGTGTGCAATATGAAATTATTCAGTTTTTCTCTACTATTCTGAGATGGGGAGAAAGCATTTCAACCAAGAAAATAATAGGGTACCCACAATGCCCAGAGGACAACTGAATTATATCATCAACTTCCAAATTCAGTCAGCAATATTTCACCAGAAAAGCTGCTTTGCAAAAATTAAACCTCTAATGTTTACACTGGGAAATACCTCCAGTCCTTCTTTACCCTCTCCCAATGTCCCCCAGCCTCTGCACACACACACACACACACACACACACACACACACAATCTCTTAGACTTTTTAGCTCCTCTTTGTTTAGTTCACCTCTGTTTTCCTAATGTGTACACAGGTTATTCTGTAGTGAAGTGCCCAAAATGCCTGTAAAAGGAAAAACTACACAAAGTAAAATTTTGCCTCTTAGTTTTCAAAATGTTCTAAGAACCTATAGATTCATCTGACATAAGATTGTGAAAAGGGGCAGCCAAAAGAAATCAATTAGACAATTTCTTTTTTTAAATTGGTGTCTGGTATTTATTTATTTATTTATTTATTTATTTATTTATTTATTATACTTTAAGTTCTAGGGTACATGTGCACAATGTGCAGGTTTGTTACATATGTATACATGTGCCGTGTTTGTTTGCTGCACCGATTAACTTGTCATTTACATTATGTATATCTCCTAATGCTATCCCTCCCCCATGCCCCCACCCCACGACAGACCCCAGTGTGTGATGTTCCCCACCCTGGGTCCCAGCATTCTCATTGTTCAATTCCCACCTATGAGTGAGAACATGCTGTGTTTGGTTTTCTGTCCTTGTGATAGTTTGCTCAGAATGATGGTTTCCAGCTTCATCCATGTCCCTGCAAAGGACATGAACTCCTTCTTTTTTATTGGCTGCATAGTGTTCCATGGTGTATATGTGCCACATTTTCTTAATCCAGTCTATCATTGTTGGACATTTGGGTCGGTTCCAAGTCTTTGCTATTGTGAATAGTGCCGCAATAAACATACGTGTGCATGTGTCTTTACAGTAGAATGATTTATAATCCTTTGGGTATGTACCCAGTAATGGGATGGCTGAGTCAAATGGTATTTCTAGTTCTAGATCCTTGAGGAATCGCCACACTGTCTTCCACAATGGTTGAACTAGTTTACACTCCCACCAACAGTGTGAAAGTGTTCCTATTTCTCCACATCCTTTCCAGCATCTGTTGTTTCCTGACTTTTTAATGATCGCCATTCTAACTGGTGTGAGATGGTATCTCACTGTGGTTTTGATTTGCATTTCTCTGATGACCAGTGATGATGAACATTTTTTCATGTGTCTGTTGGCTGCATAAGAAATGACAATTTCTTGAGATCCCTTTTCATTCAAATTGATAACTAGAGGAGGGAGGCAGGGTTAGGCTCCAGCTGCCTGTTGTTTTTAGTCAGTTTGTGCAACTTCAATCCATTTGACCCAGGCACAGGCATATTATATAAAGGTTTTATGAAAAGAGATAAACTTTGAGAAATATTTTTTAACTTTAATTTTAAAAATGGCACAATGAGTCACGCCCGTAATCCCAGCACTTTGGGAGGCTGAGGTAGGAGGACTGCTTGAGGCCAGGAATTTGAGATAAGCCTGGGCTACATAGAGAGACCCTGTCTCTACAAAAAATAAAAAATTTAGCCAAGCACGGTGGTACATGACTGTAGTCCTAGCTGTTTGGGAGGCTAAGGTGGGAGGATCACTGGAGCTTAGGAGTTTGAGGCTGCAGTGAGCTATGGATCGTGCCACTGCACTAGAACCTAGGTGACAGAACTTGTCTTTAAAAAATAAAAATAAAACTAGGCGATGCATTAACATGGGGAATATCAACACAATATAAAAATGTATATGTTGAGAAGTCTGTCCCCATCTGCTCCGGCCCAGCCCCTTCCCCAACCCCCTCTCCCTGCAGGTAAGCACATCGTTAGCTTCTTGTGTATCATCCCGGGATTTTTGCCGATACAAGCAAACACAAGCATATCCCTATTTTCCTCCCTTTCCCAATGTTTTTGAGAAAGAATTTAGGAGAGAAGGAACTTGCTTTATTTGTCCTGGTAGTGGGAATCCATGAATAGAGAAGGTATGATGGTATATCAGCAGCTTGGAAGAATGGAAATGATTTCTGTTATTTAGATTCCCAGAATCGTTTTATTTGACTTTGGTTCTTTGGTTAAACCTATTCTTTGGGCCTCTTAACTCTTTAAGCTTCAAAAATCTTTGTTGTCTGAACAAGCGAAAGTTTTAGATGATTCATAGAGCTCATCTTTTTTGCCTAACAACAAAAACATGTGTATGCTGACTTTAAGAAAAGAACACGAAACACAGTGGCAAGTGCGGTACAGTGTCCCCTTAGGAAGAGCTGCCCTCACCCTGGGTCTCAGTGTTAGCATGTTGGGGTGCTGCCCATGGCCTGAGGCATGAACATTTATTCCACCCAGAAGCTTTTCTTTATCTTAAATCAACCTGGACATAGAGACAAAGAAGGCCTTAGAAATATCTTATTTTTCTGACACTTAAGTGTCTCAAATAGAATAATTTTGTAGATTTCAGAGACAACAGGAATGTGTATGTAACAGCCAGATAATTGATGCTGGGCATTGTGTAAGACTGGGCCAGATCCCCAAAACAATTAAACACTTTTAAACTCATATTTTGGAAATGAATAGGCAACAAAGACAAAAACCTGTCCTTTGAACAATTTGAAACACAATAACAATGAAATGTGTTGTCATTTTTTGTGTAGTTTTATGTATGCCAGATGAATAAAAGATAAACTAAATTGTGAATGACATATAGAATAAATTATCACATAGGTGCGTATTATAACAATTGCTTTACATTGTAGATATTTCCTAGAGTTATATAATGAGTGAGTTTGTGGAAATGAAATGAAAATTTATTAAAAATTTAATGAAATCCTTAAGGCGATTTATTTATTTTAATATTTTATTTTAACTAGCTTTTTTGTTGAAAAAGAAATACATGTGCATTGTAAGATATTTAAACAGTACAGAAAGTATACAGTAAAAATAATCTTTCACTACATCCCAGGCACTCAGGCCTTTTCCTCAGAGGTAACTAACACAACACTTTGTTATGTTTCCCACAGAAATATTCTGCACATCTCAATATGTCAATATCTCTATCTTAAAAACACAGACAAGGGCATGTAGTAAACTTGTTCTTTGCTTGGCCTTCGTCCATGTTAGCAGCTGCATACCTCTCACACCTCTCCCAAAGCCACAGAATATTCCCACAGAATATTGGAAGGACAGGCCTCCAGTAATTCAGCAGCCAGGCCCCTACCGTGGGATGACTCTTCTATGAAGCGAAGACAAATCTTTTGGAGAGTAAAATACAATTGCCTTCTAATCATCTCTGTCGCCCAGGATGGAGTGCAATGGTATGATCTCAGCTCACTGCAGCCACGACCTCCCAGGTTCAAGCAATCCTTCTACCTCACCCACCTAAGCAGCTGGGATTACAGGCTCATGCCACCATGCCCCGCTAATTTTTGTAGAGACTGGGTTTCACTACATTTCCCAGACTGGTCTCGAACTCCTGGGCTCAAGTGATCCACCTGCCTCAGCCTCCCAAAATGCTGGGATTACTGGCATGAGCCACCACGCCAGGCCTAATCATCTGTTTTGATAAAGAGATTTTGTCATAGAGCAAGCGGTGTCCAGCTCTCCTTTAGCCACTGTGGCTTCCAGGACTCCCAGCTCTATCCCCTGGACTCAGGGAGGTCACCATGCTCTGTGTTGCAGCCCAGAAACTCCACAGACAGTGAGCTGGGGTAATATCCTACAGTCCACCTCATTTGTTCCCCTCGCAGAGATCACCACGCTGGGCTTTTGATGTCCCTGGTCTGAAAACCATTCTTTCACACACTTTGCCCAGTTTTTCAGTTGTGTCAGGCAGGAGGATAAACCCAGTCCCTGTAACTCCATCTCAGCCAGAAGCAGAGGTGTTTTTTAAACACAAAAGTGTTTCCTAAACTTGGATGTGTACAATCATCTGAGAAACTCATTAAAAATAAAGATTCTTGGGCTCCCACCCAGAAATTCTGATTTGGCGGGGCTGCCTGGGAATCTGTATTTGTAACCAGAGCCCCAAGCGGTGTTGAAGCAGCCCCGCCATCACCAGGCCTGCTGTTTGAGAACCACTGGCTCGAAGGATGATTATGTTTATTTGTCAGCTCTTCTCAAGTGATACCACCATATGGGCACTTTGTTATTCAGATGAACAAAATAAAAATAAATGGTGAGGTGGATTTCTTGCCCAACTTAAATTATTGAGTGTTTAGAAACATGCTGTCACCTCTGATGAGTGTCTAAAGAGGCCTGAGTTCGGTTCTAAGGGATAGCTCTACTCAGCAGGTGACACTGCAAATGCTATGTGCTTGAAGGCAAGTTGGAGATCAAGTTGGAAGGGACACATTTGCTTGTCTGCACAGAGAGGGCACACATCCCAGCAGCTTCAGCTTAGTTAAACTCATTTTGGAAAATATTTTTGGCTCATGTGGTTTTATGCTTTTAGAGTTCCATTTTAAGCACTGGGTCCATCCAAACCCACGGAAGCTAGCTGAAGCATCCAAGGAAGATGCTGAGTTTCACACAGATCTCTGCTGAGTCTGGAAAAATCTCTCAGATTTGTCCAAACTGCTTTGTTGAGAAATCAAAACAAAAATCCCTAATCCCAGTGGGGCTTGTAGGGTCTGTGGTTTTTGTCCAAAACTACGGCAAAAGTAGTGGTCAGTCATGTGACTCACAAGCCTAAAGGTTTCATTATAAAACCTGAAAAAAACCCACGAGCTTAGTCTTAAAATATACTCCCAAGAGACAAACCAGAAAAAAAAAATCATCTTAGTTTTGGCCTGGAAGCATAGACTAAGGAAACATGTCCAAACCAAATGTTGTCAGGGCTCACTACATTTTAAATCCAAAGCTAAATTTTATTCCATTGGGGTGACACTGTTTATTAACACTGTCTGTGGCAATCAGATTGTCTAGAAAAGTTCAGGAGAGCTGGAGGCCCTCTCTTGTTTATGCTATGAGCAGATCCGGCCTGCTGTCCAATAAAATGAGTACCAACAACATAAATTGTGAGATTTTGTTTTACCACATCTTCCTTCCCCTAGGATATGTAGATAATACATTATGAAATGAATTATCCTTTTTATTATTTAACATAAAATTTTACTCATTAATGTCAGATCCTTTTATAACAATGACTCCTAAATTCTAGGATACAAATGTATATCCTGTAGAATTTGTGACACCTGCATATTCTTGTTGTTTATCACTATTTAACAAACCACCTTAAAATTTAGGGGCTTAAAACAACCATCATTTAATTGCACTTCAGGATTTTGTGGATCAAGAATTCTGGCAGGGCTCAGCTGAGTGATTCTTCTGTTCCATGTGATTGACTGGGGTCACCCACTGGTATTCAGCTGGTGGCTGGTCTTGTCTGGAGAGTCCAAGATAATTTCACCTACATGACTGGAAAATTGTAGGGTGATTGTAAAGCTAGCTTAGCCATGTTTTTCTCTGTCTCCACATGGTCTTAGGGTCTCATCACATTGCTCTGGTGGCCCAGGGCTCCTAGAGACCTATGCTAGCTCTGGAATTGGCATTGCATCATTCCATTGATCAGAGCAGCCATGGGCATTTCAAGGGGTGGAGAAATAGATCCCACCTCTAGATGGGGAAAATGTCAAATAATTTGTAACCATCTTTCATCCACCACAACACAAATGCCAGAGCTCTCCCCTCACAAATTCTGGTTTGCTAGCAGTGTGGTGGGGTCCAAGATCTGCATTTTAGAAGACATTCAATGAGATTCTGGTACAACAGGTCCTTATAGCACACTTAGAAAAATACCATGTTATAAAGTGTAATGGAAAATGTGCTTATAATCAATCTATTCATCAATCAATTAACAAACATTGATTAGTCATGACGCGTGTCCCAAATCACGTTAGGTGCTGCGGAGTGTAAAGAAAGGACCGCTGCCCTCACTGCATTCATGCTTCACTGGAGCCAGGTTCAGGGGAGCAGAGCCTGAATGCCAAAACCATCTCGTGGGAGAGGGTCAGGTGGGAGCAAAGGAGCAGTACAGAGTGGGCTCCTGCGGCCCAGGGGACTGAGGCAAGCACCTTGGAGCTGAGCCATAGAAATCAGATCAAAAAGTGTGCTGGAATGAGTAGGTGGACAGAATGAATTATGGGGGAAGGGGAACTGGACTCTTCAAAGGTCCCAGCCAGAAGTGGGGCTGGGGTCAGGGGAAGGGAGCAGGAGGCACGATGACTCCCAAGCTCATTTTTCAAAGTGTAATGTTTTCTCCCAGGCTTTCGACAGGATTATCTCCTCTAGTGTCTTAGTCAGCTCGGGCTGCCGTAACAAAATACCATATACTGGATGGCTTAAGCATTGATTTTCTTACAGTTCTAGAAGCTGTAAAGTCCAAGATCAAAGTACCAACAGGGTTGGTGTCTGTTGAGGAAACTTCTCCTTGGTTTGCAAATGGCCTCCTCCTTACAGTGTCCTCACATGGCCTTTCCTTGGTGCATGGGGCACACACATACTCATACTCACATACACACACACTCACACACATACACACACTCTAACACTCACACACATACACTAACACACACACTCACACATACTCACACTCACATATACACACTCACACACACTCACACATACACTCACACATGCCCCCACACTCACAACTACACACACTCATACACTGTCACACGTACACCCACACAAACATAAACACAGTCACACACTCTCGCACACCCCTACACACACACACGAGGAGAGAGACTCTTCCTCCTCCTATGAGGCCTCCACTCCCATCATGAGGATCCCACACTCATCTAATTCTAATCACCTCCCAAAGGCCCCATCTTCCAACACCATCACTCTGGGGGTTAGGACTTCAACATATTGATTTGGGGGGAGGAACACACACATTTAGTCCGTAATGCCTAGTCTCTTATTCCTCTGCAATCCTGGCTTAATGTCACCCTGCTGGCCCATGTTGTTCATATCCAGACACACTGCGCAGCTCAGCTCCAGAATGGGAACAGCTACTCTCGTTCCAGCAACAATGCGCACTTTCAGGGCAGCCCGTCTCCCTTCCCCTTAAACTCGGCTTCTGACTCATCCCGCTTCTGCCCAGAACTAAATGGTGTCTGGACCCCACCCCCAAAGCAGGCTGTGTGTGAGGGGGTGAGAGGAGAGGGGAGAGGGTGGCTCCTGGGGGAGGCACAGGTTGGGAGGATCTTAGGAGCTGGGTAAAGCTATAAAGGATATTATGATGGAGTCTGTGAGCAAATTGCTTAAACAATGCTGAGAAAGATCATCTGAAATCTAGAAAGATTCACAGGGTTACAGATAACAGTGGAATGAACTCTGGTTGCTGACCAGGAGAACAGGGTGGGGAGTGAGTGCTGGAAGAGAAAGAGGGTCCAGGAGGCCATCTGTAAACAGGGGCATGTGTAGCACACTCAGCAGGCTGGGCCTGGCTGCTCCAAGATGTCTAATTGGGGTGGACAGATACACTCCATCCGTGGGAAACAACCCCTTCCTGTCCAGATCAGAGGTTGCTGTCAGTGCTAAGCCTATAAGTTCTGAAGCCCAGAGTCAAGACCGAAAGCCCAGGCCAGCAGCATTCAGGGCTGGTGTCAGCAACCAGGCAGGAGCCTAGGCACAAACAAACGGAAGTTGAGGGCTAAGCCATGAGCCAGGAATCAGCCTGGCGAGGAGCCAGGGGGCAGGTTGAGAGCAGACTGAGCAGCCACGGCCCCCACCAGCAGGGTGATCAATGGGTCAGAGGATGCTCTGCAGACAGACAGCAACCAGGAAGACACAGATAACCATGAGCAAAGCTGGGAAGATAGGCCAGGATCACGGCCCATCTGCAGGAAGGGGAATGGGAAGTTGGCAGAGAACAGGATCAAGGAGGACAAGCATCTCGGATGGTCTCACTGCCAGTAAGAAAGCTGCTGGTTCTTGCATACTTGCATACTTCCTGCTGGGACAAAAAGCAAGCTCAAATCAGCCCAAGGCTTCTGGGTCTGTCCTAAGGATAGGATGGGAAGGTAACACTGTGCCTCTGTAACAGTTAGATGAGAGGGCCCCTCTAGGCAGATGCAGCCCTGGCTTGGCAAGCAGAAGTGTCTAGGAGAAGAAAAGAGCCCCATCGTCCAGGCAGATGGAGGAAGCACCCCACCTGCAAGCTTGGTGAGCAGAGTGCAATCTGGATTCAGTGCCCCCTATACCGCAGCCAGAGCTTCCGTGCAACCACATGCGTAACCACATGTGATGACCCTGCTGTGAAGCGGGGGAGGAGGGTCGATTCTGGTCCTGAAATACTTGCACACACTGGCCAGATCTTAGTGTTTTGACCGTAAGTCAGGACAATTTTGAGCTTCTCTTCTCTGAGTTCTCCGGCACCTTCTCAGACACAGGGGTTGTAAATGAGTCATCACCAGGGGTGTATGATGCATTAACACTGGACTGATTTCAAACACAGAGGCAAGTGGGTGAGCCCAGAGGGCCTGGTGCATCTGCATTGTGGTGCCACCACAGCCTGCCTGGGCAGTGGCTGGCTTATGCAGAGGGCAAGCTGGGAAAAGCTACCAAAAGGCACTGCTGCCAAAAATGCCGTTCCAGTTGGATGGCAAGCCATGTTCCACGACTCCGCGGCTGGAGAACAAAAACTCCTGCTGTGCTTCTTTTAAGATCAGGAAAATACCACCTTCCTATGGGGTTACTTCTGAAGATTTCATTAAAAGGCAACGGTGGTCACAGCCTTGCGAACTTAGCTCCCTTCCCCAGGGGCGATCATTGTACCTGACCACCGTGCTTTTGTTTTGCCACTCAGAGTAGCCCTTAAACTGCCTCTACTTCCTAATTTGTCATCCACCCATTTCCTTATCTTTTGATAGCAGCTCTCCCAGGGAGCGTGTTGGTTCTGGCAAGAGGCTCTTGACCTGGTTTCTGTTTCAGTTAGGTCTATTTCCATAGGTCTGACCAGTTAGGTCTCTCTCATGCTATGCTTCTGTTCAATATTTCTTGAATGCTTGGCATGTGCCAGGCACTGTGGTAGGGGAATGCAGAGACGACTGACATGGTTTCTCCCCTTAAGGAGTTTGCACTATGGTAGAAGACACAGAAACAAACCAGCAGTAGTGGGCAGTGGCTGCGTGCAGGCATATCCAGCATCTATTCCCTCCTTCCTCTTCCTAACAGAATCATAACACTGTTCTGGAATCTTCTCTCTCCTCAAGAATCACCTCTCTTTCTCTTTCTCTCTCTCTCTCTCACACACACACACACACACACACACACACACACACACACACAGCGCCTGCGTTGGAGGTGAGGTCCAGTAACTATTTGGTGGATAAAGCCAGAAGCAGGATGAGTCAGAGGTGGCATTTAAGAGGAAGGGAGCTGGGGCCGCACTGAAAGCCCACACTGGCACTGGATGGACGGTGTTACTGGATCCACTGTGGAGTTGAACTGTATGGTGTGAGCAACACGGGCCAGCAGGACTGAAGAGAAAGCCAGTGTGCAGCTGTGCTTCGTTCATTTTCACTGCCCCAAACTATATAGTATGAATATACTATAATTTATTTATTCATATTCATGAGTTCATTTACTCATTCAGTCAATGGACATCTGAGTTCTTTCTAGCTTCTCAAAATTGTGTTTCTTTGAGAAGGGTTGTTTGATTTTGTTATTATGATAAACAGTGCTGCTGTAAACATTCCAAAACAGGTCTCCTGGTACACATGGTGAAGTTCATATTTAGGGGTTAATACCAAATTGTCTTCTCCATGATGGCACAATTGGCATTTCCAACAGCAGGCATTAGGGTTTCCATTTGTTCCATATCCTCACTCACACTTTGTCTTATGACACTTATGATATTTTTTAAATCTAGCGATTTACATTGCAAATTTGAACTTGAATTGTTCTGATATTAATGAGATTAAACATATTGTGAACATTGGTCATTTGTGTTTCTGCTTCTGTGAAAGCTTATTCAAGGCTTTTGCCCATTTCATCCAGAGAAGACTGATTTTGGCTTGGACCAGTGTAGTGGCAATGGGGTGGTGAGAAGTGGCCAGTGAAAAGAAGCACTGTGTTGTTATAAAGGAATACCTGAGGCTGGGTAATTTATAAAGGAAAAAAAGGTCTATTTGGCTCATGATTCTGATGGCTGGGAAATTCAAGATTGGGCATCTGCATCTGGTGGGGGCCTCAGGCTGCTTCCGATCAAGGCAGAAGGCCAAGAGGAGCCAGCCTGTGCAGGGACCACAGGGTGAGAGAGGAGGCAGGAGAGAGCTGGGAGGTGCCAGGCTCTTTAGCAACCAGCTCTGTGGGAAGTAATGGAGTAAGAAGTCTATCAGTCTCTATCAAGGCATTAAATCTATTAGGGCATTAATCTATTCAGGAGGGATCCACCCCCATGACCCACACGCCTCCCATTAGGCCACACTTCTAACACTGGGGATCAAATTTCAACATGAGGTTTGGAAGAGAAAAACATCTCCAAACCATAGCAACTCTGACAGGATTTGCTGATGGACCGTGTGAGGTGTGAGAAACGATAAAGACTGATTAGTCCAAGAGACATTCCTGAGCCACAGGAAGGATGTTGTTGCCTTTGCTGAGATGGGAAGAAGGGAGGCAGACCAGGCTGCAGGGAATGCAAGGAGCTCAATACTAGACATGATGTTTGAGGTTTCTGTGAGACATCTCAGAAATGGTGTCCTGCAGTCTGCTGGACAGAGAAGACTGGAGTTCAGAAGGGAGGCTCCAAATGATGCTAGACATTTGGATGTATCACTCAGGATTGCCACAGAAAACAGTGGAATACTCAAATTAGGAACATTTAAGGAGGATTTATTTACAAAGGAACTATTTTTACAGGTGAGGGTACAGGGAAACACAAGAGCCGGTGGAACACCAGTGTTCTACTTGAAATATCAAAGAACAAGGGAGATAGGGGTTACAGGAACTTGGAGGTGGAGAACTGGATCAAGAAGGAGGCTTTACCCAGACATGGTGGCTCAAGTCTGTAATCCCAGCTACTAGGGAGGCTGAGGCGGGAGGATCACTTGAGCCTAAGAGGTCAGGGATGCAGTGAGCTATGGTCATGCCACTGCACCCCAGCCTGGGCAACAGAGTGAGGCCCTATATTTAAAAATAATAATAATAAAAACCAAGGAGGCCCATGAGAGACATTATCTTTGGTTAAATGTCTTCACACAGTTGGAGCTGAGGGAAAAAAGGCTCAATATCACTCTTCTCTTTCCCCTTGATATCTTGCCACCACTCACCATTAGTCACAACCAGCCAGAATCCAGAAGGCACAGAGGCCTGCAGATAAAGTACATACCAGCCAACCTGCCGGGTAGAGACCAGGGCAGAGAAAAGTGGAGAATAGATCCAGAGGTAAAGAGACATTACCTGGAGCAGGCAGAGAAGCTGGTATCGCTGGTGTTTATAGCCAGGAGACGATGAAATGACTGGAGAATGCATGCAGATGGAAAAGATCTTGCAGAGCTCTGGGACTAAACTCTGGATTAGTCCAGTTTCTAGAAGCTGGATAGGCGCGCAGGAAGCAGCAAAGGAGACTGAGAAGAAGCAACTCCAGGAAGGTATGGTGTCTGGGAAGCCAAGGAAAAAATGATTTCACGGAGAGAGTGTTAAATGTGCCACCTGCTGTGGATAGGTCCAGGAAGATGAGGCCTAAGAACTGACCACTGGACATAGCAAAGCAGAGGTCTCTGTTGACCTTGACAAGAGCAATGGTAGTGGGAGGGGGACCTCACTGAAGTGGGTCTGAGAGAGGAATTAAAGACTTGAGAATAGACAACTCTTTCAAGGAATTCTGCTAAAAATTGTAAAATTATATGTAAAGAGATGAGGGACATGGGTGGTCATTGGAAGGAAAAGTAGATCAAGACAGGCTTTGTTGTTTTTAAGATGAGAGGAAATAACACCCTGTTTGTATATTAATAAGAATGACCCAGTATAAAGGCAAAAATTGGATGATGCAGAAGAGAAGTAAATTGCTGGGCAATGCCCTGGGACAAGCAAGGAGGGGTGGTGACTGGAGCATAAGCAAAGGGCTTGGGTTGAGTTAACAGCTTGGAGAGTTCATCTCTACAAACAGGAGGGATGAGATGGTGGAGTGTGAGTGTACAGATGCTTGTGGGTGTGTAGATATGATGAGTGGTGTGTGGTGAGGAGGTTCATTTTTGATTGTGTCCATTTTCGCAGTGCAACAAAAAGCAAGATCATCAGCTAACAGAATCTGGGAGAAGTTGGTGTTTTGAGAAGAGAGGAAATAATGTGAAGCAGTCCGCTAGTTTAGCAACCATCGAAATTTTTTTGCTTTCATACCTCCTAAAATAATTTTGAAAAATGATATTTCCTCATATATTTTTTAAGTGGCAACTAAAATTTTTCATTATAAATTTAAATCATTGCAAAAGCTGTAATTTCATTTATATAACCAGCTGGGAAGAGAACGACTTTTGTTAAAGCAAAGTTACGGAATTTTTGAAACTCTTCTGAGTTATGTAGCAGAAATCACAAATATTATTTCCAAAAAGTGTTTTTACAAATATTTTTATATCTATTATTAAAAATTATTTTTAATGATATATCAACTTACAATGTAATTAGTTTGTGTTCAGTTTAATTAAAAGCAAAGAATAGGAAACTGGGCTGCAATAGTTATATTCCCCAATAATACTCATTTATTTTCTTAACACAAATACCAGTATTTCAGATTGTTCCTGTATCTAATTCCTTATGCACTGGGCCATGGAGCATACTAAGATTCATAACAGATAAGATGCATGTTTTTTTCCTATTTTCACAAAAAAGAGAAAAGCAATTGTGAAAGGAGACTCCTGAATTCCAGATGTTCTCAGGCAAGTTAATCTGGGGAAAGTGTAAATTTGCAAAGTGACTCCCTTAAAAGTGTCCTTGCCAACGTGTCTCTTAGAAATTCTTCATGTATCCATTTGTTTAAAATTGTAATTAAACATATATATAGCATAAAATTGAACATTTTAGCCATTTTGAAGTGCAATTCAGTGGCATTAAGTGCATTTACATTGTGGTGTCACTGTGACTACTACACGTCTCCAGAACTTTTTCATCATCCCAAATGGAAACTCTGTTCCCATTAAACAATTCCCCATTCCTCCATCCCCAGCCATTAGCAACCGGTCTTATCATTTTTGTCTCTGTGAAACTAACTATCCTGGGTACCTCACATAATATTTGTTTTTTGTGACTGGCTTATTTCAATTAGCGTAGTGTCTTCAAGATTCATCCATGCTGTAGCATGTATCAGACTATCACTCCTTTTAAAAGCTGAATGATATTCATGTGTGTGTGTGTGTGTGTGTGTGTGTGTGTGTGATTTGGTTTATCCATCTATCCATGGACATTTGGGCTGTTTCCACTTTTTGGCAATTTGAATAATGCTTCTGTGAACATGATGTATACAAATATTTATTTAAGCCCCTGCTTTTAATTCTTTTGGATATATACCCAGAAGTGAAATTTCTGGATCATATGGTGATTCTATGGTCATGTATCCATTTTGAAGACACTTGTCTAAGAGAAGAGAAGCACGGATGAACCAAAGGAAGATAGTATAATTGCAGGGCTTTCATAGGGCTCAACTGAGATGGGCAATTCTGAATTTAAAGTAAAACCAGTCAGCAAGTTTGTGTTATTTTATTCCAGCACATTCAATTGCGCAGTTGCAAGTATAGGTTAGAGGAAGTGTTGGATAGAACCAAGAATTCGGTTTAGTCAGGCCATAATGTTAAAGCAGGAAAAATGCAAAGGAGTTGAGCATATGCCCATAATCCAAGTGGTTATAATTATTGACTGTGGAATATAAGCTGGGTGAGGACTTGAAAAGCATTTTATACATTTTTCCATATTGACCTGGCAAATTCTGTTAGATTAACGTCTAGGTTCTTTATAAATAAAAACCTTTTAAAACATGTTTTTCCAACTGTTTGTTGCTAGAGTATACAATAAAATTGGTTTTTATAGACTAATCATATATTAAACCAGCCTAAAAACCTCTCTTTTAAACCCCAATTCTTTGTATATAAGATGCACTGGGTTTTTTTGTAGGTGGTCATATCCTCCATAAATATTAGGAGTCATGTTTCTTGCTTTTCAATTCTTATGATTTTCTTTCTTTTTCACATCTTGCTGTGTTGGCTAGTAAGTCCAGTATAATGTTAAATAAAGAACTGGTGACAGATGACCATTATTATCTAAGGACTGATTTTAAATGGATGCTTCTAATATTTCATCATTAATAAAGACATTTACTCCAGGTTTTTGGTAGGTACTTTATCTAGTAAAGGAAGTTCATAAGAGTTGGCCAAGAGTTTTCTTTTTAATCATGATTAAATATTGAAGTTTTTGTATTAGTTTGTTTTCACCTGCTATAAAGACATACCCAAGACTGGGTAATTTATAATGGAAAGAGTTTTAATTGACCCACAGTTCTGCATTACTGGGGAGGGTTCAGGAAACTTACAGTCATGGCAGAAGGTGACAGGGGAAGCAGGTACCTTCTTCACAAGGGGGCAGGAAAGAGGGAGTGTGAGCACAGGAAAAACTGCCACTTTTAAAAGCATCGCATCTCGTGAGAACTCACTCACTATCACGTGAACAGCATGAGAGAAACTGCCCCCATAATCCAATCACTTCCCTCCCTTGGCACGTGGGGACTTCAGGTCCCTCCCTTGACACATGGGGATTACAACTCAAGATGAGATTTGTGTAGGGACACAGAGCCAAACTATACCATTTTTTCAAATGTGCTTTCTGTATCTTCTGAGATGATCATATGGCTTTTCTCTAATAATTGGTTAATGGGTGGATTATATTTATGGAATTTTTAATATTAAATGATTCATCCATTTCTCATATAATCCTAACTTGGTCATGATGTAACATATTTTTTATCTTACTGGAGTCTTTTAATGTTCACAGTATAAGGAAACAGAGTTCATAACACCCATTTTACAGACAGGAAACTGAGACGTAGGGAAATATGGAATATGCATGAGATTTACACCCAGCAGGTAGCAGAACAAGGATTCAAACCCTGGTCTGTCTGATTCTGAATTTATGTTCTTCCCACCAACTATTCTCTTTGAGGCAGAAACCAGATCTTTCTTATATGCCTCAAGTGTCTGGGGCAGTGCTATATGCATAGTACTTATTCAAGAATTTGTGTTGAATAAATACTAAATGGATGCTCCAGGACTCTACAGATTCTTTAAATGTTCCTTAGCTTAAAAAGTTTCTTTCTCATCAAATTAGCTCATTTTAGGTATTGGTCATAAAATGATGTGAAAGGTAAACAGAAGAAAAGGTCTATAAAAGTGGACCTAATGATTAATCCTAGTAGTTCTTTACTACTACAGTTCTTGAAATTCTCCATCACATTGGAATGGATAAAAAAGGCCAGCAGGAGGCAGAAGTGAAAGGAAGAGAAAGTCTCTTAAAATGTACAGCATTCCCCTTGGTCAGTGTTTCTACTAGTGTGTCCATACTCAGCACCGAAGAGAAGCGAACACTATCAATGCTCCAGTCTTCATTAGCACTTCATCTCTTCAGTTTAAAAAGTTGTATTTCCTGAGCAGAAATGTTATAGAGAGATTGAGAATAAGCCTCCCAATTAGAGAAAGAAGAAGCACAGGCAAAGACATACCTGAGCATGGTGAGGGGCAGGAAACCCTGTCCCCAAAGCTCTGAGCATAGAAATCCCCTCCACCCTGCAAGACCCTGGGATGGGCCTCTGGGCATAAACAAGGGCAGGAGTCTCTCTACATAAAACTTTTGCCAAAATAGGATGAAGTAGGCAAATGTTACAGCCAAAATAATATTTCACTGCTAATAGAAAAACAGGCAGAAAAAACTACCTTGTCACCTTTTCTGGGAAAAGCAAAAATAAAGTTGTATTTCATCCTTAATTTTCTACCTTGTGGGCTAAAATAAAAGGAAAATTACTTCTGGGCAATACTGCACATATTATAGAATAATGAGCCATCTTAAGCAGTTGGGCAAGAAGCAGAACAACAAATGTTCACTCCAGAAAAGAAGAGAATCATGCAAAAATAATAGTGTTGTTTTCAGAAGTAAACCTTAAAAAGAAATCAAAAGGGAGATATAATCAGATACACTATCAAGGGCCAACTAGGAATGCCACACGTATCATTGTTAAAGAGACAGTGTGACGCTTGGGTATGCACTGGAAATTTGGCACTTGGGAAGCTGATCTGATTCACACCTGGCTTCTCACTGCCCTCATGGCCCTCTCTACCTGCAGCACCAAATCAAACCATTTCATATCAGCTTTCTCCTCTCTCTCTCTCTCTCTAATTGTTAATTAATTGAACACTACAACAAGTTATTCTGTAAAGCCAGCTAGTAAGATGGTCCCAAACACACCAAATCAATCAGCTTTCAAGACTGGCTTCTAATTGCATGTGGCCCTTCTGTGACTCTGTGTTGGCAAAATTATTAAGATGGCCCCCAAGATTCCTGCCCTCTGGTGTATATGCCCTGAATAATTCCCTTCCCTTGAGTGTGAAGGCACTTATGGATATAATGGAATATCACTCTCTATATCAATATGTTAAGATGAATGGCAGAAGGTATAAACAGATGTAATTAAGAGCCCTAAGTAGTTGACTTTGAGTTAATAAAAAGACAGATTATGCCTAGTAGGCCTAACCTAATCAGGGAGACCTTACAAGACTTCAGATATTTCAAGTGAGAGAGATTTCTCCTGCTCATGCTGGAGAGGCAGACAGTCATGTTGTGAACTGCTAATACAGGACATATGGCAAGAATCTGAGGGCACCCCCAGAACCCAGAGTAGTTCCCAGACAACGACCAGCAAGAAGCTGGGACTTCACTCCAGCAACCCAAAGCAACTGAATTCTGCCAAGGACCAGTGAGACTAGCAGAGGATGAGAAGCCTCTAAGGGACATGCAGCCCTGGCTGACCCTCTATTCCAGCTAAGTGAGAACCCGAGCAGAAAGCCCACCTAGCCCATACCCAGACTTCCCATCTGGGGAAGCTCTTTGATAATAGACGTATGCTGTCTGAAGTCACTATGTTTGGGGTACTTTCTAATGCAGCAATAGAAAACTAATGAATTTATCGCTGAGCCTTAACATTTGAGAAAAATATGCCTAATCCAAGGTTTTGAGGTACTGTGAGGATTTATTACGTAATGTAAGAGAAGACACAAAAGGCCTTCTTTTTAAGATAGAAAAAGATGTATCTATTGTTTTGGTTGAGGGCATGTGATCGCCATTCATGCTGTTCATCAAGCATTTCCAGCAATCCCCCATTCTAGATGCTGACAGCCCTGCACAGGAGTCCTCTTATCTGAGGTTTCATTTGTCAGGGCTCTGTTACCCATAGTAAATGGCAGTCAACTGAGGTCTAAAAATATCAAATGGAAAATCCCAGAAATAAACACTTCATAAGTTTTAAATTGTGAGCCATTCTGAGTATCGTGATGAAGTCTCTGACCTTCCCAGTCTGTCCCACCAGGGATATGAATCTTCTCTTTGTCTGGTGTCTCCATGCTTTAGATGCTCCCACTCATTAGCCAGTTAGCAGCCATCTCAGTTGTCAGATGGGAAAAACACAGGGTTTGGTACTATCAGCAGTTTCAGGCATCCACTGGAGTCTTGTCTGTCTGCCCTTGGTGTAATCCTTGTTGGATGGATGATGTGCATGATGTTGGCAATGAGATGGAAGCAGAGGTGATATGTGTCATTTCTGGGCCACAGCACTTGACCAATCCAAGACTCTCCAGAGCTCTCTTTCTCTCTGCTATAGTGCACAGCAGTGTTCCTGATAACCTGGGTCTACAGTGAAGACATGTGGGGTGGATCCTATTCTCTCATTATGGACCTGTAGTGTCAATAAAGTCTTTGTTATTTTAAAACTCTATAATTGTATGGTTGTTTGTTACTGTGGCATAACTTAGCCCATGCTGACTTGAATGGGGGCTTACCAAACTACACAGCCCAAAAAGATAGCCAGAAACACAGATATGAAAAGATAAGATAGGAGGGCATACAACATCTTTCATGTCTTCATCTGTCTAAGTTATTTCTGCTCCTCATTGTAAAAAACAAATACCTGAAGTAACTGCAAGCAGGAAAGAAAAACATGAGAATGTTAGATGTCTCATCCATGTTGAAAAGCATGGAAATAGCAGGAAATAGCACTAATGTCTGAGAAGAAGGTCAGAACCAGCAGAGTGGTTGGCTCTTTTCTCTACTCTCCAGTGAAGAGTGAGGGAAGCTCTTCTTGCACAACTCTTCTTAGGACAAATGCCATCATCAGTCTTTAAGGTTCCCAGGGTCCCTTAATTGCTAGGGGCTAGAAGGCAGAGTCTTCATGTCCTGCTGAGCAAGAGTGCCAAAGATAATTTAGAGCAAGTGTGTTTATCCAGCAGAAACAAACAACACAAACAAACAGAAAGTCTAATGGTGGGGTGGGGGGAAGGTACTATCAGAAGAAAAAAGAGATGGGCAGTAAAATCCTGTTTTAGAAAAGGAGAGAAGCACATCGGGCTAATAGGAAGATGTGTGTTATGTGATCAGTTTGATCAGTTTTAAGGGTCATTTGAAAGTAGTTCAGATGGCTTCTGAGGCAAACACTAAACTTAGAACTTAAAGATAGAGGTTCTGGTGAAATGTTCTTTGGGAAATTAGCAGAAATTCCATTCTAGCAGGTTTGGATTTTGAAGATAAAAATACCACTGGCTCTGTGAATAGTGGGATACTTAAAGCAGACTTGTATAAATTAAGCTAACCTTATGTATATCTTCTCAAAGTGTTATTCTGCTCAGATGACATCAATAATGTATAGCCAAGGAAATGAATTGAGGAGGGAAAGAGCTCCTGACTAGCACCTGGTAACTCTTGACCAATTATAATAGGACTGACTAAATTCTACTTCTCAGACAGTTAAATTTTATCAGAAAGATACATCATCAAGAACTAGAGCTGGGCACTATTACTTGTGGAACATATTTCAATTTGAATATATTAGCTGTGTCTACATAGGAAGAGGAAATGGAATTCTGGAGAAACGAACTTGGTAATTCAGGCCATAACCTCATATTTACAAAGAAAACATAAAGTAATTGTGACAAAACACGTTGTTCAATTGAGTCCCCTAAGGTAATTGCTTCAATTCCCTCACCCCACCTTTTTCTATAGATGTGTAGTCATAGTTTTGGGGAATGATAAGAATATCGTGGATGTCTGAATGTTGTCCCAGGGGACACACTCCTAGTAAGAGCCCCAAAGCTATTGTATCTGCAAAATATTTGCCTACTAGTCATAGGCTCTTCTCACTTCAATGCTAGGTGATTTGACCAGCATACAGCTACTACAGGCAAGCTAGGTACAGTGTTTTTCAGGTTCTATCTGTATCTCTCTGGACCTGTGCGATCAAGTCATCTGGATGATGAGAACAGAGTATAGCATTATTTAAAGGAATACCATTCTGCTCTCACAAAGTCAGTATTCACAACAGGGAGAGGTAGCAATTTAGGGTACATTTAAATGTAACTAACTGCATCATATTTAACAAATCAATGAGCTCATCACCAAAGATACTAACATAGGCATGTGCTGACTTCTCACGCGCCACCTGAAATTTGTAAAGGGGTGGCGCAAAAGAGGTAGTTTGAGTGTTCTGAAAGAATCACTTCCTTTCCAGAACCAGTTTTCCTCCCCCTGGTTTCTCAGCTTTTCTTTTAAATAGCAATGCTGACGCTTTATTAGTTAATCAATAAGACATGATACAGAGTATGGTTATCATAAAATAATCATACCCTGGAGCATTTTGAGGCATGAGCCACTTGCCTCTAATCAGATTGGGTTGAGATTACCTTTGGATAATCACACTCCTGGGAACTGTCTCATTTCTATTATGAGTACATTTTATAATAGGGAAAAATGTACATTTCTGCAAGGGGGAAAATGAAGCTGGCAGCGTATACCTAGCAATCATTTCAGTTGAGCTGAGAAACATTCCTCTTTTTGAACAAAGTCAAACTATGCTTCGTCTATTCAAGCAATGTCAGAGAAAAGAGGCACCTCACATGCAGTGTGGGAGATGCAATACAATGGAAACTGTATTTTACATGGCATTGCAAGCTTCAAATTATATGCAAACATTCAAAAAGGGCATTTGAAACTTGGCATGCATGTTTATAAATGGCACATTTTGAATCTGGAGTGGGTTTAGGTGTCTAGGTTACAATAACAGATGATCTCCCATGTAAAAACGGAACAAAGACTTTCTTTAGCTTCCTACAGAGAAAGATGTTCATTTCGGCTTCAATTATAATACTAGGCACACTGGAGATTCTGTTAAGAGCAATTTCTGTCTATTCCTCCTTATCCTGACCAGCCAAAAATTTTAATCAAATTACATACATTGGAAAGCTAAAGACAGAAAAGCCCAGTGAGGCATGAAATACACTTTACAACAGTGTGCACAGCACTTAGCCTGTTGGTTTTAAATGATGGAAAAAATCTATTTAAAATGTTAGATGAACACACTGCAGGCTGCAGAGATGATTATAAACTCTTAGAGCTGTAGGTTTTAATCCTATATTTTTACACATAGTATTTATATCCAGGAAGTTTTAACATGGGATAAATGATAAAGAAAAAAAATGATGGTGAAATACTTATGTTAATTACTCTGTGATGGAAGTAAATTTTTGTAACTAATAATGAAAGTGAGAGACAAGAAAGCCAGACATTATTATTGCCATATTGGTGGAATCAGATGCCTAATATTCTGTGTGTTATTTTTTTTTATCTATATAGCTCTCATAATAAAACAAAATTATTTCAGGTTGATCTTCTGAATGAAAGGAGAAAGGTGAGACAGAGTAAAGAGAAACAGTCTCATTTATGGATTTGTTACATTAGAATTAAATTTAGCTTCTATATGGCAACACCACATTTGACTAATGATACCCCCTTTCAACGCTGGTATTTCAAGAGGCTCAGAATGTCTGTCTGGGGTCCAACAATTGCTTAATCCTTCCTACTATTTCATTTCCTCCGAATTCTACTTGATCTCTACAAAACAGCAAGGACAGCTGGGCTCCTGGCTTGAAAGAAATAAGGCCTGGCCAGAAAGAAACCAAGTAAGGATTTGTACTAGTCATTAAAAATTCAACTCACAGGATGAGATAGAAGAGTCCATTTTTAATTCAGAGAGCAGAAAGGCTCCCTACCTCAGATTTCCCCAAGTTGGTCGATTACTTGTGTTTTCTGCTAACAGTGTCATTTTCCCTTTCCCAGAAGAGCCCAGAGGCAGCCCCAACACAAACTGTGCTGCCACCCCACACCCCCAGAATGAAAGTCAGCCGAGGGCTACATAGGTGGAGCTAGAATGAAAGGGCCTGAGAACAGGCTCATCTTCTTCTAGAAGTCAAGCCTGGCCCTGCCCTGGACTGGGATGGGAATTCTCAGAAGCCTTCTTCCACCATTTTGACATCCCTGGCCCCATTAGTTCACTTCGGCCTTGACTCTAACATCACCACTGCCCTGAACAACTTTCTATAAGGCCACCCCATAGTTAAGCAAGTGGACTGCACCAACGTCCTCCTTGGTTGCTGCTACATTTGACACTCTTAAACATGCTGCTCTTGAAATTTCTTCCTACCTATGTGACATTTCACTATTACTGTCTCTCCTACATTCAGTTTGCTAGGTCCTCTTTCTTCCCTAAATACTAAACATCTTCCCAAGACCAAGAGCATTTTTGGCCCTTCGTTTTCCTCTCTGTGTAATGAACCCTCTCTCATAGCATCTACTATGTCAAATCCACAAGTATGACTTTTACCCATGACTAGTTTATTGTCTTCCACTAACACTCAAACCTGACCAAAACTGAGCTGACTTATTGTGGTGTGCAGAATTCTAAGATGGCTCTCTGTGTGATTTCTGCCCCCTGGTATTCAGACCTTTGTGCATCCTCTCCCCTTAAGTGTGGATAGAAGCTGTGACTTGCTTCTAATTCACAGAATATGGCAAAGGTGAAGGAACTTAGCAGATGTAATTCATGTCCCTAATCAGTTGACTTTGAGTTTATCAAAAGGGAAACTATCCTAGGTAGACCCAGCCTAATCAGGTGAGATCTTTAAATCCAGGTACAGGCCTTCCCTGAAAGAAGACTCTCAAAGCAAGAGAGACACTCTCCTGTTGACTGTGAAGAAGCAAATGGCCATGCTGTGAACTGCTGATGGAGAAGACAGCCTCTAGGAGCTAAGGGCCTCAGTCCTATAATCATAAGGAACTAAATGCTGCCAATAATCTGAATAAGCCTAGAAAAGGCTCCCAAGCTCCAGATAAGAACACCAGCCTGGGCTGGGTGTGGTGGCTCACACCTGTAATCCCGGCACTTTGGGAGGCCAAGGTGGGTGGATCACGAGGTCAGGAGATTGAGACCACCCTGGCTAATGCAGTGAAACCCGTCTCTACTAAAAATACAAAAAAAAACATTAGCCGGGTGTGGTGGTGCATGCCTGTAGTCCCAGCTAATCGGGAGGCTGAGGCAGGAGAATGGTGTGAACCTGGGAGGCAGAGCTTGCAATGAGCCGAGATCGCACCACTGCACTCCAGCCTGAGCGACAGGGCAAGACTCCGTCTCAAAAACAAACAAACAAACAAAATCAGCCTGGCTGCCCACGCAACTCTAAGTAGAGGACCCAGCTTAGCTGTGCCAGGACTCCAGACCCACGGAAATTGTGCATTGTGTAAATTCAATAGGTTGTGGTAAATTGTTTTATAGCAACAGAAGACTTAACCTTTCCAACTGCTTTCTTACTGTCCACTTGGGCTCAAAGCTTTAAAGTTACCTATGACTCTTTCCTTTCATCACATACCAAGATCTGTCACTTATTCTCAGCCAATATCTACTGAATTCAGCTGCATTCCTCTATTTTATTCAAATCCTTCATTTATTCAGCACATATTTGTTCAGCTCTGGGTATGCAATGGTAAATGAGACAGGTATGGTTCCTGACATTATGCAAAGTAAAGTTTAGTGGATAAAATAAACATTGAACATATAATTGCAAGGTGCTTTCAGAGAATTCTGGAGGGAACTTTAACCTAGTCTGATTGGGGAGGAGGTAAAGCAGGCCTTACTACCTCAAGCCTGAAAAATTATACTAGGCTTCTTGTTCCTTCAGGCAGTTACACACAGAATTTCTGGGCTCATCTTTCTCAAAGATATTTTCCAACTTGAGGAAATTGTCTTCTGTTTGAAGACTTTCAGTGGCTCCCTATTACCTCACAGATACAATAAAGAAAACATTGATAATGTTGTAGCAAATGTCATTGTGCCTCATCTAACAAAGGCCCAGAGAGTTTTAGAGACTTGAATGAAGCCACAGAAATGGTAGAAACAAGACCAAATTCCCTATGAGCAAACCCTGAATCAAATCCTCTTTATACATTATAGCTACCTCTTTGATATTGTAAAATGTACCCATGTTTCTGTAATCATAAGTATGGAGCTTACAAATGTTACAGATAAATCAGGTAACGTCCCCAAATAAAAAGTACTTAACTTATTTTTGGCCCTTATCTCGGGAGCAGTTTGGTTAGTCTACATGCTTAAAGCTAATTTAAGATCAATGTTTGATTAATATGCCTGCATTCACAAGCCCGGGACTATAAAATGAAGGTCACATTTACACTTGCACCTTAATTACAATAACACTGAAACTCCCACCTGCTAAAGAAGAATATAGCAGTAGTGGACACCTCTTGGTGCTCCACCTAGCTCCCCTTTAGAGACCAAGCACTCACTACTAAGTTTGGGGTTTTTAACAAGGAACAGCTTTCCTTTTCATCAAAGAATTGCCCTCAGGAACCTCTTCATTAGGAAGGCTATTCCAGCCCTCTACACTTGGGACTTGGGGGCAAACATCAGCCAATGACTGGCTGAGACATGGAGTACAAAAGGCCAATTCTGTGATGTGATTCACTTTCCAGAATCCGTGCGTGGGGTCCGATGGAAGCTAACTTCCAGCTGAGACTTCGTTCTTGAGTAGCTTTCTTCCCCTTCCCTATCCTGCTTCTCTCATGCGCTTCTCCCAAGAACGGTGCTCAAATCAGTCACTTGGGCAAGAATTCCTACCTCAGGCAAGTTTTTAAGTAACCTATCCCCAAACGAGAAACTAACTCTGAGTATTCCTCATTTGTTTCTGTAAGCCACTGAGGGAGCCTCCTAGGTGCCTACTAACCAATCTGTCATGGCAGCCTCATTTACGTCCTCCACCGTTTCCTCTCCCATGCAGATGTCCTTACCACTGCCCAGGTATCTGGTTGACTGAACTCCACCATGATTTCTGCTGAAGGCTTGCATTTTGAGAACAATAATGTTTATGCTAAGGATGCTGGTTATTGGAGGTTCCCCAAACTGGCAATGGTCAAGATGCTGCAGTCCTCCTGACTTCCACACAGAGTTGGAAGAATGGCCTTTTTCTTTCTTTCTGGACACTCATTCATGGAGTCCCCACAGCAGGTCTGCTTTTGTCCAGAGTTTCAGGAGGTCTGCTTTCTGGCTTTTATTTCTCTAATCCTGAGGGATCAATCCCATTTCTAGGGGTAGATGGCAAAGCTGACAGCATCCCCTTAAAATCTTCTTACAGCCTATGCCCTCAACCGAACACATCCCTCCTATTCCAGCTAAAAAATAAAAGCCCATGGTGAGCATGAGTGCATGGGGAGGAAGCCTTATCTACACCAGCATCTTCTGGCACCATATTCAGCCAGCCAAATTTTTTTTAACTCAGTTTTTATTTTAAGCCTGTATCACGGAAACCTCCTTCCTGAAACTATTTTGGATAGAGAACTTCTGTAAAGAAGAACAGATACAACCTGTTTTTGAGAAACTCTTAGTTCATGAAAGTTATTAAAATGTGCTTAGATACACATAGGAAAAACTTTCAAAATACAATTCCTCTAAACCTTACAAAGTTTATTTGGTTTTAAATAAGGAACTTTTAGAATGAAATCCAAGAATTTTTTCCATTTCTCTTTCACAGAGATTCAAAGTTTATGTGGTATTTTCTCTAATACATTATTAAAACAATTCTCAAGCATACAGCAAAGTTGAAAGAATTTTATAGTAAACATCTCCATACTCATCATCTATATTTTACCATCAAAGTTTTACATATTACACTGGCTTTCTCATATCATGTTACATCTAACGATCAATCTCTCCCTCCATCAGTGATGGTGGTTTCATTATTTTTAAAAAAGACATCTCATACTTTGATTTAGAACAAGAAAATATTCCATATTCGGAAGTCTAAGTGAAAAGAAATCATACTGGGTATTATCTCTTCAACAATAAAAATATTAGAGGCATAATCTCTTATAGTCTTAAGAAGCTGCACTTGCCAGACTGGCCTGGTGGGGACATCTTAAATTATCTTTAAAAATACTAGTTCTGGGTGAATATTATTTTAAAGCAATGGGTAAAGCAGTCATGAATTAGGTCACATGGTAAGGTGAGCAGAATGTCAAGTAAAATTTTAAGTTCTAATTCCCTAAAGCCTTTGTCAGTTCAATCATCAGTGTGGGAAGCTATTTTTACTTAATCAGTAGGTAAATGTGCCTATTTATTAACTCTTGTGTATGAAGTCAGAAACTGAACTTCAGTTACAATATTAATGCACTAAATAGAACCATATAAACCTCTCTAACATTTACATTTATGTGATCAAATCACCTGAAAAGTATTAACATTAGGAGCACTATACTCCATTTTGTGACACCATTTTTGATAGGGCTCTAAGCAGAGACAAGTTTGGGCTAGCAAAAAAGCAGACATACATTTTGTTTTACTTTCATAAAAGTAAAATTTGTTTATGTTGGTACATATCAAGTAGTTTTATCATTTCAAATAGAATAACCATACAGTTGACTCAAAGAAAATTTGGCTGATTGATTTGTTGCTTAAAGTGGCTAGTTCCTTGAGAATGCTACAAGAGAATGGCAATGGTGATAAAAGCCAAATCCCTGCATAAAAACAGAAAACAAGTAGAGAGTTTAACCCAAAAGCCATGGACTACATTTACAACGAAACTTGGTTCATGGAGATAGCCCAAAATACAAGTGGGTGAGGACGACCCACCAATAGCCACAAGATTTGCCTCATATTAGCATCTGTGCAGAGGGAAGCTGAGAGAAGCTATAGGGCATCTCCCAGATGTGAAAGCAGGAGAGTTCAGAATTCACTGAAAGCATAGCAGGCCAATTAGCAGACAACAGGTGAAACCAACAGGGTTTCATCTACTCCAATAGTAGGTGATTACAAGGTGCACAGTAAAATCTGAAGAGTCCATAAACTTTTGAAAATGATCAGCCAGGGCTCCCTTCCAGGCCAGGGCCCCAACACTATAGCAAAAGGGCTGATAGTAAACCAAACCTCAAAAGGACCAAGACAACAGAGAGCATGGAAAGAAATGGTGCAGATAAAAGTGGGAGAGGGAAGCAAAATCAGGAAATTTAAGAACACAAGCTACGGTATTATGTTAACACCATAAGAAAACAAGCGGTAGCTCTGTGAAATCAGAAAAACTCCCTGAATCAAGCCTCTTTCTAAAAGTTAAGGCAAACTAATGCCACATAAAAATAAACACTGAAGTACTGAAGTCAGATTTCATGCTGTTATTAAAAAAAAAATAGAATAAGGAGGAGAATAACATTCCTAGTCAGTGAGAGGATTTCAGAAAGACATGCCCATAAAATAGATAAACATTAACCTATTATTTCTCTTCTCTTCTCTTCTTTTTCTTTTTTTTTCAGATGGAGTCTTGCTCTGTCGCCCAGGCTTGAGTGCAGTGGCACAATCTTGGCTCACTGCAACCTCCGCCTCTAGGTTCAAGTGATTACCCTGCCTCAGCCTCCCAAGTAGCTGGGATTACAGGTGCCCACCACCACGCCTGCTAATTTTTGTATTTTAGTAGAGGCGGGGTTTCACCATGTTGGTCAGGATGATCTCTATCTCCTGACCTCGTGATCTGCCTGCCTCGGCCTTCCCAAAGTGCTGGGATTACAGGTGTAAGCCACTGTGCCAGGCCAACCTATTACTTCAAAATGATCTAAAAGATATTAAGAAAATAAAACATAACAGAGCAACATAAATCAGAAGTAGAAAAATGAGGTGACAAAACTTGAGAAAGAAACAGAAATTAAACAATCACTTTTGAAATGAAGAATAAAATAAAAGGAGCATGAAAATAAAAAGAAAATAAAACACCTTAAAAAGAATAGAAAGTGAAAGGGGAAGTTTATTTTTAAATAAAAGGAAGAAAGAAATAAAAAGTATTTGAGAAAAAATGACAGATACTGAAAACAGTCAAAGGAGATCCAATATATGGATAATAGAAATTCTTGAAGAAGAAAAACAAGGCAACAGAACAAACACTAAAAAGTATAAATAAAAAAATTCCTAAAGCAGACAAATATTTGAAACTACATTTTAAGCTTAGTAGTCTTCAGATAAAAAGAAACAATTATTTGAGCATCTACCCTCTCTTCCCCAAAAAAGAAAATTAGATTACACATAATCAATCAAACATTTCTAGCAATGCTTTGTGGCAGGAAAAAATGGAGTAACATATTTAAGACAAGAAAAGAAAATATAAGCCAAAGATTTAAATCTAGCAAAAACATATTTTTCACTACAAAGGGCACAAACTAGTATCAATATGTGACAACTCAAAGAATGTCATTCCCATAAGTGATTCTTTAGGAATCTACTAGAGCAGGGATCTCCAACCTGGGGGTCCACAGACCCTGGGACTGGTCCATGGCCTGTTAGGAACCAGGCTGCACAGCAGGAGGTGAGCAGCAGGTGAGCGAGCATTACTGCCTGAGCTCCGCCTCCTGTCTGATCAGCAGTGGCATTAATCTCTCATAGCAGCATGAACCGTTTAGTGAACTGCTCATGTGAGGCATCTAGATTGTGGGTTCCTTATGAGAATCTAATGCCTGATGATCTGAGGTGGAACAGTTTCATCCCGAAGCCATCCCCTAATCTCTCTGTTCATGGAAAAATTGTCTTCCATGAAATTGGTCCCTGGTGCCAAAAAGGTTGGGGACTGCTGTACTAGAGAATAAACTTCAGACAACAATAACTCAGAGATATTACACAAGGGCTGATGATGAGCAATAGATTCATGGTTACTTGTAGAACTAAGACTAAATAAGTACTAAGAACTAATAAAGGTTAAAAGATATGTAATAGTTATTTGCTTTGACAATGTAAACATAGTTCAAGCATAAAAAATGGGGGAATAGAAATAGGCAAATGTTAGCATGCTCTCGTTAAGAAACATCATAAATGGTTTTATTTCAGTAATGAAAAAGTTTGAAAGTTTGACAGAGAGATAACTTTGTAAGCAAACATTAAGAATATGTAATTAGAACATATTTCTTTAGTAACTGAAAGCTTTGTGGGAAGAACGGAGCATTAAGAAGCTATCGTAGGGTCAGGTGAGAGCTGATGGCTTGGGCTAGGCAGTGGTAGCAGAGATGGGGAGAAGGGGAGGATATGGCTTCTAGGATGCATTCCCAGGACTTGCTGATATGGGGATGAGGGAAATATAGGAATAAGGGCTAACTTCTAAATTTGCTTTTCAACACTTGATGGATGCTGATCCTCTGAAGACTGGGGATAGAGAAGGTTTTGGGTGGCAGCAGTGGTGGTGATGTTGGAAGAACAACTAATCTGTTTTTGCCATATTCAGTTTAAGATGCATCTTAGACTCCATTTGCACATCTGTCAAGCAGACTATTAGTAGATACTGAAGTCTGGAGTTCTAAGTAGAGATTAGGGTAGATTTGGGAGTCAAATAGATACATTTACATCTATGGAACAGAATGAGGTCACATGTGAGAGTGATTGGATTTTTAAAAGCAGCAGCTTCAGCACAGAGCCATGGGAGAATGCCAACATTGGGATGAGAAGCAGAGAAGTCAGCACAAAAGGCTTCTACATGTGCTTGATAAGTGTGGTGTCAGGAAGCTGGTCTCCAGCCACTGCTGCAGTGACATGTCCCATGAAGGCTCTAACAGCTTCATACAGGTACAAATGGGAAGTGCCTGTCTCAGGTAGAAACCAGCCATCTCCCCCTTTCTGCCCTGGGGCTTATCTGACCCATGAAATAGGAATCTGCTGACACTTGTGCATGAACTGAGACTGAGAAGATAACACTTGTGAGACTACCTCTGAGCTGTGGGAAATGAGATCCAGTAGATACATGCTTCCCTTTCTATCCCCCAGGCAGATGGTTCTAAGGTACATTTTATCACACTCTTCAGGGTCTCATGAATTAATCACTTCTTGCACCAATCACCTGTAACTGTGGCCACTTCCGTAATAGGACCTTTTATTGACTTTCCTTTCTTCTCTATGACCTCTGATATAGTTGGCTGTGTCCCCACCCAAATCTCATCCTGTAGCTCCTATAATTCCCACATGTTGTAGGAGGGATCTGGTGGGAGATAAATGAATCATGAGGGTGGGTCTTTCCCATGCTGTTCTCATGATAGTAAATAAGTCTCATGAGATCTGATGATTTTAAAAACAGGAGTTTCCCTGCACAAGCTCTCTCTCTACCTGCTGCCACCCACGTAAGATAAGACTTGCTTTTTCTTTCCTTCCACCATGATTGTGAGGCCTCCCCAGCCATGTGGAACTGTAAGTCCATTAAACCGCTTTCTTTTGTAAATTGCCCAGTCTCATGCATGTCTTTATCAACAGCATGAAAATGGACTGATACAGTAAATTGGTACCAGTAGAGTAGGGTGCTCCTGAAAGATACCCAAAAATGTGGAAGTGACTCTGAAACTGGGTAACAGGCAGAGGTTGGAACAGTGTGGAGGGCTCAGAAGACAGGAAAATGTGGGAAAGTGTGGAACTTCCTAGAGACTCGTTGAATGGCTTTGACCAAAATGCTGATAATGAAATGGACCATGAAATCCAGGCTGAGGTAGTCTAAGGTGGAGATGAACTTGTTGGGAACATAACTCTTGTTATGTTTTAGCAAAGAGACTGGCAGCATTCTGCCCCTGCCCTAGAGATTTGTGGAACTTTGAACTTGAGAGAGATGATTTAGGGTATCTGGCAGAAGAAATTTCTAGGCAGCAAAGCATTCAAGTGGTGACTTGGGTGCTGTTAAAGGTGTTTAGTTTTAAAAGGGAAACAGAGTATAAAAATTTGGAAAATTTGCAGCCTGACAATGCAATGGAAAAGAAAATTCCATTTTCTGAGGAGAAATTCAAGCTGGCTGCAGAAATGTGCATAAGTAACAAGGAGCCAAATGCTAATTCCCAAGACAATGGGGAAAATGTCTCCAGTGCATGTCAGAGGTCTTCGCAGCAGCATCCCCCATCACAGGCCCTGAGGCCTAGAAAGAAAAAATGGTCATGGGCTGGGCCAAGGGTCCCCATGCTGTGTGCAGCCTAGGGACTTGGTGCCCTGCATCCCAGCCACTCCAGCCGTGACTCAAAGGGGCAAGGTACAGGTCGAGCTGTGGCTTCAGAGGGTGCAAGCCCCAAGCCTTGGAATTTTCCACATGGTGTTGAGCCTGCAGGTGCACAGAAGTCAATAATTGAGGTTTGGGAACCTCTGCCTAAATTTCAGAGGATGTATGGAAATGCCTGGATGCCCAGGCAGAAGTTTGCTGCAGAGTGGGGGCTCTCATGGAGGACCTCTGCTAGGGCAGTGCAGAAGGGAAATGTGGGGTTGGAGCCACCACACAAAGTCCCTATTGGGGCACTGCCTAGTGGAGCTGTGAGAAGAGGGCTACCATTCTCCAGACCCCAGAATGGTAGATCCACAAACAGCTTGCACTGTATGCCTGGAAAAGCCACAGACACTCAATGCTAGCTCATGAAAGCAGCAGGAGGGAGACTGTACCCTGCAAAGCCACAGGGGCAGAGCTGCCCAAGACCATGGGAACCCACCTCTTGCATCAGCATGACCTGGATTTGAGACATGGAGTCAAAGGAGATCATTTTGCAGCTTCAAGGTTTGACTGCCCCACTGGATTTTGGACTTGCATGGGGCCTATAGGCCCTTTGTTTTGGCCAATTTCTCCTGTTTGGAATGGCTGTAGTTCCCCAATGCCTGTACTCCCATTGTATCTAGGAAGTAACTAACTTGCCTTTGATTTTACAGAATCATAGGTGGAAGGGACTTGCCTTGTCTCAGATGAGACTTTGGATGGTGGACTTTTGAGTTAATGCTGAAATGAATTAAGACTTTGGGGGACTGTTGGGAAGGCATGACTGGTTTTGAAATGTGAGGACTTGAGATTTGGGAGGGGCCAGGAGTGGAATGATATGGTTTGGCTCTGTCCCCCACAAATCTCATCCTGTAGCTCCCATAATTTCCATGTGTTGTGGGAGGGACCTGGTGGGAGATAATTGAATCATGGGGGTGAGTCTTTCCCATGCACTTCTCATGACAGTAAGTAAGTCTCATGAGGTCTGATGGTTTTAAAAACAGGAGTTTCCCTGCACAAGCTCTCTCTTTTCCTGCTGCCATCCATGTAAGATGTGACTTGCTTTTTCTTGCCTTCCACCATGATTGTGAGGCCTCCCCAACCACATGGAACTGTAAGTCCGTTAAACCTCTTTCTTTTGTAAATTGCCAAGTCTCAGATTGTCTTTATCAGCAGCATGAAAATGGACTAATACAACCTCTCACTTCAGCTTCCTGGAATCCTTCTCCAAATAAACCATCTGACTACAAGTCTTTGTCTCAGGCTCTGTTTTAGGAGGGAACCAAATATTTCTTTCTTTTTTTTTTAATTAAAAAGTAAACTTTAATGTCAAAAATGCAAACTTGAGGAAGACAGGAAAAATCACACACAAGGCTGTCACTTCACACTTGGAAAGTTGCACAGCAGCCAGGCAGAGGTGCTCCTCACTTCCCAGATGGGGCAGCGGCCGGACAGAGGTGCTCCTCACTTCCCAGGTGGGGTGGCTGGGCAGAGGTGCTCCTCACTTCCCAGACAGTGGGCAGCTGGGCAAAGGCACTCCTCACTTGCCAGATGGTGGGCAGTCGGGCAGAGGGGCACCTCACTTCCCAGATGAGGTGGCCGGGCAGAGGCGCTGGAGGGAACCAATATTTCAAGAACCAGACAGTATTAATTTGTGTTGAATGCTCCCAAGAGGCCAAGGTCCACAGGATGTGACTAGATTGGATTACTGGGAACCCTGACAAGAGCAGTTCCAGTGGAGAAGACACTCAATATGAGGAGTTTGAAGAGAATAGGAAATGGGGAAATGAAGACAGCAAATGGTAGACATTCTTTCAAGGGTCCAAATCCTGTGGACCTTTGACTTCTCAGCTATTGTCTCCCTTTTGAAATATATCGCACTTGACAGTGACTGGGGAGGAGAAATATGGGCCAACAGCTTGACCCTACATAGGATCAAGGCAAGGTTTTTTTATTTTTATTTATTTATTTATTTATTTATTTTTATACTTTAAGTTCTAGAAAACATGTGCACAAAGTGCAGGTTTGTTACATATATATCCATGTCCCATGTTGCTTTGCTGCACTCATTAACTTGTCATTTACATTAGGTATTTCTCCTAATGCTATCCTTCCCCCTGCCCCCTACCCCACGACAGGCCCCAGTGTGTGATGTTCCCTGCCCTGCGTCCACGTGTTCTCATTGTTCAATTCCCACCTATGAGTGAGAACATGTGGTGTTTGGTTTTCTGTCCTTGCAATAGTTTGCTCAGAACCGTTTCCAGCTTCATCCACGTCCCTTCAAATGACATGAACTCATCCTTTTTTTAATGGCTGCATAGTATTCCATGAGGTATATGTGCCACATTTTCTTAATCCAGTCTATCATTGATGGCCATTTGAGTTGGTTCCAAGTCTTTGCTATTGTGAATAGTGCTGCAATAAACATACATGTGCATGTGTTTTTATAGCAGCATGCTTTATATACCCAGTAATGGGATGGCTAGGTCAAATGGTATTTCTAGTTCTAGATCCTTGAGGAATCACCACACTGTCTTCCACAATGGTTGAACTAGTTTACACTCCCACCAACAGTGTAAAAGTGTTCCTATTTCTCCACAACCTCTCCAGCATCTGTTGTTTCCTGACTTTTAAATGATTGCCATTCTAACTGGTGTGAGATAGTATCTCATTGTGGTTTGATTTGCATTTCTCTGATGGCCAGTGATGATGAGCATTTTTTCATGTGTCCATTGGCTGCATAAATGTCTCCTTTTGAGAATTGTCTGTTCATATCCTTTGCCCACTTTTTGATGGGGTTGATTTTTTCTTATAAATTTGTTTAAGTTCTTTGTAGATTTTAGATATTAGCTCTTTGTCAGATGGGTAGATTGCAAAAATTTTTTCCCATTCTGTAGGTTGGATCAAGGCAAGGTTTTTTAAAGTTGGGAGACAGTAGACCATAGGAATGATAAGCATGCCCAACAGAGAGGAAGAAACACATGCAAGATGGGGAGGGGAAATTGGGAATTAGAGCAGGTAGGATCTTGAGCCCAAGGATAGGGGTTGGCCTTTGCCCAGAACAGGGACCCTTCATTCATAGAGGCAGAGGGAAGGTAGAGTATAGACAGGTGTGGATATAGGTAGGTGTGTGGCTTAGATGGTGGGAAAATAATGGAATTCATCTCTGGTTGCTTCCATTTTCTCAACAAATTATATTATTAGGTCAACAGCTGAGGGAGGGCAGTTGGGAGTGTAGAAAGTTTGAAAAAATAAGATGACGGAAATAATTTTGGAAATTAAGAACACAAACATTGACTTAATCCATTTGCATTGCTATAAAGGAACACCTAAGGCTGGGTAATGTATCAAAAAAAAAGGCTTATTTGGCTCATAGTTCTGCAGCCTTTACTGCTGGTTTTCCCCTGTGGGTGCTGTACAAGAAGCATGATGTCAGCATCTGCTTTTAGTGAGGGCTTCAAGAAGCTTCCACTCACGGAGGAAGAGTAGGGGGAACAGGCATCTAACAGTGAGAGAGGAGAAAAGAGAGAGAGGAGAAGGTGCCATGCTCTTTTAGACAATCAGTTCTCACAGAGACTAATACAGTAGGAACTCATTCATTATCACAAGGATGGAACTGAGCCATTCATGAGGTATCTGTCGTTATGATCCAAACACCTCCCACCAGGTCCCACCTCCAACACTGGGGATCAAATTTCAACATGAGACTTGGAGGAAACAAATATCCAAACTATATCAAACATATTAAGCAAGTGATGGCTGAGCTGTACTGAGTGACCATTTATTTATTTTACTAGAAAGACTGATATTTAATTTCTATCCCATTTTGGGGGCAGGTGGCTTTTACATTCAGATACTGTTTATTTTTTAAAACTTGCTGTTACCAACATGACAGAGTAGGAAAAATCATAATAAAGAAGAGCAAAATGGAAACCCAGCCTCTCAGACCAAAAGCTAGGTGCCAGGAAGGGCCAGGGGAAGGATGACTGCTCAAAGGACCACGGTCCCACAAGGAACATTTAATTTGGGTCATATAATTGCCTCAATGTTGTCAATGTACATCAAAAAACTCCTGTTGCAAACACACAGATGATTTTTCAGTAAAAATATGCTTTAGAATACATATTTTTTCCAAAACAATGCATTAGATAGAATTATAATCTTTCCCCTATCAGCAGCCCGGAAAAATAAAAGTTCTATGAGTTTATTGCAGTGGTAGAGGTGAGACTCATTAAATGACTGTAGGCTTCCCCAACCATAAGCCTAATTAAAGAAGTTTCTAAGTACCACACTGAGCAGTGACATCATTGTTTCCCTAGTTACCCAATGTGGAGGCAGAAATGAATAAGCTAGATATAAATGCAATAACTGATGGGGTGGGAGTGTTATTACTTTTTATGGCCATGAGATCTGTAATCCCTGTAACTCAAAATGTGGTCACTCAAAACATGTAACCAAAAAATGTTATGGGGCCTGTTGACTCATTGCTTATGGTACTGGCAAAATACGTTGTATATTCATTTACTTTTGTGGGAGCTGAAAGTAGCTGTTTCGTTGGCTATATCTAAAGTCCTGAATTAGAGTTTTGTGTATAGGTCAACACAAAAATATACACATATTTTGTATTTTACAAAGAACTAGTAGATAACAAGTATCTGGTAAATATCACAAGATTATAAAATATGTATATGCTTATTTATATAATACACATGGTTCATTCCATTCATTCAGTTAAATGACACCTACTCATGATACTCTCAAAAGCTGAAACCATCCTGTTCCTACCCTGATATGAAACTTAAGTCCACTTTTCTTTTGTGCTTATTGTAATATGTAACCATCAAGTAGTCCTTTTTTCTTTAAGGTGATTGTCTTTCACAATCATCTTAAGTACTTTTTGGAACAACTCTAATAGGTAAGCTAAAATGATTATTCTCATTTTAGAGGTGGCAAAACTAAAGAACATAAAGTTTAAATGTTCCATGCAAACTCATCTTTCATTGTTGTTGTAAATACTTTTGTTTCAGGGTGCATCTGAGATCAATGGCCAAAGAAAATGGGCTCTGAACAGTGCTTCACTGTCACATCCAGGATCTGGAAAGTTGTATTTGAGTGCTGGGTTTGATATACGTTAACTAGAAGATAAAACATGCCGACTATGGCTAGCAGACACAGTGCCCCATCATGCCTGAACAAAAAGATATTTTATACCAGAAGTGCGGAACAGGATTTTTTGCAGTTTTGCTAGAATCCTTGTCACAGTGCTTAATAATGTTACATCATTTAGATAATAATTTTTCTAGTTTTCAGTTTACCTAATAGTACGTGTTCAATTATTTTATGGAGCTTTTTCAATCAGAACAACATCGTACCTGTCTTTTCAGTGTATTATTCCCAAATAAAAGTTTAACCTCTTTTCGGAATCTTAGGACTGTGCACTATAGCCATTAGTTTTATAAAAATCTGTGCTGGGGGAGGGGCCAAGATAGCCAAACAGAAACAGCTGCTGTCAGAGGCTCCCACTGAGAACGAAAATGGCAAGTGAATCCTGTACCAGCAACTGAGGTATCCAGGTTCTTTCACTGGGACTAACTAGGCAGTTGGCGTGACCCACGGAGAGCAAGGAAAAGCAGGGTGGAGTGATGGCCCACTCAGGAGCTGCACAGGGGAAGGGGAGCTCCCAACCCCAGCCAAGAGATGCGGTGAGTGATTGTGCTACACGGCCTGGGAAAACCACACATTTTCCACAGATCTCTGCAACCCACAGATCACGATACCCCCTCTCATGAGCCCACACCACCAGGGCTTTGGTTCCCAGCACAGAGCTGTGCAGGTTCTCAGCGGACATTTCGGCTGGAGGCTGACTAAGACTACCAAGTTCCCAGGGGCTTGGGCGGCTGTCATCACTGCAGCTGCTTGCTGCCTAAGACCAACTGAGCTCCCAGGGGGAAGGGTGGCCATTATCACTGTGGCTTCCTGCTGCCTAAGATGACTGAGCTCCCAGTGGGAGGGGCAGCAGCCACCACTGCAGCTCCAGTCTGCTGGTTTTCCCCTGTGGATGCTGGGGAGATTGGGTGGTTTGGACCCAGGAGGAATTCCCCACAGCACAGCACAGTGGCTGTGGCAGATCATGGCCAGACTGACTCTTTAGGCCAGACCCTTACCCGTCCCTCCTCAACCAGTGGGGCCTCCTTGTGGGAATTTTAGCTACTCAGGCCAGGGGTTTATAGTCAGAACTCACATCTCCCTGGGACAGAGCCTCGTAGGGGAAGGGCAGCCATGGTCTCTGCGGATCAGCAGACTTAGTCTTTCCGCCTGGTGTCTCTGAGGAGTCAGGGCAGTCTGGATGAGTGGGATTTCCCCAGCACAGCACACCCTCTCCACTGAGGAGCAGCTAGAGTGCTTTGTTAAGCGGGTCTCTGATCCCATGTCTCCTGACTGGGTGAGACCCCCACAACAGGATATGCCAGACGCCCTATACAGGGGCATTCCCACTGGCATCAGGGTGGTGCCCCTCTGGGACAGAGCTCCCAGAGGAAGGAGCAGGCAGTCTTCTTTGCTGTTCTGTAGCCTCCACTGGTGACACCTCCAGGTGTGGGAGGGACCCAGGCAAACAGGGTCTGGAGTAGACTCCCAGCAAACTGAAGCAGCCCTACAGAAGAGCATTCTGACTGTTAAAAGAAAAACAAACAGAAAGCAACAAGAGCATCAACAAAAAAGTCCCCACAAGAACCCCACTCAAAGGTCAGGAGCCTCAAAGATCAAAGCTAGATAAACTCAGAAAGATGAGAAAGAATCAACAACAACAACAAAAAATGCTGAAAACTCAAAAGGCCAGAGTGCTTATTCTTCTCCAAGTGATTGCAATACCTCTCTAGCAAGGGCACAGAACTAGGAGGAGGCTGAAATGGATGAATTGACAGAAGTAGGCTTCAGAAGACGTGTAATAATGAACTTTGTTAAGCTAAAGGGGCATATCCTAACCCAATGCAGAGAAGCTGAGAACCATGATAAAACATTACAGAAGCTGTTAACCAGCATAACCAGTTTAGAGTGGAATATAAATGACCTGATGGAGCTGAAAAACCCGACACAAGAACTTCACAATGCAACTGCAAGTATCAGTAGCCAAATAGAACAGGCAGAGGAAAGAATTTCAGAGCTTGAAGACTATCTTACTGAAATAAGACAGCAGACAAGAAAACAATGAAAAGGAATGAACAAAACTTCCGAGAACTATGGGATTATGTAAAAAGACTGAAACTACGACTGATTGGGGTACCTGAAAGAGACAGGGAGAACGAAACCAAGTTGGAAAACATACTTCAGGATATCATTCAGGAGAACTTCCCCAACCTAGCAAGACAGGTTAACATTCAAATTTACAAAATCCAGAGAACCCCATTAAGATACTCCATGGGAAGATCAATCCCAAGACACATAATCATCAGATTTTCCAAGGTTAAAATGAAGAAAAAAAAGCTAAGGGCAGCCAGAGAGAAAGACCGGGCAACCTATAAAGGGAAGCCCATCAGACTAACAGTGGACCTCTCAGCAGAAACCCTACAAGCCAGAAGAGATTGGGGGTCAACATTCAACATTCTTAAAGAAAAGAATTTCCAACCCAGAATTTCATATCTGGCCAAACTAAGTTTCATAAGTGAAGGAGAAATAAAATCCTTTTCAGACAGCCAAATGCTGAGGGAATTTATCACCACCAGGCCTGCCCTGCAAGAGCTCCTGAAGGAAGCACTAAATATGGAAAGGAAAAAACATTACCAGCCACCACAAAAATACACTGAAGTGCAAAGACCAATAGCACTATAAAGGAACTACATTAACAAGTCTGCAAAATAACCAGCTAGAATCATGATGACACAATCAAATTCACAGATAACAATATTAACCTTAAATGTAAATGGGTTAAGTGCCCCAATGAGAAGACACAGAACGGCAAGCTGCATAAACAGTCAAGACCCATTAGTGTGCTGTATTCAAGAGACACATGTGCAAAGACACACATAGGCTCAAAATAAAGGGATAGAGGATAATTTACCAACCAAATGGAAAGCAGATAAAAGCAAGGATTGCAATCTTAGTTTCTGACAAAACAGATTTTAAACCGACAAAGATTGAAAAAGACAAAGAAGGGCATTACATAATGGTAAAGGGTTCAATTCAACAGGAAGAGCTATTTTAAATACATATGCACCCAATAAAGGAGACCCTAGATTCATAAAACAAATTATTAGAGACATACAAAGAGACTTACACTCCCACATGATAATAGTGGGAGACTTTAACACCCCATTATCAACATTAGACAAATTATTGAGATAGAAAATTAACAAAGATATTCAGGTCTTAAACTCAGCCCTGGATCAAGTGGACCTGATAGATATGCACAGAACTCTCCACCCCAAAACAAGAGAATATGCATTCCTCTCAGTGCCACATGTCACGTACTCTAAAATCGATCACATAATTGGAAGTAAAACACTCCTCAGCAAAAGCAAAATAATCTTTTTTTTGATGAACTGAAATCACGACAGTCTCTCAGAACACAGCACAATCAAATTAGAACTCAAGATTAAGAAACTCACTCAAAACCACACAATTACATGGAAATTGAACAACTGCTCCTGAATGACTCCTGGGTAAATAATAAAATTAAAGCAGAAATCAAGAAGTTCTTTGAAACCACTGACAACAAAGAGACAATCCACCAGAATCTCTGGGACATGGCTAAAGCAGTGTTAAGAGGAAAGTTTATAGCACTAAATGCCCACATCAAAGACTAGAAAGATCTCAAATTGACACCCTAACATCACAATTAAAAGAACTAGAGAATCAAGAGCAAACATACCCCAAAGCTAGCAGAAGACAAGAAATAACCAAGATCAGAGTGGCACTGAAGGAGAAAGAGACATGAAAAACCCTTTGAAAAATTAACAAATCCAGGAGCTCTTTTTTGAAAAAATTAATAAAATGGATAGACTGCTAGCTAGACTAATAAAGAAGAAAAGAGAAGAATCAAGTAGACACGATAAAAAATTATAAAGGGGATATCACCACTGACCCCACAGAAATACAAACAATCATCAGAGAATGCTATAAACACCTCTATGTAAATAAACTAGAAAATCTAGAAGAAAGGGAGAAATTCCTGGACATATACACCCTCCCAAGACTGAGCCAGGAAGAAGGTGAATTCTTGAATAGCCCAATAATGAGTTCTGAAGTTCAGGCAGTAATAAATAGCCTACCAACCAAAAAAAGTCCAGGACCAGACAGATTTACAGCTGAGTTCTATCAGAGATACAAAAAGAAGCTGGTACCATTTTTTTCTGAAACTATTCCAAACCACTGAAAACCCATTTTATGAGGCCAGCATGATCCTGATACCAAATCCTGGCAGAGATACAACAAAAAAGAAAACTTCAGGCCAATATCCCTAATGAATATTGATGCAAAAACCCTCAATAAAATACTAGCAAACCAAATCCAGTAGCACATCAAAAAGCTGATCCACCACGATCAAGTCGGCTTCATCCCCAGGATACAAGGCTGGTTCAACATACACAAATCAATAAACATAATTCATCACATAAACAGAACTAAAGACAAAAACCACATGATTATCTCAATAGGCGCAGAAAAGGCCTTTGATAAAATTCAAAATCCCTTCGTGTTAAAAACTCTCAATAAACTAGGTATTGATGGAACATACCTCAAAATAATAAGAGCCATTTATGAGAAACCCACAGCTAATATCATATTGAATGGGCAATAGCTGGAAGCATTCACCTTGAAAACAGCACAAGACAAGGATGGCCTCTCTCACCACTCCTACTCAACATAGTATCGGAAGTTCTAGCCAGGGCAATCAGGCAGGAGAAAGAGATAAAATGTATTCATATAGAAAGAGAGGAAGTCAAACTGTTTGCAGATAACGTGATTCTGTGTCTAGAAAACCCCATCGTCTCAGCCCAAAGATTCTTAAGCTGATAAGCAACTGCAGCGAAGTCTCAGGATACAAAATCAATGTGCAAAAATCACAAGCATTCCTATATGCCAACAACAGACAAGCAGAGAGCCCAAACATGAATGAACTCCCATTCACAATTGCTACAAAGAGAATACAGTTAACAAGGGAAGTGAAGGACCTCTTCAAGGAGAACTACAAACCACTACTCAAGGAAATCAGAGAAGACACAAACAAATCGAAAAACTCATCGATAGGAAAAATCAATATCATGAAAATGGCCTTACTGCCCAAAGTAATTTATAGATTCATTGCTATTCCCATTAAACTACCATTGACATTCTTCACAGAATTAGCAAAAACTACTTTAAAATTCATATGAAACCAAAAAAGAGCCCATATAGCCAAGACACTCCTAAGCAAAAAGAAGAAAGCTGGAAGCATCATGCTACCCAACTTCAAACAAAACAGCACGGTACTGGTACAAAAACAGACACATAGACCAATGGAACAGAATACAGAACTCAGAAATAAGACTGCACATCTACAACCATCTGATCTTTGACAAACCTGACAAAAATGAGCAATAGAGAAAGGATTCCCTATTTAATAAATGGTGCTGGGAGAACTGGCTAGCCACATGCAGAAGCCTGAAACTGAAGCCATTCCTTACACTTTATCCAAACATTAACTCAAAATGAATTAAAGACTTCAATGTAAAACCCTAAATTATAAAAACCCTAGAAGAAAATCTAGGCAATACCACTCAGGAGATAGGCACAGCCAAAGATTTCAGGATGAAAACATCAAAAGCAATTGCAACAAAAGCAAAACTTGACAAATATGATCTAATTAAACTAAAGAGCTTCTGCACAGCAAAAGAAACTATCATCAGACTGAACAGACAACCTGCAGAATGGGAGAAAACTTTTGCAATCTATCCATCTGACAAAGGTCTAATATTCAGAATTTACTTGTAAATTAAACAAATTTATAAGTAAAAAAAACTGCATTAAAAAGTGGGCAAAGGACATGAACAGACATTTCTCAAAGGAAGACATTTATGTATCCCACAAACATGAAAAAAAGCTCAACATCACTGATCATTAGAGAAATGCAAATCAAAACCACAATGAGATACCATCACACACCAGTCAGAATGGCCATTATCAAAAAGTCAAGGAACAACAGATGCTGGTGAGGCTGTGGAGAAACAGGAATGCTTTTACACTGTTGGTGAGAATGTAAATTAGTTCAACCATTGTGGAAGATGGCATGGCAATTCCTCAAAGACCTGGAACCAGAAATACCATTTGACACAGCAATCTCGTCACTGGGTATATACCCAAAGGGATATAAATCATTCTATTGTAAAGATACATGCATGTGTATGTTCACTGCAGCACTAATCACAATAGCAAAGACACGGAATCAATCCAAATGCCTATCAATGATAGACTGGATAAAGAAAATGTGGTACATATACACAATGGAATACTATGCAGCCATAAAACGGAACAAGATCATGTCCTTTGCAGGGACATGGATGGAGTTGGAAGCCATTATGTTCAGCAAACCAACACAGGAACAGAAAACCAAACATCACATGTTCTCACTTATAAGTGGGAGCTGAACAAGGAGAACACATGGACGCAAGGAGGGGAACAACACACACTGGGGCCTGTTGGTGGTGGGGGTGGAGAGCATCAGGATAAATAGTTAATGCATGCAGGGCTTAATACTTAACTAATGGGTTGATAAGTGCAACAAATCACCATGGCACATGTTTATCTATGTAACAAACCTGCATGTCCTGCACATGCATCCTGGAACCTAAAATTAAATTAAATTAAATTCAAATAAAAAAAATTAAAAAATCCATGCAGATGAACCGCACATACTTTCTTCAGCTTTTTTTTTTTAATTGAAAGCAGGCATAGCATACTTTTGCCATGTGAAAAAGAGTAAAGGAATTGGCTGAAAACCAATTGGTTGAAATAATAGATTAATTGATAGGATAAGTTTTAGGCAAAGTATACTCAGATATGAGTTTTCATTATTTTGTACTACATATTTCTTTTATTTTTAGTTAGTTCTGATATTGTTTAAAAATTATTTTTAATTTTTATTTTAACTAAATTTACCGATTTTATAAGCAGTTTAGGGAGTCAAACAACCTTAACAATCTTGTTATAAATAAATATCAACTTATTTTCTCACTCCCAACTCCACCACTGTACCTCCAGGCAACCATTTTGAACCCTGGTAGCAGATTCTCTTTCTTTACGTTTTTACTTCAAATAATGATTATTATATGATTTCTTCACTTTTCCATTTTAGCCATTATCTGCTGATTTCCCAGTATAGAAGATGAAGATTTGCTTATCTTTTGCATCCTGTTCATCCACATAAATACACACTTTTAATTTTAAATTTTGGCTCTATGGACAATTTTAGTTAGATCACCATTCAGTATTCATTCACATTACTTAAATGCTATCCTCACCTGTGCCACATAATATACTATATTTCCTTTCCTGCATAAGTTTTTTCTTTTTATTGAAACTGAGATACACAGATTTGGATTAATTATAATTTATAACATATACTTATCATTGGTTTATGTATGAACTTCTTTTAGTTATAATATTTAACTAAAATATTTAAATAATGTAATTAGCTCCCTTGACCCGACATCTCAGATGAAACCTAGAGACTTGGAAATAACCTTCATCTACCATCTTCTCCTCACACACAGCCTATCTTGTTTTTATCATGTCCTTACTTACCTTTTTTTTTTTTTTTTTTTTAATCACTCTTGCTCAGGCTGGGATTACAGGTGTGAGCCACTGCACCCGGCCCTTACTTTCCTTTTTATATAACTTTATTGCATCTACATATATTCCTACATATAGGGATACACAGAGTTAGTAGATGAAAAGTATGTTTTGGACCTCCCCCAAAAAAGTCATTATATGAAGAAGACATGCACACATATATATAGCAGCACAATTCACCAATTGCAAAAATATGGAGCCAACCTAAATGCCCATCAACCAATGAGTGGTTAAAAAAATGTGGCATATAGGACAGGCACGGTGGCTCATGCCTGTAATCCTAGCACTTTGGGAGGCCAAGGTGGGGGTGTATCACCTGAGGTCAGGAGTTCAAGACCAGACTGGCCAACAAGGTGAAACCTCATCTCACTAAAAATACAAAAATTAGCCAGGCGAGGTAGCACGTGCCTGTAGTACCAGCTACTCGAGAGGCTGAAGCAGGAGAATCGCTTGAACCTGGGAGACAGAGGTTGCAGTGAGTCAAGATTGTGGCACTGCACTCCAGCCTGGGCAACAGAGCAAGACTCCATCAAAAAAAAAGGAAAAAAAAGTGGTATATAGACTACTCATACTCAGTCATAAAATGGAATGAAATAATGGCATTTGCAGTGACTTGGTTGGAGCTAGAGGCCATTATTCTAGGTGAAGTAACTCAGGAATGGAAAACCAAACATCACATGTTCTCACGTATAAGTGGGGGCTAAGCTGTGAGGATGCAAAGGTATAAGGATAATGTAATGGACCTTGGAGACTTGAGGATAAGAGTGAGAGCAGGGTGAGGGATAAAAGACTACACATTTGGTACAGGGTACACTGCTTAGGTGACAGGTGCACCAAAATTCTAGAAATCACCAATAAAGAACTTACTTACTTAACCAAAAACCACCTGTACCCCAAAAACTATTGAAAATGTTTTAAGTAAGTTTTGGGGGTTCACTTGAATGGCAAACTTTGTAATTAGAACCAACCCTTTCACTGAGAACAAGTTGAAAAACTAGACAAAATATTTTTAAAATTTGCTTGAAATTATCAGAGAGATAACAAAACAGTGAAGAAAGATCATGATCAGGAAGAAGTAAGAAACGCAGAGAGGTGCGCTGGAAATTTGAGGCTGTATTCACCTTAGTTACTGCTGATTTTAGAAGAGGTGGCTGAATAACTGAGCAAAGCTTTGATGGACTCAAAAGGCCAACAGGACAAAATTGGAGTTCAGTGTCCACTAGGATAGAGCATAGGATATTCCCCAGGTTTTAGACTGAGATCATTAAAAGCTAAATCCTAGAAATAAAGAGTGAACTGGAAATAGACTAGCCCTCACAAAGATTGGAACTCTCCTGAAACTTTCTCAGTCCTCTAACAGATTAAGGTGATACAATCCTCTGAATGTAATCATGGTCTTTTTGTAGATTTGCTTACTTTTTAAAATAAATTTGTAGGTAATTTAATGGAAATCCTTCCCAAAGTGTGCAAATTTCCTCTTGAGATATTTAAAATATGTGTTTGATCAATTTCATCTTCCTGAAGAAATTCTTCCTGGAGACTTCTGACCTGTTCCATCCCAGGCATGTTTTCTAGGTACTGCTGTCACCTTGAGGTCTCCTTTCTCCATCCTAGAGACTCTCCTTGTCTCTGTTTCTTGGGTCCCAGTTCTTCCTCTTTCTTGCCTTACATCCTTGTTTTGGTGGAGCACATCCTCCTGTAGCTTCTAGAGAAAGAGTGCAAGGGAAATAGACTTTTAGAGATCTTCATTCTGCCCTCACACTTTTGGATTGGCATGGAATTGAAATTGGAAACATCATTTTCCTTCACAAGTTTGAAGGCACTTTTTCATTGTCCTATCACTTCTACTGCTGTGTTTTGAGAAATATGGTGCTATTCTGATTCTTGATCCTGTTATGAAACTTTTTTCCCCATATCTCTGGAGATTGTGGGATTTCCTTTCCATCCATGATGCTCTGAAACATCATGATGATATGAAATGATGTGGATCTATTTTAGACCATTGTGCTGGGTAAACATGGCTTTCAGCTCTGAGGAATCCTCTTAAATTACTCTGTATACTTTCCTTGCCTTTATTTTCTCTGTTTCCTCTTTCTAGAGCTCCTATTATTTAGGTATCAAATCTTCTGGATTGGTCTTCCCATTTTCTTATTTTTTCTCTCCTACTTTCCATATATTTGTGTTTTTATAATTTTACCTTCTGCAATATTTACTAAATTCTGCCTTCAATATGTATCTCCTATTTTATCTAAACTCCCTTTATATTTGCTACTGCAATTTTAACTTCCAAAAGCTTTTTTTTTTTTTTTTTTTTGGTTCTGTGATTTTTTTTTTTTTTAAACATAGCACTCTGATCTTTTTTAATGAAGGTAACAACTTCTCTTATGTTTCTGAACTTGATGGTGCACATCTCCCGGATGTGCCTCCATTTCTTCCAAGTATGTTTGGTGTCAGTCATATCAAGAGGCTTTCCTTGCCCTTCTGGTATTCTCTGGCTGTTTTGCTGAAACCAAAAGTTGTCCACCAGAAAGCTGATTAGAAACTCTGTGCATGTGCATATAGCTTGTTGGCTATAGTCTTCACTGTAGGGCAATTTAGCTGGGCCCATCCCTTGGGGGATGCCCAAGGTCAACATGTTATTCCTTGAGGAGTTCCTGATGTCAGGGTCTGAGTTCTTTTCTGTCCCTGCAATAAGATTTCTATTTTTCTGCCAGCAGCATTTTGGTTTGACAGCCAGCTGTCTAGGAGCTGAGAGGGTCAGGGGCAGTTGCTGTACAAAGTGGGAAAAGGATAAAAGAATAATTGCTTCATTAACACACTGTCATTGAAGCCTTAACCTCATCTTCACCCTCACTTTCCAGAAATACCTGGGTCTTGGGGGATTTTATAATGTAAATTGAGTTTCTGCTCCGCTTTCCTCACTAACAGTTTAAAAATCTGCTTTCTCCAGTACACTAAGTCCAAAATTTTGAGGCTGTTTTCTTCTTTCCTGTTCTCCCTTTTATTATACGTGTGCCTTTAACTAGAAATTTGACTTAAGCTTTTTAAAGGATTGTCAGATCAATTCAACAAACATATATTGAGCACCTATAATGTTCCAGGTTCACAGGTTCATTAAATTAATGGATCTGTGGGCTTTTGGCTCTTATTAAATGCTGATCTGGATTGATAGATGTTTTTCAAGCTTCTATTGTTCTCCTTGAAGCCACTGGGCTACTTCGTCCAGCTTTGATGTCTTTCGTTTATTATAATATCTCTAGGGTGCCATTAGTTCTTTTTCTTATCTTCTATCAACTAGAATTTTTTCCCATCTTTTCCTTTTAGATTGAAGTACATAACCTATTTCTGAGTCTGTGTCTTCTTTCTATGTAATAATGCCTCCTTTACCAACCTGCAATAAATAGAGAGAACTTTAACCTCCAACGAGTTAATAAAATTATTGCCAATTGTGTTCAGGCTAAAAATGGATCATCCTCCCCACTCCAATTGGACAGTGCCATGATTCTTCCTGTGTCATAGACCTGATAATAGTGATTCAGACATATTATAATTAATCACTTTATCCATTAACATAATTATTACTTACTAGCACCCACTGTGTAGCAAGCACTGTACTAGGAATTTTCATATGTGTCAGAATTGTTTTCTGGAGGCATAGTGTCTGGATTACAGCCATGCCAGTTATTAGTTATGTGATCTTGAATAAATTATTTCTTTGTGCTTTGTTTCCTCATCTGAAAAATGAGATACTGGCACTACATCAAACGACAACTGTCTCTTCTGTAATATGAATATAATAGCATGTCCTCCAAAAAACCATTTTGGAGATTATATGACCTAATATATGTCAAGTCCTTAGTATGGCACCTGGTGCATAGTAGGCATCACGTGTAATCTATCTTCATTAATATTATCTTATAATTATTTATATTATCATCCCACTTAACAGATGAGGACACAGAAATATTAAAAAGTTGATTTAATTTCTCCATGGCTGCACAGTTAGGCAACAGCAGAGCTCGAGTATACACTCAGGTAGTTCAATAATATCTTCTTCAAAGTCCAATATAGAACATGTCCATTAAAAATGTAGTTTTTAAGTCATTGATTACATATTTATTATTTGCCAGTTATGTACAGATACATTGAATAAAACAGTTTAAATTGAACAACACAGACTCAGTTGGCAGGAAGAGAGGAGAAAGTGAGGAGGGTGTCCATGTGTATTAGTCTATTCTCACACTGCTATAAAGGACTACCTGAGACTGGGTAATTTATAAAGAAAAGAGGTTTCATTGACTCAGTTCCACAGGCTGTACAAGTTTCCTCAGGAAACTTACAATCATGGTGGAAGGGTAAAAAGAAAGCAAGCACATTTTCACATGGCAGCAGGAGAGAGAGAGCAAAGGGGGAAGTGCCACTCACTTTTAAACCATCAGATATTGTGAGAATTCACTATCATAAGAACAGCAAGGGGGAAATCTGCCCCCATGATCCAATCCTCTCCCACCAGATCCCTCCCCCAACACTGGGAATTACAATTCAACATGAGATTTGGGTAGGGACACAGAGACAAACTATATCATTCTGCCCTGGCCTCTCCCAAATCTCATGTCCTTCTCACATTTCCAAACACAATCATGGCTACCCAATAGTCCCTCAAAGTTTTAATTCATTCCAGCATTAACTCAAAAGTCCAAGTCCAAAGTTTCATCTGAGAGAAGGAAACTTCCTTCTGCCTATCGGCCTATAAAATCAAAAGCAAGTTAGTTAATTCCTGGGGAGACAAGCATTGGGTAAATGCTCCCATTCCAAAAGGGAGAAATTGGCCAAAACAAAGGGGCTACAGGCCCCATGCAAGTCTGAAATCCAGCAGGGCAGTCACTAAATCTTAAAGCTCCAAAATGATTTCCTTTGACTCCATGTCTCACATCCAGGCTACATTGATGCAAGGGGTGGGCTCCCAAGGCGTTGAGTAGCTCTGCCCCTGTGGATCTGCAGGGTACAGTCCCTGTGGCTGCTTTCACTGACCAGCATTGAATGCCTGTGGCTTTTCCAGGTGCATGGTGCAAGTTGTTGATGGATCTGATTCTGGGGTCTGGAGGATGGTGGCCCCTTCTCACAGCTCCACTAAGCAGTGTCCCAGTGGGGACTCTATGTGAGGGCTCCAATGCCACATTTACCCCTCTGCACTGCCCTAGTAGAGGGTCTCCATGAAGGCTCCACCCCTGCTGCTTGTATTGAGTAATACCAGCAGGCTTGTATTAGTCAATTTTTCACACTGCTATAAAGAAATATCCAAGACTGGGTAATTTATAAGGGAAAGAGGTTGAATTGACTCACAGTTCCATATGGCTGGGAGGGCTCAGGAAACTTACAATCATGATAGAAGGTGGAGAAGCAAGGACCTTCTTCACATGGCAGCAGGAGAGAGAAGTGCCAAGTGAGGACGTGCCACACTTTTTAAACCATCAGATCTCATGAGAATCCCTCACTATCATGAGAATAGCATGAGGGAAACTGCCTCCATAATGCAATCACCTCCCTCCCTCAACACGTGGGGATTACAATTTGAGATGAGATTTGTGGGGACACAGAGCCAAACCATATCAAGACTTCTGCCTGGGCATCCAGGCATTTCCATACATCCCTTGAAATCTAGGCAGAGGCTCCCAAACCTCAACTCTTGTCTTCTGCACACCCACAGGCCCAGGCTCATGAAGTCACCAAGGCTTGGGCTTGCACCCTCTGAAGCAATGGCCCGAGCTGTACCTTGACTTCTTTTAGCCAAAGCTAGAGCTGAAGCATCTGGGATGCAGGGCACCATGTCTTAAGGCTGCACGGGACCTTCAACCTGGCCCATGAAACTATTTTTCCATCCTAAGCCTCCAGGCCTGTGATGGGAAGGGCTGCTGTGAAGGTCTCTGAAATGCCCTGGAAGCATTTTCCCCATTGTCTTGGCTATTAACATTCAGCTCTTCTTTACTTATGCAAATTTCTGCAGCCTTGAATTCCTCCCCAGAAAATGGATTTTTCTTTTCTACCTCATGGTCAGGCTGCAAATTTTCCAAACTTTTATGCTCTGCTTCCCCTTTTAATATAAGTTTGAGTTTCAGGTCATTTGTTTGTTTATGCAAATGAGCACAAGCTTTTAGAAGTAGCCAGGCCACATCTTGAATGCTTTGCTGCTTAGAAATTTCTTCTACCAGATACCCTAAATAATCTTTCCAAGTTCAAAGTTTCACAGATCTCTAGAGCAGGGGCACAATGCCACTAGTCTCTTTGCTAAAGCATAGCATGAGTGACCTTTACTCCAGTTCCCAATAAGTTCCTCATCTCTGTCTGAGAGTACCTCAGCCTGGAATTCACTGTCCATAACACTATCAGCATTTTAGTTACAATCACTCAACAACTCTCCTGGACATTCCAAACTTTCCCTCATCTTCCTGTCTTCTTCTGATCCCTCTAAACTGTTCTATCCTCTGCCCATTCTCCAGTTCCAAAGTTGTTTCCACATATTCAGGTATCTTTATAGCAAGACCCCAATTCCCTGGTAACAATTTTCTGCATTAGCCCATTCTCACACTGCTATAAAGAACTACCTGAGAATAGGTAATTTCTAAAGAAAAGAGGTTTCATTGACTCACAGTTCCACAGTCTGTACAGGAGACATGGCTAGGGAGGCCTCAGGAAGTCCTCCTGCCAATCATGGCAGAAGGATGAAAGGAAAGCAAGCATATCTTCACATGGTGGCAGGAGAGAGATAGAATGAAGGGGGAAGTGCCACATACTTTTAAACCATTAGATCTTGTGAGAACTCACTATCATGAGAACAGAAAGGGGGAAATCTGTCCCCATGATCCAATCCCCTCCAACCAGTTCTCTCCCCCAACATTGGGAATTACAATTCAACATGATATTTTGGTGGGGACACAGAGCCAAGCCATATCACCATGCAATGGGGGCAGTCTGGCATATGGTATCAGCCTGGGTAGTGTAAGGAGGGCATGCATTGAGGGGTAGAAGGGGAAGTAGCACTTGCTGCCCTTGGCAGAGTTTCAGACCCCAAGGGAGGTGAAGAGGGCACTTGTATTGGAGAGGCAGCAGCGGCAAAAGAAGATGGGTTATATATAGAGACATTAACCAAATAAGGAAGTACGTGAAAGATGATGGGAGAGGGGTTTCTCATTGTCAGGGTAGGGAGTTACAGGTATGGAAAGGATGAAAACTAGAATAGACTTTGTGGTGTTGGACTGGAATTGAGGGTATTGGTATGAACTGTGTATCTGTTAAAGAAATGGACATCACAGTTTATAATCTTCCCAAAAAGAAAACTCCAAGCACAGATGGCTTCAGGGTAAATTCTCCCAAACATTTAATGAATAAATAACAATTTTACTCAAACATTTCCAAAAATAGAGCAGAAAATACAAAGATATTACAGCAAAGGAAACTACAAACCAGTATCCCTTATGAACATAGATGTAAAAATTCTAAACAAAATTTTAGAGTATCAAATACAATATATTAAAGGGATAAAAGGATAGTACGTCATAACCAAGTGGGGTTCATCTGAAAAATGTAGGATTGGTTTAACATTAGAAAATCAATCAATGGAATTCATCATGCTAATACACTAAAAGAGAAAAACATGATTATCTCAACAGATGAAGAAAAGGCATTTGACAAAATCCTGCTAAGATTCTGTTCTTAAAGATTCATCAAGCACAACCTGTGTTGAGAAGGATCATTTGAGAGGGAGGAACATTGATAATTGTCTATTCTTCCAAGATATTCAAAGCTGGGACTCCACAGCCATTATGGTTACATGTTGCTCAAGCATATATTCTAACTTTCACTTACCTCTTACCTAAATGCATTAGATTATCATTTACCTTGTTGTTTCCCAAACTCTGTTGCTTGAAACACCAGCATTCCTTGAAATATAAGGCCCTTTTTGGAACCTCAAGACGTACATTAACATATTAAAGTTCTAAGTCCCGGGAAGAAACCATATCCAAGATCTTTTTATTTCATGTGAATTTTGACCATTGCTGTCTTATCAAGGGAACTTGCTGATAGAAGCATTTTATTTTGACCCATCCATCCATTCTTGCTTATATATTATATAATATGTATAGGAGCTTGTAAAATAATAGCATGGCTAGAGCAGGCTGGGAAAACTTGGTGGAAGGGTAAACGTCCTGGACTCTTGCCTGCTGCCAGTTTACAGTAATCTTCCTTAAACACCACTTTTCTTCCAATGCTCCTCTGCCTGTATAACTTCCTACACACACCAACTCTATACCCCACCATGGAAATTAGTAACTTTTCTTAGATATTTTTCCAATTCTTTGGTTTTAATATCTTTTAAATTCATAAAAGAATCTAAAATGCTTAATTTAGATTAATAAAAACAATATGTTGTCAAGAAAATATTTTAAAGCCACAGAAGAGATCAATGAAAAAGATAACTTTCAGTTGTCCTGGAGAAGCCCTTTAAGGGGTTTCTCTATATATACCCAGAGAAAGCAACGTGGTGAAAATGAAATTTCTACTGGTGTTTGCTAATACAGTGTTTCTTTCTATAAGCATGGAAAACATATTAAAGAGAACTGTGTCCTGTGAGAGGTGAATTTATTAAGAAGCTGGGCATCAAGTCATAAACCTACCACTGGAAAGTAAAATAAAAAGGGAAACCCAGCAGAGCATTTTCCTTTTGTGTGCTCAAGGCATTAGTGAATTATTCTTTGTGCAAAGCACTGCACATCTGGGAAGTGAATAGTTTAAATAAAGTAGTAATATATTTAAGAGCACCTTTTGAAAGTTACAATCCCCAAGGAAGATAAACCATAAGAATCCTTTCATTGCAAAAAAGAATTCATTTGTTATAACAAAGGAGCAAAATGGAGCGTGGTATGTGTAATATGCTGAATGTACAAAAAACAGCATTCTCGCTCAGTCTGATCCTGCATAAGTAATTTTTCAATTAAAGTGCCTTTTCCTCAACACTTGAAATAGTTCTTGGATGAGTTGTAAAGTACTCATGTTAACTGCATTAGGCCAATGGTCATTTAGTGTAAACAGGAACAAGATTTCAGCTAAGCTAGAACAGTGTGACAAACATTATTTTGATTCTTCCTGTGAAGCTTTAGAACAAAGCTTATAAAAGCAGAAAGATATTGAAATCAATTTACAATGATCTGGCCTTAGCTGGCAAAATCAGGCCAAGCCCTAAAATACATATGCTTTGAAGCACAAGTCCATTAGAAAATATACATTTGCATCTTAATATACTATCTATTTTGTCTTCCAGGTTCAAAAGGCAAACAAAAGGCCCAAATTATAATTATTAATGGCCTCAGAAATACATTAATATTATCTATACTAAGAACATGTATAGAGGAATAATGTTGTAAGAAAAATTGTGAAGAACACAGAATATTACATGGATTCATCAAAACTATTATTTTCTATCTTTCAGGATAGAGGCTTTCAAAACAGAAACAGTTTTAAGTTAAAGGAATCCATCTTTTCCCCCTTTTTAGAATAAAGGAAAAATTAAAGTTCTGGACATCTGAAAAGTTATATGCATTTGTACAAATAATTTTACTCCAAAGTATATTTGTCAAGAGAATGCATATTTGGTTGGGATTCAGCATCTTAATAGCATTGCTATGGTCACTGTGAAGTACATTTAAAAAATGAAAGAATCCTTGCCCTCTAAGGACTTTTTATCCTGTTAATTTTAGAATTCTAGAAATAATACCAGATATGGTTTAAAACTAAAATGTATTTTATTTTCTTGGTGAAACATACTTGTAGACATTCATATTAAGCAAATGAAATGGTCATCTTTATATCCAGACAGCACCTACCATTAGAATAACAAAAAGAACAGCTGTTTTCCTCATTAGATTACTGGCTCACTAAATTTTCATTCAGAAAAAGACAGTTTCATTGACTTCTGTCATATTCCTTTTTACTGACTAGGACTATGTCCAACAGAAATGCAAGCCTATATGCACCAAGGGATAGCATAACTATATTCACAGGAACATTATCTGTAATGCAAACTGTAAGCAACCCAGATGTCCAACATAGTAGAATGGATAAATAAGTTGTCGTTTATTTAATGGAATACTACATAGCAATGAAAATGAACAGACTGCATCTACATTCAACATCATAGATAACAAGTGAAAGAAACAAGACAAAAGAATATATAAAGTATGACCTCATTCTGTAAAGTTTCCAGACACACAACACTAAACTCTATGGTTGTATATGGTACATATGGATGCACATCCAAGTGGTAAACTGTAAAGAAAAGCAATAAATGATTACTTTAAAAGTAAGATTAGGCTGGGCACGGTGGCTGATGCCTGTAATACTAGCACTTTGGGAGGCTGTGGCGGGCGGATCACCTAAGGTCAGGAGTTCAAGACTAGCCTGGCCAACATGGCGAAAACCCATCTCTACTAAAAATACAAAAATTAGCACAGCATGGTGGCACATGCCTGTAATCCCAGCTACTCGGGAGGCTGAGGCAGGAGAATCACTTGAACCCAGGAGGCAGAGATTGCAGTGAACCGAGATTGCACCACTCTAGCTTGGGTGACAGAGTCAGACTCTCTCTCAAAAAAAAAAAAAAAAAGAAAAGTAAGATTAGAACTTACTCAGGGAATAGGAATCGAGCTTGGTGAGAGGGTTGTGACTGGAAAGAGATCCATGAGACTTCTGACATGCTAGTTAAATTCTTCTTTTCTTCTCCTCCTTCTCCACCTACTTATTTTTACCATGGGTGGCACTTACAAAGTGTATTAATTCTTACAACCATTTGTAAGCTGTATATGTCATATGTTATCACTTTCTTGTATGTTACACTTCATAGTAAAACACGTTTTTTTAAAAAAAACCCAAGGATTACTACACTAAATAATACACACACACACACACACACACGCACACACACACACACACACACACACACATACACACATTCTAATTGGCTTCAAAGAGAAAAGAAAAAATCCTGATTTTATATTAGACTTCCCTTGTTCTCCTTCTCTTCTGCTGAGCACATATTAAGTGTTCAAATGTACTTACCAACTAAAGAGATAAGAGTTTCAAAGTGCATCAAAATGTACCATTCAGTGTCATGCGTGTTATTTGAGAGCTTCAAAGACTTATGTGGGTTTTTTAGCTGATGGTGGAATTGCATGTACGTATTCCTATTGTCTCTTGTGTCTATGTTGACAACACTAGCTGATATATGACTATGCAGAAATAGTGCTTGAAAAAAATGGGCAACTTCCTGTGCTTACAGCTGTAACACAGAAGCAGCTCAACTTTGATTTTACACCTATGGCCTGCCCCTAAGTTTCCTGCTTCCATCATTACTGTGGATTCTAATCTTAGGAAAAGTCTGCCTCTTTGAAAAAACAAATATACAAACCTGAGCTAACCCAGCCATGTCAACCTATAGTATTATTTATCTGACTTAAGCCTTAATCAACCAATTTTTCTTCATGCTCCTGAATTAGTTGGGTACTAGGTTATTGTGTTACCAAATTAGCTCCCTTTCAACTACCCTGACTGAAACCTGTAACAAATTCTAATTACTGGTGATGGGATATTCTTAGAGCCTCTTTCAGCAAATATCCCAATAAAAATCTTGGTTAACAGACTGACAATATCAAACTCTGACATATTATACAAGAAAGAAACTCAGTTGACCAATTGCCCATCTCTTTACTCCAGAATGGATTTTCTAAAGGAGCACAGAAAATCTATACGGCAATTTTATTCTCCCCTCTGTAATCATTGGTATTCTCTAGCTCCTGGGTAGGTCAAAATCAATTTAACATTTAAAAGTCCCTAAGGCCATGAACAGTGGCTCACGCTTGTAATCCCAGCACTTAGGGAGGCAGAGGTGGGAGAATAGCTCAAGTACAGGAGTTCGAGACCTGCTTGGGCAACGTGGAGAGATTCCATTCTCTGAAAAAAGGGGGGAAAAAAAGATAAAAATACTTGAATCTGGTCTATGTTCTCAGAAAGTTGAATTTTATTTTTCAAAATCGATACCACTTAGTAATGTTCTGATGCAAACAATATTGAAGGCAATACAGCTCACTCTTTATCATCCAAAGGTTTATCCACAGCACAGCTTACTTACTTCAAGCAAACCTTGATCCAAAGATTGGTAAAATAATTAACAATATTCCTTAAGTCACATGTGGTCAACAGTCTGTCTACTTAATCTATCATCCAGAATCAAGGCCTTAAAGGCAAAATAATTATTTGTCTCCCTTTATTCTGGCAAATATAAATATTGAATGAAAATGGGCATCTCTTTTTAGTCTGGTGCTTTATTTCAGCCTGAGTTATACTTTCTCTCGTTTTTTAAATAAGGTAAATAGGAATGACTTCTGCAAGGGGGAAGGATAAAAGACAGAGATATAGAACAAAGATCTGGAACAATCTTATAAAGTTACTTTATTCTACTAAAACAATGTCTAAATTATAGCCTAATACTTGACTCCAAAATACTATGGCTCAAAGGATATTTCTCCAAATATAATTACATACTGTAAGAACGTGATATGACAGAGCAAATATAGGCCATAACTGGTAACCCTATTCTCCAACATCACTGTTATAAGTGGGACATCTCTGAATTAGAGTTTCCCAAACTATCATGCCCATTCAAATACATATTCCAAGCCTCATTTAATACTGAAATTATGTCGGGATTAGTTACTGTTTGGCTGATGCATACCATGTTTACTTTCACTTTTAATGAAATGAAAACTGACATATAGCATATAACATTTCCTGTGGGAACAGAAGCCAATGTGATCTAGGACAAAATGTAAACTTCCTACATTTAAAAAAAGCATTTTAACAAAAGAGGAATGAAAATACCACTTTACATTTGTGAGTAACTGGGATTCAAACTGAAAGCCCGCTGATTCCATGCCACAGCTGTCCTTAGTTTCCTTAATAATGATTTATCCAAAATCTTCATATGATAAAAGTGATTTTAGTAAGTAACTGTAACATCTCAGGCTTTTGTTTATCATGAGACAGACATGTATTCTCACTTTTTTTCTACCCTCTGCCCCCAATAATCACTTATAGAATAAAATCTGAGTTAAAAAAGCCATGCATTTTCCAACCAAACATCTTCCCTGACAAATATTATTTGAAATTAGATTACAGCTATGTGCCTTCTTTTTCCACTCCTCAGTGGCAGTTAGTGGCAGAAAACAGATGATCAAAGCAAGAGTGGGATTATAATTTGCACATATTAGCATAGATTATTTTAATTGAATACAAGTCCAGAAATTACGTATAAATGGTTTCTAAATCAAATATGGTTTACAATTAATGAAGTACTTATATTAGGTTGGTGCAATTACCAAAAACCACAATTACTTTTGCACCAACCTCATAGTAAGAAGCTTACCTGTTAATTCGCTAAAGTCAAGATCACACCTATTCAGATAATCATAACCATCTAGCAGCTTCAGTTGCAATATTTCTTCTATCTCTCCTAAGATACAGAGAGCAAAATCATTATTTTATTGGATTACTTTAGTTTTTTAATTTTTTAAGACAATATGTGATTATTTGTACAATGCTAGAGCTCTGAGTTGTGATAAAGGCTATGGTAAACAATCGGTGTTATATCATGCCTCCCTCAGTTTTTGGACAGCCAGTGGTTGCTTAAATAAATAACTAATGTGCTGTGTATACACAGAAAATAAAAATTTTAATACCTATCTTTGTGTCAAATTGTGTTTCTTTAAAGAAGGCAAATAGACAATTCTCACTCAACACACATAATACCCCTGAGTTAGATATTTTAAAGATGTTCTTGAACTCAAAGAAGGAATTCTAAAACAATCACCCAAGCATGAAAAAAAAATATCATCTTGGCACACCAGAGTTTCCTAAAACTACTGCATAAGAAACTAAAACTGGAAGACAAAAATCTTTGACATAAAACTTTTGTTATCAGGAAAAATATAACAAATAACAATTCACAAAATTTGCAAAAATCTATTTTACACCCACCTGTGGTCCTTAATATATTCATTGTTGCTTTTCAGTGATGGGATTCTCTCTCATTTAGTGGCCCTGCTTAGGCTCAGATGTCCAGAGGTCTCTACGAATCAGGTGGAGGAAGATGATGGAGAAGCTGGATAGGAGAGAACATCATGCCAAGGGCAGGGCTGGGTAGTGAACACGCCACAGCTGTGCCGACTTAGAATCCTCAAGTAACACAGTTGTCTAGGTCAGTGGTTCCTAAGCTTGTCTACAAATAGGAATCATCCTGGGAGTTAAAGCGCTCCTGACGCCTGTGTCCCACCTCGAGAAATAGTGATTTAATTGGTTTGGGATATGTCCCGGGCTTTGGCATTTTAGAGATCTCCAGGCAATTCTAATTTGTAGGCAAGTTTGGTCACAACTGGTTTATATTATTTTATACTTCGAAAAATTAGGTTCATGTCCATTTTAGTATGCTTCTTATATCAGTCTCAGGGCATTTGGGGAAATCTAGATGACTACTTGTTCTAGAATATTCCCATCACTGTAAATCCATGGAGGTAAACCAAGATCCAAAAGCAAAACTGCAATATAATTGAATTATTTATCATTGTCAAAAGGAGAATAAAAGTAGGAAATATAAAGGCATTAGAATAAGCTAAATTTTATAAAATGTTTCTTCAAGACAAGAATTATTAGTGTATGGATTTTTTTTCCAAACCCAAGCCCTAGAAACTTTCTTCTGTTTGCCACTCTAAAACCAGACAGAAAAATTAGAGAACAGTCTATAATAATCTGGGTTTAAGTAATGACCTGGATTTGTATGACCTAGTCTAGCTTTCCACCTTATCAGATGTACCAGGGGCAACTGCTGGAACGAGGAAGAAGGAATTGGGTATTACACATGAATAAACTTGCGGAGAAGCTAAGTTCATTAATGTTCTGTTGGCAGGAATCAAAATGACTTAGAAGCAGCCAAGCTGAATTACAGGTTTGATTTACTTAAGAGTTACAAGTTATGTGGACATCAGCATTTTTTTATACCAGCCTCTAGGCAGCCTTGATATCGAGACCTCATAATCCTGCCTTTCACAGTAAGATCCAGTTGTATTTCCCTGTGGCTTCTCCACTCTTGTGGGGGTATACGAGCTGTGAGTACAGAAGACATAAAATAGTTTTAAAAGTTCAAAAGTATCAGTTCATCAAAAGCAAATATTGGGAATATTAAATATCTCTGCTCCTTTTTTTTTTTTTTTAAAGGTAAGCTTCACTCATAACAGGTGAGTAGATTGAAACTGGAAAACGTATATTTCAATGTCAGGTTCACAATGGGAATATGTAGATTCACTCTGATTCATGGAGCTAACATATCTTAAATAGACGGAAGTGCTGAGCTGAATATATCGCTCCTTTGAAATGGAAACAATGACTAGATCATAATGGGGATATGTGGATGTTGCCTTCCCAGCCCTTCCCACCTCATGACACAATGTAATCCGCTGTCAGTTCAAAATTCTACCAAGAGCTGGGCAAACCAAGGCATTACCTGCTTACGTGGGGCAATGGTACCTAAGAGAAGAGTATGGTGGGAATGAACCGTAGCCAGTGAACAAAAATAGTGAAAAGCAGCATGCATGGTTCAGTTTTAAAGGCTTCTTTGGTTTAATGCAATGGAATGTGTTCCAAATGTCAAGACAGCTAATTCTCAAGATCTTCCCAGTCTCATTGAAAGCTGACTGCAAATCACCAAAGCACCAAAATAGAAGGTAGTTGTCGATTATTTCCAAATACACCAAATCATCCACAAGAACGTGCTCTTCTGGCAAGTGACATGGCAACTGGGTTTTCATTTCAAGGGCCAACTGCCACCAGTTGTTTATTCTGAGGCTTCAAACTTAACAGGTCCAAAACTGAACTGTTTCAGTTTCAGATGGAGGGTTCATTTCCCTCTGTCTTCTGCTTTTGCTTCCCCCGTACTTGCTGCCAAAGTTAGTCTTCCACCTACACAATCAGCAAACCAGAACTGGGAGTCATTCCGGGCTCCTCTGTGTTTCAGTGCCTCGCTCCACATCCTAGCCATCGTAGATCCTGACTAGCAAATTCATTCGCCCCTACTCTCTATTCCTTTGGCCACCACCACAGGTCGCCACCACCACAGGTCGTGTCCTCATCTTTCACCCCTCTGGAGTTTTTTCCTGACCTATTACTCAAACATGAGCATACCATCTCCCTGCTTATTCTCTGACAGCTGTGTGCCTGTACTCTTGCTTTTCCCCTGCCTGGAATGTTTATTTTCCCAAGTTCTTGTTAACTAGCTTTTGATACACTTAAGCTTAAGAAATGGCCTAATATTTTCTGTCAAACCTTTTCTGATTTATCAGGCTGAGTTGGGTGTTTCCTCTTCTGTGCTTCTTATATCACCTTGTAATTTCTTTCTTACATGTTAGTCTTCTTGCCTTACTTACGACAGGGAGCTCCATATCCTGCTCAATACACCCAGGACTTGGAAAGTGCTGAGTCCACTTGTGTTAAATCAGTGATTCCTCATTTGCCTACTGGAATTACCTGGGGAACTTCAAAAAAATACTGAGGCCCAGACTCCACTGCAGACCAATTCAAGTGGAATTGCTTGGCGTGAAGCCCAGGTACTTGTAGTTTTAAAAAACTGCCCAGGTGATTCTAATGTACAGCCGGGGTTGACAATCACTGTGCAAAACTATTGATCTCAAATGTGAGTTGAAGCCCTATCAAGAAAACAGGAAGTTTGATGGGCTTTTGTTTTTTGTTTTTTAAAGGACATTGTGTTAGTTATCTATGGCTGGGTAACAAATTATCCCAAAATTTAGCAGCTTCAAACAGCCAGCCCTTCTCTCAGAGTGTCTCTTGGTCAGGAATCTGGGCACAGCTTAGTGGGTCCTCTGGCTCAGGGTTTCTTGAAGACTGCATTCATGGGGTGTCAGTCCAGGCTGGGTGTGGGGAGGAGGAGAGCTTGCATGTGAGCTCACTCGAGTGGCTATTGGCAGGACAGGGCTCCTCACCGGCTGTTGGCCAGAAGCTTTCTTTGGCTCTCCTGCCTTTCAGGGCAGCTCATAGTCTGGTAACTGGCTTCCGTTAAAGTAAGCATGTGAGAGAACAAGGGGGTGAGCAAGGTGGAAGCCAGAGTTTATCTATAACCTGGAAATGACATCCATTGCTTTTTGCCAGATTCTGTTTATCAAAAACTCCAACCCAAACTCTACAGGAGGGGATAATACAAGGGCACAAATACAAGGAAGACAGTATCTTTGGGAGTCATCTTAGACACTGCCTACCACAGACATTTAATGATGATACTCTACCTAAAAACTAATCTACCTTAAAGGAATCCCAACTGGACTGTCTTAAAATTAGGAGCATGCACATCAATGGTTTCCTTGAAGAACAAATGTCATACGCTTTGGTAGAGATGAAATAAAAGTAAACTGACAGGTGTACTTTCTAATAATAAATTTATATTTTTGTTTAATCAACTATAGCTGCATTAATTTAAGGTCATTTAGACAAGATAATATCAAGGCAGGCCAGCTTGCATAATTCCAGCCTTTACATCGCCTTATGAATTAGGTCAATGTGCTTTCCAAAGACTGAAAGTGCTCCTTCTTCTTTTCCCTAACATTTTCCTAGTTATACAAGTTCATAGAAAATAGGCCAGACACTTTAAGGACTCAACACAAAATTTGGTTTTAGTAAAGAGCAGATACAGTAAATGTAAAGGTAAACTATCAAGCAAAATAGGCAAGTTGATGTACTGATATTAAGCTGATGACAGTAATAAATTTTAAGTTTACTGCTCATTTTAGAGGGACAAGCTAATGTACCGAACAACACTGAATACTGATATTAGTAACTATAAGCCTTCCTCAAAGGTCCTGTCAATACTAAAGGATTCATTCATCTGTGGAGTGCTTACCATTTAATGCTAAGAATGCAAGTTAAAAGTGCTTAACAACATCTAGCAAAATGACACAAACTACTAAAAGTGAAAAGAAACCCTTATGAAGGCACAAATGACTTGCACTCTTGAAACCTGATGTTGACAGGACATTTACACAAAATCCTAAACTGAATTTATATTCCAACTAAAAAATGCCATCTCCTAAAATCAATTTGGTTTTGGTGCAGAGAGAAAGCACTGGCCTTCCAGATTCAAAGTACTGCCTTTGATAGCACCTTTTTCCTTGAATCATTTTCTAAATATTTGTTCAAAAATATCTGTAGCTTGTAAAACCTGATGGGATTTTAAAAAGGATATGATCATATTGCACACTTATTAGATGTAACTGAGAATTGTGCTTTAAGTACTTTTTGCATGCACAGAAATTACTTATGAACAATCTGTTGTAGTTTGCTTTTAAAAAGATTAAACAGCACCGTTGTGGGAAATCTGCCCTTTCCTTCAGCTGAGGTGGCAATTCTCAGTGATGTGATTTTAATCACTAAGACCTGGAAGATAAAGCCATGATCAGCTACTATTAGCCAACATAAACAATTCCGTGTCAACCACTGTTAGTTACAGTAGATGTGAGGATTAAAGCTAGTAACCTAAAGATTGCTGAATCCCTACGGCCTTTTAATAAGCCTCTGAACCATCCAGTTCTCATGGCCTAGATAGGGTTATTTGGGGCTTAAGTTTGAATATGTTAACCTTATTTAAAGGATGGCATTTCAGCTGCCAAATTGAAAGACAATTGAAACACGTCACCCCAAAATCTAGTAAGCTTTCTTTTCACAGTAGTATGAGTTAGCAATTCTAAAATTACTTTCTGTGTATTCTATTCATGAGCAAATACATAAATATTTTGAGGATAATGGCAGCCAGGTTTCTTCCTGTTAAAGGAGTTATAAATATGGAAAAGGGGGAAACTAGAAAGCAGCATTTGACTAGAGTTGAAGGTATCAGTACAAATTCATGGTTTTTAGTAGCTAGAAATAAATATAAGTATTTTTGTATGTATCCGTCTGCTGAGAGGGACTACACACAATGACACACCAGTAGCAATGAGCAAACCTGGCACTCAGTAGATCTTGGTTCCTGAATACCATTCTACGTGGAAAGGAAGCAGAGCTCCTTGGAGAAATAGCCAATTGCAGGGCTAGAGTGGGAATAGTACAAGTTGAGCCTGGAACATCTTGTACCAAAAAGCAAGAAAGTCCCCAAAGAATGATGAGGACACAAGTAAAGGACATAGACATCCTGGGGTTCCCATTGGTCAAAACTGGGACAGTTAGAACATCAAAATAAGTAACAACAGTAACAATATTTGATTTGTTGACTAAGAATCCATGAGTCCATTCTGTTATAAACAAATGAAAAAATGAATGGGGGAGGAAGGAAAATGCTTTCTTTCAGTAGAATGTCAACTAATAAATATTGAGTTAGAAAGTCAGTCACTCAAGGATAGGGAGGAGGAGGTTTAAGTGTCCCATGGTAAAGCATTCAGTCTCTATAGCAGCCAGTGACATGGAAGAGCTGTTTCTCAATGGGAATACAATTCTCTGCTGCAGACGTTATCACCTTGCTCCAGAATCCCAGGGGCCTATGTTATGACTCTTCCACTGGACTTGCCATAAATTCCACACTGCATCTTTTCCCACCACTGACACACTAGGGTCTGCTGGGTCATATGATCCAAGTATCAGGGCTGCTTGCACCTGAAGCCTGGAACTGTTGCAGAGCCCTTTCCTGTTCTGGGCCCCATTCAGAGCTGGCGACCTTCCACGTCACTTGGTATATGAGGAGCTGGCTCATTACTCTTAGATGTAGAATGTGTTGCCTCCAGAACCCAAAGGGGTCTACCAAGTGCTATACTTCCTTATTGGTATAGAGGCTGTAAGACGCAGCAATTTGTCTTTCACTTCGGAGAGGATATCTCGACACTGCCCTGAGCACTGGACCTCTAAAAACTTTACTAATGTGACTGTTCTCTGAATCTTCAGTGTTTATCTCCCATCCTCTGGCATTCAGGTATCTTACCAAGGCCTTCACCATACTAGCTATCTCTTCCTCATCCTGTCCTATAAGTAGGATGTTGTCAATAAACTGGATCAGTGTGGTGTTCTGAGGGATGAGATGGTCCAGAGTTCTTCATATTATGACTGAGGGTGAGAGTTAACACAGGCTGAGGCAAAACTCAGCCTGAATATTTTTGTCTGTTCTACATGAATGTGAACTATTTCTGATCCTGTTTTCCAACTGGAATGGTATAAAATGCATTTACCAAATCAAAGATTGCATACCATGTATCTGTACTGATCTGCTCTAGCAATGAGTCCAGCACAGCAGGTGAGAGCAGGGTTATTCTTTGGTTAAGTTAGTAGAAGTCTATAGTTACCATCTAGGATCTATTCAGTTTCAAGGAGCAGCCTGCAAATTAAAAGATACGATTGGGACCACCACTCCTCCATCCTTCAGGTTTTAAATAGTGGGACTAATTTCCGTCATTCCCCCAGGATACAATATTGTGTCTGATTTACTATCTTGGCAGGAGTGGGAGGCAGTTTCAGTGTTTTACTTGGCTGTCCTAAGACAGCTTAGTCCACAGACCCAAGCACCCTTAAAATCCAATCCCAAGAGTGCTCCCCTGGTTCTTGCAAATACGTCAGCATGTCCCAGCTGGGTTATGTTGGGATTTAATCTTAGTTACTGGCTTGGCAGCCAGGAAAGGAAGTAGGGGAAGTTGGAGAAGGTGGGAGAAAGGGCTACTGCCTTGTGGCAGCAAGCTTCTGTATCTTCCAGCACAGCAGACATACTAGTTAGACCAGAAGGTCCAGAGGGAGCTGCAGGGGCATCCATCCAGACCCCATCCCATGTTCAGGATCCCAGGTTTCTCTACATTAATAGACCTGCCTATTCTAAATATTAAATGGTCCAATGTCTCTGGAGCTCTGTGACTCTTAACAATTAGCTCTTGAACCTGTGGTTCAACTGAATCTGTCCTATAGGTGATAAAGACCTCTTTGTAAGTTACCATAGAGCCTCTCATACTTAGCTATTAACTGCTTGTTAACAGTCCCATTTCTTGTTTTCCACTTGTAGTGTTTAAGTTAGCAATAACCAGCCAACTCTGCTGTCTCTGCAAGCATTTTCAAATGCCTGTATCACACTTAGCCCCATTATTTCCTTCTATTGGGACAGGGTTCCAAGTCAACACTGGTGAAATTAAGCAATTAAGCTGCAAAGTTATGTCTGGGACTATGAATGCTCCATCTACCAACTAAGGTGGCATCTTCTCAGTCAGGTAATGGATGGGACTGTTCCAATATTATCACCCCAGAAGTAGATGCCAAGATGGGACTAAATGTACAAGACTTTTTATTAGGGAAAACACCTGTGAGAGAAGATAGGGAAGGAGCTGGGAAAGAACTGGTGGACTATCACACTAGGATGCAAGTCTGACCCCAAATGTAAGAGAGCGGGAAAGAAGGTTGTGTGGAAGTGTACCAGACTGCCATGTAGCCTAAGGAAGGCTTGGCAAAGCAATGGGGATGTCCTTGAGCCTGAGCTGGCTATCAGAAGAGTCTTGGGTCTCCTAGAATCTCTATGATGCTCAGTTGCTGAACTGTGAGAAAAGCAAGGTCTTAGCACAAACATAGTGATGGATTTCACAGCATAGCAAGCAGCTGGGGCCCTTGGCCAAGTAAGCTCCCTGTAGTTGGGGGTCTGTGAGGTACATTCTCATAGCAGCAGCATCCTAGCAAGAGGCAGAGCTGGGATTCAAACCAGGTAGTTTGGTTTGAGTCTATACCCTCAACCACCGAACCAGAAGACATGTCTTGGAATTACAAGAGGTCTGAAATAAATCTATCATGCAGAAGATTTGTAAGGAGCCTGGGCCAGACTAGTAGGATCTCTAGGATCCTCTAAGAAGTTTGTATCTCATTCTACAGATAATAATGTGGGGGATACAGGGTGAGGGCACATCACAGTTAATGTATAGGACTATATTCCATATGCATTACATACATGCATGAATAATTTATAGGCCCATGTGTAGCTTTGAGTTCTCTGTGGTATAAAAGGATTAGCAGATTTGAAGACAGATGCAACAAAAAGTGATTCCTGTACTACATATATGATTGCATATACGTATTGCATATATGCAATGCTACATATATGGTAAAGTGGTCCAAAAAGTGCTGACAAAGCATTCATACCTTCCAGGGTATAAAAGTTTGAAAAAAAGGACCAAGACAAATTCATTTTCTATAACTCTTTACAAAATCATACTGTGGTACAAGGCAATCAAAAATTCATTGAATTTTTGCTATTTAAAAAATTTCATTAATTTATTTATTTATGGTTTTGAGATAGGAAGTCTCACCCTGTTTCCTAGGCTGGTCTTGAACTCTTGGGTTCAAGGGATCCTCCTGCCTCGGCCTCCCAAGGTGCTGAGACTACAGGCGTGAGCCACCATGTCTGGCCACTATTTACTACCAGTATTAAAATTTCTACCATTTTTACACAGAGGCACTATTTCCACTTAGGCTGTGTGTCAAATCTGCATTTACAGGCTAAGTGAGGAACTTAGCTACTATTTATAGTATTAATTACATGATAATCTGTGTAAGCTCCCAACAATCATCTTACAAATGAATTCTACAGAATACAACCTTTTTATTATCAAAAGGAAGTTACATGTTTATTAATTAGTATCACAATAAACAGGTATTATTAATACTATTTTATGGATATAGGAATCTAGGCACAAAAATAAAGTTTCCTTGACCCACATAATGAGATAAAATATGAACCCAGAACTAGAGATTACATCAGATTCCTATACACCTATATTCATTAACAGTACAACTCTACAACTGTGGCATAGTCCTACAACAGAATATTAAAACCTAGAGATAAAAAAAAAAATAAAAAAAAATTGGTCCAACTTTCTGTCTGAAGGCAGGAATTATTATTATCTGCTTATTACAGAGAGTGGAGAATTAGTTGGTCAAGGGCAAATCTAAAAATTTAGGAAAACTTCAAATTCAAAGCCTCCAGAAACTCATCAAACTTGCCAGTATTACTTACCCTACTTCAAGAAGACATATATGAAACAGAATGGAGTTTCTGATTTCAGATTGCTCTACTTCCTTACTTTAAGCCAGGAAGCCTAAAAACATAAACTGAACTCAGCAGATGCAACTAAAAATTTGGGACCAGGATGTCTTTAAGTGAGGGACCAGGATGTGTAACTGATGGTTTAGGAAACTATATTTATAGCCTGGTATCATTAAATTTTTGTTCACTTTTTAAAGTAGATTCCAAATATACACATTATACTCTGAAAGCTTTTTAAAGACACAAACTAGCTTTTAGAATTAGACTTTGGGATGCAATTCCAAATGATTTCTTACGTTCCACAGTTCTGAATGAGAACTAATGGTTCTGAATAGTTATGAGATTTAAAAATAAACATAAAAATTTGGATCAATGGGAGAATTTTACTTGTAACTACCTGTTAACATATCAGGGGTCTCTATGTAAACTTCTGAGATTCAAACACTTTACCTACAGGCAACCTGTACCCCACATTATTTCACAAAGGATTGCGATGTCTTCCTACGTGAACATATACAATAATGATAAAGGATATCTGTTCTAGGAAAAGCATATTTAAAAAGAAATGCAAGTATGCAGGTTAGGATGACCGTTAAACGTGCATTTCAAATTTGGCTTGAGCTTCCTGACAAAATTTTCACTATCAAAAAGTGGCTTCCGAAACTATTCTAAGAATCACTTACTAATATATCTTACATGGGACTTTATATAAAGGACACTGAGGCTGGGTGTGGTGGCTCACGCCTGTAATCCAAGCACTTTGGGAGGCTGAGGCAGGAGGATTGTTTGAGGCCAGGAGTTTGAGACCAGCCCTGGCAACACAGCAAGACCCCATCTCTAATAAAATTAAAAAATAAAAAAGTAAAAGGGCACAATATGACACAGAGGACAATACCCTTGACAACATCATATTGCAAATGCAGTTAAAAATTTTTGCATGGTTACTTTAAGCAGTTAGCTTAGGTGAAGGTAGAAGGTCTAAATTAAAATGCTACTTGGTGAAGGCAATCGTGCTAGGGGCTGCTTTTGCAATACAAAGCTTTTACACTGAAGGCTTCTTAAACGTGAATTAGTCTTCCCAATGGGATAGCAATTCTAATTTAATGGCTAGGAGAACCCAGTACAGAAATAAAAAGTTACTTGACATAGCTAAAAATCATATAGGGACAGGCCTAATATTTGATCCTCTAGTTTCAGCCAGAAAGTTTAGGGTCTCTTACGATTTTAGCAGGACTACAACCCAAGGCTTCAGATTTACTGGACATTTTACTCCTCCAAAAGGATGGCTGCTAACTACAGGGAATTAGTTTGCAGCATGTACATGTATGGTGGCATTCTGGAGATTAAGCATTGTAAATATGAAGTCTTGGAGTTAAAAAAGCACACATCCAATTTTCAGTATTATGTCAACAAATATAAACTACCCAAAACAGCAATATATAATCACCTATATTGACTACGCTCAAAAAACACACTGAATTGGTTTTAAAATGGCAATGGCCATGGGTAGCAAGGAATTATCAACAACAGAAGCACCTGCTATCTAATCTTTCTCCCACAATCTGCGTTTGGAATCACAGGCTGGAAAGTATCTAGTGAGGGCATCTAGTCTGCGTATACACTCTTATCCCATTTTCAAAGATCTCTATTTAGATCTCTAGTCTAGCTTGCTCTTATCTTAAATCGTAGCACCTACGGCCTAGGACTAATTCTTTTTATCAATGAAAATGATGAATCACGACTTTCCTGTAAATACTTTTACGAAGTTGGAAATCATTAAGTAACTAGTCTTCTCTCATTAACACGATAACTACAATTATTTTAACCTTTCCCAAAACATCTTACTAATCTTTTAGACCTCTTCCTACTAGGGTATCTCACCACTTTCAAAACATACTTCAACAGTTTGGCACTTTACTATGAGCTTCACAAATATCCAGGATTTAAATTATTTCATAATTCCTTCAAACATTCTCAGTTTTATTTGTAAGCAACAATGCTACATCGTGAAATCAATTATTTAAAACAATGTTCTAGGTATTGGGGTAACCGACCTCATATAGCTTACATTCTAGTGGAAAAAATAGACAGTGAACCAGTAAACAAGGTATCAGATTGAGGTAAAAGCTGTGGAGAAAAAAAATGTTATGGGGGTGGAGAAGCCTTTTGTAATAGGTAGCACTTCATTTGAAACCTCTAGGAAGGCAGTAGCCCTGCAAACATATGAAAAGAACGTTTTAAGCAATTTTTGGCTAATGAAAGTTTAACGAGTAATCTGCTATATATTTATATGCATTCCTTCCAAATTATATAACCTTGTACTGCTCCCTATTGAATTTTATTGTTCTTATTTTGAAGACTAATTCTATCCTTTTTTTTTTTTTTTTTGAGACGGAGTCTCACCCTGTCACCCAGGCTGAAGTGCAGTGGCGCGATCTCGGCTCACTGCAAGCTCCGCCTCCCGGGTTCAAGTGATTCTCCTGCCTCAGCCTCCTGAGTAGCTGGGACTACAGGCACCCACCACCACGCCTGGCTAATTTTTTGTGTTTTTAGTCCACGCCCGGCTAATTTTTTTGTATTTTTAGTAGAGACGGGGTTTCACCATGTTAGCCAGGATGGTCTCGATCTCCTGACCTCTTGATCCACCCACCTTAGCCTCCCAAAGTGCTGGGATTACAGGCGTGAGCCACCGCACCCGGCCTCTATCTTTTATAAGCTTTTCATTATCTCCTTTAATTGGTGTATTCCAAAGTTTGAGACGCATGCCTTCTAATTTAAACAAGCATTTCTTAATAATATTAACTAACAGTTTAGGAGGTGTTTCTGCCAAACAACATTTAATAATGGTTGGAAAAATACTAACTGAAACAACTTATAGGATAGGCCTAAATGAGTTTTCCAGAAAACAATTTGGTCACACTTTGCAGGGAAAATAGGCTGAAACAGGCAGAGTATGACCCATTCAGAAGATGAGGCTAATGGGACCATGAACCACCGATGGGTTGGTCTAATAGCAGTGAAAGAGCCCAACAGAGAATTGAGAGGTTTATAATGTCATGTATGTGGGATGAAGAAGCCGATCAACTGGCAAGGTTGGAGAAAACCTTCCCCAGCACATTGGCTCTCTGAGACATGCTGCCACCACCTGGGCAATAGGCAATTTTGAAGTTTGGGGGGATTTTAGTTATTATCTGTTAACAATTATAGAATCAAAAAACATACTTTCATATTATAAAATCAGCATTTTTTGTCAAGAAAAATGAAAGACAAAAAACGCTGATTTCATAGAATGAAAGCATGTTTTTTGATTCTACAATGGTTTTGTTTTTCGATTAAAAAAGAGCAGAGATTTTGGCCAGATATACTTAAAATTCCTGCTTTATTTTTAAAGTCTCTGGTTCCCTATCTGTAAAATTAGTATAAAAATACAATCCTGTGGTGTTGTTTAGTTTCAGGATTAGTGATAATAAGTGTGAAGCACCTAGCCCAGCACCTGGTACATACTAAGTACTCAATAAGTAACTTTTTTTTTTTTTTTGAGATGGAGTTTTGCTCTTGTTGCCCAGGCTGCCAGGCTGGAGTGCGGTGGCGCGATCTCGGCTCACGGCAACCTCTGCCTCCTGGGTTCAAGCAATTCTCCTGCCTCAGCCTCCCGGGCAGCTGAGATTACAGGCATGCGCCACCATGCCTGGCTAATTTTGTATTTTCAGTAGAGACGGGGTTTCTCCATGTTGGTCAGGCTGATCTCGAACTCCTGACCTCAGGTGATCCACCAGCCTCGGCCTCCCAAAGAGCTGGAATAAGTAGCTTTTTTTTTTTTTTGAGATGGAGTTTCGCTCTTGTTGCCTAGGCAGGAGTGCAATGGCATGATCTCTGTTTGCTGCAACCTCCACCTCCTGGGTTCAAACAATTCTCCTGCCTCAGCCTGCCAAGTAGCTGGGATTACAGGCATGTGCCACCACGCCCAGCTAATTTTTTAATTTTAGTGGAGACGGGTTTCACCAAGTTCATCAGGCTGGTCTCGAACTCCTGACCTCAGGTGATCCACCTGCTTCTGCTTCACAAAGGGCTGGGATTACAGGCATGAGCCAATGTGCCTGGCCACAATAAGTAGCTTTAAAAAAAATTATTCTTCTGTATAAACTTTCAAATATCACTAAAATCTGATTATGCTAAAAAAAAAAAAATCACTGCCTGGGCACAGTGGCTCAGGCCTGTAATCCCAGCACTTTGGGAGGCTGAGGCGGGCAAATCACCCGACATCAGGAGTTTGAGACCAGCCTGTCCAATATGGTAAAAACCCATCCCTACAAAAAATACAAAAATTAGCTGGGCATGATGGTGCACGCCTGTAGTCCCAACTACTCGGGAGGCTGAGGCAGGAGAATCACTTGAACCTGGGAGGTGGAGGCTGCAGTGAGCTGAGATCGCACTACTGCACTCTAGCCTGGGCAAGAGAGCGAGACTCTGCCTCAAAATAAATAAATAAATAAAAATAAATAAATATTACATAAATGTGCCTATTAAGAAATGTTTTGCATTATGTTTCAATGGAAGTAAAAAACCTCACAAAATAAAATTTAGGGAAGAAACCAATTCCATCAAAGTAAGATGCAGGTAAGAGAACTCTCAAAGTCTTTTAGACACACTCAATTGTTATTATTAAACTATATTATTATCTTAATATTATCTGAATCTTATTCTGGTTTCACTACTTACAACTTTGACATGGGTTAGAATGAGATATAATTTTGCACCAATCAAGGGAAAAATACTTTTTAAGAAAAAAAATGGCATGGGACTGCCACAGGACTTCCATTCTCAATAGACAAAAGAATTTTATAAGGCTCTACTTATAAAATATAATTGCAATAGAGTACACTAGTGCTGAAGAGGCTGGTGGTGTGATATACTACACAGGAATTATCTTATGCAAAGGCAGGCCCTATTTCATTAACAGCATCAGGTTTAGTTAGTTTGGCTAAACTTACATGAATAATATTTTATTTCTTAAAAGTAAATAAAGCAGACCTTATTTCCTTGTTATTCTAAATTCGTATTCTGACAGACATTTGAGAGAATAAAAACCTGATTAAGGATCTTTTCAAACAAAGAAATAAGATCTTGTCCTGGAACAGTGGCTCACACCTGTAGTGCCAGCACTTTGAAAGACAAAGGCAGGAGGATCACTTCAGGCAAGGAGTTTGGGACCAGCCTGGGCAACAGAGTGAAACCCTGCCTCTAGAAAAAAATTTTTAAAAATTAGTTGGGCATAGTGGCATGCATCTGTAGTCCCAGCTACTCTAGAGGCTGAGGTGGGAGGATCGCTTGAGCCCAGGCAGTCAAGGCTGCAGTGAGCAGTGATGGACCCACTGCACCCCAGCGTGGGTGACTTAGTGAGACCCTGTCTCAAAAAAAAAAAAAAAAAAAATCACTGAAACTCATTCTCTCTAGTTGGGCTTGACTTAGAACTGAATACATTAAGCAGAAAATTAACACTGGTCATAGGTTTAAAAAATAATGAGTATGCTAAGCTGGGCATGGTGGCTTGTGGCTGTAGTCCCAGCTATTCAGAAGGTGAGGAGTGAGGATCCCTTGAGCCCAGGAGTTCGAAGAGGCAGTGGGCTATGATCGCACCACTGCATTCCAGCTGGGCCAGAGCAAGACCGTGTTTAAAAAAAAAAAAAAAAAAAAAGGCCAGGCGCGGTGGTGGCTCACGCCTGTAATCCCAGCACTTTGGGAGGCCGAGGCGGGTGGATCACGAGGTCAAGAAATCGAGACCATCCTGGCCAAATGGTGAAACCCCATCTATACTAAAAATACAAAAATTAGCTGGGCGTGGTGATGCCCGCCTGTAGTCCCAAGTACTCAGAAGGCTGAGGCAGGAGAATCGCTTGAACCTGGGAGGTGGAGGGTGCAGTGAGCCAAGATCGCAGCACTGCACTCCAGCCCTGGTGACAGAGACTCCGTCTCAAAATTAAAAAAAAAAAAAAAAAAAAAGACCTTAAGAAAACTTGCAATAATGTTTCTATCAAATACCTTACTATGCTATTTATTTAAGAAAAATGACCAAATCCAGTCCAATTTACAGATTTTAAAGCTGAAAGGGCATTGGAGATTGCCTAGTATGCTTTCCACATATCTAAGTGGAAACACACTCAGAGTGATTTATCAGAGTATACATAACATTACTGTACCACAACTGTGAATCTCAGTTCACGAGCTCAGACTTCTCTTTATGGAAAGTAGTTCACAGTATTTGAATCAATCCTGACACCACCTTTAGTTAAGGCAATGCAGACTGCAGTAAGGAGCTCCACTGTGGCAACCCCTATGCTGTTCCTGGTCTTGCAGACTGTCCTGTAACTTGAAGCTAGATGAGCAAACTTAGATTGTAAAGGCATGGTCTAGATCAGCAGTCTCCAACCTTAATGGCATCCAGGACTGGTTTCGTGGAAAACAATTTTTCCATGGACGGGGATGGGGGATGCTTTCAGGATGAAGCTGTTCCACCTCAGATCATCAGGCATTAGATTATCATAAGGAGCGCACAACCTAGATCCCTCGCACATGCAGTTCACATTACGGTTCGCACCATGAGAATCTAATGATGCTGCTGATCTGACAGGAGGCGGAACTTAGACGGAAATGCTCACTCACCCATCGCTCACCTCCTGCTGTGCGGCCCCGTTCCTAACAGGCTGCAAACCAGGTACCAGTCCGTCGTTGGGGACCCCTGGTCTAGATTACAGCTAAAGAACTACAAAGGCTTTCTCTTTATATGCCCTTCCTTCCTGCCCAAGACTTCTGGGCTTTTAACTAGGGATGCAGCACTGCAAGTATCCGGAGGCAGTAACTGGGAAAACCACCTATCATGATTAAAATAAAACACGCATTGGCCTCTGGAACGAAGGATGTTAAAATAATACATTCTGCCCACATCTTGGATTCAAGACTTGGGGAAGTTTTAGAAAAATCAGTTATCTCAAGTAAGTATTCAGTGCACACAATCCAGTGACTGAGTCTACTTTTTCTGGCTACTAAGGTACAGGCTAGGCCTAAGCAGCATAGGCTTTGAAACTATCATCCAGGTTTTCAAATAAAAAGGAGTAAGAAAACAACTGCTGGTAATACAACATTACAAACATTAACATATGCCCAACGAACAGTATCGTAGATCGTTAGATTATCTGCCAAAAGCCTGTTCCCTGGTAAATAACAGTTATTGTTGTTTTACCTAAACTAGTTAAACATGTCGCAGCTTGCTCCTGAAAGAGAACATTCTATAGTCTTTGGAGAATCAGTGAAGAGGTCTTGCAACATTTGTCAGAGGTAGTCAAACAGTGCAAGCAATCACAAAATTTGGTCACCAACCAAACCAGATTAGCTAATCTTTCAGTTCCTGTAGATTAGAAGACAATATTAACTCACCCTTTCTGCATGTTGACTTTTGCATCCCTTTATTTGTGTATTGAAAGAACAAGCACCTCTATGGGAACTCTATGCCCTGACAGTTTAATTACTTATCAAGTTTACTCTGGGCCGGTATTGATCATTCTTTCGTGAAACGAATTAGATACTTAAATTAAAAACAAACAACAAAACCCCCCTTTTCACATAGCATGGCGGCATGTCCCTTGGTAACAAGGTTGAGTGGATCCACCAAGGCCCAGTAGCTTGCCTCCTTTTCGTAAGGATGTAACTATTGTCCAACCAGAAGAGAGAGGCATGGAGTGGGATGTGCACCAGGATGAACTCGCCGGAATCGTCAAGAGTCGTTGTGTGACCCTCACCTTGACTTCGGGCGTTTTGTGGGGACCCAACTGCTTTCTTGCCGCTGCTCTTTGGTCTGAGTTTCCCTCAGCCAAACACTTCACCCACCCATGACCCTCCAACTGTCCCGCTACAGCAGGGGATGGGGGTTGTCTTCCGATCGACCTCGGGGGGCAAAGGCAAAAGTCCCTAGCTGCTTCGGAACCGCTCCTCGAGTCCTGAAGCCGCTCCACGCCTCCTCGCCCACCACTTGGTCCCCGCAGGACGTGGCAGTCTCGGGCTCCAGCCTGGAAAGGAGCCCGCCCGGGTGCCGTCACCCGCCCCGCGCGGCCTCACCTGCCGCTCCCCGGAAATCTCAGCGCTGCCCTGCCCCCGCCCCCACCCTCCCGCGTCCTCCAACTCGAGGTCCCAAGACCCACACAGCAATGGCGCAGCCGGAAACTGGGCCCTAGACTTACTCACGCCCGGCTGGCGGCTCGGGTCGCCTGTGGGCGGGACGCAAAGGCCGCGACTTCCGCCTTCCTGCTTCCGGTCTGGCGGTGAGTGGGGAGTGGGATCCGATCCCGTGGGGCTATGTAGGGGAAGTTGGTGGCTGCAGCTGCCGTGGTTTTCTCCTGGTGTCCAGCAGAAACGGCGGCGGCGCAAGGTGTGGCTGGGCCAACCCAGGATCTCCCAGGACCCTCCGCTCTGCGCGACAAGGGGCCCGCGCTTGCCAAGGCCGACGGGCAGGAGTGAACGTGGCCTCCGTGGGTCTGCAGCCCCGATAGGGTAAGGAGGGAAGAGTGAGCAAGGGAGAAACGTAAGGAATAAGGGAAAGACAAAGGAGGAAGTGCGGACGGCCGTCAAGTGCTACCCGTTGCAGCCGCAGGGGCCACGCGGGTCTGGTTGGGAGATCGAGCCTGGTCGATCCGTTTTGGGCGGAAGAGTAGGATTTATTCCTGAAAGTGTGGAGGCGCGAGCGTTTGGGTCCGAAGTTGAGTTGCAGGGAGATGTGTGGCCTGTGGACCATGGCTCTTTTACTGCAAAGTTCTTTTGCTTATTTCTGAAACTTACATTGTTTATTCGCTACTGGGCTGGAGAAGGTGAAGGCAGATCGATCTCAGTAGTACCTAATTCTAACTGTATGGGTGAGGTCGTATGAAGTCCAGGAGCTAAGATATTTAACGTATTAGGCACTTTCATGTGTGTTCAGTTGAAAATCGTGGGGAAGATATAATTAAAACTAGTCACAGTTTTCTTGGGGTAATGGGACTGTGGGTGAATTACTATAATTTGTTTGGTTATGTCTTCTAATTTTTTAAGTAAAGGACACAAATTGTATGATGGACCCAAAAAAACCTTTATAAAGAGTAAGATGAGCTGTTTGATTTTGTAGTGGTGTACCTAATCCAGTAAATAAATGAGTGGCAACATTTTTAGTATAAAAATTGAAAATCTAGGAACGGATACGCTGTGTAAGTCAGTCAGTGAGCCAACTTGTCTCCCGTATGTCAATGAACTAAAAAAATTTTATTATTGAAATAAGTAACTTAGTAAAATACTTGATTTCCAGTAATTAGGATTTTCTTACAGGGCATTTGCAATTGTAAATTCAAATGAGGAAGAAACGTATTAAGTTACTATACCGGATAGGCAATTTTAGATGTCATATAGGTTGCATATATACAATATAGAAATTTTCCATTTAAAATTTTATTACAATTATCCTGAAATTGTGACTTAAATTTTGTTTTATTTTTTGTATTCTTTCCAACTAGCCAATTGTACAGAATTTAAACCGTCTCTCAGATGTGTACAGTAGAACTCAAGAAGACAGACTACCAAGGGTCATCTGAAGTCGTGATTGGGTCACTAATAACACCAGGACAAAGTTAAGGGATCACTACTCAAGCATAAGGTAGATGATTTTTTTAAAAAAATTCCAGTTGAAATTGTAAGTGGATGTATATACACTCATTCCCTACCCAGGTATTCTAATTCTCCACTTTGAATAGCGGTTGACACAAACATGAAAGGGAGAAAAGCCTCTGGGGCAAAATAGAAAACGTCACTCAAGTCACATAATCCTCATTTGCCAGTTGCCTTTTCCTTACACTCAAAAAGGAACAAAACACATGGCATCTGTTAAGGCTACTTTCTCATTTATTAAATTAGGCTTATTCCAACAGAGGTCCTCAAAGCTGAAAGGGCATAAAATAGCACAGTACTTTTTGCTTCTTTGGCATATTAATGCGATGTCATGACTCCCTTACCCTCTCCTTCCCATTCGGGGAAATAGTCATCTCTCCTTCTCTGCGAGCATTTCACATGCTCTGTTGCTTGTCCTTTTCAAACACCAAATTTGCTGATTTGTATTTTTGTTAATTAGTAATACTAAGGATATGTCAAAAAATGACAAACTGTATTCAGCTGTTTCCTGGAATGACCACAGAAAACTCAAGATTTTTATAAAAGCCTCCTCCTAAATAAAGTTTGTCTTGAATATAGGAGGCATGTGAGAATGCATAGTCCTTATGACAGAGTCACATGGCTTTTTTAAATCTTCTATAACTTTACCTCTTTGAAGTGTCACTATTCTGGCTGTACTAGATGAATTACTTTTTCCTAACCAGAGATACTAGTCCTTATTACAATAGTACTAAGTTGTACTTTTTAAAAAAGCAAACTGAGTGATAATGGAATCCTGAGTTAACTGGTTGTGTGAGGAAACTTTTTCAAAATTTGATTAACCACATAGTCTTTTCTCCTGTTTTTTTCCTCTGTGTTCTCCACCCGCCTCCCCCAGCCCCAGTTTTCATAAGACTGCTGTGAAGATGTTTGATATAAAGGCTTGGGCTGAGTATGTTGTGGAATGGGCTGCAAAGGACCCCTATGGCTTCCTTACAACCGTTATTTTGGCCCTTACTCCACTGTTCCTAGCAAGTGCTGTACTGTCTTGGAAATTGGCCAAGATGATTGAGGCCAGGGAGAAGGAGCAAAAGAAGAAGCAAAAACGCCAAGAAAACATTGCAAAAGCTAAACGACTAAAAAAGGATTGAAGGACTGAACAGGCTTTGCAACCAGAGGAAAATCATTTGGAAAATTACACAGCTTTGGAAGAATCCACTAAAGTTTCTTCTTTGGATTTCTTGACAGTATGATTTAGTAAATGAAATTTGACCAAATGGAAGAATCATGTTAGTTCTGACCTCAATACTATAGTAACTTTTAGGCGTGGGTGTAGAAGTTTATAGGTTTCTATTGACAGTTATTGTAAATTAGCATTTACTGTGGTACAAATTCTTTATAACTGACTTAGTCATTTGCCGCTTAGCAGTTTATATACTGAAATGAAAACATCTTGTGGGGAAAAGTGACTTTAGATTATGAACTCAATTCAAATGAACTCTATTTAAAATGGGGTCCTATTTTGGACAAAGGAAATTAAGAATGTAAAAGTCAGAACAGTCTTGAGGTAAAAAGTGTGCTTTGGCTTAAAAGGGATACAGTATATTAATTACATCTTTTATTATTATTGTTTATTTCTTAGAATCATTTCTGGCTTTCTCAAAACAAAATAATATTAATGAGTACTTCTATTTGCTGCATTTTTCTTATTACAGCCTTTGAGACAGCTGGTAATTATAAGTCATTTTCCATTTTTTAAAACATAATTTTATAAAGAATTCTCTTATCTCGACTATGTAGAATACCACCTACTGGACAGAACAATTTTTGTACTCACAAACACTGCCATTTTCTTAGAGATGGCTTGAGAGGAGTAACACTATGGTTTAAAGCTTGCAGTAAAAATGCCAAACACTGTAGTACCTTGGAACCCAGTTTATTCTTGTGCTAAGCAGAACTGTAAAATAGTTAAAATGTCTTATCAAGTAATTCGCCGATTACAAAGACACCATTTGTTTTTTATTTCATTCTTTGTTTTAACTCATGTGGTAGTGATATTTAATACTTTCTGATCAAACAGGTTCAAAGTAAAACGTTAAATTTCACATTTCTTTTAAAGAACTCTTAAAGTGTAACAGTTACGCCATACTTCATAAGTGGTAAAGAAAGGTATAAAATTTGGAAACATTTTGTTGGGCATAGTAGTGATTGGGTGAAAAGGATAAATTATATCAAAATGAGAATGTGCTGTAATTGGAAGTAGGGAGCTAAAGGATGTTTCTTTCAGTTTAGTAGAACTGGAACGTTTTACTATTAAACATGGCTTTTATAAATGCATGGTCCAATAATTTTATTCACTGTTAGTATTTAATTCACTGTCAGCTTATTAATGTTTTCTGTACCCATTAATGAATTTTAAATTACAAAAAATTGTCTAGCAGCTACAGTTTAAAAATGAAACTAGACATTAAAATAAATTTGATAATTTTTTATAAAGAGGTCCTGGATTTTTTTTTTTTTTTTGGAGGAACTAACATTTTAAGTTACATTATGTTATGCAAGTTAGAATTTCAGTTACAGCTAAGCATACTTGTAAAATTTCAGGACTGTATCTCTCAGAACCTAAGGACCACTGAGAATGTTTATGGACCAGTTTGAATAACACTTAATGCTATTCTTTTAGATTATCAGTCTCTACTTGGTGCCAGTGTGAGCAACACATTATAACTCAAGGCACTGAAATTATTCAGTGTTAAGATATATCTATAATATGTTTGGTTTTCTGCAATCAAGCTGTTCATGGAAAGAATTTATGTACATGTTTTACTTAGGGTCACATTTTAGAGTAAAAGTATTGAAGCAAAGGATATAGTCATAATTCTCAGTTACCTACTAAAGTTATGGTTTCATCAGTTCTGTTGTAACAACTTAAAGGTATTTAAAGGTCTGTTTTTCTATAATTTATTAGTCTTAACACATGCCAGTTTTGTATTTGTTTGACATATGCTTTTTTTTTCCACTTTTTTCCATCATTTAGAGAGCCTTTCTATATATGTGAGATTCATACTTTACAGTGTGTGTGTGTGTGTGTGTGTGTGTGTGTGTGTAAGGGGCTGGAGTATAGAGAATATTGTGAGGTTTGGGATTCTTCAGAAAAATCACCTCTCACTGCAACAGAGTACTGTTGTTAAAGAATCCCATTTGCTATTATCTAGAATACTTTTAAGAAATTGTTTACTTATTACATTGTTTCTGAAGTTCTGAGAACTAAGTACAATCAATTACCATTCTAAAGCTGGTCTTGGGGGAGAAAGAAAGCTGTCCCCTGGCTGCCTCTAACAAACATTTTATCAAAAATCAGCAAATAAATAAAAGTTTGTATGTCAGAACTTGAGCCATAGTATCCATGATAACTTTCAGCATATTACTAGTTATCAGATATATAAGGACATTTTAAATTTTACTTGTTTATAATAAGCAAACTAGAAATAAGCACAGGAGGCCGGGTGCGGTGGCTCATGTCTGTAATCCCATCACTTTGGGAGGCCAAGGCAGGCAGATCACAAGGTCAGGAGTTCAAGACCAGCCTGGCCAACATGATGAAACCCCGTCTCTACTAAAAATACAAAAATTAGCTGGGTATGGTGGCGTGCACCTGTAATCCCAGTTACTGGGGAGGCTGAGGCAGGAGAATTGCTTGAACCCAGGAGGTAGAGGTTGCAGTGAGCCAAGATCATGCTACTGCACTCCAGCCTGGCGACAGAGCAAGGCTCTGTCTCAAAAAAAAGCACAGGAAGCTGTGGGCTGGAAACCTAATGTTGAAATAGACCTTATATTTTATATGGTTCTAAGTTGGAGGCAATTTGATCCTATTTAGGAATGATTGCTTTTATATTTGCTACTGGTTATAGAATCATGCTGATTTACTTCATATCTGGAATAAATATTTAAGGACAAATTCTGCATTTCTCAAACATATTAAAAGGGATCACATGGTCAAATACCCAAAGTTTGGGAAACACAGACTATATGGTAAACATTTGCAAAAGGTGTATATGGAATGCAATTAATGAGATAACAGGAATTTGGCAGTAGAAACACTAGTGTGTTAAAACATTTACAGTTTTCTCTACAATCCAGTCTAGGAGTTAAGAACATCTTAATCTCAATTCACAGTCCCAACTATATCACAAATTGTATCTCCTTTTTTTTTTTTTAAGAGACAGAGTCATGCTCTGTCACCAGGCTGGAGTACAGTGGCCTGATGATAGTTCACTGCAGCCTTGAAATCCTGGGCTCAAGTGATCCTCCCACCTCAACCTCCCAAGTAGCTGGGACTGCAGGTACACACCATCATGCCCAGCTAATTAAAAAAAAATTTTGCCGCAGGGCGTGGTGGCTCATGCCTGTAATCCAAGCACTTTGGGAGGCTGAAGCGGCTGGATTACCTGAGGTCAGGAGTTCGAGACCAGCCTGGCCAACATGGTCTCGAATGGGGTCATGAAACTCCGTCTCTATTAAAAGTACAAAAATTAGCTGGGTGTGGTTGCACCCATCTGTAATCCCAGCTAGTCAGGAGGCTGAGGCAGGAGAATCACTTGAACCCTGGAGGTGAAGGTTGCAGTGAGCCGAGATGGCACCACTGCACTCCATCTCAAAAAAAAAAAAATTTTTTTTATAGAGATGGGGTCTCGCTATGTTGCCCAGGCTGGTCTCAAATGCCAGGCCTCAAGCAATCCTCCCATCTTTGCCTCCCAAAGCACTGGAATTACAGGTCTGAGCAACCCTGCTGGCTGTATAGATCTCCTTTCATATTACCTAGTGACTAGTTCCTTTTTTGCCTCTGTGGTAAAATGTAGTATCACTTTGTAATGATGTAATAAGATAAAATATTTAACCTGATATTATATAACAGGGCTGCTGGAATGTTGGGCTTTTTGTCATTAAGTGTGGTGATTTTGTCATTTGATTACTTGTTTTAGTATAAATGTTTTATGCAGTTTTATGTTTCTGTAGTGTATTTCTTAGGCAGTTAAAATTTTTACCTGCTATTAAGTAAAAATTTTAATTTATGTGTTTTTAGGCATTCATTGTTAATGCTTAACCAAGATATTCAGAGCATAAAAATTTGGGTCATTCAAAAATCTTAATCTGATAAGCAACTTCAGCAAAGTCTCAGGATACAAAATCAATGTGCAAAAATTACAAGCATTCCTACACACCAAGAAAGACAAACAGAGAGCCAAATCATGAGTGAACTCCCATTCACAATTACTACAAAGAGAATAAAATACCTAGGAATCCAACTTACAAGGGATGTGAAGGACCTCTTCAAGGAGAACTACAAACCACTGCTCAACGAAATAAAAGAGGACACAAACAAATGGAAGAACATTCCATGCTCATGGTTAGGAAGAATCAGTATCGTGAAAACGGTCATACTGCCCAAGGTAATTTATAGATTCAATGCTATCCCCATCAAGCTACCACTGAGTTTCTTCACAGAATTGGAAAAAACTACTTTAAATTTCATATGGAACCAAAAATCTTTTTTTTGCCCACATTGCCAAAACAATCCTAAGCCAAAAGAATAAAGCAGGAGGTATCACGCCACCTGACTTTAAACTATAAGGCTACAGTAACCAAAACGCATGGTACTGGTAACAAAACAGATATATAGACCAATGGAACAGAACAGAGCCTCAGAAATAACACCACACATCTACAACCATCTGATCTTTGACAAACCTGACAAAAACAAGACATGGGGAAAGGATTCCCTATTTAACAAATAGTGCTGGGAAAACTGGCTAGCCATATGTAGAAAGCTGAAACTGGATCCCTTCCTTACACGTTATACAAAAATTAACTCAAGATAAATTAAAGACTTAAATGTTAGACCTAAAACCATAAAAACCCTAGAAGAAAACCTAGGCAGTACTATTCAGGACATAGGCATGGGTAATGACTTCATGACTAAAACACCAAAAGCAATGGCAACAAAAGCCAAAATTGACAAATGGGATCTAATTAAACTAAAGAGCTTCTGCACAGCAAAAGAAACTATCATCAGAGTGAACAGGCAATCTACAGAATGGGAGAAAAATTTTGCAATCTACCCATCTGACAAAGGGCTAATATCCAGAGTCTACAAAGAACTTAAACAAATTTACAAGAAAAAAAACAACCCCATCAAAAAGTGGGCAAAGGATATGAACAGACACTTCTCAAAAGAAGACATTTATGCAGCCAACAGACACATGAAAAAATGCTCATCATCACTGGTCATCAGAGAAATGCAAATCAAAACCACAATGAGATACCATCTCATGCCAGTTAGAACGGTGATCATTAAAAAGTCAGGAAACAACAGATACTGGAGAGGATGTGGAGAAATAGAACAGTTTTACACCGTTGGTGGGAGTGTAAATTAGTTCAACCATTGTGGAAGACAGTATGACGATTCCTCAAGGATCTAGAACTAGAAATACCATTTGACTCAGCAATCCCATTACTGGGTATATACCCAAGGATTATAAATCATGCTACTATAAAGACACATGGACACGTATGTTTATTGCAGCACTATTCACAATAACAAAGACTTGGAACCAACCCAAATGTCCATCAATGATAGACTGGATCAAGAAAATGTGGCACATATACACCATGGAATACTATGCAGCCATAAAACAGGATGAGTTCATGTCCTTTGCAGGGACGTGGATGAAGCTGGAAACCATCAGTCTCAGCAAAATATCACAAAGACAGAAAACCAAACAACACGTGTTCTCTCTGATTAGTGGGAGCTGAACAATGAGAACACATGGACACAGGGAGGGCAACATCACACACTGGGGCCTGTTGCGGGGTGGGGGTCTAGAGGAGGGATAGCATTAGGAGAAATACCTAATGTAAATGATGAGTTGATGGGTGCAGCAAACCAACATGGCACATGTATACCTATGTAACAAACCTGCATGTTGTGCACATGTACCCTAGAACTTAAAGTATAATAATAAAAAAATACAAAAGAAAAGCATTTGTAATCACACACACACACACACACACACACACACACACACACACATTTGGGTCATTCGTTCAGCAAATATTGAGCATCTATTGTATGCCAAACATTGTGAGAAAAACTTTTAGAATAACAACAAAAACTTGGTTGTACACTCCAGAAAATGTGTGGCCCTTTAATGTACTTTTGTATGTAATGTTTTAACATGTACATTGTCTTCTGTCTTCTAGTGAAATTAATTTCTGCTTTTTGAGAGCTTTCCCCAATTTTCTATTTTTTCAAAGTAATTTTCGTTCTCATGGAACTCCAGTTATTGCATTATTTCTTTCTCTACTGTCCTTTCAGACTTTGTTATGGATTGTATACTTCTATTGGTCCTAATTCCTCTCTTCAAATTCCAACCAGAGTCCCACCATAAGCTAGCTTTTGTCCCATCCTCTCATCAAGGTCTTAGTGGTTTTTTTCACTTATCAACTAAGTTTTCTTTGCCTCTACATGTTTTATCCAAGTTCACATTTTTGATTAGTCTTTTAGAATCTTACAGGTCACCTCTCCAGAAATAAGAATCTTCATTCTTTTTTCTCCTATATTTGATCAGTTGGGAGAGCTCACTATTTTACCCTCATTATTTGTACCCAGTTCTATCTATGAGTGGTTCCCAAATGATCATAGAGATCCAAAATGTACTAAGCATTCACAGCTACAGGATCCTTCTCAAGGGAGTAATCCAAAGAGGGAAAAATATTTACCCTCATTATTTGTACCCAGTTCTATCTATGAGTGGTTCCCAAATGATCATAAAGATCCAAAATGTACTAAGCATTCACAGCTACAGGATCCTTCTCAAGGGAGTAATCCAAAGAGGGAAAAACAAATCTAAGCAAATTCATAAATAACAATGACTAAGTCAAATGAAGGATTTAAGTCTAAAAGAAGTTAGGTTTCTACAGTACATAATCTCACATTTCTTGTGCATACTAAAAATGAACTCAAGATTAATAGAATAGGAAACTATTGTACATTCAGAAAATACAAGGTAAATAACTTTTCACTTCTTTTATTTGTTAAAATAGTCACATCCATATACATGAAAAGATTTGACCATAATGCATTCATTGATTGTGGCTCTTGCCATCTCGTGGCATCCAGGATCCTGGCTGAAAGGTTTTACCAGTGCTGCTGGGAGCCACTGAGGGTTCTTCCTTTCCAAAGTATGGAGCAGAGGCATGGCCTTTAATTTGAGTTTGAACTGGTGGAGGCAGGAGTTCCTCACTGGTCTCTTTACTAAGGAGTTTTTCTTTTTCATAAAAATCTTGGCTTTTTATTTTGATTTCTTCTCTGTGTTTTTCATTCTTTAGTATTTCCTGCATGTATATATAAATGGAAGAAATTATTAAATTTCTAGTTAAAAAAAGTTTTTATAAAAATAGCCAATAAAAATAAAATACATTATATACATATAAATATATACATACATACTTTGCATTTAAATAATATACAGATATGTATATAAGTTTGAAAAAGCTGTATGATTACATACTAATGTTACATAAACAGTTCTGTCCTGATTTTATGCTATAATAGACATGAAGCACCCCACAGTAGAAATATTTACTACTCAAAAAATGAAACAAACAAATGTGAAATATTACACAGAAGCCTGAGACACTCTATGAAAGATTTCCTAAGCTTAACACTGATTTCTGCCCTAAAACTCAGTGACTGTACTTTTCCACTGGTGAGAAAGAAGTGCTCTGACTACCCTTTTTTTTTTTTCTTTGCCATTCAGATGTGTGAATGCTAACGTCACCCTCTGTAGTACCAGAACCAAGCCTCATCTATTAATATTTCCCTTTCTCTTCTGGAGTGGTATGGCAGGAAAGGAGGAGGATAGGAATGGAATCAGGGTTTGGCATGCCCTAGACACTGTTGCAGAGAGGTTCTTTGCTATTGGAAATACTTTCTCAAATCTGTGCAAACAGATTGTACAATGCAGTTCTGTTCCTCAGAATTCTATCTAGGAGGATCTATACCCAAAATTACAATCAATCCTTTGTTACTGTATTTCCTTGAATAAAAGACCATCACATTTAAGAAGCATCACTATAGCATTAAGAAAGGCAAATTCCACACATAGTTTCAGAGATATTAATATTTGAAAAGATACGTATCTTAAAAATAAATGCAATACAGTAATTACATCTTTGGTCTTTATTCATTCCTTCTGTGTTTTGTTGTTGTTGTTGTTTGTTTTGGTTTTTTTTTGTTTTTTTGAGACGGAGTTTTGCTCTTGTTGCCCAGGCTGGAGTACAATGGTGTGATCTCGGCTTACCGCAACCTCGGCTCACCGCAATCTCCACCTTCCAGGTTCAAGTGATTCTCCTGCCTCAGCCTCCCGAGTAGCTGGGATTACAGGCATGTGCCACCACACCCAGCTAATTTTGTATTTTTAGTAGAAACGGGGTTTCTCCATGTTGGTCAGGCTGGTCTCGAACTCCTGACCTCAGGTGATCTGCCCGCCTCAGCCTCCCAAAGTGCTGGGATTACAGGCATGAGCCACCACGCCTGGTCCATTCCTTCTGATTTTACAATGCATTTCTAAATGTGTGAAATTTTTTAATGTTCTTTTTGCTTACCTGTATTATCTAATTTTTAAGAATATGTTATTTGTAATGTGAAATTAGAATGTTAATGTAACTAATATCTGACAACACTGACCAAAAAAAAAAAAGTTCTGTCAAGTATTTTTAAAATTTCAAAACTTTCAAAAAATGTCACTTAAAGGGCAACATCTGGATATCTAAATGTATGATATCACCTTTCTGTTTCTCAAGTGAATTTCAAGTAATATTGATTGTATAGTCCTTTAAAAAGGTAAGCTCTGATATTAAAGTAACATTTAAAATAATAGTTTGTACTTAAAGGGGGAAAAGTTTTTGTGGTTTTAGTGTTAAGACTTAGTTTTAGATGTGAAGAAGGGCCCATCTAATGAAACTTCTCCCTCAAAGCAAATATGTGCAGGAAAGAACAATATTTATAAATATTCTTGTAATTTTCACAACACATAGCAATTCCCCATGAGTAGTTTAATCACCACAGTAAGCGAGTTCTGTATGGTTGCTCCAAGTGAGGGTGAGAGTAGAGAAATCAGGTTTTCTTCTTCCTATACCCTCTAGAATTCTTATATAAGGTGATGATGTATCACAAAGGAAATTCCTCAATATCATACTGGAAATAGTGGAAGTAGACAAAAATTCAAGTCCCTGTGTCTTAATGGAAGTTCGTTCTTTGGAGCGGAATGAAAAGTTCAGGACCAGGTTAAACTTCCACTAGTAACCGACCTCAAGCAGCAAGAGGATACTCAGAAATTGGTATGGAGCTTGCTTGGATTTTGTATAATAGATCAGTCATGTCACCTGAAGCTGTGCCCCTGCCTACTTTATTTATGTCACCTCTATAGTTGCAGTCTTACAGTTGGTACATGCATATGCTTTTTGATGAAAAGAAAATGGAGGGCAAAGATCTGTTCTTGTTTCTCCTGCCTTCACATAATTTCTCTTTATTCAACATTACTCTTCTAAGACTTTCTTATAATAGCTATTGAGGCAAAAGAAAAGCCAATCTGAATATATTAATTATTTTTATATATGAAGATGGTTAAAGATTTCAGAGTTAAAAAATATGGAGACTATAGTTTTTCCTAAAAAAGAATTTCCTTTTGTTTTTCTGAAAAAACAAAACTGGTACCAAAAACATAACTGGTACCAGGCAAAATTAAACAGAACATAAATCATTTATGAAAGGAAATACGGTCTTGTAAATATTTGGAATTGAAGGGCCAGGTTCTGTGGCTCATGCCTGTAATCCTAGCACTTTGGGAGGCCGAGGCGGGCAGATCACTTGAGGCCAAGAGTTCAACACCAGCCTGGCCAACATGGGAAAACCCTGTCTCTACTAAAAATACAAAAATTAGCTGTGCATTGTGGCACATGCCTGTAGTCCCAGCTACTCGGGAGGCTGAGAGGCAGGAGAATCACTTGAACCTGGGAGGTGGAGGTTGCAGTGAGCTGAGATTGTACCACGGCACTCCAACCTAGGTGACAGAGCAAGACTCCATCTCAAATAAAACAAAACAAAAAAACCCCCAAACAACAACAATGAAAATATTTGGAATTGATAAGAAAGTAGTTAGGTGGAGAAAACAGGATAGGAATTGTAGACCTTAAGGACTTTTAAGAAAGTCTATTTGCAAATACAAACTACCAAAAAGCAAGTATTTTTCCTTCCAATTCCTTGGAACAATATCACCCTATATCTCCATACGTTTATCAAATAACAGTATGTTTCAGTGTTTGTGTAAGGATAAAGCAGGAACGGGCATCTTTCTTCACATAAATGTTTGTATTTTAAAAACAAATATTCATCATTTTACTTATTTATCTTGTTGCCAATAAATATTTTTCTTTAACATTTAAAAAAAAGATGGCTGAATGTTATTTTATCACTAGTATTGTACCATGATTTACTTAACAACTACCTCTACTGTTGCTTCCAATATTTCACTTCTTCATTAAAAAAAATAACACTGTGGTGACAATCCACATGGGTAATTCTTTGACTCAGACAGGGTTCCAATCCCAAATCTACCATTTGCTAGCCGTGTGACACCAAGAAAGCTACTTAACTTTTTTAGTCTCAGTTTATCTGAAAATGGGGCTTATACTCATAACAGTATTATGTTTCCTAAGATAGTTATGTATTACAAGGTGAGTAAGCTTTTATAAAACAATGCCAAATGGGCCAGTGTGGTGGCTCACGACTGTAATCCCAGCGCTCTGGGAGGTCAAAGCGGGCAGATCACTTGAGGTCAGGAGTTTGATACCAGCCTGGCCAACATGGCAAAACCCTGTCTCTACTAAAAATACACAAATTAGCCAGGTGTGGTGGTGTACTCCTGTAATCCCAGCTACTCTGGAGGCTGAGGCATGAGAATCGCTTGAACCTGGGAGGTGGAGGTTGCAGTGAGCTGAGATCACGCCACTGCACTCCAGCCTGGGTGACAGAGCAAGACTCTGTCTCAAAAAATAAATGAATAAACCAACAATACCAAATGGAAGTATCTTCCTTTTGTTCCCCTTAAGTAACCTCTAGAGTTCCCTTAAAGATTGAAAAGTTTATGCAGATTACAGATTTTTCCATATTCTAATGTAAGCCAAACATTATTGATTTAAAAATTGAATCTTGTTTATATGTGACTATGTAAGTATAAATATTTATACCTCAAATTACTCATATGTATACTCTTCACATTGTTATTCACTGAATGTTTCTCAATAGTGGCATAGAATTTGGGCTCTGAAGCCAGACCACTGAATACAAATCCCAGTTTTACCATTTACCAGCTGTGTGACTCTATGAATATTATTTAACTTCCCTGTGTCTCACTTTCATGTTGTGTGAAATGGAGATAATGTTGTCTTCTTCAATGGGCTGTTGTAAAGGTTGGGAAAGAACTGGCTACTGGGCAGTGATAGTACAACAGAAGGTACAAATATATCTTAAAATAGTGATTTCATTCTATTAAAAAATAAACATAGCAAACTTGTACACATCTCTCTCTGAAATGGGTAGAGATGTTAGTAAGAGGTAATCTACTAGTTTCAGACAAAAGATGGAATAACTGGTACCAGGCTAGTCCTCCTGCCATGGCACCACTAGAAAACTGGACAAAAATACATTTTTCAGATACTGGACAATAGGCAGCACAGTAGTGTGATCCCTGAAGGGCATCAATGAGTAACAAATTAGATAAACCCTATATCATCCCAGCTTTCTGGCTGGAGACACATTACTGGTTGCTACACAGGGTGGGGGAACCCAACCAGAGGATGGTGGTTTATGGAGAGATAGAGATGGTTGTTTAGGGAGCCTGAGAAAGCTGGAATATGCTGGGATATGTTAGGCGGAGTACCAGAATACACAGAGTAAGTTTTAGAAATCTGCATAGTAACCCACTTGAGTGTTCAGCTGAATATTAAGCTGTCCATGTGCGCGGTGAAACTCCATAAAGCAGGAAGGACAACTTCTCACTAAAGAATACTGGGGAACTATAGGCTGAAAATTGCTGGAGCTTGCACTGGACTAGGAAAAAGTCAAGTTCTAACCAGCCAGGGAGAGCTCGTTGAACACCTGAGACATTGTAAAGATCCCGGAAGGGTCACTCCTTAGGTGTAGGACTAAACTGGCACGAGAGTACAGCTTATTGGAGACCTATGCTGTACAATACAGTAGGCACTAGCCACATACCATTTAAATTAAATAAAAAATTCAGTTACTGAATTATACTAGCCACATTTCAAGTATTTCATAGCCAAATATGACTAATGGCCACTATATTGGAAAGTACAGTTATAAAACATTTCCATCATTGCAAAAATTTGGATTGGACTGCACTGCTCTAGATCTACTCTAACAAAACTTAAAAGTAAGATTCTAGCCGTACGTGGTGGCTCACGCCTGTAATCCTAGCACGTTGGGAGGCTGAGGTGGGTGGATTTCTTGAGTCCAGGAGTTCATGACCAGCCTGGACAACATGGTGAAACCCTGTTGCTACAAAAAAAAAAAAAAAAAGAAAGAAAAAAAAATACAAAAATTAGCCAGGCCTGGTGGCATGCAGCTGTGGTCCCAGCTACTCGGGAGGCTGAAGTGGGAGGATCACTTGAGCCCAGGAGGTCAAAGCTGCAGTGAGCCAAGATCACACCACTGCACTCCAGCCTGGGCAACAGAGTGAGACCCTGTCTCAAAAAAAAAAGCTTCCAAAAGTTTGGGCTGGTTCACATGTCAATTAATGGCCCTCCAGAACAAAACTCAGTATTTTTTAAAGGAAGACAACACAACTGAGATACTAAACATAATATTTCAATGTTCATCATGTAATCAAGAGGTGAAGACGAAAGGATGACTAAAAACCAGTCAACAGAAGTAGACCTACACATGATAGAAATGATGAAATCAACAGACAAGGACTTTATCACAATTACTATAAAAATGTCTAAAGAATTAAAGAAAAAAAATCAACATGAGGAAAGAAATGGGAACTGTTATAAAGAACCAAATATAACTTCAAGGTGAAAAACAACCTATGAAATAAAAAAATTGAGTGCTTCTTTGTAGAAGAACAGTGAATCTGAATATAAGACAATGGAAAATACATAAACTGAAGCAAGAGAGAGTTTTAAAAAAGGGCTAAAAAATGAACAGAGCCTCAGTGAGCTATTGGACAATACTATGCAGTCTGATATACATGTGGTCATGGAAGGAGAAGAGAAAATAATGACTAAATATAAATTCACAGATCTAAGAAGCTCAACAACCCCAAGCAGGATAATCATAAAACCAAGGCACATCCAAATCAAATTGCTAAATACTAATGATAAAATCTTAAAACTAGACACAGGAAAAAAGACACTTATACAAAAGACAAAGATAAGAAATAACACTGAGTTCTCATCAGAAACAACTTAGAATCCTATATCCAGTGAAAACATCTTAAAAATGAAGGTATTATAAGAACATTTTCAGACAAAAGCTGAATTTGTCACAAATATCTACTATAAGAAAAATTAAAGGACATACTTCAACTGAAGGAAAATGATACAAGATGGAAACCTTGTAGAATAAATAGCACTGGAAATGATCAGAATGAAGGACTTCATTGCAGAGGAAAAACACCAGAGGTTTGGACACTCTGCCAGGTGCTGGATACCCTAAAACTCTACGTCCACCAAATCTAAGTTCCCTGAGCACATGAGAAGCATTGTTACACTGTCCATTGAAAATACCAATACGGATTTTGAGGCCAGTGATGACTATACTGCCAAGCAAACTTCTCAAGCTTTGTGAACCTGGTTCAGGAGACGCACAGCCTGAGACAAAAGGGCTGTTGTTACCACGTGCAGCCCTCAAATTAGCAACACTCTGCCTTATTACCTCCTTATTCCCATCAACAAAAAGTCTCTAGTCACCAAAGCTTCCATGTTTTATACCACTGTCTTGGCTCCCCTGACTAGGGATATAGAGCAGTGTATCAACAATGGCCTTCTTGTCCACCTGAAGCAGAACCTCATGGAGTTGACAATTGAGAGTCATGCATGAGGTCAACCCCTTCTAAAAGGGTCATTTAAAGAGTCTCCTGGAGTGAAATATTGAAGAATATCATTCTCCACCAATCTCAGGGAAGAAGAGAAAGAAACCATACTGACAAATTAAAAAAAGGCATGAGCTGTATCAAAATCGGTGTGTCAAAACTTTCCTTAAATGTATATGTTATGAATGACCAATGTTCTGTGAGCATCTCTCTCATTTCAGGGGTGTTCAGCTGGAGCAAATTAGTTTAGGCTTGAGTTGTTTATGTTGTTATAGGGTAAGTATCCCTTATCTGAAATGCTTAGGAACAGAAGTGTTTGGGATTTTGGAATTTTTTGGATCTTGGAATATTTGCTTTTTACTTACCAGTTAAGTATCCCCAAATCCTTTGAATGCCTTAATAGTGCTCAAAAAGTTTTGGATTTTGGAGCAATCTGGATTTCGAATTTGAGCTGCTCAACTTGCATGTATTTAATGTTTGAATTTATATATTTTTCTGGTCAAAATTTAATATAAATTATCATTGTTTGTGAAGGATTAGATTAAAAAAGAGAAAAAGCGAAAAGATCTAAATGCCTTTAACAAGCTCATCATTGTTTTTGTAATGTAGTTAATGGTTATTTATAGTGCACTATTCATTTACTCAGTGATGTGAACTTAAGCCCCCAAAAGGTTGTGGCTCAAGTCCTTTCCAATGCTGTTACTTTGCTAAGAGCCCTGGTTAAGAGCCCTTTTGGTAGCTGTATTATTGTTGCATTCAATGCTGCAACTTGCTATGTGTAGTAATGACAAAAGAGATTTAAAGTTTGTTTTTTTAAAAAACAAAGCTTAAATATGGAATCTACTAACATGCTGACTTATAGCTCACTCACAGATATTAGGCATGATATAATAAGTAGTTATTCTGCTCCAATCATACAGTCCCTCATGCAAAATCCTACTATACATTAACTTTCCATAAAGGCAAGGAATTCAGCTTTAATATACACTTACTGCTATGGAAGTTATTAGATAACATGCGTGGATATTTGAATTATAAAGAGGAGGTAAAACAAATGGTAGAAAAATACTAGAGGTCTCTGCAATGATGTGTTGGGAGAGAGAAAGAAAACTAAAGCTATTTAAACCTGGGCTTTGGAAATGCACTCTAATATCTGAGGGAAGGCTAAGAGCTGATGACCAGTGCTCTCTGATGAAGTTATCATGACTGGAAGATAAGTTTAGATTACTTGATGAGTATTGGGGAAAGGGAAGGGCTGAGAGATATCTGAATAGGTTCAAAGGTTACCCAAAGAGTTTTCAACCTCAGGTATCCACCATTCTGCTTCTCTGGAGCCACACTCAGACCAGAGGTGTGGGAGTGAACATTCCTCAGTCTATACTATTAAATGGAATCAAATATTTAGATGCAGATCTAAGTATATATACAAAATATTTTTTAGGAATATTATCTGTTATTATACATATACTTAACAAGAAAAGGTAAATACAAATTATGCAAATTATAAATTACCCATTTTTATTAATTTAAGATATGTAAAATGTCACTAGTATTTTTTATGTTGTGTGTAATGTGTGTATAAATAAAAATGAATAACTGTTTTCAAACCATCATTCAAGATTTCAATCCCTTAGCCCAATTTTTCTCCTTAAAAGGCTCAAACCTAGTCAACTGAGAATTCTTCTATGAAGGAGTGTTTCAGTAATACCTTATATGTACATATATATGATGCTGATGGTGTAATATTCATGGTAAGCATAAAATTCCATAATAATAGACTTCAAAAGTATTTGAATAATTTTTATATTGATAGACATGGAAATGGAATAGAGTTAATGCTCAGCCCTTTATTAGGGAATTAGAACTTTGCTTTAAAAATGTTATGAATCCAGGTAGAAAAAAGGCAGGTTGAACACACACACACACACACACACACACACACACACACACACACACACACAAAAATATGCCATTTCATCTTTAATGTTCTGGCTCCAGGCTCCTCTAAAGTTTAGTATTTATAAATGGTCTCCATTTAGCTTCAAGTACTTGTGAATTCCAAGTATATCATATATAACTATGTTCAAACTGAAGTTCAAAACACATGCCAAGACAAAATCTAAATATAATTTAAAATAAATTCAACAGTGCTTCATTGTTAGAAAGTTCACTATTTTCAAGAGCAAGTTAAGGCTCAGGAGTCAGTCTTAGGCCCATGTAACTGGGTTCTTTTTCAGTCTTCTGTGGGAACAAAACCATAGCTTATTTATGAAGTTCAAGTTATATTACATATAAAAAATGAGAAACCGGATTTATAAAAAGTTATAATTTAAAATTATACATTAGCGGTACATTTGTGACAAAAGCTAAATGTACATATATCTTTAATATCTATTGGAGCTAGACATACTTTTCAAAGTACACATAAGATAAAGATGTAAAAGTATTTCAATTACTAAATATACCCAAATGCATACATTTTTTACTGCTTACCAGACATAAATTTGACCTTGACAGCTCCACTAATTTCTTTCCATAATTTAAACCATATATACTAGTGAATAATTTTTATTTTAATAAATATTAAAATTTTTAAAGTATGAGTACATTGCCTTTGAGTCAATTAAAATGTTTTTCATAGACTACAAAACGATTTATGTAGATTATAAGTGAAATTTGGCATGAAGTATGTTTTGGGACCCCATACCAGTAACATTTGTTTACTATTAGATAGTCATGCCCAGAAAGTAGCCTCCCAGAATATACCACACAGCCCCCAATCCTCAATATAATTATAAAATTATAATGGGAATTTGTTGTTTCAAAACGTTCAGAGTTGAATATTCTTTTACAGTGTTAATTTTGTAACATGCTGAGAAACAATTCAAGCCTAGCAAATGCTATAGTGATGTCTCAGCTCGAATTTTATTGCCAAGTTGTTTAATTAAACTACATTTTCTAGTTCTACAAGTTGAACTGCCAGGATGAAATAAGTTATTAGATCACCCTTTTTCATCTACGAAAGAAAGAAGAAAAAAGAGGGAGGTGCATAGATCACCAAAAGGTATTCTGTATTTAGGCCCAAGAGAACACCTGCTAGATCAGTAATCAAAAATAAATTTAATCTTGCCTGGATGGGAGTAGAAACCCAAAGAGTAAATAAGTGACAGAGCTTAGGTTAGTATGATAGTACTGGGTTGCTAAGAAATCTATTAGAATAAAACAAGAGGCAAGTGAGTTATGCTTTAGCAGAAGCTGCTCCTGCTACATGTTCTTGCCAATCACTAGTACGCCTCTGCCAAATCAATGTCACATTTAATTTATTCAAATTCAAATCTATTGCAAACATCCTTTGATCAATTACAATAATGAGAATGTACACTGAGTTTTGTTGTTTTGACATGCTTTCTTGAACCTTCCTCATGCATTTTTTCAAAACATTTCTAATTGCAAGAAGGCTATCTCAATGATTCCTGTTATTTGAGGGGACAATTGTATGGTTTGTTTATATTCTTTGCTGGCTAGGAATTTCTGGCATTAAGTTTTCTTTCTTTGAACCTGAGCCAGATTAATTATTAAATCTCAAAATGTCACTAAAATGAACTAATCACAGAGCTCAAGTCATTAACAGTTTTTCAGGTGGTATTTCCTTTACTAAAATAAATGAACTCCCATATATACGCAAAAAGGGCCTCTAAGCATAAAGACACAATTATTTAATTGAAAAAGAAATTTAGCAGTTAAACATTAATAAAAAATAATTAGAGTCACTTAATGCTAGTCCTATTTAATTGAACTACCCTGGTGGGAGACAAAGAAAACCTTGCTCCCTTGTGTGGGAAGAGGAAAGACCATAATCCCTGGGAGAAAAAGCAATGTCAGATCCCCATGGCTTTCCAGGCTTGGCCTCAGAGAGAGAGAAAGAAATGGCAGAAAGGCAAGAGCCCTGGAGGAAAGAAAAGGCTCCATCTGTGAATGATTGCTAACATTCATTGAGCTGTTATGTGCCAGCTGCTGTCGGGGGAAAAGAATTCTTCTGGCCTAGGATGAGAGAGGGAAGAAGAGTTGGATGAGAAGAAGTAAGACATAAAGAAGCTACAACTTAGGCTATATAGAGCCTGCCCTAGAGAATAAAAAATATGGTCAGAGGCAGCACCCTCTAGGACTTGTTGCAGGGGACAACAGGAGCTGTGGCCCTGAAAGATATACTTATTCATTCATGTGTTTTTCATTCATTCATTCATTCATTCATTCATTTAATATATACTGAGCACCTACAATTTAAGGGCCTAGGGATACAGAGATTAAAACCTAGTTCCTATTCTTATGAAGCATCTTTGAGGAACAAAGAGGATGGTCAAAGGAGGTACCATAGGGAAGAGCTGGGTAAGCTCCAATGGCCAATTATGTGGCTAATGCTTATGGGTCCTTTCCTACTTTCCCATTCACTAACTGATTGGTTCATGCATATATTAACTGAGAGCCCACTAAGTGCCAAGGATTGAGTTAAAAGACACAACTTTTACCCTGTGCTCAAAGAACTCACAATCTAAGGAAGAGAGGCAGGTTTAAAAAAATTAAATTATAATATGATAAATTCTGCAATCATATAAAACAAAGAATGTTATGAGAATGCAGAAGAAAAGCTAGTGTCCCAATTATTATTATTATTATTAATTAATTTTTTTTTTTTTGAGACGGAGTTTCGCTGTTTTTGCCCAGGCTGGAGTGCAATGGTGTGATCTTGGCTCACTTTAACCTCCGCCTCCCAGGTTCAAGTGATTCTCCTGCCTCAGCCTTCAGAGTAGCTGGGATTACAGGCATGTGCCACCACGTCCGGCTAATTTTGTATTTTTAGTAGAGAGGGGGTTTCTCCATGTTGGTCAGCCTGGTCTCCAACTCCTATCTCAGGTGATCCGCCCGCCTTGGCCTCCCAAAGTGCTGGGATTACAGGCGTGAGCCACCACACCCAGCCCTGGTGTCCCAGTTATTATCCAGAGTGGACTGGAGGGTTAGAGAAGGTGATACTTCAGTATTAAACAATCAATCAGAATCAACCAGAGAACTAAGAAGAGAGGGGCATTCTAGGAAAAAGTAAGCATGTGATCAGAGGTATGAAGGAGTAAAGCAGCAAAGCAAATTCAGGACACTGAGTGGTTCATATGGTATACAGGGGTTAGAACATGCTGAATCTTGTAATGCAGTGTTAGGATATTTAGGTTTCACCCTGAAAGTGATGGTGAAACATTTTTGGGCTCTGAAGGAAGAGCAAGATTTCCAGATAAAATGCAGGATGCTCAGTTAAATTTGAATTTCATACAAACATCAAATAATTTAGTATTTATGTCCTAAAAATTATATGGGACATACATGTAAAATTATCCCTTGTTCATCTGAAATTAAAATTTAACTGGGTATGCTGTATTTTTGTTTGCTAAATCTGGCAACCATAAGCAGGAGACTTATATGTTTATCCCATATTTTAAAAAAGATGACTCTGGCAACTATAGAAATTAGATTGGAGAGGTGCAAGACTGGAACAGAGAAATCGGATAGCAGGCCACTGCAGAAATGCAAGTAAGAAAATCATTAGGGCAGGAACCAAGACAATGGTATTGAGACAGACAAAAAAAGATTGTTAAGATATTCAATAGGAAAAAGGTCTTAGTCACCAATATGTAGAGGTGAAGGAGATGAGGACAATCCCTGTTTCTAATCAGTGATGACAGTGACACTTTGCAAGCTGAGGAACTCTGGCTGGCGATGCCCTGCCCAGGCCTTGCTTGACCACGCTACCTGCTGCAGGAGACAGCCCACCTACTCGGCCCACTTGGGCCAAGTCTGGCTTACACACTGGTTCCTGAGTTCTTGTCCTGCACCTAAGAAGAATGAGGATGTGCTAACATTCGAAGAGTGTACAAGGCAGGGAGTTTTCCTGAGTGATGAAACAGCTTTCAGTGGAGAGGGGATGTAGGGGTGGTCCCCCTATCCGAAAGTGGGAAAGTACCCCTAATATGGCTGAGTCAGGAGCCTTTTATGGGCTCAGAATGGGAAAGGGACAGGCTGTAGGGAGTATTGGAAAAGGCAACATTCAATTGTTAAAAGGCATTATTCAAAAAAAATTAATCAGGAAAGGGCAGGCAAACAGGAACATAAGTTCTCACTCTGGGTTGCAGGTTTCATCTGGGACCAGCAGCCTGGTCTTTCAGCCTCCAGGCTGTTTTTGGCTTGAAGGTGGGGTTTCACCAGGGACCCGCCCCTATTAGCCTAGGCATTTGGCTGCCTCCTGTCGCTATCAACAGATAATGCCATTAACCATGGTAGGAAACAGAAAAAGAGTTCTGCTTTAAACATACCAAATTTAAGTTGTCTGTAAAATATCCAAATATCTTTTTATCAAACTGTTAGCTCCTTCTTGGCCAAACTTCAGAACACTGAAATGCTTCAAGGACTCAATTCTAGCCCTCTTTTTTACTATACAGACGGTCCCTGACTTACAATGATTCAACTTATGACAGTGCAAAAGCGACATGCCTTCAGTTGAAACTGTATTTTCAAATTCTGAATTCTGATCTCTTCCCAGGCTAGTGATATGCCATACAATACCTTCTCATCATGCTAGGTGGTGGCATTGAGCAGCAGCTCCCAGTCATCACTTTGATCACAAGGGTAGACAATCCACACTCTACAGTGTACTGTGTTACTAGATGATTTTGCCCAACTGCAGGCTAATGTAAGTGTCCTGAGCAGGTTTAAGGTCGACTAGGCTAAGCTATGAATTTGGTAAGTTAGGTGTATTAAATGTATTTTTGATTTAACAATGGGTTTATCGGGATATAACCTCATGGTAAGTTAAGGAGTATCTGTATTCTCTCTCAAAGTAATCATTTCTTATCCCAAGTTTAAATATTGTCTACATATGCTGAAGAAGCTCAAATTCATTTCAAGCCTGACTGCTCCCCAAGCTCCAGAATAATATAGCCAACTATCTGGGTGGAGGTGGATGTCTAACAAACATGTTAAATTAAATATGTCCAAAGATGCCTTAGGCTCAGAGGGCTAACTTAAGGCCATACAATTAGACTACACTTGAAACAAGTTTCTGCCTCCACCATATTTTCCTTCTACTACTTATTACTCTTTGCACAGTTCTCAGCAAGCCACACACATGGCTTTGCATACAGGTATCCTGCTGCCTGACTACAGTGTTTCCCTGACCCCTAGAAGGTTTGCCTTGTTTCAATAGGGCCTGGTCTCCCTTTCCTCACATGCTAAGATAAAAGCAAGCTCCAAGGCAACACCCTACTTCATGAACATAGAGAGGAGCCTTCCAGCTAACCGGAAGTCCTAAAAGTTAATTACTATACTCTCAAAGTAGTCTCTGTGACATATCAAATGCACACCAGTGGGCACGATCTGGGGGGGAGGAGGCTGTTACTGGGATGTCCTCATGGTGGGAAGAAGCACTTTAGCCAGCAGCAGCTAAATCACCTTCCCTTACGCAACTGTATACATTTACTTAAATGATTCCTATTTTTCTTTACCTCCTACATTTACCTAGCACTAAATTTTATCAATTCTTCCTTCAAAATTTATCTTGAATTGTGCATTTCTCTTTATCTCTATGGCCAATAGCATTTCTTGCTTGGACTCCTAATAAGTCTCCTTGGTCCTCTATGATCTAATGTCCACATAGAAATCAGAGTGACCTTTCATGCCACTTCTCACTAACAACCCTTTAAATGGGTCCTTGCAACAAAATCCAAACTTGCCTGTGGCAAATATGGAGATATTTGGATAAGCCCTTCTTCAAGGAAGGACTTGCTTCCCAGCTGCAGTGAATGCTGTGAGCAGACAGTCTGCAGCTGTCAACAATTTTAGCATGTGCCACAGCTTGTAGCCACCTTTCTAATGGTTTTCCAGAGCAGCCCACATCCAGTAACTGAATAAGGCAGGCAGGCAGGGCCATAAAGGCCCAGCTATTTCAACCAGATGTACAAAGACTCTGATGGGCAATACTTGCTCCAGAGCTTCCTACTAAATTGGCTGAAGCTTTGTTGGGCCTACATCACATTTCGACTTTGTCCTCTGTCCATTCCTATTTTCTTCCTCTTCCTTTCATAAGGATGCCTAATAAATACCTTTTATCTCAATGTCTGCTTCTGAAGAACACAACAAGGCTCCAAATGACCCAATTGCTGCCGACCTCTCCAATCTCATTTCATGTCATTTTCTGCTTTGGTTATTATACTTCAACCTCACTAGCTTCTTTGTTCTTTAAACACACTGTATTTCACTTGGCCTCTTTTAGCTCTCTGCTGGAAAGTCTTTTTCTTTCAGTTCTTCACATGGCTAGCTAAATCTCATACTTCAGGGAAGACCAATAACTTAAAGAGAACTTCCCTGGCTAATCTATGTAAAGTGATCTTTCCAACCAGACATAAGAACAACACCCAGTTTACTTTGTAGCACTTATCATATCTCATAATCCTTATTATTTATGTATTTGTTTATATGGCTTGACTAGAATATAAACTCCAAGGGCCAGGAATATGTATAGTTCACTGTTAACATTCCAGGCATCAAGTTTAGCATATTATGTAAGTGTTGAAAAATAATTTGTTGAATGAATAAATGACTCCATGGGTCTAGCTCAAGAGAGAGGCCAGTGCTGGAAATCTGGAAGTATATGTAGTGGCTGAAGCCAAGACAAGGATGAGATTGTCCAGAGAAATAGTAGAGAAGAAGAGCCAAAGGTCAAGAACAGATACTTCATGTGGACCACCAAAATTTAAGAGGTAAGGGAAAAACAGGAACCAACAACATGTTGAGAAAGAATGGTCTAGAAAGTGAGGGGATAATAAAAACGGCATTGGTAAAAGTAGTAAATATTGATGCCTCATCCATATTCTCTCAGCTTACTCTGTAGCTTTCTAAATAGCTTATTTAGATGAAGCTTGTTTCTTACTTCAAACTTCTGCAGTTCTTGGTCTGAGGACCATATTCACCTTATATAATGGGCAGGATGAAAATACCAGGGAGTTATTAACACTCCCCAGGAGTGAGCCTTAGTGAGAAATTGGTGGATAAATACCCCAGCTTCCTTGCTCTTCAATGGAACAACTCTGTGATGTGTTCCGCAGTCTCTCAGAGGGCTGCTGGCAAAACTGAGCTCGTTTGCCCACAGCATTTAACCAGCTTATTAAGGCACCTTTTAGTGACTTTCTTTTTTTCCCTTTCTTACTGTTCAACTCTAATGCTTTTAGAAGTGGCCTTGCAAATAAGTTACTTGTATCCAAATCCTTGTCTCAGATCCTGGTTTGAAGGGAACACAAAATTAAGTAAAGAAGCCACAAGGGGAAGGAAATTCAAGACGGGAGGCAGTTAACTCTATGAAATGCAGGTGGGGTTAGAATTGAGACATATTCAACGGACTTAGCATTAAAGAGGTATTTGGTGACCTTGAGAGAGAAGTTTGAAGGAGGTTATGGAGGCAGATGCAGACTGTACTGGAGAGAGAGGAAACACTTCCCAAATAAGTCTTCCATAGATCACACTAGCTTTCCAGGAAATTAAAAGGTGCTTGACATGCCAAAAAGTTGTATGGTCAAATCAAATTGGGAAACAGACTTTCCAGTTCAAGAGTCCCAAAATTTCCCCTACTCCTTTTGAAAACCTACCCCTTAAATAAAAGAGATACCAAGATTAGAAAAACTCAAAGCCCTTTTTTGATAAACAGAGTGTCATCTAAAATAGCAAATGACAACATAAAAAGATGGAAATAAATAGAACAACAAATAATTCAGCAGAGTAGAAAAGGAACAATCCTAAATGTTTGCAAACAGGGATACTGGTGAGAAAAAAAGCAATCCACCCTAGATATATATATATATATATATATATATATATATATATAAAGACAGGCTTAGATGTAGGGACCAAGAAGAGGGCTAGGTTGAAGTGCCACACTGTAAATGGGGATAGTGGAAGATGGCTAAGTAAAAATCTGCATTCCAAATGGTGAGACCCTCAAGCTCCTATATCCACTTAGTTTGAGAAGGCCAGCAGCTAAAAATACACAATCCACCCCAATCCTACTGATTTATTAGTAAAGGTCATTAATTCTGTAGCCTTGCCCACGTGATTCTGGCTAATTACAGCCTTGGTGGTATCATCTAACATGTTTCTTTACCCTTGTATTTCATGTAAACTGGCAATTATATCCAGAGCAGTGGTTCTCAAACTTCGGTATGCTTTAGAATCACCTGGAAACTTATTAAAACACAGATTGATGGGCTCTACCTTGTGATTCAATAACTGAGGATAGGGCCCCTGATGTGCACATCTAACAAGTTACTAGGTGATTCTGATGCTTCTGGTCCAGAGATCACACATGACCAATTAATATGTTTTAATATAATGAACTCATATTTATATATTTGAATGTTTCAATCAATTGTTTTGGTTAGTATTTCTATTTTTGATGCTCAAACTTGACCCATCTTTGGCCAGTGGGAGCCCCTTCCAGTTGGCTCCTATATCCTTTTGACATAATCTTCTTGGTTTCTTTGCTCTCTGGTGTAAAAAGATGTCCTAGACTCTCCTTGTACATTTCCTGCCCGAGACTTGACATCAGCTATTTCTCTAAGGAGCCCTGGCTCCTTAGAATAGAAAATGGTAAAAAGTTCATAGTCTGAGATGAGATGTTAATTGCTACTGGACTGTCATTGCTGTTAGGTCTTTCCAGTGGACCGAAGTAGGAAATATGCTTTTTTTTTTTTCAGAAAAAATATGTCATTAGTTCATAATGACATTTCCAATTCAAATTTAATATTGTAGGTTTTTATTTAATTTCTTTTATGCTATAAGCTTTGGTTCCTGAGAATATTAATATATTTATTTTAAATATGTGTGTAAAATAAAAATGCCAATATTACTGCTAAGAAAATTATTAAATATAGTTGAGGATTTCTTTGTATTCCTTTCTTTTTGTCCTTGGAATATACTCACTGAATTGGGAATGATAGTAAGAAGAGTAAGACAAACATTTTTTAAAATTTTAAAAAAGGATAAATAATGAATACACTCACTGATGTACAATGTCTTAAAGTCATGTGAAATCATTTTTTCCTGTGTGATTCTGCTATCTACTTGATAAACACGTTTATTTGTTTCAGGGATTCAAAAAAATTTTGGGGGGGGAATTAATTTCTTTTAATTTTTGTTTTTGTTTTTTGAGACAGAGTCTCACTCTGTCACCCAGGCTGGAGTGCAGTGGCACGATCTCAGCTCACTGCAAGCTCTGCCTCCTGGGTTCATGCCATTCTCCTGCCTCAGCCTCCCAAGTAGCTGGGACTACAGGCACGTGCCACCACGTCCGGCTAATTTTTTTGTATTTTTAGTAGAGATGGGGTTTCACTGTGTTAGCCAGGATGGTCTCGATCTCCTGACCTCGTGACCCGTCCGCCTTGGCATCCCAAAGTGCTGGGATTACAGGCGTGAGCCACCGCGCCTGGCGGGATTAATGTATTTTGAAATTGTGTAAAACATCTATATAGTTCCAAAGGCAAAATTATACCAGATATAATAAAAGAAGTCTAGCTTCCATCCTTGCTCTTCTACTCTGTTCCCTCCCTCTACCTGTCATTTTTATTAATTTTCTGTTTATCCTCCCATTTTTTCTTTATAAAATAAGCAAATACATGTGCATCTCTTTCTCCACCCTTACATAAAAGGTACTATCAACTGTTTTTCATCTTACTTTTTTTACTTGACAATATATCACGAACATTCTATAGAAGGATATTTTCATCACTCCTTTTTAGCCTCATAGGACTCCATTGTGTAGCTATATCATGGCTTACTAATAGATATTTGGGTTGTTTCTGCTCTTTTACTATGACGTATTTACTACTACTATTACAAATAGCCCTATAAATTATGCCAAATTACGTATTTTCACCAGATAATTTTTAGTAGATTTCTACTAGAACTTAGATTGCTAGGGCAGAGGGTAAAAGTGTATGTATTATGCTGGCTGTATGAAAATAGGTTTTTGCCTGCCCTTTATGCCTTTCTGTCTCCCACAATTCAGGGCCTACAACAATGTCTAGCACATAATCGGTGCTTAACACATATTTGCGAAATGAATGAATGTGGCTCTGTCTGTGTTTACTCACTGTTAATTGGTTTCCTTTTTAGTAGACCATCTGAGAGGGCAATCACTGTTGACTGATAATCTGACTTTGTATAGTGCAGTTGTATTATAAATCCAAATGTAAACTTAAATAGCTAATCAAGAATATATCATATTCCATCATTAATAAAGGAAGTCCTTTTTTTAAATTGCTTATACCCCTTCCCTTTGTAACGCTGAAAATTGAGAAAAGATAGATACAAACTTATTTATATTCTTGGAAATTTATACTAGTTTAAAAACATCAATGTGGTAAAATGACTCGGTTTACTACTTTTGAAAATTAAGTAAGAAAAAATATTTCTCTATTTTTCTTTGTGTACCTGCCACCTATCAATCACCAAGTATGTGGCTTAAAATATATCACCACTCATATAAGGACTTCCTAACTTAGGAATAGCTTAAGGTAAGAAAGTTAAAGTCAACCAACTATTTTGGACCCAAAACACTTTTTTTTCCCCAAAGAAATAGTGCTATAATGGTGGTTATATTCCCTGTCTAGTACACATTAAGGAATTTACCCACAGCGTAGCACAACTACAATAACAAATACAAATATGATGGGTTACAATACATCATCCATAGTGCCTGTGACTGACCAAAACTTGGAAAGAGGTTGCTTACATCTCAGAAGGACTACTGGTGTTGTTTCTCAAAAGAGGCAAGGATACTGTGGGAAGGCAGATAGGCAAGTGCCCCTTACTTAAAATGGATCTCAGGACTCTATTGCCCCCACCCCCGCCACCATTATGAAGACAGTGCAAGCTTTTCCCTTCTTATTATGGGATTGGAGAAGGTGGGATTAAGAGGATAACCTAGGATATAAAGTGATACAGTAGCAGGAATTTGGAAAATGTGACCTTGTGGCCAACTAGAAGTACAGCAGTCAGATAAACCACAAACACTACAGCAGCAATAACAATAAAATCCACTTCAGGCAATGTGAATAGCACTAACAAGCAGTTACTACTCGAAACAACTATACTGAGAAGGGAGTAGAATTCCCAAGCAGAGCAGCAGCTGATGAAACCAGTTGAAATAACATTATGGGAAGGAAGGAAAGGTAAAAGGGAGGAACCACACTAACATCTCTTCTGCTAAGAGAAACTGAAAAGGCTAGACTACTAATTAGGGTTGTAGAGTGAATTCTAAGGGTTGGGCCATCAGGTGTAAGTACAAGTGGGTATCAGTGGTAGCCCAGGAGACAGGCTTCCTTTAAGTTTGGTGTCAGGAGAAAAAGAGAGGCTCAGCGATGTTCCAGCAGTGATGGAGACAGCAATATGAAGAAACAAATTGAGGTGAGAATTCTCAAAGGAGGTGGGGGAGGGAAGCAAAAAGATCACTGGGAAATAAGAACAAAGGAGACGGAGAATCAAGGGTAAAGAAGGAACCCACCAAAAGACCTAGGCTGAAGCCCTCTTTCTTTCACTTATTCATGTACACAATCACTCAATATTATTGAGCATGAACTCTGAGCCAGGTACTGTTCTAAATCCTCGAGAGATGGCAGGGACCAAAACACAGTCCTGCTTTCATGAAGCTTAGATTCTAGTAGGAAGAAACAAACTATAAATAGACAAATCACACAGCTAGTGAATGTAAGTAAATAGGTGACTGGCTGTGTTGCCATATACTTCTCATTTAATCCGCTTGCCATTTTGGTTTAGCAAAGAAACAAGAAACTTGAAATAGTGTGGGAGTACATATTTGCCAAGGGGAAAAGCAGAACTTTTAAAAGCTCCTTCAGAATGTTCTTTTCTCTTTCTTAAAATGGAAATCACTGTTCTTTTAGCTGCAAAAGTAATACATCTTGAAAAAAATACAGAAATGTAAACAACAGAAATCTACAAAATAGAAAATATCTCATAATTTCATATCCACTGTTAAAAAGTCTAATCATTATAGACTTCCCCCTGCATATACATGTGTTTATAATATAAATATAGTGTATCCCATTTACATGTTTATAATTATAGATAAAATATATACTACGAATACTATTCCATAAACTGCTTTTCACTCAATATTTTTCAGACATCTTTTTTGTGTCAATATATATAGGTGTACATTATCCTTCATAATGGCTGCATACTAGTTAGTATTCCATTGTAATTTATTCGTTCAATCCCCTATAGATGAATGTTTAGAATGGTTCATATTTTACAATACTACAAACAACATTCTTGTATAAAATTTGTATACATTTGCCATTCATTCTTTAGGATACCTTCTCAGAACTGGAATTGCTGCATTAAAAGTTTCTCATATATTTGGAAAATTGCTCTCTAAAGAGTTAACATCCATTTTGGGCAACAAAGTGAGACCCTGTCTCTACAACAAACATAAAAAACAAACCAAAAAACCCCCCAAAAAAACAACACAATTAGCTGGGCGTGGTGGCCTGTGCCAGGCTGAAGAGGATGAATTGCTTGAGCCTAGGAGTTTGAGGTTACTGTTAGCTATGATCTTTCCACTGCACTCCAGCCTGGGAAAGAAAGTGAGACCCTGCCTCAAAAAAAAAAAAAAGAAAAAAAAGTTAACATCAACTTACACCTGTATCTATGGTGAATGAGAATACCTGTTTCCCCACAACTTTGTCAATACAAAAAAGAGAAGTCTTTATTCTGTATTTTAAAACTTTTCCCCTCAGTCTTTGGCTTAACTTTGTCTAGGATTTTAACTATCAAAAAGTAGAAACTTCTTATGTTGTCAAATTTGTCAATCTTTTCATCATAGTATCTGGCTTTAGTGTCATGCTACTCTCTCGTGTATTCCTTTTTTATCCTTCAGTTTTCAGCCTAAAGAAGGTTGAACCTGTTTTCACATTTGTAATGTCCCATTTCTGGTACTGTTTCGTATTGTTATGTGTCTGTCTTTCTCACTGGAGCATAAACTCCCTTGGCCATCTGCAGATTCTCCTCTATATCTCCAACATCTAACACAGAATAGGCATTTATAAGTTATTTGTTGAATAAATTTTAGAGTCTTCCTTTTTGGGGCCTACTGCTAGTTTTCCCTGGAACAATGTTCCTTCTCAGAGATCAAATGAATATTAAGGGAATCAAACAAACCCTTCACTATAAGAAGTAATTTAGAGGGAGGGAAGGTAAATCTCATTGACTCCTTCTCCGAAAAAACACATCAAGTCAGGCATTGCTGAACCAGACTTGTCAGAAAATCTTGGACTGGGCTTGACTGAACACTGCAATATGGCAAGTGAGTCAGGCAAGTTATATAAGATCTCTGGGGAAATTCTTCCGGTTCAATAACCTGTAATGTTGCTTTCATGATAACCAAGAGTGCATCCAAATCCTGTTTCTCAAGAATTTTGATGGTTTCAAAATCTACTGTTCCCTTTTCAAAATGAATTACATGCCATACAACAAATTTAGGAAGAGTCTTGTGATGCCAGAGCACCCCAAAAGTTGGGAACTTGTACCCTGGGTTCTACTGATATCCTCTGGGATGGCAATTCATAACTCATTTCAAGGAAAGTGATATTTGTGTTACATATTTAAGTACAAGTTTCAGCAACAGTGATAGTCAATTCCTTGAAAAGTACCAGTTAAAGATACAAACTAAAAGTTTGTCTTACCATTTGCTAGGTAAAACCATTTTTTTAAAAGACATCAAGGTTGGTTCCTTTGCATTCTGGCAATAAAAAGCTTCGTGGTATTCAGATTAGATGAATGTTTTCTAGAATAATTCTTGAGAATGTTTCTTTTCTTTTATACTAAGTTATCTTTTAAGTGTGGCAGGAATTAGAACAGCTCTTATCTGGAAAATTTTCTCAAGGATACTTGTAATATTAGAATTAGAAAGTCTTTTTAACATGCCTAGGTTGAACAAAAAGCTGGGTTTTATTTGCATAGTGTATGATAATAGCATTTATTTTCTACTATTATTTTTTACTTATAAGTACTTTTCCTTTTTTATTATACTTTAAGTTCTAGGGTACATGTGTACAACGTGCAGGTTTGTTACATATGTATACATGTGCCATGCTGGTGTGCTGCACCCATTAACCCATCATTTACATTAGGTATATCTCCTAATGCTATCCCTCCCCCCTCCCCCTACCCCACAACAGGCCCCATTGTGTGATGTTCCCCTTCCTGTGTCCAAGTGTTCTCATTGTTCAATTCCCACCTATGAGTGAGAACATGTGGTGTTTGGTTTTTTGTCCTTGCAATAGTTTGCTGAGAATGATGGCTTCCAGTTTCATCCATGTCCCTAAAAAGGACATGAACTCATCATATTTTATGGCTGCATAGTATTCCATGGTGTATATGTGCCACATTTTCTTAATCCAGTCTATCATTGTTGGACATTTGGGTTGGTTCCAAGTCTTTGTTATTGTGAATAGTGCTGCAATAAACATACATGTCCATGTGTCTTTATAGTAGCATGATTTATAATTCTTTGGGTATATACCAGTAATGGGATGGCTGGGTCAAATGGTATTTCTAGTTCTAGATCCCTGAGGAATCCCCACACTGTCTTCCACAATGGTTGAACTAGTTTACAGTCCCACCAACAGTGTAAAACTGTTCTATTTCTCCACATCCTCTCCAGCGCCTGTTGTTTCCTGACTTTTTAATGATCGCCATTCTAACTGGTGTGATAATATCTCACTGTGGTTTTGATTTGCATTTCTCTGATGGCCAGTGATGATGAGCACTTTTTCATGTGTCTGTTGGCTGCATAAATGTCTTCTTTTGAGAAGTGTCTGTTCATATACTTTGCCCACTTTTTGATGGGGTTGTTTTTTTCTTGTAAATTTGTTTGAGTTCTTTGTACATTCTGGATACTAGCCCTTTGTCAGTTGAGTAGATTGCAAAAGTTTTCTCCCATTCTGTAGGTTGCCTGTTCACTCTGATGGTAGTTTCTTTTGCTGTGCAGAAGCTCTTTAGTTTAATTAGATCCCATTTGTCAATTTTGGCTTTTGTTGCCATTGCTTTTTGTGTTTTAGACATGAGGTCCTTGCCCATGCCTATGTCCTGAATGGTATTGCCTAGGTTTTCTTGTAGGGTTTTTGTGGTTTTAGGTCTAACATTTAAGTCTTTAATCCATCTTGAATTAATTTTTGTATAAGGTGTAAGGAAGGAATCCAGTTTCAGCTCTCTACATATGGCTAGCCAGTTTTCCCAGCACCATTTGTTAAATAGGGAAACCTTTCCCCATTTCTTGTTTTTGTCAGGTTCATCAAAGATCAGATAGTTGTAGATGTGTGGTATTATTTCTGAGGGCTCTGTTCTGTTCCGTTGGTCTATATCTCTGTTTTGGTACCAGTACCATGCTGTTTTGGTTACTGTAGCCTTGTAGTATAGTTTGAAGTCAGGTAGCGTGATGCCTCCAGCTTTGTTCTTTTAGCTTAGGATTGACTTCATAATGTGGGCTCTTTTTTGGTTCCATATGAACTTTAAAGTAGTTTTTTTCCAATTCTGTGAAGAAAGTCATTGGTAGCTTGATGGGGATGGCATTGAATCTATAAATTACCTTGGGCAGTATGGCCATTTTCATGATATTGATTCTTCCTATCCATAAGCATGGAATGTTCTTCCATTTGTTTGTGTCTTCTTTTATTTCATTGAGCAGTGGTTTGTAGTTCTCCTTGAAGAGGTCCTTCACATCCCTTGTAAGTTGGATTCCTAGCTATTTTATTCTCTTTGAAGCAATTGCGAATGGGAGTTCACTCATGATTTGGCCCTCTGTTTGTCTGTTATTGGTGTATAAGAATGCTTGTGATTTTCGCACATTGATTTTATATCCTGAGACTTTGCTGATGAAGCTGCTTATCAGCTTAAGGAGATTTTGGGCTGAGACAATGGGGTTTTCTAGATATACAATCATGTCATCTGCAAACAGGGACAATTTGACTTCCTCTTTTCCTAACTGAATACCCTTTATTTCTTTCTCCTGTCTGATTGCCCTGGCCAGAACTTCCAACACTATGTTGAATAGGAGTGGTGAGAGAAGGCATCCCTGTCTTGTGCCAGTTTTCAAAGGGAATGCTTCCAGTTTTTGCCCATTCAGTATGATATTGGCTGTGGGTTTGTCATAAATAGCTCTTATTATTTTGAGATACGTCCCATCAATACCTAATGTATTGAGAGGTATTTATTGAATACCTAATTCAAAATTTGTTGAATTTTGTTGAAGGCCTTTTCTGCATCTATTGAGATAATCATGTGGGTTTTGTCATTGGTTCTGTTTGTATGCTGGATTATGTGTATTGATTTATGTTGAACCAGCCTTGCATCCCAGGGATGAAGCCCACTTGATCATGGTGGATAAGCTTTTTGATGTGCTGCTTGATTCAGTTTGCCAGTATTTTATTGAGGATTTTTGCATCAATGTTCATCAGGGATATTGGTGTAAAATTGTCTTTTTTTGTTTTGTCTCTGTCCGGCTTTGGTATCAGGATGATGCTGGCCTCATAAAATGAGTTAGGGAGGATTCCTTCTTTTTCTATTGATTGGAATAGTTTCAGAAGGAATGGTACCAGCTCCTTCTTGTACCTCTGGTAGAATTCGGCTGTGAATCTGTCTGGTCCTGGACTGTTTTTGGTCGGTAAGCTATTAATTATTGCCTCAATTTCAGAGCCTGTTATTGGTCTATTCAGAGATTCAACTTCTTCCTGGTTTAGTCTTGGGAGGGTGTATGTGTTGAGGCATTTATCCATTTCTTCTAGATTTTCTAGTTTATTTGCGTAGAGGTGTTTATAGTATTCTCTGATGGTAGTTTGTATTTCTGTGGGATCGGTGGTGATATCCCCTTTATTATTTTTTATTGTGTTTATTTGATTCTTCTCTCTTTTCTTCATTAGTCTTGCTAGTGGTCTGTCAATTTTGTTGATCTTTTCAAAAAACCAGCTCCTGGATTCATTGATTTTTTTGAAGGGTTTTTTTGTGTCTCTATCTGCTTCAGTAGTGCTTTTCCTTCTTAAATTCAGAGGCAACTGTGATGTTTTCTTAGGTGAATCCATGGAATGTATTAATCTTCCCTGAATATGTCACTGGACTTATTACATGTAAGTATTTTGCCAATACGCAAATAAATTTTGTTAGCAAGTATTATTCTGGTGTGAAAATACGTACTGACTTTTAAAAATTATTACATTTAAATCACAATGTGATGTAAATTTACTGATAACAACATCAATTTGGTAATTAAAGTGTGGAAATCATTCTACAGAAAATCTTATTAGTGAGATTATTTTCAACGAACACATACATAATGAAATGTTTTTATGATAAACTGCCATGTAACTTGGTGCTAATCCGTCATACAATTAGTTTGACTTTGTGAAGGAGACAATTACTGAAAACTTATGCTTATTAATCCTCACTAAAATAAACCTTTTTCTTGTTTTAAGAAGAGACATTGTCAAAACAGATAATTATAGAAAAGCTAGAAACAGTTTGAAGACAGGACCTGTCACAAAAACTTTATTTTCCTTTCAACATTTCACCTTATATCCAGTTGTGCAAATCAGAAAACATTTAATTTTATTACTACATAGCAAGAACTTCATACATTAAAGATGAAAAGCAATCAATTTTTAACCCAAATGTTTTTCATACTTTGAAAACGAATGAAAGAAAAACATATTTTTTTAAATAAAAAAGAAATCAAGTTAAGCAAATACCTAGATTTATGACACTTATTTTAAGCAGAAGATCTTTCCACACCTTCCCTCAGAAATGGATCTTTCCTTTGGTACTACTGTATTATTTCTCTTTCTGTATAATTGAATTTCTATGCTAACAATATGATTGGATGCATAGGACTTGGGGCACACTTAGTGCAGAATACATTGAGCTGTATTACTGTTTTATATTGTGTAGGTTATTTATTACTATGGTAGCCAGGCTTTAAAGTTATCCAAGATTATTTAGGTAATCAAAATCAAAAGACTTGGCCTATAACAAATAAAAGCAGTCATTTCTAAATTTTAAATATATAACACTGTCATACTTAATATCCAACTGGCAACAGGCTTACCTTTCATTTTGGGGAATGAATTTAATTACTTTGATCTGAAGATGTGGGAATCTCTATTTCTTTAAACCATCTGCCTTGTCAATACACAGTTTTAAATGTAGATTTTATTCTATTTTAAATTTATTTGTGGGACCACCTAAACATTAAGGCCAAGTTATTGATGTGGACCTTGAATTCGATGGACTTGAAAAAATTATTCTTTTTAAAATAAGAACTATAGGCACATGGCATGAAATGTGAATGATGCAAAAGATTTTGAGATAAAAAGTAACACTCCCCCTTACACATGCCCAGCTACCTACTTCTCCCTTCCAGAGCCTGCCACTGTATTCTTCTAGAGATGCTATTAGAACCACAATTTCAATTTCTTTGCCATGATAAAAAAAAATACAGTGCATAAGAAAAGAGCTGACAATATTCAGTGATGGAAACTACAAAGCATCCAAGAATTTAGGAGAGGAAATGGTAACAATTATTTGAGTAGAAATTAACATTTTCCATTAAAAAATTGAATACAGTATGAAAGGGAATGTAGAAAAAAGAAATACAGAAACAATGTGACACAGTGTGTGGCACTGTGTACCCATGCAAATCTGATGTTCAATTGTAATCCTCAGGTGTCAGGGGAGGGATCTGGTAGGAGGTGATTGGATCATGGGGATGGATTTCCCCATGCTGTTCTCATGATTGTGAGTGAGTTCTCACAAAATCTGGTGGTTTAAAAGTATAGTACTTCCCTCCTTGCTCTCTCTCCTGCTACCATCTAAGATGTGCCTTATTTCCCCTTTGCCTTCTGTCATGATTGTTAAGTTTCCTGAGGCCTCCCCAGCTATGGGGAACTGTGCGTCCATTAAACCTCTTTTCTTTATAAATTACCCAGTCTCAGTAGTTCTTTATAGCAATGTGAAAACGAACTAATGTACAATGAAAAGAAAGTTTAGAATTAAAAAGTACTGTGAGGCTAAAGGAATACTATCCAATTGAACACAGTGATGAATGGAAATGTTCTAATTTGTACTGTGCAATATGGTAGCCACTAGCTACATCGCTACTGAACATTTCAATGTGGTAGGGTGACCAAGAAACTAAATTTTTAATTTTAATTTTAAATAAATTGTAATAGCTACATGTACAATACAGTAGATATTTTACTGGAAAACACAGGACTAGACAGTCTAGATCAAAGATGAGAAATATTAGTAACTAAGAGAAATTTTAAGATGAAAGATTTATAAGTTATAATAAAAATAAAATTTGAGAACCATCATGAGAGTAATATGTCCAAAATAGAAATCTTTCCATAATCTGACATTTGAATAAAAATCTTTAGAAACTAGAAACAATACCCATTCAAAGAAGTAGGTATAGAAATTAAGTATATAAAGAATAATGGAAAAAAGTAAAGAGTAAAAATGAATTTATATAAACAATCATGTTAAAGACAAAAAGCATTAATTATCTGATAAAAAGAGCACAACAGCACTTTATAAATATTTGCTGAATTGAAATGAGGTAGTTATTATGATGGGCCTCTTCTTTGTCATGTCCTTTGCACCATCTGTCAGTCAGTTACTGAGAAAAAGAAACTATTCAGCTAGCATTCTTAATTTCCTTTTTAAAACTTAAATATTGTTCTGATTAAAGAAAAATGTTCCCTTTATGTAGCAAATTCATAAAATACAAAAACGCATAAACAACAAAATAAAAATCAACTCACCACCCAAATAATTATTATAATTTTGTATTTATGTTTCCTTCCAGTCTTTTTTCTACATACAAAGAGTCCCTTTATTTAAAAAATACCTAAAATAACAGGGTCAGATCATATGGCATATTTCATAATTTTCTTCTTTTTAAAATTCATTCTCATACAATATGTTTATAAAGGTTAAACACATAAAGAAGACATCAGCCTGGAAACAGGCTAAGCCAAATGACTAATTAGATTCACATTTACACCTTCATTGCTAATTGTAATAAACTTGTTTGAAAAGAAGGTCTCCAGGAGTTAATTTGCTAGCAGCATTTATCAATAAGCGATAATGTACTTACATTTTACAAGTACATGTAAATTTACAAGTCTTTCATTTCTCAGTTTTATGCCAGTAGGATCAACGTGCACTACGGTTACAAAGTAAGTTGGATTTAATTACAGTTACGTGCTATGCAATGACATTTCAGTTAACAATGAATAGCATATAAGACGGTGGTCCCACTGTGCCTTTTCTGTTTAGATATACTTAGAAACACAAATATTTACCATTGTGTTACAGTTGCCTACATACAGTTCAGTACAATAGCATGCTGTACAGGTTTATAGCCTAGGAGTAATGGGCTATACTATATAGACAGGGTGTGTAGTAGGCTATACTATCTAGTTTTCCCTAAGTACACTCTGATATTTGCACGACGACGAAATGACCTACCTGTCATCAAGTGACACATGACTGTACTTGGTACTATTTACATTTTGAGTTCATATCTGTTAGAGACAACAGTTCTGAATTTTTTATGGCTTATGTTGAACAAGTAATCCAGGGAAGGGGAGCAAGATACTGGAGAATATGAAACAGGGAAGGAGGGAAAGCCAAAATAAAAGGTGTGTTCTGGAGTTGGTCACTGCTCTGGGTGCTGGGACCCAATCCCTGCTGAGAACTTCTGAGAAGTCATGTTGAATATACCTGGACTATGTGCTCAATGGACAGGAAAGGAACTTTTATCCATTAGCTTCTATCCCCTTGATACCAGGTATCAAGGTTTATCTGGTATGTTAACCCTCTCACACTTCCAAGTTGATTCCCCACAGACATCCCATGCCACAGTGTCAGAGAAGAAAGCAAAATATATTCTGTAGAGCTGTAATGAGGTTACACCTGTTAGCAGCTGGTTGCTGCAGCAAGGCTGGAGTAAAAATACAAAAGGATGTGAGGTAGGGCACAAGAGGTGTCTGCCACAGGACTTTTATATGCTTGTCTCTTTTTCCACTGAAATTGAGAATTTACAATCATCTTGGACTACAGAAGAAAGTAGTTTAAAAAATTCAAATATATTAAATTGTCCTGAATATTATGATGAGAAAACAGAGGTGGCTCTTAGGCCATACAAATGGGGAGACAAAAACATAGAAGAAAATTTCACAATAATTTCTGCAAAGCAAACCTTCAAAATACCACAGAAGTATTCATAAACACAAATTAATCTTTTTCAAAAGATAGTTAAATGAGTGTAGAGTTCAGAATTATTTCTGTATAAATTCACATCAAATCAGGATTCTTGTTGACTTTAAATAACAGGTACAAATGATAGTAAAATAACAGCACCTATCATATTTTGTTATGCACTGGCTAAACACTTTATATACCAGTTCATTAGATTAAAAAATGACTCTCAAGATTAGTAAGTTTTCAAACTTTTTAAGAGTATGACCTTTAGTGAGTGCATTAGTCAAGGTTTTCCAGAGAAACAGAGAGTGACTGTAAGGAATTGGCTCTCATGATTATGGAGAAAGGCAAGTCCAAGCTCAAATTTGCAGGGTAGGCTGGCAGGCTGGAGACCCAGGAAAGAGTTGAAATCAGAAAGCAGTCTTCAGGCCGGGCGCAGTGGCTCATGCCTGTAATCCCAACACTTTGGTGAGGCCAAGGTGGGTAGATTGCTTGAGGCCAGGAGTTTGAGACCAGCCTGGCCAATATGGTAAAACCTCATCTCTACTAAAATACAAAAATTAGCTGGGTGTGGTGGCACATGCCTGTAATCCCAGCTTTTTGGGAGGCTGAGGCACGGGAATTGCTTGAACCTGGGAGGCAGAGGTTGCAGTGAGCTGAGATCATGCCACTGTATTCCAGCCTTGGTAACAGAGCAAGACTGTCAAAAAAAAAAAGAAAAAAAAAAGAAAAGAAAAGGAAAGAAAAGAAAAGAAACCAGTCTTCAGGCAGAATTCCCTCCTCCTAGAGGGAATGTTTTTTTCCCTTAAAGTCCTCAACTGATTGGATGAGGCCTACTAATTTAATAGAGGGTAAGCTGCTTCACTCAAAGTATACTGATTTAAATATTAATCTCACTTAAAAAAATACTTTGACACAAAATCTAGGCTAGTATTTCACCAAATATCTGGGTACCACAGTCTAGCCAAGTTGACACAAAATTAACCTATACAGTAAGAAATACATTTGACACCACAACTTCACAAACAAAACATATGTGCAAGTGTATCTACAACAAGAGTTTCAGAAAGCAATAAGTACTCCCAGTAAGCCTTTGTACACTGATACTTTCTATTCCATGTTTTTCTAGCTCATTAAAAAGAAAAACAAGCTGTAACCCATCAATTTGATTTCCCAGCCCCAAATGTATTACACAGATTCAAAAACTCTGCTCTAGATACATCTATTTACTGATGTTTTAGAATACTGGTAAATAAATGTATCATGGTGACACCAGAATATAAATTTGAGAAGGAAATTGAGTACATTTGAACACATGAAATATAATGAACATGTGTATATAAGAAAAATATATAAAATGCCTAATTCTTTATGACTATAGGACTAACATATGGGCATAGTATTTTATCACCATCATGATAAATATTTGAGAATAAAATCAGGCATGCCTAAAGATATAAGATCAGAGGCAATCAACTGTTGCTTAGTATCCTATAGGGGTTATCACCAATGTGATCAATACAATTCTCTTAAACACCATTATTCCGCCCATTAAAAAAATGTCAAATTTATCTGATAAAAGTGATCAGCAAGTAATTTATTTAAAATTTAGATTGAGAAAATCATTACTTCTTCAGCATGGAGAGAATAAGAGGAAAAACATAAATTGTTTTGGTGAGACAACTGAGAAAAAATGTATGGATAAAAAAAATAAACCAAAAAACACCTAACCTCATTTTAACTCCTTTAACCCCTTTTCACTCTGGATCTAAACCCAGTTTTAAAACTTAAATGAGACTTGTCTTAGTGACTAATGATGACTCAGAAGGTTAACTCTTCAGAACTAATTCTGTATACTTTTAATATGCACCTAGTAAGTTTTGATGACTCTTAAAAGAACGTGAGCAGGAGTATATCTAAAAATAATTCATAATAGCACCTTATTTATATTCAACTTATTTTAAAAACCTTTTATATTTTGCCCCTTAAAAGTCAGATAAAGGTCAAAATAGAGGGAAAATTATGCTAAGAATAAGCTTAAACTCAGACCTCAGCTTTGTATAGAAGTATGTAAGAAACCGTCCTTTTAGACTGAGAAAGGTGGGATCCTTGAAACTGGAGATACTACTTCTTAGGAAGACCTGCCTAAAATAAATGTTTTCAAAACCAAAAAGATTTATAACACAAACTAGCATAAACATTTCTTGTACAATTAATAAATAAACATCTACAGTTTGAGAGGCAGAATAGCTTACCAGGTAAGAGTACAGATTCTGAGGAGCTCAAAACATTCAAATGATTCATGATCACTGCCTACCACATTTATCTAAAGAAGTATGATAAATTTTATATTCTCTTAGTTTTCACAGAGGTAGAGGTCATTATCAAAGAAGGTACATAGAGAAAAGCGGTCTCCATGTGTTTTGTTACTATGTTTCAAGTGCTTGTTTTTCTTTATTTATTACGGTAGTTAAGTAAAAACAGCAGAATACAAAAGAGTAAGTTTTCAAAAATTACAATTATGTACCAATGTATGCATAGGCAAATTAACTTGCTAAAATTAAGAGTTGTGCAGCCAGACATAGGATTTCAGGTAGCAGCCAGACATAGGATTTCAGGTAATCTATTACTTCTATTTAAAAAAATTTTTAAATGTACTGTTATATTAAATTTTTAATAAAATAAAGGAAAATAAATCAAGTAAGATCATAGTATTGGCTAAGCCAGAGAGTCCCAAAAGTGCTCAACAGTTACACTTGCAGATGTGCATTGCAGAGCCTCAGGCACCTCTGAGTGCAGACAACCCTACCTCTTTGCCTGATCAAAGGCAGGAACAAATGGTTAGGCCTGAGGTAGGTCAAATGACTGGCATAAAACTGCCCAACAGGGACCTTCCATTGTGGATGGTGGTTAACCCATTCAACCACATCTTTTCCTTTGGGGAGGTAGAAATGCTAGTAGGTAAATAAAAAAATGGGATGTTGACCAAGCTCAGGATATATCCTTTCCAGCTTTGGAAGCCAGAAATCCCAGAATAACTTTATTGTTGAAAACATGCTTCTGTGTAAATTTGCAATAAGATCAAATTTCTGAAAACAATATATGAATGTATTTTCCCTGAAAATGTAAAGTATCAGAGCAATTTTCATATAGAAAAAAAATACTAAAAACAGAATCTAAATTATAGACATATATTAACTGTTATGTCTAGTGTAGTGTCCAGGGCAGGTTGGTATGTACAAAAGAAGTCTACATGCAAAGAAATTGTTAGCTCTTGAGCATATACCAGATGCCTGATGATAAGTATTTGAATTAGTAATGCAAATATATAAGCCTTAAGGCTTTTAAAAGGACTTTCAAGAACTAAACTATACTGATTCGTTCTGTATGCACATTACTGTGACAATTCCTCAAGTGCTTTTGGTATTTTCAAATTTCAAGTATCCCATTTTTCAGTTTATCCTGAGTAACTTGTTTTTCTATCAGGGACCCAATATGTTCTTTTAAAATATGTAATTATAAGGTTTCGGTATATTCTTTTAAAATAAAGTATTTCATGTGTTAAAAATAAACATAACTAATAACATACACCTATAACCCACCATCCAACTTAAGAAATAAAACACTACAGACATGACCAAAGCTCTCCATGACTGTGAACCCTAACATTTTCCTTCCCCAGAGATAATAACTACCCGGTTTCTCATCTATCATTTTCATGAATGTTTTCATACTTTTACAATATCTCTATATATCCATAAATAATAGTAGCAGTGTTTTTTCTTCGTTTTTTGCACATTTTATCTTCAAAGACTTTTGAAAAACTATGCACCATCTTGCACATTTCAGTTGACACTTAAGTAATGACAAAGGATGCATTTTCTAGCTTATTGTATACTGAATGCATGCTTTAAGTATATCTTTGTCAAAGCCTTGGAGCTGCAGTTCAGCTTATTCAATACACAGAGAATATAACAATATAACTTAATTGGCAAGGCTAGTCCTCATTGTCAAACTCAACCAGCCAAATCTGACTTACTATCTGTCAGAAAAAGTCTGACTTAATTTTAAAATTCAAATAAACGTGTTATTATTCATCCCCATGACAACTTTCTCACTTGTGAATTTTAATTTTAAGATAGATAAATGGACAGCTAGCTAGCTAGGTAGACAGAGAAACTATAATATAAGGCACGGAGCCTGGCCATGAGTTTGTTGCCTGCATGAAATAATGTATTACCCCTTCACTAATTTTTATTGATGCTTTCTTTGCTTTGCTCTCAAAGGACTATCCCTCAAGAGAGATTCACTCTCCAATTGTCTCCTTGTGTGGTGCCCGGGAGATTTTTAAACTGCAAGGCAAGACACCATAGTAAGATTTAGTACGGAAAAGGGGTAAGCTTTTCTTCTGAAAAGTGGGAGACAGATGATTTTGAAAGAAGTGAGAAAGGAGAACTGGCAGACCAGAAAGAGTTCTCAGGTAGATAGTTTTTAGGAAGGACTCCATATAGAAAGAGAGAATGAGGAAATTAATTTTTTAAAGCTATTCATAATGGTATATCCCATAGGAAGTCTTTGTGTATCCAGTGGTATAGGCATCCCAATTTGAAAACCATTGATCATTACCAGGATTGACAAACTAGGATCCACCTGCCAACTGTTTCTGTAAATAACGTTTTATTGGATATAGCCACACTTACTTATTTACATACCATCTATAACTGCTTTCATACTACAATGGCAGAGCTTAGTAGTTTCAACAGAGACCATTTGGGTCACAAACCCTAAAATATTTGCTATCTGATACCCTGCCGAAAAAAATTGCCACTGCTCATCCATATCATTGTATATGTGCTTTTTAACATTCTTTTTTTTTTAAAAAAAAGTCAATCATATGCATTGGGCTGGGCACAGTGGCTCACGCCTATAATCCCAGCACTATGGGAGGCTGAGGTGGGAAGATCGCTTGAGTCTAACAGTTGCAGATAAACCTAGGCAACATAGTGAAACCCCATCTCTACAAAATCAAAAAAAGTTAGCCAGGCATGGTAGTGTGCACTTGCAGCCCCAGCTACTTGGGAGGCTGAAGTGGGAGGAACTCTTGAGCCCAGGAGTTCAAGACTGCAGTAAGCTATGACAGTGCCACTGCACTCCAGCTTGGGCAACAGAGCAAGACCCTGTCTCTTAAAAAAATTATACATCTTTTTATTGTAGGGCCATTTCATTCTAAAAGGCTTGTTATGACAAATAATAGTTGCCTCTTCTCAAAAGCAATACTTTATATTCTTTAAGCTGATGTTTATGGTCATAGTATAGGCCAAACCAAGGAGCCTTAAAAGTGTCTGACAGTTACAAAGCAGGCTCTGCACTTAAACACTCCATAATAGCTAACTAATATTTTAAAACTGTTAGTTATTTTTTCAGTTTTAGGCACTATATATTAACTTCTCATTTTTGAAAATGAGGGTTTGCCTTATTCTTTGTGTTCCCTAATACCCTAGTATAGTTGTGGATTCACATATTATGAGTAAACACTGTCAACAAGTGAGTTATGTAGTAGAAAATGATTATTTTTCCTTTTCCTTCCCAAGTTTTTTCCGCAAATAAATGAATTTTGTTTATTTCTCATGTACTTATCGATAATTCAGCCCCACTTGGTATGTTCAGATGTATCAGGTACTCTATGTATTTCATGTTTTTGGGGAAAAAAATCTCTCCATTCACTCTGCCTGGACTGGTTGCCTTTCATACTCTAGTACCCTTTGCCAATGCTGCAGTTTTATTTCTTGGATCTCACCCCTCCCTTTTTCTTTGTTTACTCCTTTAGTCACTTTGTGAGAAAGGGTTTGTAGGAGATAATTCTATGAGACTTTGCATGTCTAAAATGTGTTTAGCCTACATTCAAGCTTAAATCATAAAACTAGGTATAGAATTCTAGACTAGAACTGTCAGAATGTTGAAAGCACCGTTACTTCTCTGTCTTCTAGCTTCTAGTATTACTAGTCCTCTAATTTTTCTTTTCTATTTTCTGTTTCTTTCTGCCCTATGTTACAGGAAATTGAATAGAAGGTTCTAACCCTTCAGTTAAACATTTCATTTCTATTATATTTTTATTTTTCCAAGTACTCCTTTTTGTTAAATATTCCTTTTATTTTGGAACATTAAGTTCTCATTTCATGACTGTAGTAACTTCTTGAATCGCTGAGGATAGCAGTTATTTTAAGTTTTTAAGTAGTCTGTTTTATCCAAGTGTTTTACCCTATTTATTTGTATGGGTCTCTGTTTTTCATTTCTCAGATGTCTAGTGTTCCTAGGTAAATCTAGCTGGAAACTTTGATGCCACAGGTGAAGCTTGTTGCAAGCTCAGTTTCACTATAACCTAATAAGGGTTTCAGGTCCTTTTTCTTGGTTGGTAAGAGTCCGCAAAGACGAATCTTCTAATACTCTGCCTGGAGCATAAAGGCCTGTTTGTCTTCATTTGAAAACCCAGTAGGGAAAAAGATCTAGAGGTCTCATTTTCAGTATGTACATGTTCATTTAATTCCTCTGTTTTTCAGAATGGTATATCTTCTCTCAAATTAGGAAAGCAGTGCTACATAGTCTGGACTATTTTCTCTTTCCCATGAGTAAATTTCTAGTTTTGAAATGGATAGAGAAGAGGCAGTTGTCTCGTTGTACGATATCACAAAGGGAATATAACAGCATCCTTTTCCTTTTTTCTAGGAGATTTAAAATTGATATAATGCTATTATTTAATAAGGTTCCTCTTCAAACTTCACCAGTTACCTCAATACTTTTCCTTACAGCAAAGTTTTTTCTCCAATCTAGGATAACATGTTACATTTAGCTGTCATGTATCAGTCCTTTTTAATCATTCATGTCACTGACATGACAAGCCTGGTGTTTTATGAAATGAGAGTCTCCCAATTTAGGATTTCCAGTTGTTTCTTTCCGGTTTTTTTCCTTCTGGTTAGATTAAGGTTATGAATTATTAGCAAGAATACTATAAGAGGAGAGGGGAGCAAGAGGTCCAAATAGAAGCCTCCATTAATCATCCTCACTGCAGGAACACCAAATTGAAAAACTATTCACACCAAAAAAGCACCTTCATAAGAATCAAAAATCATCTTAGGCAGCAGTTCAGCCACAGTCAGGTAGAGCATCAAGCGGTCTCCTGGGGTCCTTGATTCTAGGCCTTGGCTCTTGGAAAGTAATGTTGGACCTGCCCTGGGCCAGAAGAAAGCCCACTGCCCTGAAGGGAGAGTCCTAGGCCTGGCAGCATCCACCACAAACTGATGGAAGAACCCTCTTGGGCCTTAAATAAACATCAGCAGTAGCCTGGCAGTACTCGCCATGAGCCTGGGGTGGTGGTGGCCATGGGGAGAACTCCTTAGCTTGTGGAAAGGGGAGAGAAGAGTGGGAAGAACTTCCTCTTCTGGCTCCGGTGCCAGCTCAGCCACAGTAGAATAGAGCAACAGATAGATTCCTAAGGTTCTAGACTCCAGGCCCTGGCTCCTGCTTGGCATCTCTAGATCCACCTGGAACCAAGGAACTCACCTCCCTGAAGAAAAGAATACAAGCCTGCCCGGCTTCATCACCTGCTCACTGTGGAGCCCTAGGGCCTTGAGTGAACATCACTGGTGGTAACATGGAGGGAGAGACTGTTTGAGAGAAAGTAAGGGAAGACAACAAGAGCCTTTGCCTGGTAATCCAGAGAATTCTTCCAAATCTTATCCAAGACCACCAAGACAATACTTCTACAAGTCTGCAAGAACCAGAGCATTACTGGGCTTTGAGTCCCCACTAATGCAGATACAGATGCAGTGACTAAAAACTTAGATTACAACATTCAAGTGCTTTCAAATACTTGGAAAGCCTTCCCAAGAAGGACAGGTGCAAACAAGCCTAGACTGTGAAGATTACAATAAATACCAAATTCTTCAATGCCCAGACCCGATGAATGTCCACAAGCATCAAGACCATCCAGGAAAACAAAACCTCATCAAAGGAACTAAATAAAGCACCAGTAAAGAATCCTAGAGAGACAGAGATATGTGACCTTTCAGACAGAGAATTCAAAATAGCTATTTTGAGGAAGCTCAATGAAATTCAAGATAACACAGAGGAGGAATTCACTATTCTATCAGATAAATTTAACAAGGACATTAAAATAATTAAAAAGAATCAAACAGAAATTCTGAGTTGAAAAATGCAATTGACATACTGAAGAATGCATCAGAGTCTCTTAACAGCAGAAATGATAAGCAGAAGAAAGAATTAGTGAGCCTAAAGACAGGGTATTTGAAAATATACAGTCAGAGGAGACAAGAGAAAAAAGAATAAAAAACAAGGAACCATGCCTACATGATCTAGAAAATAACCTCAAAAAGACAAATCTAAGAGTTGCTGGTCTCAAATAGGAGGTAGAAAGATAGGGGAAGAAAGTTTATTCAAAGGTAAAATAACAAGGAACTTCCCAAGCCCAAAGAAAGATATCAATATTCAAGTATAAAAAGGTTATAGAATACCAAGCAGATTTAACCCAAATATAAGATTACCTCAAGACATTTAATAATCAAACTCCCAAAGGTTAAGGATAAAGAAAGGATCCTAAAAGTAGCAAGAAGAAATACCATACAATGGAGCTCCAATACACTTGGCAGCAGACTTTTCAGTGGAAATCTTATGTGCCAGGAGAGAGTGGCATGACACATTTAATGTACTGAAGGGAAAAAAAAAAACTTTAATCCTATGTATTAGTTGTTCTTATGTTGCTAATAAAGACATGCCTGAGAATGGGTAATTTCTAAAGGAAAGAGATTTAATTGACTCACAGTTCAGCATGGCTGGGGAGGCCTCAGAAAACTTACAATCATGCCGGAAGGGGAAGCAAACATGTCCTTCTTCACATGATGGCAGGAAGAAGTGACAAGCAAAAGGAGGAAAACCCCTTATAAAACCATCAGATTGTGTGAGAACTCACTTACTATCATGAGATCAGCACAGAGGTAACCACCCCTATGATGCAATTACCTCCCACTGGGTCCCTCCCACAACACCTGGGGATTATGGGAACTACAATGCAAGATGAGATTTGGGTGGGGACACAGCCAAACCATATCATCCTAGAATAGAATACCCAGCGAAAATAGCTTTCAAACATGAAGGAGAAATAAAGACTTTACAAAATAAACAAAGCTAAGAAATTTCAACACCAGACCTCTCCTACAAAAAATGTAAAAGGGAGTTCTTCAATCAGAAAGAAAAGCATGTTAATGAGCAACAACAAATCATCTGAAGGTAACAAACTCACTAGTAATAGTAAATAAACAGAATAATATAGAATATTGTAAAACTCCAATTTTGCTGTAATATTTGTGAACTATTCATATGATGAGGAGAAAGACTAAAAGATGAACTGATCAAAAATAATAACTACAATAATCTTTCAAGACAGTAGAGTAAGATATAAATTGAAACAACAAAACTTAAGAAACAGAGGGGACATGTTAAAGTGTACAGTTTTTATTAGTTTTCTCTTCCCCTGTTTGTTTATGCAATCAGTGTTAAGTTGTCGGCAGTTTACAGTAATGGGTTATAAGACAGTATTTGCAAGTTCCATGGTAACCTCAAATGTAAAAACATACAACAGATACAAAAAAAAAAAAAGAATAAACTAAAACATAACCACCACAGAAAATCCCCTTCACTAAAAGGGAGACAGGAAGAAAGGAAAGAAGGAAGAGAAACCCACAAAACAACCATGAAACAACAAAATGTCAAGAGTAAGTCCTTATCAATAAAAACATTAAATGTAAATAGCATGAATTCTCTATTAAAAGACAAATTAGCTGATGAATTAAAAAACAAGACCCAACAATCTGTTGTCTACAAGAAACACACCACGTATAAAGACTCATATAGCCTGAAAATAAAAGGATGGAAAAAGATATTTTATGCAAATGGAAATCAAAAAAGAGCAGGAGTAGCTATACTTATATCAGACAAAATAGATTTTAAGACAAAAACTATAAAAAGAGATAAAGGGCTGGGTGCAGTGGCTCATGCCTGTAATCCCAGCACTTTGGGAGGCTGAAGTGGGCGGATCACGAGGTCAGAAGATCGAGACCATCCCGGCCAACATGGTGAAACACCATCTCTACTAAAAATACAAAAATTAGCTGGGCATGGTGGTGCATGCCTGCAATCCCAGCTACTCGAGAGGCTGAGGCAGGAGAATTGCTTGAACCAGGGAGTTGGAGGTTGCAGTGAGCCGAGATGGCACCATAGCACTCTAGCCTGGTGACAGAGAGAGACTCTGTCTCAAAAAAAAAAAAAGGGGGGGGGATAAAGAAGGTCATTATATAATGATACAGGGATCAATTCAGCAAGAAGATCTAAGAACTATAAATATATATCCACCCAACTCTGGAGCACTCACATATATAATGCAAATATTATTAGAGCTAAAGAGACAGACCCCAATACAAAAATAACTGGAGGACAGGAGCCATGGCTCACGCCTGTAATCCCAGGTCTTTGGGAGGCCAAGGTGGGCACATCTTGAACTCAAGAGTTCAAGACCAGCCTGGGCAACATGCAGAAACGCTGTCTCTACTACAAAAAATACAAAAAAACTAGGCTGGGCACGGTGGCTCACACCTGTAATCCCAGCACTTTGGGAGGCCGAGGCGGGCGGATCATGAGGTCAGGAGATTGAGACCATCTTGGCTAACACGGTGAAACCCAGTCTCTACTAAAAATACAAAAAATTAGCCGGGCGTGGTGGCACCTGCCTGTAGTCCCAGCTACTCAGGAGGCTGAGGCAGGAGAATGGTGTAAACCCAGGAGGCAGAGCTTGGAGTGACCTGAGATCATGCCCCTGCACTCCAGCCTGGGCAACAGAGTGAGACTCTGTCTCAAAAAAAAAGACAAAAAAACAAACAAAAAAAACCTAGCTGTGTGTAGTGGCGAGCACCTGTGGTCCCAGCTACTTGGGGGGCTGAGGTGGGAGGATCGCTTAAGCCTAGGAGGTGGAGGTTGCAGTGAGCCAAGATCATGCCACTGCACTGCAGCCTGGGTGACAGAGTGAGACCCCATTTTAAATAAATAAATAAATAATAAATAAATAACTGGAGACTTCAACATCCCACTTTAAGTACTGGAAAGAACATCCAGACAGAAAATCAACAAAGAAACACTGGACTTAATCTGCACTACAGACCAAATGGGCCTAATAGATATTTACAGAATATTTCATCAAACAGCTGCAGAATGCACATGCTTCTCGTTAAGCACATGGATCATTCTCAAGGACAGACTATACGTTAGGCCACAAAACAGCTCTTAAAAATTTCAAAACAGTTGAAATTATCTCGAGTATCTTCTCTGACCACAATGGAATAAAACTAGAAATCAATAGCTAGAGGAATTTTGGAAACTATACAAACACATGGAAATTAATATGCTCCTTGAAAGATCAGTGGGTCAATGAAGAATTTAAAAGGGAAATTGAAAAATTTCTTGAAACAAATGAAAATGGAAACACAACATACCAAAACCTATGGGATACAGAGAAAGCAGTACAAAGAGAAAAATTTATAGCTATAAGAGCCTACACCAAAAAAGTAGAAAAACTTCAACTAACCTGACAATGAAAGTTAAAGAATTACAAAAGCAAAAGGAAACCAAACCCAAAATTAGTAGAAGAAAAGAAATAATAAAAATCAAAGCAGAAACAAATGAAATTTGAAGAAAACAATATGAAGAATACAAAAGACCAACAACAAGAAAAGTCATTTTTAAAAGATACACATAATCAACAAACTTTTAGCCAGATTAAGAAAAAAGACAGAAGACCAAAATACAAAAAAATAAGACGTGAAAAAGGAGACATTACAATAACACAGAAATTCAAAAGATCATAAGAAGGCTACTATGAGCAACTATAAGCCAATACATTGGAAAACCTAGAAGAAATGGGTAAATTCCTAGACACATACAACCTACTGAGATTGAACCATAAAGAAATCCAAAACCTGAACAAACCAATAAGAATAAGATTGAAACCATAATAAAGTCTCCCAGCAAAGAAAAGCCCAGGAACCAATGGCTTCCCTGCTGAACTTTACCAAACGTTTTAAGAAGAATTCATATTAATCTTCCTCAAACTAGTCCGAAAAATGGAGGAGGGAATACTTCCAAACTCACTCTAGTAGGTCAATATACCAAATCTTTGTCTGATATCAAAAGCAGACAAAGATACATTTAAAAAAAAAAAGAAGAAGAAGAAGAAGAAAAGAAAACTATAGGCCAATATCCCTGATGAACACTGATGCAAAAATCCTCAACAAAATACTAGCAAACCAAATTCAACAACATATTAAAAAGATCATTCATCATGACTAAGTAGGATTTATCCTAGGGATGCAAAGATGGTTCAACATATGCAAATCATATCAACAGAAGGATGGACAAAACTCTATGATCATTCAATTGATGCTGGAAAAGCATTTGATAAAATTCAACATCCTTTCATGATAAAAACCTTTAACACACTGAGTATAGAAGGAACATACCTCAACACAATAAAAGCCATATACAACAGACCCACAGCTAGTGTCATACTTGTATTAGTCCATTTTTCACACTGCGATAAAGACATACTTGAGACCAGGTAATTTATTAAAAGAAGAGGTTTAATTGACTCACAGTTCTGCACGGCTGGGGAGGCCTCAGGAAACTTACAATTATGGTGGAAGGGAAAGAGGGATGTCTTACATGGTGGCAGGCAAGAGAGGGTGTGTGTCAGCACAGGAAAAGTTACCACTTATAAAACCATCAGATCTCATGAGAATTTACTCACTATCATGAGAACAGCATGGGGAAAACAACCCCCATAATCCAATTATTTCCTACTAGGTCTTTTCCTAAACACCTGGGGATTACAATTCAAGATGAGATATGGGTGGGGACACAAAGCCTAACCATACTGAATAGAGAAACAGTGAAAGCCTTTCTTCTAAGATCTAAAACATGACAAGAATTCCCACTTTTACTATTGTTATTCAATATAATATTGGAAGTCCTAGTTAGAGCAATCAGACAATAGAAAGAAATGAAGGTCATCCAAATTGAAAAGGAAGAAGTCAAATTATCCTTGTTTGTAGGCAATATAATCTTGTATTTGGAAAAACCTAAAGGCTTCACCAAAAAACTGTTAGAACTGATAAACAAATTCAGTAAGGTTGCAGTACACAAAATCAACATACAAAATCAATAGCATTTCTATATGCCACCAGCAAACAATCTGAAATCAGGGAAGTAATCCCATTTACAATAGCTACAAACAAAACTAAATGCCTAGGATTTAACTTAACCAAGAAGTGAAAGATCTGTACAATGAAACCTATAAAACATTGATGCAAGAAAATGAAGAGGACACAGGCAAAAGGGAAGGATATTATATGTTCATGAATTGGAAGAATAAATATTGTTAAAAACGTCCATATTACCCAAAGCAATCTACAGATTCAATGCAAATCCTATCAAAATACCAATGACATTCACAGAAATAGAAAAAAAATTCTAAAATTATTATGGAACCACAGAAGACCCAGAATTGCTAAAGCTATCCTGAGCACAAAGAACAAAACTGGGGGAATCACAATACCTGGCATAAATTACACTATACAGTGATAGTAACCAAAACAGTATGGTACTGGCATATAAACAGACACACAGGCCAATGGAATAGATTAGAGAATCCAGAAACAAATCCACACATCTACAGTGAACTCAATTTCAACAAAGGTATCAAGAACATATATTAGGGAAAGGACAGTCTCTTCAATAAATGGTGCTGGGAAAACTGGATATCTATATGTGGAAGAATGAAATGAGGCCCCCATCTCTCACCATAAACAGCAATCAAACCAAAATGGATCGAAGACTTTAAGACCTCAAACTATGAAATTTCTAAAGGAAAACATTGGGGAAACTCTCTAGGACACTGGACTGAGCAAAGATTTCTTGAGAAATACCCCATAAGCTGCATAAATGTCTTCTTTTGAGAAGTGTCTGTTCATGAAAAAATGCTCACCATCACTGGCCATCAGAGAAATGCAAATCAAAACCACAATGAAATACCATCTCACACCAGTTACAATGGCAATCATTAAAAAGTCAGGAAACAACAGGTGCTGGAGAGGATGTGGAGAAATAGGAACACTTTTACACTGTTGGTGGGACTGTAAACTAGTTCAACCATTGTGGAAGTCAGTGTGGCGATTCCTCAGGGATCTAGAACTAGAAATACCATTTGACCCAGCCATCCCATTACTGGGTATATACCCAAAGGACTATAAATCATGCTGCTATAAAGACACATGCACACGTATGTTTATTGCAGCACTATTCACAATAGCAAAGACTTGGAACCAACCCAAATGTCCAACAATGATAGACTGGATTAAGAAAATGTGGCACATATACACCATGGAATACTATGCAGCCATAAAAAATGATGAGTTCATGTCACTATGCAGCCATAAAAAATGATGAGTTCATGTCCTTTGTAGGGACATGGATGAAATTGGAAATCATCATTCTCAGTAAACTATCGCAAGAACAAAAAACCAAACACCGCATCTTCTCACTCATAGGTGGGAATTGAACAATGAGAACACATAGACACAGGAAGGGCAACATCACACTCTGGGGACTGTTGTGGGGTGGGGGGAGGGGGGAGGGATAGCATTGGGAGATATACCTAATGCTAGATGACGAGTTAGTGGGTGCAGCGCACCAGCATGGCACGTGTATACATATGTAACTAACCTGCACATTGTGCACATGTACCATAAAACTTAAAGTATAATAATAATAATAATAGTAATCATAATTAAAAAAAGAGAAATACCCCACAAGCATAGGCAATCAAAGCAAAAACGCACAAATGGGGTCACATCAAGTTAAAAAGCTTCTGTATAGCAAAAGTAACAATCAACAAGGTGAAGAGACAACTCACAGAATGGGAGAACATATTTGCAAACTACCCATATGATAAGGGATTAATAATCAGAATATATAAGGAACTCAAACAACTCAATAGGAAAAATCTAATGAACAGATTAAAACATGAGCAAAAGATCTGGATAGACATTTCCCAAAAGAAGACATGCAAATGGCAAACAGGTATATGAAAAAGTGCTCCAACATCACTGATCATCATAGAAATGCAAACCAAAACTACAACGAGATATCACGTCACCCCAGTTAAAATGGCTTCTATCAAAAAGATGGGCAATAACAAATGCTGGTGAAAATGTGGAGAAAAGGGAACCCTTGTACACTGTTGGTGGGAATGTAAATTAGTACAACCACCATGGAGAAGAGTTTGGAGGTTCCTGAAAAAACTAAAAATGGAACTACCATATGATCTAGCAATTCTACTGCTAGGCATATATGTGTGTGTGTGTGTGTGTGTGTGTGTGTGTGTGTGTGTGTGTGTATATTTATCCAAAGGAAAGGAAATCAGAATATCGAAGAGATACCTGTACTCCCATGTTTACTGCAGCACCATTCAGGATAGTGCAGACTTGGAAGCAACCTAAATGTCCACCAACAGATCAACTGATAAAGAAAATGTGATATATACACACAGTGAAGTGCTATTCAGCCATAAAGAAGAATGAGATCCTGCCATTTGCAACAACATGGATAGAACTGGAGGTCATTATTTTAAGTGAAATAAGGCAGGCATAGAAAGATAACCTTCACATGTTCTCACTCATTTGTGGGAGTTGAACTTATGGAGATAGAGAGTAGAAGGATGATTACCAGAGGCTGGGAAGGGTAGTCTGGGTGTTAGGGGGGGTGGGAATGGTTAATGGGCACAAAAATATAATTAGATAGAATGAATAAAATCTAGTATTTGATAGTACAACAGAGTGACTACAGTCAATAATTTATTGTATATTTCAAATAACTAAAAGAGTATAATTAAGATTGTTTGTAATACAAGGAAAGGATAAATGCTTGAGGTGATAAATACCCCATTTACCTTGATGTGATTATTACGCATTGTATGCACGTATCAAAATATCTCAAGAACCTTCTAAGTATATACACCTACTAAGTACCCACAAAATCAAAAATTAAAAAAAGAATACTATGTGAATAATGTTTAATCCTCAGTGCATCATAGAAAGAAGCACATATAATATAAATCTGCCCTACTTAGTACAACTTCTGACCATCTAGTTAAGGTGGTATCTGTCAGATTTGTCTACTAGAAAGGTCCCTTTTCCCCTTTTGTAATTGATAAGTAATCTGTAGGGAAATGCCTTTAGACCATGTAAACAGCCTGCTCCCCAACAGAGTTTGACTCAATGATTTTAGTATCTGCTGGTAATTTTTTCCCAATTATCACTTGAATAGTGGTGATTTTCCAACTCTGTTATTTCTTCTATATTTATTGGTTAGCATCTAATTGCTTCTTAAACGGATTTTTAACTAGGTCATTGTTTTTAGTGCGAGCTTAAACTCCACTTTCAGAGTTTTCTGGCACTGCCAGTTACTGAGCATTCTGTGGTTCTATGGTTTAAATTGGATTACTTCTCAGATTTCTCCCTTGCCAGATTAGGATTCATTCTTCTCAGTTTCACTAAATCCATTACCTCTTGTCCATCTGCTTTCCTGCCTCCAAAACTTTATTGATGGTTTGCATACTCACGTTTCTATGACCTTGTGGGTTTATGTCTTTTAAAATAAATTCCTTCACTATCATTTTCATTAGACTTGAGAGTGAACTTACATGTTTGACCCACTATCTTTACTTGAAAGCCCTTTATACTTTCCTTGCTTTCAAACTTTATGTAAATGGTATATTGTATGACATCTTCTGTAGCTGCTTTTTTTTTTTTTTTGCTCAGTATCATTGCTTCTGAGATTTATCCATGTTAAAACATACAGCTCCAGTTCATTCTTAAGTTTTTTTTTTCATTCATTTTAATGAATGATGTTTAACAGGTATGAACATGCTGCAATTTTCTTATTCATTTCCACTATGTTACTAAAAGTGATATTGTGAAGTTTGGGGTGAGGAGTGGGAGGTCCATTTAACCATAAATACATACATACACTCTTTGCAATTTAAGTCATCAGGAAGTAGGATTCTATACATAAAATGGCAATTTTAAGACATTTTAATTCTGTAACTTATAAAATGAACCTAGTAATATTGGGCACAGATAACTTACTCAATGAATGCCAGTTATTTAGAGACAACACTGAAATGGGCCTGAAAAATCCAGAAATAAGATTCCTCTCTGAATGTTAAACTATAAGATCAACACATCATAAGCCAGAGCAGAAATAGGAAAAGGATAAAACAAAAAAATAGCTGCAGGGCCAGTAACATCTGACCAGAGTATAACTACTGTCATGGCATAGGAAATATGTCAACCAGAACCGAGAAGCAAAGAAAAAAATAGAATCACAGAGACAAATGCTGGCAATCCATAAAAACACTGTCCATGGGAAAAGGAGGCTTAACCAGCACCTGGCAATTTTTCTATTACAATTCGTAAGGCTATTTCTAATACAGAGATAGAATTGAAAATTGTAGCCAATTCTCTTTAAATGTTTCCATTGCTAGGGGTCAGACTATCCTTGTTGTAAGGTGAATGCAACATGAAATTTTAAGCCTGAGGCAATTAAACATTTATTTTACTTAACTCCCCTTATTCCAATGTCATATTTACCAAGCAGTCTCCTGTTTTTTTTTTCTGTGCCAATTTCATTTCTTACTGTAAATTAATACATGGGGATTGGCCACCATCTCAAATTCACATGCATTTAGTCACTGTGATGTCCTTTAGGGCCAAGCAACCTTAGACATGAACAAAAGTAAGTCTTTGGAGCCTGCAGCCCAGATTTGAGAATATGGTCAAGTAAACAAGATACTATGATGTGTTGTCCTATCCAGCCATCCCAACCTTTTTTTAGACCGCAGCAGTATCATCTCCAACAGCAGCACCATCTCCAACTCCATTCTCTATTCGTTTCTAGAATCTCCTCTTTCTTTTTTATGGAGTATGTATATTAAAAATGAAGTAGGCTGAACTCTAATATTGTAACTTTTTTCTACTGCCTGTAAACCTATAATAAACCATATAATTTGTCAAAAATTGGCAATAAATGTAACCACTTGTTCAAACAAAAAACTTTACACTTTTCCTATTGTGTTAGTATAAAAAAAAGAAGCAATATTTCAAAGTATTTGCTATAAGTGGCTTCTAATGGAATAGAGTTAGGACTAGGAAAAGTCTACCTCATTAGCTCTGTGAAATGTGAATTCACCTTATACAACACTGAAGAACACATGCTGAACTATTACCAGATGCTCCTCAACTTATGATGGGGTTATGTCCTTATAAACCCATCACAAAATTGAAAATATCTTAAGTCAAAATGCATTTGATACACTTAACCTACCAAACATTATAGCTTAGCCTAACCTGTCTTAAACATGCTCAGAACGCTTACATTAGCTTACAGTTGGGCAAAATTATCTTAACACAAAGCCTATTTAATAATAAAGTGTTAAATATCTCATGTAATTTATTGAATACTGTATTGAAAGTGAAAAACAGAATGGCTGTATGGGTACTCAGAAGTATAGTTTCTACTGAATGCATATTGCTTTTTCACCATCATGAAGTTAAAAAATCCTAAGCTGAACTATCCTAAGTAAGGGACCGCCTTCACTGGTAACCTGCAGGTAAATGTGAATTCCTATGAACAAAATACAGACAACAATCAATTTGGAAATATGTTTACTTTTACAACATTATTTTGTAGTTGGCTGATAGAAATTCAAACCCATCTCACAGAAACCATGTAATTACATAGTATTGAGATTTTTAAGTCTATAATGGCCAATGAAACCAATAATGAATCAGGCTCTGTGTTAGGTGCTTATGACACACAAATGAATAAGTTATAATCCCTGTGCCAAACAGCTAATAGTTAGAAATATGGACAAATAAAACACAGAATTTTAATATTGAACTTAAAGAGTTATACAGGAGTACACAGCAGTGTAGTTATACCGAGAAAGTAGTGATTAGCTCTATCAGTTAAGAAGTTGAGGGAAAAAAAGGTGAGGAAAACAACCAAGGATTTTAAAGGGCCTTTTAAAAGGAATTAAACATAAGCAGGAGTATGCCAGTTGATGGGAGAAGGAGAAGACATTAAACTTGAGAAACAGCAGGGAGTTCCTTGAAGAGTAGGGTAGAGTAGGGTACAGAAGAGTAGGGTAGCCTAAGGAGACAAAGCTAGAAAGTCGGGCTGGGCCCAAATCAGGAAGCCTTGCATAGTATGCCAAGGTGTTAGACCTACTGTTGGCCAGAGCTCCCAGAAAGTGTGACTAAAAATTGATCCCTTCAGTTTTCAAGGTGGCCGGGAGAATTACTGTTTGATCACAGGGTATATGTATGTTTGATTTTATAACAAACTGTCAGTTTTCAAACATGATTGTATCATTTTCACCCCAACCAGCACTGTATAAAAGTTGTGGGTGCTCCAGTGATGGCTGTTGTCAATCTTTTAAATTTAAGCCATTTTAATGGGTGTGTAGTGGTATCTCACTGTGGTTCCACTGATTACTAGTGTTGCTAAGTATATTTTCATATACTTAAAACGTGTCTTACAGAGTGCTTGTTCAAGATTTCTGCCCAATATTTGTTAGCTTCTTTTTTATAACACTGAGTTGAGGTGTTCTTTATATAGCCTAGATACAATTCCTTTGTCAGATATATGTACTATGATTATTTTCTCCTAGTCTTTTGATTTCCTAATGTTCTCTTATAATGAGCATTAGAATTTAATTCTGATTAAATCTGATTAATCTGTATTTTTCCTTTACAGATTGTTCTGTCTCCTGTCTACCTCAAAATTGCAAAGATATTCCATTGTTTTTTTCTTCTAGAAGCACAATAGTTTGGCTTTTATGTCTAGTCTATAATCCATCTTAAATTAATATTTGTGTATGACGTGAGGTAGGGATCAATTTTTCCCCATATGGATATTAAGTTATTCCAGAACCATTTGCTAAAAAGACTTTCCATTCCTAATTGTGTTGTTTTGATGTCATTGTTAAAAACCAACTGGTTGTACAGTATCTACTTTTTGGACTTTTGTTTTTTCCATTGATTTATTTACCCAGTATCCTAATGCCAGTATCATACTGTCTAGATAACTATAGTTTTAAAGTAATTCTTAAAGTCAGACAGTATTAGCCCTTTAATTTTCATCTCCTTTTTCATGGCTGCTTTCAGCTATTCTAGGTCTTTTACATTTCCAAATATATTTTCAAATCAGCATGTTGATTTCTATCAAAAAAGTCTGACATGGTTTTAACTGGATATTCATTTTATTAAATCTATAAATCAGTGGTTCACAAAATATGGGCTATGAACCATCAGCATCAGCATCATCCAGCAACATGTTATAAATGCAAATATTCAGGCCCTACCTCAAAACTAATGGATCAAAAACTCTAAGCTTGGGGTCCAGCAATCTGTGTTTTAACAAGTCTTTCAGGTGATGCAGATGCAAAATAAAAGCATAAGAACTACTGTGGATCAGTTTGGGAAGAATGAATACATTAGCAATATTGTACATTCCAATCCATGAACAGATACTTCTCCCCATTTATTTAGGTCTTATTTAATGTATCTTACCAACATTTTGTAGTTTTGAGTACACAGATCTTGCACATGTTTTGCTCACTAAATTCCACAGTATTCTATGTTTTCTAATACTGTTGTAAATGACATTCTAATGGCTGCTGGCTAACCTTTAGCAATAATATATAGGAGATATGAAAGAAAGTTTATTTGGAGTTGGGTATTCACTAAAAGATCTGGAAAAAAAATCTAGTTTCTGGATCCAGTTGTCAACTTGGAAGGAAAACAGTGGACAGAGGAACATGATGAAGTGCACCAGGAACATAAGATCAGCAAAATCTAGACTGTGGCAAATTCTGTAGGCCAACTGGGCTGGGTATTTTAACACATAAATTTCTAAGGAAGTAAAAGAAATGGAAGAGGATAGACTGAAAGATTTAAAACAAATACGAAGTTTTTACGAAATGGACAAGTCTAAACTATAATGTACATTTAGGTGAAAAAACTATTTAAAATGAGAGGAAATGATTACTATAAAAGTTGGCTTAAGGTTTTCTTTTGTCAAGAGAGAGAAGGTTGTGATTAGGATGGGATATATGGGGCTGAAGTAGATGGCAAAGTTGTGTTTCTTGACCTGGGTGGAATTTGCCTTATAATTTCACAGCTTAATAACTAAATAAGCTATTTTTTTGTTACGGTTTATAAATATATGTTTTACTTTACATTAAGAAAAATTTTTTCCTCTTAATATGATGTATCTAGAATTTGGATTTGAAGAGTGTAAAAGTTACAGTGGTAAGAACTGTGTTTGATAAAAACTAAAGTGTGCCTAATGAAGTGGTTGTTCACTTGAGGCAGGGATACTAGTATGGATGAAGTCAAAGAACTGGAAAGCTAAAATTTGGGAAAGCATTGAAAGGAGAAGACCATATTCCAGGTTCTAATCTCGACCATCAGTAAGGTAGACTGGCTTGGATGTTGGCAAACATAAAAATGATGGTCAGGTACAGAGAAATACACATGGATTACAAAGGTCCTCCACTCTCTTGGGTCCACAAACAAAGACTATTTGGGGAAGCAAGAAGCAGTTGAACTCACTTTCTTTATGTGGGGCGTGGGAAAGCGAGCACAACTTACTTCAAGGAAAAAAAGGAACTCACTATCTTGCAGGCACAGACGGATTTCAGTTGAGGTTCTGTGGTAGAGAAAGTTTCCAGGAAAATATTAATGGTGAATGGTAATTTGCTAACAAAGAAACAGAAATTCCTGAAACACAATGGAAAGGGCCAAGAGGAAGGAAAAGAGTGTGTGTGTGTGTGTGTGTGTGTATTAGGGAGGGTACGAAGCAGCATAAAGAACAATGTGATTGATAGTACACTTAAAGGGAGGCAACAAAAGAGGGCTCATTTTGGATAATCAAAATTAACAAGAGTGAGCTCAGGGATGGAAGGACTTGGTGTGTTCTGGCTAGAGATTGTTTGAGGTGCTGAAATTACCTAAAATTTACAGAAGTTGTGCCTGAGGCCCAACTATTGCAATTGCCTCCATTAATCACTTTGCATATTAATGTTTCTATGAATAAGGCTTTCAAAGTTCTGAGGATGGATGAAGCAAATGATAACAGTAGCTCTTATTATGACCAAGAGAAGGAGAATCAGAAGGCTCTTCAATCCATCCTTCACTGTAAACTACTGGGCATACTTCTGAATCCTGGATCATATTGCCTTTTATTTTTTCCCCCCAAAACAGCTTTTATTCCAAATTTTATCAATGTTGGAAAGAAGGGTCTGCGAAAAGTAGGCCAAGGCAGAAGCAACATACAAAGCTAGAAATGGGTCAAGAGATGTACTCAGTCAGACCCTGGCCGAATGAACATTAATGGGTTCAGTATATGACAAATGTATGGAGCAAATAAACATAAGCATGCCAGTTGAGGTATCATCATTATCCTGCTCTAGAGCACTCCACTTCCCAACAAATGGGGATTGAGTACCGGAGCCCATTTATGTTGTCATCAGGGCTTGTAGTAGTGACAGAATAGGCAACAGAAGAGAGGAGGGAAGTCCTAAATAGTAGAAGAAAGGGAATGCCTCTAGACAAAAAGTAAACAAGGCAGTACACTAATGCATTTAGAGACTCTCCTTTTATGAAATTACTTCTTATAAAATAACTTTAGAGGTCTTTACATATTTTTAAAATTAAAATTATAATTTTTATAAAATAATCTATATAAAAATTATATTGTAAAACATATATACCATAGCATTTCTATGTTTTTTTATTGTTTATCACTGACTACAAATTTTTTAGTTTTAAATAAAAAGTCAACTAATAATTACTGTTATAAAATAATTGCTAATTCTGTATTTTAAAGTTTCTTTGGATACTTGATGGATTTAAATACATAATATTAAGGGAAACATAAGAGCATGATTTGGACAAGACAAAGAGATTCAGTGTTTCTCAAACTTTTCCACAAAAGCTTGAGTATTGGCACAGAGAACCCCCAGGGCCCAGGGGAAATAACCTGGTGCAAACTGCTCCAAGTTCAGACTTTCTACAGAGTGTTTTAATTTTGTTTTAAATTTTTATTATTTCACTTTAAAATTTATACAAATTTTGTTATATTCCATAATATGAGCATTTATTTTATCATATATTATTTTATTAATAATATAGGTTTATATATTAATTTATTATAAAATGTTTTAAGTTATTTTCTGTGATGGAATAAAATCAACACTTTGAGAAAATACATCATAGTTTTTCTGAAGCTTCGTATATCCTTGGGAATATATACTCCTAAATGATATCCTCCTTGTGTAGTCTTACCTCCATAGTAGGTGGAGTCTTTCTTGTTCTTCTAATCCAAGCTAGAAAGAAAAATAATATTTAAATGTCAGTTTCCCATAATTTACACAAACATTTTTATCCATAAAACAAATTTTTTTGAGTACCTACTCCATATTATTTTAGGTACTGGAGATACAGCAGGGAATAAAACAGATTAAGTCCCTTCTCTACTGTAGCACATGTACTACTGAAGGGGTTGCAGAAAATAAACACACAAACATATGGTTGGTGGTGATATGTGTCATGAAGAGAATATAATAGTGTAGAGAAGATAAAGAGGGGACAGTTTCATATGTTTAAAATCATACCTCCTAATCATCTAAATTCGACTGGGTATATTTATGGCATACAAGCCAAACCAAAATACAGCAAACTTCAAGACAATATCAAAATTATATTATTCTGGAAATTTGAATTAGTTACTGTTCAATTTATAAAGGAAGGGACTTAGAAAAGTTTTTCATTTACAGAGGTTTCTTTTCTGATTTGCTCCAGCAAGCAAAAATATCATCAGGCCTTAGCTCTAACACTTGGCAGATGGGCTGCAGAGATAGAGCCCACATTTGTTAAGTGGCTGCTGGGGCCTGGGTACTGTGCTGGATGCTTTGCAGCAATGGGAAGGGAGTGGGGCAGCTGCCTTTAGGGAAGTTATCAGAATCACATGGAAGACAGTATAGTATAGTGCTTATGAGATTCTAAAGTCAGATTTTCTGGGTTCAAATCCCAGCTTCATCACTTACTGTCTGTGTCACCTGGAGCAAGTTATTTAATTTTCTAAGCATCAGGCTTCCCATCTATAAAATGGAAATTATAAAAGTATCTACACTTCAGGGTTGTTGTGAAAATTATATAAGATAATATACATAAATGTTTACTTTGAAGCCTGGCACATAAGTCTAAGTTATTAGTATAATTATTACTATTATTCAATAAATCTCTTAAAAATAAGACTCAAAAAACAAAAGATCAATAATATCTGCTTAGCCTGCAATGTTGTATAGGAGACTGTGAGAAAATATATTGTAGGGAATATGATCTTGAAGGCCACTGTTTTATCATTTCAGTTGATTCACTCTTCACTACAAAATTGAAGAAATAGAAATAAAATGAATTCCTCAAATTTATACATTAAGTAGTAATGGTTGTATTTGAATTCAGATCTGACCCTGTCTCTGGCTCTAAAAACCATCCACGCTCAACTAAGCAGTCTTTCAAAGTTTATGAACAACATGCAAAGAATATTAAACCAGAAAGAGAAAGCCAGGCTAGGTGTGACCCTAACTACATGTTAGAAAAATAAGAATTATTGATCCCATTTTAGAGATTTGGAAACTGAGGCCCAGAGAGATTAAGAAACTTTCCTAATGCCATATAATTAGCGACTGGGAATTAAACCCTGGTTGAACTGGCTCTAAAGTCTTAGCTTTATCCATTCACCAGCCACTATCTCTTGTGACCAGCTCTAACAGCCAGCCTTATTCATTTAGGCACAGACTGTCACTGACTTACAGTAGTTTGACTTAGGATTTTTGACTTTACCATGGTATGAAACCATTCTGTTTTTCATTTCAGTACTTATTCAATGAATTACATAAGTTATTCAAAACTTTATTATAAAGTAAGCTTTGTGTTAGATGATTTTGCCCAACTGTAGGTTAATGTAAGTGTTCTGAACACATTTAAAGTAGGCTAGGCTAAGCTATGATGTTTAGTAGTCTAGGTGTATTAAATGCATTTTCTACATGATGATATTTTCAACATATGATAGGCTTATTGGGACATAACCTCACTGCAAACCAAGGATCATCTGTAATAGCACCAGGACTTGTCTTCATAAAAAGCCCAGCACTGAATGGTTTGTGGGGGTGGAAACAGCAACATTCAACTGCGGGCTTGGGATCAGTCATTTCCCCCTGCTCTATTCTCTCTTGCACTTATCCCTTACATGTATCTCCAATACAGTTCCAGTGTTCTCCATTCTCTACTACTGTTTCTAAATTTCTACCCTTGTTATTCTTTCTGCATTCTGTTTCCTTCTTTCTTTTTTTTTGAGACAGTCTCGCTCTGTTACCCAGGCTGTAGTGCAATGGTGTGATCTCAGGTCACTGCAACTTCTGTCTCCCGGATTCAAGTGATTCTCTGGCATCAGCCTCCCAAGTAGCTGAGATTACAAGTGCTCGCTACCATGCCCAGCTAATTTTTGTATTTTTTGTAGAGATGGGGTTTCACCATGTTGGCCACGCTGGTCTTGAACTCCTGACCTTCAGTGATCTTCCCACCTTGGCCTCCCAAAGTGCTGGAATTATAGGCGTGAGCCACTGCACCCAGCCTGTATTCTGTTTCTATTAGCTTTTACTCCTATTTGGCCAATTTCTAGCCAAAACTTGTACAGATTTTTTTTTTTTTTTTTTTTTGCAATGGTGTCTCACTCTGTTGCCAGGCTGGAGTGCAGTGACGCAATCTTGGCTCACTGCAACCTCCGACTCCCTGGTTCAAGCAATTCTCCTGTCTCAGCCCCCCGAGTAGCTGGGACTACAGGCACTCGCCACCACGCCCAGCTAATTTTTGTATTTTTAGTAGAGACGGGGTTTCACCGTGTTGGCCAGAATGGTCTCGATCTCTTGACCTCGTGATCTGCTCGCCTCAGCCTCCCAAAGTCCTGGGATTACAGGCGTGAGCCACCACACCTGGCCAACTTGCAAAGGTTTTAATCTCCCTTGTGAGTCTGTAAGGTTGTCAAAGGCAGGAGGTACCCATGGGAGATTTATTTTTCTGTCATTTTAAGTACCTACTCTTTTGGGGTATTTACTCTTTTAAATGCTATAAAAGAGGTGGTACTTTAAAAATTATTGAATGAATATTTTGAAAAATATTTGTTCTATCAGGATTTTGATCTTTATTAGAAAATCCAGCTTAGCAATACCACAATTCCTTTGTGTAGTCAAGGAAATAAGTGACTTTGGGAATTTTTCAATTGCCTCTTTATGGCCCAAATTAAAGTTACTTAGATTCAGGCCAAGATGGACGACTAGAAACAGCTAGGGTACGTGGCTCTCATGGAGAGCAACCAAAGGGGCGAGTAAATATAGCCCCTTCAACTGAAACATCCAGGTACTCGCATTGGTACTAATCAAGGAAACAACTCGACCCCTGGAGAATGAAGAAAAGCAAGACAGCACAACAGCCCACCCTGGAGCGACATGGAGCCAGGGGAACCTCCCCCACCTAGGGAAGTGGTGAGTATTCAAATGTGTGACCCTGGGAAACCATGCTTCTCCCATGGATCTTTGCAACCCTGAGTCAGGAGATCTCCTCCTAAACCCACTCCACCAGGGCCTTTGGTCTGACACAGAGCTGTGTGGACTCTTGGCAGAGCAGCCACTCAGGCACGCACAGAGGCGCAGCTCTACATACTTAGGCTCCACACTTCCTGGCAATAGTGACTGCAGCTCTGTCAAGGCAGGAGGTTGGACCTCTGTACATACCCCTAGGAAGAAGGCTGAATCGAGGGGGCTAAGCAGTGATGGTCCGCAGGCCCCACTTCCACAGTGCCTCAAAGGACAAGACCCACTGGCTTAGAATTCCAGCCAACCACTGGCAACAGTGTCGCCCCCTACCTGGGACAGAGTTCCTTGGGGGAGGGAAGGGCCACCATCTTTGCTGTTTGGATAACTCTGCAGTTCCAACCTGTGAACTTTGGAGAGTCCAAACCGACCAGAAACAAAAGGGATCTCCCAGCACAGCACAGTTGTTCTACCAAAATGTGGCCAGGCTGCTTCTTTAAAGTGGCCCCCTGATCTGTTCCTCCTCCCCGGGCAGGAGCTCCCCACTGGGGCCTCCAGCCACCCTGCCCATGTTCTCAGGCTGACAGAGATTTGAGAACTTCCTGAGACAGAGCTCCCAGAGGGAGAGTTAGGCCGCCATCTTTGCTGTTTCGGTGACATAGCCATTCCAGGCTCCGGGCTTTGGAGAGTCCAAGTTGACCAGGGGTGGAAGCGGTATCCCAGCACAGCACAGCTGCTCTATGAAAGCATAGCTAGACTGCTTCTTTAAGCAGGTCTCTGATCCTGTTCCTCCTAAATGGGTGAGACCTCCTAACTGGGGTCTCTAGCCCCCTCCTACAAGTGCATTCAGGCCGGCAACAGGTCTGTATCTCCCTGGGAAGGAGCTCCCAGAGAAAGGCGCAGGCTGCCAGCTTTGCTGTTTCGCAGCCTTCATTGGTGATGTCTACAGGTACTGGAAAATTCAAGGTGACTAGGGACTGGAGTGGATCCCCAGAAAACTGCAGTAGCCCTATGGAAAACTGACTAGACTATTAAAAGAAACAAACAAACTAAAAAATAAAAACCCATCCAAAGGTCAGCAACTTCAAAGATCAAAGGTAGATAAGTCCACAAAGATGAGGAAGAATCAGTGCAAGAGCACTGAAAACTCAAAAAGCCAGAGTGGCCTCTTTCCTCCAAATGACCACATCACCTCTCCAGAAAGGGCTCAGAACTGCGCTTAAGCTGAGATGGCTGAAATGACCGAAGTAGAATTCAGAATATGAATAAAAACAAACTTCACTGAGCTAATGGAGCATGTTGTAACCCAATGCGAAGAAGCTAAAAATTGTGATACAACATTGCAGAGGCTGACGGACAAAACAGCCAGTATAGAGAAGAATGTAACCAACCTGATAGAGCTGAAAACCATAATACAAGAATTTCATAATGCAATCACAAGTATTAATAACAGAATAGACCAAGTTAAGGAAAGGATCTCAGAGTTTGAAAACGGTCTTTCTGAAATAAGACAGGCAGACAAGAATAGTCAAAAAAGAATGAAAAAGAATGAACAAAACCTCTGAGAAATATGGGATTATGTAAACACACCAAATCTGATTGATTGGTGTATCTAAAAGATACGGGGTATCGCTGACCCCATAGAAAGAAAAACCATCAGAGAATATTATAAACACCTTTATCCACATAAACTAGAAAGTCTAGAAGAAATTGATAAATTCCTGACACATACACCATCCCAGGACTGAACCAGGAGGAAACTGAATCCCTAAACAGACCAATAACAAGTTCTGAAATTGAGGCAGTAATAAATAGCCTACCAACCAAAAAAGCCCAGGACCAGACAGATTCATAGCTGAATTCTACTAGATGTACAAAGAAGAGCTGGAACTATTCCTACTAAAACTATTCCAAAAAATTAAAAAAGAGGGACTCCTCCCTAACTCATTCTATGAGGCCAGAATCACCATGATACCAAAACCTGGCAGTGTTTGATACCACAAAAAAGGAAAACTTCAGGCCAATATCCTTGATGAATGTCAATGCAAAAATCCTCAACAAAGTACTAGCAACCTGAATACAGTAGCACATCAAAAAGCTTATCCACCACAATCAAGTTGGCTTCATCCCTGGGACGCAAGGCTGGTTCAATATATGCAAATCAATAAATGTGATTCATCACATAAACAGAACTAAAGACAAGAACCACATGATTATCTCAACAGATGCAGAAAAGGCTGTCAATTAAAATCAGCATCCCTTCATGTTAAAAACTCTTAATAAACTAGGCATTGAAGGAACATACCTTAAAATAATAAGAGCCATATATGACAAATCCACTGCCGATATATGGAATGGGCAAAAGCTAGAAGCATTCCTGTGATGGTTAATATTCAGTGTCAGCGTGATTGGATTGAAGGATAAAATATATTGTTCCTGGGTGTGTCTATGAGGGTGTTGCCAAAGGAGATTAACATTTAAGTCAGTGGACTGGGAGAGGCAGAACAACTTTCAATCTGGGTGGGTACCATCTAATCAGCTGCCAGCATGGCTAGAATAAAGCAGGCAGAAGAAAGCGGAATGAGCAGACTTGCTGAGCCTTCTGGACTTACTCTTTCTCCCATGCTGGATGCTTCCTGCTCTCGAACTTCAGACTCCAAGTCCTTCAGTTTTTAGATTCTTGAACTTACACCAGTGATTTGCCAGGGACTCTTGGGCCTTCAGCTGCAGATTGAAGGCTGCATTGTCAGCTTCCCTACTTTTGAGGTTTTGGGACTCAGACTTGCTTCCTTGCTCCTCAGCTGCAGATGGCCTATTGTGGGACTTCACCTTGTGATCGTGTGAGTCAATTCTCCTAATAAACTCCCCTTCTTATATTCATATATCCTATTAGTTCTGTCCCTTTAGAGAACTCTGACTAATACAATTCCCTTGAAAAGTGGCACAAGACAAGGATGCCCTCTCTCACTACTTGTATTCAACATAGTATAGGAAGTTCTGGCCAGGGAAATCAGGCAAGAGAAAAAAAGTAAAGGGCATCCAAATAGGAAGAGAGGAAGTCAAATTATCCCTGTTTGCAGATGACATGATCCTGTATCTAGAAAACCCCACTGCCTCAGCCCAAAAGCTTCTTGAGCTGATAAGCAACTTCAGCAAAGTCTCAGGATACAAAATCAATGTGCAAAAATTGCTAGCACTCCTATACACCAACAAAACTCAAGCAGAGAGCCAAATTACAAACTAACTCCCATTCACAATTGCCACAAAAAGAATTAAGTACCTAGGAATACAGTGGAGGTGAAAGATCTCGATAAGGAGAACTACAAACCACTGCCCAAAAATCAGAGATGACACAAACAAATGGAAAAACACTCAATGCGCACGGACTGGAAGAATCAATATTGCTAAAATGGCCATACTGCCCAAAGCAATTTACAGATTCAATGCTATTCCCATTAAATTACCATTGACGTTCTTCACAGAACTAGAAAAAAATATTTTAGAATTCATATGGAACCAAAAAAGAGCCTGAATAGCCAAAGCAATCCTAAACAAAACAAACAAAACAAAAAACAAACAAACAAAACAAAGCTGGAGGCATCACACTACCCAACTTCAAACTATACTACAGAGCTATGGTAACCAAAACAGCATGGTACTGATACAAAAACAGACACATAGACCAATGAAACAGAATAGAGAGTCCAGAAATAGGACTGCACACCTACAGCTATCTGATCAACAAACCTGACACAAACAAGCAATGGGGAAAGAATTTCTTATGCAATAAATGGTGCTGGGATAACTGGCTAGCCATATGCAGAAAATTGGAACTGGACCACTTCCTTATACACACACAAAAATTAACTCAAGATGGATTAAAGACTTAAATGTAAAACCCAAAACTACAAAACCTCGGAAGACAACTTAGGCAATACCACTGAGCATATAGAAATGGGCAAAAATTTCATGAGAAGACACCAATTCTCAAAACAAAATTTGCAATTTTGTTGCAATTGCAACAAAAGCAAAAATGGACAAATGGAATATAATTAAACTGAAGAACTTTTGCACAGCAAAAGAAACTATCAACAAAGTCAACAGACAACCTACAGACTGGAAGACAATTTTTACCAACTATGCATCTGACAAAGGTCTAATATTCAGCATCTGTAAGAAACTTAAACAAATTTACAAGAAAATAAAATAAACAACCCCATTAAAAAGTAGGCCAAAGACATGAACAGACGCTTCTCAAAAGAAGACATACATGTGGTCAACAATCATAAAATAAAAAGCTCATTACTGATTGTTAAAGAAATGCAAATCACACCATCTCACACCAGTCAGAATGGCTATTATTAAAAAGTCAAAAAATAACAGACACTAGCAAGGTTGCAGAGAAAAAGGAATGCTATACATTGTTGGTGGGAGTGTAAATTGGTTCAACCATTGTAGAAGACAGTGTGAGATTCCTCAAAGACCTAAAGACAGAAATACCATTTGACCTAGCAATCCCATTACTGGGTATAAACCTAGAGGAATATAAATCATTCTATTATAAACACACATGCATGTGTATGTTTATTGCAGCACTATTCACAATAGCAAAGACATGGAATCAACCTGAATGTTCATCAGCGATACACTGGATAAAGAAAATGTGGTAAATATACACCATGGAATACATGCAGCCATAAAAAAGAACAAGATCATGCCTTTGTAGGGACATGGATGGAGCCAGAAGCCATTATCCTTAGCAAACTAACACAGGAACAGAAAACCAAATAATGCATGTTCTCACTTATAAGTGGGAGCTAAATTATGAGAACACATGGACACCTAGAGAGGAACAACACACACTGAAGCCTATTGGAGGGTGGAGGATGGGAGGAGGGAGAGGATCAGGAAAAATAACTAATGGGGTACTAGGCTGAATACTTGGGTGATTAAATAATCTGCACATCAAAATCTCCAGACACACATTTACTTATGTAACAAACCTGCATATGTACCCCTGAACTTAAAATAAAAGTTTTTTTAAAAATAAAGTTACTTATGTATAATTATGATTTTTTTTCTAGAAAACAGCTTCCTTTTAAAATAACTCAACATGAACTATATATCTATAAAAGGTTTCAGCAATATATCTTCAGTTTTAATGTAGAGTAGAAGTTAATTCTAGCTTTAGAAAAATCAACTTCTAGGACAGGTGTCAGCAAAGTATAGCCTGCAAGCCAAGTTTAGCCTACCACTTTTTACATTTTTTTAATGGTTGCAAAAACATCAAAAGACGAACAGTATTTCATGACATGAAAATCATAGAGAATTCAAAATTTCAGTGTCTAGAAATAAGGTTGATTGGAACACAGACAAACATTTGTTTACATATTATTTGTGGCTGCTTCTGTGCTACAACATTAGAGTTGAGTAATTGTAACTGACTAAGTGGCCCATAAAAAACCTAAAATATTTACCATCCGGACCTTTAAAGAAAAAGTTTGCCAACTCCTGTGCCAGGGCTACAATTAAGTATAATCCCTTTAGCGAAAAATACATATTTTGATGCAAAAACACTTTCATATTATTTAAAATAAAAATCATTATTGATTATTATACTTTTAACTAATGATTACCATGTATTCTAGAGTCTATGAAGACACACCAGTGGGCATAAGACCATGCTGAAAAAGTATAATGGCATAATGCACACTTATCGTCACCATGAGAAAAACAACTCTAAATAACAATCTGCCCTACTGATGAGTCTATAAAACAGCATTTTCAGTTCTCTTGTAAGGCTGAAAAAAAAAATACTTCAATTGAATACAAATCATTAAAAAAATTCCAAAGTAGTTAAAGAGGTTGGAGAAACTCTGTTATATGTTTTCTAAAGCTTACTGGTTTTGCATAAGTTTATAAAATTCATCCATTAATATAAGAATGTAATAGAACTTAAATACTGAATGTATTATAATAAATATTGCCTAGTCTATTTACTGTCAGGGGACTTCTTTTAGCTTCATTTTCAATGACCATTTAATGAATCTTGGTTTTACACAGATACATAAACATAACTACTGAAATAAGCTTGTATATTTATAATTGTACAATAACCAGATACTTGAAATGTCCTGTTGGGATGATGAGTGATGCCACTACTATTTGTTATGCATCCTGTAAAGGCTACAGCCGGAAATGCTCAACGTGACCACTTATTTGTAAAATCATACCCAATTTCCCAACTACTACATACAACAAATGACCAGCTGAAGTTTGCATTAATATCAAGACATTACTTTGTTGTTTTTGTTAACTTCAAAACAGTCTGAAACTGAACCATTATCCAATTATAAATTATATAATTTTGCCACTGCTAGTGATATTTATGTGGTGAAATCTGTATCAGTCCTCATTATAATGTAAACATTGTTTGAAATGAATTTAGCAAGATAACTGGACAGTTTACACCTTATGATCCTAGCATTCTTTCGTCAATATTCATTTGCATTCTCATCAGCATGTATGAGATTTTCACTGAACTTTAATATTCCTATTAGAATATAAGCCACTATAATAAGATTAAAGGTGAGTATGCAAATTAAAGCACCCTTTAATCACTTAAAGAGACTAGAAGAATCAAGCAAGAAAATACTTCATGAAGCATACACTCTTCAAATCTCCACAGGTGCTAAAAATGGCAAGTACACCTTTAGAAGCGTTGTCAATAGAGGCTAAAGTAAATGAAATACTCTATCACCAGATCCAGTAGGTAACCATTCAGAACCAAAATTACGGAAAGGTTATCAATAGTCTGCATCCAAAAGATATTGCATTAGAAATATGTGCTTACTTCACTTACAGAAGAGACTGTAATAAAGCCTCATCTTTAAAAAAATGATCTTTGCTAGTTCTGAGTGCTGACACTTCATAAAGGACTATAAAAATAAGAGATCCACAGTTTTTACTGTGAAAATCCTTCAAAGGATATATTATGAAACAAATCATTTTCCAATTATTGACTTTTAAGGATATCTTAGGGATATTATTAAGTTGGCATCTTTAAGTTACAAATTTTGTGGTGCTCATGGCTATTACTGTCTTTTCTCTTAACTTTATTGAGGTATAATTTACAAAATACTGTGAGCCATTTCAAGTGTGCAATTCCACAACTTCTAACAAAAATATTTACAATCCTGTAATTAGCACCACAATCAACAGACAGAACATTTCCATCACCTATAAAAGTTCCCCAGTCTGTTTACATGGAAACACCCACCTTATCCTACCCATAGTCCCCAGGCAATGAGTGATACTCTTAAGGTAGCCTACACAACCACCACCTCCTGGTACTCATACATTTGTATTATCTCTTCTCCTTGAATGAGGGTAGGACCCATGAATTCTAATTATAAGAACACGGCAAAGGTGATGGGATATATGTGCTCATGTGATTACGTTATATAAGATTATGGTGCTCATCTTGGCTGGAGTATTTTTCCCCCTGGCTGGCTGTAAGGAAAATGTGGCCATATTGGGAAACACCATTGGCAAGAAATTGCCAGTGACCTCTAGGACTCAGTGTGGTCTTTGGCCAACAACCAGTGAAAAAGTGAAGCTCTCAGTCTTACAACAGCAATGAACTGAATGCTGCCAACAACCACACAAGTGGGATGGTAGAGCTTTTCCTAATCAAGTCTCTAGATGAGAACCCAGCCTTGGGTTGATTACAGCTTAGTGAAACCCTTAACTAAAGAACCTAGCTAGGCTGTGCTTGGGCTCCTGATGCACAGAAACTGTAAGATAATAAATGTGTCTTATTTTAAGCTATTATTATTGTGGTAATGTTGACATACAGCAATAAAAACAAACATAATGAGCATATCAGCAGTTCATTATTTTTTATTGATGTGTAGTATTCCTTTGCATGGAAGTATGACAATTTGTTTATCCTCTCACTTGTTGGACATTTTAGTGGTTTTCAGTTTTTGGCTATTATGAATAAAGCTGCTGGGAAAATTCCGGTACAAGAATTTGTTTGGACTTATGTCTTTATGTCTCTGGGTGAATACTTAGCCATAAAATGTCCAGGTTGTAGGATAAGTGTGTATGTTTAAACTGATAAAGAACTAATAAACTGTTTTCCAAAGTAGTTGTAACATTTTACACTCTAGTCAGAAATATATGAAAGTTTCAGGTACTTTACATCTTCATGAATGTATTGTCAGTTTTGTTGGTATTATCAATTTCTAAAATATTAGTCAGTCTAGTTGTATGTAGTGGTACTTCACTGTTGTTTTAATTAGTATCCCTTGATGACTACTGATTTTATGTATTGTCTTAGTCTGCTTCGGCTGCCATAACAAACCACCACAGACTGAGTGGCTTAAACAACAGAAAGTTATTTTCTCACAGTTCTGGAGGCTGGAAGTCTGAGATCAAGATGCCAGTATAATCAGCTTCTTTCTGGGGCTTCTTCTCATGGCTTGTAGGCAGCCATCTTCTCAATGTGTACCCATATGACTTCTTTTTTTGTGCATGCTCAGGGAGAGAGTACAGCTCTCTGGTGCCTCTTCTCCTACGGGCACTAATATTATCATTAAGGCCTCACCCTCATGACCTCATCTAACTCTAATTACCTCTCAAAGGTCCCATATTTCTAAATACCACCATATTTAGAGTTAGGGCTTCAACACATGAATGGGGTAGAAGAGTGTGGGGGAACCACATTTAGTCCACACCATAAATCCTCTTTGGTAAAGTGTCTGTTTATACCTTTTGTCCATTTTAAAATTAATGTTTCTCTCACTGAGGTATGAGAGTTCTTTACATATTCTGAATATAAGTTCGATGTTAGACATGTATGGCAAATTTTTCTCCCTGTCTATGGCTTGTATTTTCCTTTGCTCTAATAAATCTGTTAAAAATAAGAATCTGTAAAATTTTGGTGAAGTCCAATTTATCATTTTTTTTAAGTTTGTGTTTTAGGGTCCTATTTAATAGTTTTTGACTACTCATAATTGAAAGATTTTTGTTCATCTTTTTCTTCTAAAAGTTTATTAGTTTTAGCTTTATATTTAGGTCTGTGATAAATCCCAAGTTAAATTTCTTGGAGGATTATATAAGGTAATGTTCAAGGTTTATATTTTTTCCATATGGAAATTCAGTTATTCAACACAAGCTATTGAAAAGAATTTTCCTTGCTATTGAAAAATCAATTGACCATATAAGTGTGAGAAAATTCCTGGATATTCAGGTTGGTTCCATTAATTGTATAATTATCCTTACATCAGTACCAAACCACCTTGATAAATGTAGATTTATATTAAGTTAAATTCTCCAATCTTGTTCTTTCTCCAAAAAAGTTTTGAGTATTCTAGGTTCTCTGTATTTTAATACAAAATTTAAAATCAGCATATCAATTCCAAAAAGGCTGTTAGTATTTTGATTGGAGGGCAATGAATTTACAGATCAATTTGAAGGGAAATACTGTCTTTTAAATATTAACTCTTCTGATCTATGAAAATTGTACATCTCTCTATTTAAGTCTTCTTTAATTTTTCTCAGCAATATTTCATATTTTTCTTTTCTTCCTTTCTTTTTTTTTAAGAGATAGGATCTTGCTGTGTCACGCAGGCTGGAGAGCTGTGGAATGATTGCAGCTCACTATAACCTCAAACTTCTGGGCTCAAGTGATTCTCCCATCTCAGGCTCTTGAGTAGGCTGGAAAGACTACAGGTGCACACCACCACACCTGGCTAAAGTGCTTACTTTTTGTAGAGACAAGGTGTCACTATGTTGCCCAGGTTGGACTGCAAGTCCTGGCCTCAAGTGATCCTCCCACTTTAGCCTCCCAAAGTACTAGGATTATAGCCATGAGCCACCTCACCCGGCTGATATTTTATGTTTTTCAATGTAAAGGTCTTGGATATATTTTTGTAAATTTATCCCTAAATCTTCAAGTTTTTAATAGTATTTGAAGTAATATAATTTAAATTTTTACTTAGAAATTGTTTGGTATTATTATGTAGACATATAATTGATTTTATATTCCCCTGTATCTTGAAAAGTTACAAAATTCACTTAATTTTTACGTACTTTTTGTAGACTGTCTACATGTAATCATGTCATCTGTTTCTTATCTGTATTCATTTCATTTATTTTTATTGCTTTATTGCATTGACAAGAATTTCCAAGATGATGTGAAATGTAAATAGTCAAAGAAGATATCCTTGTCTTGTTCCCAATCTTAGGGGGAAAGTGTTCTGCCTTTCACCATTGAATGTGAGGTTAACTGTAGGTTTTTTTCCCCCCTTAATGCCCTTTATCAGGTTGAGGCGCTTCTTTTCTATTTTAAGTTTGTGGAGAGTTTTTAATCATAAATGTATATTGAATTTTGTCAATTCTTTTCTGTACCAACTGGAATTAACTCATGATTTTTCTCCTTTTTGTTATTATGCTGAATATAAATGGATTTTCAAATGTTAAACCAATCTGTATTACTGGGATAAACTCCACATGGTCATGGTATACTGCCCTTTTTATATATTGCTGGATTCAGGTTGCTAATATTTTGTTAGTGATTTCTACATCTATGTTTATGTAGGATACTGGTTTGTAGTATCTCTTTATTGTTTCTGTCAGGTTGATATCAGGTTAAACAGGGCCTAATAAAATGAGTAGAGAAGTATTCCTATCTCCCACATTTCTGGAAAGAATATGTGGCCCATCCTGGTGAATGTTCCATGAGCATATGGAAAAAAATGTGCATTTTACAATTGCTCAGTGGAGTGTCCTATGTCAATTGGGTCATGTTGTCTGATGTAGCTATCTTCTATATATATCATTCTGACAACTTCTGCTTTTTGTGTGGCATTTCTAGACCACTTAAATTTACTGTACCTATTTACATAGGTTTAAATCTACAGATATTTGTATACCTATATTCATAGCAGCACTATTCACAATAATCAAAAGGGGGAAGCAACTCCAGTGTCCATCATTCGATGAATGGATAAACAACATGTGGTATCTATATACAATGGAATATTATTCAGCCCAAAAAAGGAATGAAATTCTGATATATCCTGTAACATGGATGAACCATGAAGACATTATGCTGAGGGAAATAAATCAGCCAGACATAAAAAGGTCAAATACTGTATGATTCAATTTCTATGACGTACTTAGAGTAGTCAGATTCATAGGGACAAAAAGTAGAATGGTGGTTGCCAAAGACTGGGAGAAAGGAGGAAATGGAGAGTTGTTTTTCAATGGGCATGAAGTTTCAGTTTGGGAAGATGAAAAAAGTTCTGGCGATGAATGCTGCTGATAGTTGCAAACAGTGAATGTACCTACAGCCACTGAACTGTATACTTAAAAATGGCTAAAATGGAAATTTTTATGTTATGTATACTTTACCACAATGAAAAGGGAGGATAATTTAAAAATAAAATCAATCAATGTAATAAATCATATTAACAGAATGAAAAAAAATAATCATAAAAATAATCTCAATAAATGAAGAAAATACATTTGACAAAATCCAACAGCATTCATGATAAAAATGCCCAGCAACCGAGGAATAGAAGACAGCTTTTTAATCTGACAGCAGGCATCTAAAAAACCTTACAGCTAATATCATACCTAACAGTGAAAAACTGAATGCTTTCCTGCTAAGATCAAGAACAAGGCAAAGTTGTTCACTTTTACCAGTTCTACTCATCATTATTGTGGAGGTTCCTTGCCAGTGCAGTAAGGCAAGAAAAAACAAAGGCTTACGCATGAGAATAGAAGAAACAGAAGGAAAAGATTGTTTATGCAGACAACCACAAGAAGTTTACAGTAAAGATGATACAATTGATAAGTGAGTTTAACAATATCACTTAAAAGTACACAGTTGATATACAAAATCAATTGTATTTCTATGTATTACCAATGAATAATTTGAAATTAAAATAGAAAACAACTAGCAATAGCACCAAAAAAATCAAGAAACACTTAGGTATTAGTTTAATAAAACATGTGCAAGATCTATAGTTGAAAACTACAGGCCGGAGGGGTGGCTCACACCTGTAATCCCAGCACTTTTGGGAGGCCGAGGTGGGCAGATCACTTGAGGTCAGGATCTCAACATGGTGAAAGGATGGCCAGCATGGTCAGGATGGCCAACATGGTGAAATCCCATCTCCACTAAAAATAGAAAATTAGCCAGACATGATGGTGTGTGCTTGTAATCCAGCTACTCATGAGGCTGAGGCAGGAGAATTGCTTGAACCCAGGAGGCAGAGTTTGCAGTAAGCAACAAAAATAAACAATGGGGAATGAAAACTCTATTCAATAAATGGTGCTGGGATAACTGGCTAGCCATATATAGACAAATGCAAGTTGACCCCTACCTTTCGCCGTATACAAAAATGAACTCAAGATGGTTTAAAGACTTAAATGTAAGACATCAAAGTATAATATCCAGAATCTGTAAGAAACTTTAATAAATCAAAAAGAAAAAAAAAACAACATTAAAAGTGGGGAAAGGGCATGAACAAACACTTCTCAAAAGATATACACATGGCCAACAAACATGAAAAAATACTCAATATGACTAATCATCTGAGAAATGCAAATCAAAACCACAATGAGATACCATCTTACACCAGTCAGAATGGCTATTATTAAAAGTCAAAAAATAAGAGATGTTGGTGAAGTTGCAAAGAAATGGGAACACTTATACACTGTTGGTGGGACTATAAATTAGTTCAGCCTAAGTGGAAAGCAGTTTGGCGATTCTCAAAGAACTACTAATAAAAATAGAACTATCACTTGACCCAGCAATCCCATTACTGAGTATATATCCAAAGAAAAATAAATCATTCTACCATAAAGACACATGCATTCGCACGGTTATTGCAGCACTATTCACAATAGCAAAAAAGTGGAATCAACTTAGATACCCATCAATTGTAGACTGGATAAAGAAAATGTGGTACATATACACCATGGAATAGTATGCAGCCATAAGAAAGGATGAAGTTATGTCCTTTGCAGCAACATGGATGCATCAGGAGGCCATAATCTGAAGTGAATTAATGCAGAAACAGAAAACCAAATACTGCATGTTCTCCCTAATAAGTGGGAGCTAAATACTGAGTATACATCAACATAAAAATGGGAACAACAGAAACTAGGGAGGGTACCATGTTCACTATTTGGGTGACAGGTTCAGTTGAAGTCCAAACCTCAGAATCATGCAATATATCCATGTAAGAAACATGCACATGGAACCCCTGAATCTAAAATTTAAAAAAGAAAGAAAGAAAAAAGTAAAGTGTACTTATAGGCATGGTGATGTGTGTCTGTAGTCCCAACTTCTTAAGAGGCTGAGGCAGGAGGATTGCTTGAGGCCAGGAGTTTGAGACCAGCCTGAGCCACAGAGCAAGATCCCCATCTCTAAAAAATAAAGTATATATGTACACTCTTGGCTTCTATTTCATCCCCAAGAATGATGAATTTTATTTGCACAATCTCAGGAACTTCATTACAGGTCCTTGTAGCCTAAAGCAGCAGCTCCATCAATCTTACACTCATGCACATTTTTTTTCTCCTGTGAATCGTTGTTTTTATTAAGTGGGTCATTTACTGCTGAGGCTATATCTTCTCTAGTTTATCTTTGCTTTGGGGACTAACAAAAATTAAGAAGTATGGTCTTTCTGTTATAAGAGAAGACATGCTAAAAACATTTGTAACATCCATTTGGCAGTGCAGTGCCCTGCATACTTTGTCCAAATACATGTTCCTTCAGCCATGCTTTCTGCTGGCTTTCCAATAATGTATGCTGATGAAGAAATATATTTTAGTTCCTTGCCAGATTGCTTTTTATTTCTGTTAAAGTTTTTACTACAGACATTTTTATCACAACAGGAAGAACAAATAAATGATTCCCAATGGTATGTAAGTTTTTGCTTTCGCTATTAAGAAACCTCAAAAAAGATTTCAAAACATTTATCATTAAATTTAAAGAAACTTTGGAAAGTCCTGGATTGAATATGACACCAACTTTAAATATCTCTGGAAAAACTATAGAGGTTTGTCTGGGCATTTGATCTTTACATGCTCTGTTACTTGGGATAACTTCATATTATATAACTTAGTATCTCAAGACTAATCTATGCCCAAGGTGACGTTCTTCAGTTAAAGAGATTGGGGCAAATCCACATTTCAAATAGTCTTCTAGATTAAGTCAAATCCTGAGACTGGGAAAAGAGTCAGTTCTGACACTTTTTTGTTGTATCCCTTGCTTGTATCATTATTACTATCCTCATTCAGTAACTTATTTTTCCAAGATGACTATGTTATTCTTTTACAGCTTTATTGAGGTATAACTGATGTACAATAAACTGCACATATTTAAAGTGTAAAAACATTATATGGGCCCTGACTAACCAAGACAAAAATTTTGGGAAAGAAGTTGGCAGACTCAAAATGATTTATTTCAAGACTTGTTACAAAGCCTCAGTAATCAAGACAATCAGCACTAGCAAAAAGATAAATAACTCCATGGATGGAATAGAAAATGCAGAAATAGACACATCCATAGTCAATTGATGTCTGACAAAGGTGCTAAGGCAATTCAATGGAAAAAATAGTGGTCATTTAAAAAAACGGTGCTGGAAAATTAGATTGCCATAAAAAACATGAAACAGATAAAAATGTATCATAGACTTTAATGTAAAACCCAAAACTGTAGAACCCCAAACTTCTAGAAGAAATCACAGGACAAAATATTCTTGACCTCAGGTTAGGCAAAGATTTCTTTCATACAACATTGAAACCATGATATATAAAAGAAAAAAATGATAAACTGGAATTCATTATAATTAAGAATGTATGCTCTTTGAAAGGCACTGTCAAGAGAATGAAAAGACAAGCCAATGAAAAGACAAGCCATAGACTGTGAAAAATATTTGCTAATCACATATCTGATAAAGGACTTATATCTATGATACATAGGAAATTCTCAAAACTAATTTTTTTAATTAAAAAAATTCTGGGCAAAAAGATATAAAAGTACACCAAAGAAGATATACAGATGGCAAATAAGTTCATGAAAAGATGATCTAGGTCATTAGTCATTAGAGACATAAAAATTAAAACCACAATGAGATATCAAAACACACCAATTAGAATGGCTCAAATGTAATGAAACTGACAACAGCAATGGCTGGAGAAGATGATGAACAACTTGAACTCTCATACACTACTAATGGGAATACAAAATGGTAAAGCCACATTGCAAAATATCTTGGCAGTTTTTTATAAAATCAAACTTACACTTAAATACAAAATGGTACAGCCACATTGAAAAATATCTTGGCAGTTTTTTATAAAATCAAATCTATACTTAAAATAAAACCTACCAATCCTGCCCAAGGACTTATTTGAAAGAAAATTTCTGTTCACAGATTTGTACGTGAATGTGTATATGAATTAATATAGCAACTTTACTCATAATTGCTATAAAGTAGAAAGGACTCAAATGTCTTTCAACTAGTTAATGCAAAAAGATATATCAATATGACAGAATTCTAGTCAGCAATAAAAAGGAATAAACTTACTGATTCATGCAAGTACACAAACAAATCTCAAATGTATTAAGGTATGTTAAAAAAAAAAGCTGCCTTTTGCTTCTAGTCAAGATGGAGCAACAAGGACAAATTACATAAAACAACAATCTTCAAAACAATGGACATTGAATAATGAAACACAGTGGTCTCAGAGAACGTTAAATAAACGAAGGCTGACCTCACGATCGCCCCAGTTTACTACTTTGAGTTTCGGTTGTGCCCCAGGGAGGGAATCCTGTCAAAATCCAGCAGACTATATAAGTTAAGAAGATGGAGCTGGGAGTCTAGGGAGACCAAGGTCACGCAAGTTCACAGTTCAGAGTACCAGTTGGGTGACAGCTACATAGAGAACAAACCCTAGAGGATTGGCAGAGGGCCCCATCAAGGAAAGAAGTTCTGCAACTTGATAAAGGCATCTATGAGAAAAACCTACAAACAACATATTTAATGGTGAAAGATTGAATGCTAAGGTCAGAAACAATGCAAGAATATTCTCTCTAATCTTTTCTATTCAAGTGTACTGGAGGTTCAACCAAATTGTTCTGGAAGTCCAGAGATTCTGCGTCGCAATGTGAGTTTATTCGAGATACTTCTTGGGTCATGAATCATAGAGCATTAGAGATAGATAGGAGGCTTAAAGGGTTATGAACTCAGCGTTTTAATTTTATAGATGAAAAATAGGAGGTAAATCCCTTTGCCAAAATGACCAAGGTAGTAAATGACCATTGCAGAACATGGATATAACATAAGTCTTGATTCTAGAACAGGGATAGCAACATCCTGGTCTATTATTTTATGAAGCTTACTTTGAAAATTCTTTATAAGGAGTTCCTGTGGCCTGAGAAAGACATGTTGAATAATTATGAACAATTATTAACTTAAAAGCAATAAAAGTGGGTATGACATTTTATACTGAGATATTAATTATTAACAGTGTTAATGATAGACAGGTATGGTCTAATATACCTAAAAAGTAATTTTTATTTCTCTTCTGAGGCATTAATCTTCTATTTTAATGAGTATATGTGATAAGTAAAGCTTAACTGGATCAGGGCCTTTCTGCCTCCTCCAACTATATTCTGCTTTGTATGTATTTTAGGGTTCTCATAAAAAATGTTTATTACTGTTAACACGAAACAAGCTTAAACTTACCAAAAACAAGAAAAATAACAAAAATGAAAGATAAATACAACAATCTGAATTATAGAGAGACAAATATGAGAGCCTCTACATAAGAACTACAAATAATGCCATGAATTAAACTTACAAGGTTCACTGAAACTTTATAACATTGCCCAGTAGTTAGTACTATACTATCTCCCACAGCTGAATCTTGTCCAAGAATCTCCTATTTTTTTTTTTCTTGTGAGACGGGGTCTCACTCTGTCACCCAGACTGGAGTGCAGTGGCGCGATCTCAGCTCACTGCAACCTCTGCCTCTCAGGCTTAAGCAATCCTTCCACCTCAGCCCCCTGAATAGCTGGGAATACCAGTGTGTGCCATCACACTTGGCTAATTTTTTGTATTTTTGGTAGAGATGGCGTTTCACATGTTGTACAGGCTGGTCTAGAACTCCTGGACTCAAGTGACCTGCTTGCCTCAGTCTCCCAAAGTGCTGGGATTACAGGTGTGAGCCAGTGCACCTGATCAAATCTTCTATATGTTTGAAAAAAATTGGTCTGGTCTACTGTTCCATGTCTTTCTTCTTAAAACAGACTATTTTCAGCAAGCCAGCAGACTCCCCAAAATGCCTTTTCCTTAAACATACTTACATAACATACTTTCAGTTTGAAATGCATTCATTCAACAAATGTTGACTGAGCTTATATTTACTTAACTATTGAGCTAGGCCCTGAGAATACAAAAATGAATAAGGTAAGGATCCTATTCTAAAAAATCTTCCAGTTTAGGGCGGAGGATGCAGATAAGTAAACAAGGAACCCCCTATAGTGTGTTAAATGTCATGATTGGAGGAGGTCCAAAGTGAGATAAAAACAAAAAAAAGGAACATCTCACCTATCACTGGGGGTGACGGGCCAGGTCAGAAAAAGCTTACAAAGGGAAGTAATGTCTACTCCAAAACTTGAGTAATAAATAGGAGTTAGCCAAGTTATAAATGATGTAGGCAGTATAATATTGAGTAAAAAATTGGAAGCAGATAATTTGGGTTCAAATCTGGGTTCTAGTTGCTATTGATACTTAGGAACTTACTTAAATCACTCTTCTTCATTAGTAAGAATTAGAAGAGAATTTACACAATTTCTCATTACCACATCTACCCATCTACCTGCATATATGCCCACAGACTCTTTTTCTGCTATCACTATTGATGAATTTTCCAAGCTTTTGTTCAAAGGTCAACTCTTCCCCCTGTTTACTAGGTCCTGCCTCATCTTGTCTTCTCAAGGACTTCCTCTTTCCTGCAATTCTTCTTTCTGACTGGATCTTTCCCATCACTATTACAAAATTCTCTTCTGTCTTTAAAACAAAAGAAAATATTTCTTGACTCCATTTTCCTCTCCAAGTACTGCTTCATCATTCTCCTTTTCTTTACAGATAAACTCCTCATAAACACTGTCTATTCTCAGACTCTCCAAATTCTCTCTTGCTATACTTCTTTTTCTATCATGCATTTGCTCCTACCACTCTACAGAACTATTTTTGTCAGACAAAATAGTTCCTGTATTTAAAGCAGAGTTAATTTTCAGACCTCATTTGACATTTTGATTACTTCTTCCTCCTTGATATTTGGCTTCTAGTACATGACACTTTTTTTTTCTCCTATGTTTCTGGCAGCTCCTTTTTGGTCTCCATTGTCTCTAACTAAACTTTGGAGCAGCCTAAGGGTCAGTGTTTGAATTTCTCATTTTGTATTTACACTCATTCTGTGTGTGATCTCTTCAGTCTCATTGCTTTATACACCATTTATTTGCTGACAACTCCCAAATTTTATCTCCAGTACAGATATGTCCACTAAGTTCTTGGCTCATACACAATTTAACATCTCTACTTGGATGTCTAATAGGCATCTCAAACTTAGCATGTCCAAAATTGATTTCATTTTTCCACCCCTAACTTGCTCCTTTCACTGCACTCCTTTAACTGCACATGTCAGTTAACAGCAACTCCTTTTTCCAGGTGAGGCCAAAACAGCTTAAGAGTAATTACTGTCTGCTTTCCTCTCATGCTCCACATCCAATATGTCATCAAATCCTGTTGGTCCTACTTTTACCACAGATCCGGAATGCAACTTCTTCTTTCCACTCCCACTGTTACTCTGGCCCAAGTCACAATTAATCTCTTGCCTAAATTATTACAAGAGCTTCCTGTCTCCATATTTTGCCTATGTTCCCCTAAGTCTATTTGCAATGCAGCAGCCATAGTGATCCTGTTAAATATACCTCAGAACATATGACTACTCTTTTCAAAACCCTACAATGGCTTCCAGTCTCACAGTAAAAGCCAGAGTCTTTAAAATGGCCTACAAGGCCCCCCAGATTCACAATCCTATTAACTCTCTAACCTTATCTATTAATTTCTCTCTCATTCTATCCCAATCACACTGACTTCCTTGCTGTTTTTCAAACATCTGAGCATGTTCCTGCCTCAGGGCTTTTGTACTTGCTCTCCAGTAATGCTCTTCAGCTGGTTAGCTGCATGACTAGCTCCTTCTGTTTTTATTCAGAAGTCATTTCAGTAAAGCCTTTTCTGAACACTATTTAAAACTGCAAAACGGCCGGGCGCGGTGGCTCACGCCTGTAATCCCAGCACTTTGGGAGGCAGAGGCGGGCAGATCACGAGGTCAGGAGATGGCGACCATCCTAGCTAACATGGTGAAACCCTCTCTCTACTAAAAATACAAAAACAAAATTAGCCGGGCGTGGTGGCGGGCACCTGTAGTCCCAGCTACTCAGGAGGCTGAGGCGGGAGAATGGCGTGAACTTGGGAGGTGGAGCCTGCAGTGAGCCAAGATCGCGCCACTGCACTCCAGCCTGGGCAAAGAGCGAGACTCCATCTTAAAAAACAAACAAAAAAACTGCAAAACCTTCCCCAACACTCCCTATGCCCTTTCCCTGCTTTATTTTCTGTGGCCATTAACATACAATATAGTCTAGTTATTTATCTGGTGTATTGTCTTTCTCCCACCCTAGAAAATAAGCTCTATGAATGTAGAGGTCCTTAATAGATACCTACTAAATAAACGAAGAAAAAGGGCACATTGTTTAATCTACATTGTGGGAGAATATGCAACTTGCAGGTCCCAGTAAAATTGACAAATACAATATTCATCTGAACCTGAAAATACTTAATTTACTTTTTCATGGTGCTGAGTTATTTTTCACATTTAATTGATGTGTACCACCATAAAAATAATTTTTGTTTAGTGTTTGATTGATACATTTGTTTTAAACATATGTCCCATGGGAGAGTTATGCCAAATTACTAGATCAGGACAGCCATAAAAAGATTAGAACTTCATTCAAACTCTCTGAAAGTCTCAAAGGCTGAAAAATGAGTCATTACGTACTCATTTATTTATAACATTTCTATAAACATCTTAATTCTATACTATTATTGGAAAAAATGATAAAAACAAACTCATTCTAAGAAGGTGCACGCATTATCCAAGAATTGTAAATGTAGTTTATAACACTGGAGAGTCTGCTAAAATAAGAAAGCTCAATTACCCCTCCTAGAAGTTGCCAATTTATATTCTGTATTTCTTCAAAAAACCTTTGGTATCTACTTATTTTTATGGTTTTTTTTTTCCTCATAGTTCTAGTAGTAAGCAGAAATGGAAAAATATTTTTACTGAAATGATGTTTACATTCACATGCTGGCATAAAAGTAACATAATGCCTATAGCTACCACATGTAAGGTATCATGCTATGCCAACCAAGAAGCAATGAGTCTACTGTTTACCCACGTATGAAGCTATATAACCCAGGTAAATTAACTAACCTTTTTAGGCCTTAGGTGCTCCATCTATTAAATGGGTGATATGGTTTGGTTCTGTGTCCCTACTCAAATCTCATTTCTAATTGTAATCCCCTTGTGTCGAAGGAGGGAGGTGACTAGATCATGGGGGCGGTTTCCCCATGCTGTTCTTGTGAAGTGAGTGAGTTCTCATGAGATCTGATGGCTTTATAAGTATTTGGAAGTTCCTCCTTCATTATTCTCTCTCCCGCTGCCACGCAAAGAAGGTGCTTGCCTCCCCTTCGCCTTCTGCCATGATTGTAAATTTCCTGAGGCCTCCCCAGCTATGCGGAGCTGTGAGTCAATTAAACCTTTTTCCTTTATAAATTACCCAGTTTCAGGTATTTCTTTTCTTTTCTTTTCTTTTTTGAGACGGAGTTTCGCTCTTGTTGCCCAAGCCAGAGTGCAATGGCGCAATCTCAGCTCACTGCAACCTCTGCCTCCCGGGTTCAAGCGATTCTCCTGCCTCAGCCTCCCGAGTAGCTGGGATTACAGGCCTGTGCCACCACGACTGGCTAATTTTTTGAATTTTTTGTTATTTTCTGAGATGGAGTCTCACTCTGTCACCAGGCTGGAGTGCAGTGGCGTGATCTTGGCTCACTGCAACCTCTGCCCCCCGGGTTCAAGTGATTCTCCTGCCTCAGCCTCCCGAGTAGCTGGGACTACAGGCACGTGCCACCATGCCCAGCTAATTTTTGTATTTTTAGTAGAGACGGGGTTTCACCATGTTGGCCAGGATGATCTTAATCTCTTGACCTCATGATCCACCCGCCTTGGCCTCCCAAAGTGCTGGGATTACAGGCATGAGCCACCACACCTGGCCTAATTTTTTATATTTTCAGTAGAAACGGGGTTTCACCATGTTAGCCAGGCTGGTCTTGAACTCCTGGCCTCAGATGATCCGCCCACTTCGACCTCCCGAAGTGCTGGGATTACAGGCGTGAGTCACCACTCCCGGCCTCAGGTATTCAATACATATTGATTAACTACCTACTAGGTGCCTTACAATGTGCCAGGCACTATGCTAGGAACTGGTAAGCAAAAAACAGAAATACATAACATGGTTATGAGGTGCCATTTTGAACTCAGTCTTGCAGATGAACTTCATTCAGAGAGAAACTGAACTGGGAACCAGAAAGCTGTTGGAAAACTAGGAAATATTCTCTCTATGTACTTCTCATTGTGAACTAGTTTCCGTTTTCTTCTCAGTAAATCAGCTTTTTCTGCAATATTAGCTTTTCTAAAATCAATTAGCTTTTTATGCAATAAAACTTTGATGGTAGACTGAAGGTGACCACTTACAAGCTACTAAGTTCATATGTTACTGTTAGAGCCACACTGAGAGACCAACTGCTGCTGTTTGTCTCCCTTTGATCTTTTATTTTAACTTCAAAGTCTTAGGAAAGGGATCGAGCATCCATCCTTGTCTTAACAGGCAGTCAGTTATCATAGAGTTATTGTGAGTTGAAAAAATACTCCAAATGGTATCTACAGCAAGTATTATGCATAATTTATAAAAGAAAAAACTAAAAGTTTAAGTTACTTTGCAAGTTCATGTGTGTAATGAGTGCCAGAAACAGGATTCAAATCCTAGGATTGTGCAAGTGCTGGGTCACTACATGAAAGTGAGTGCCTGCTTAAATTTTGCATCTTAGGATTTTGGCTTGCCTCACCTTAGTCTCAGCTCTGATAATGCTTAATAGTTCTTTTTGCTATACATGCATCTGCTTACTAAAATTCAGCACCTTCACAACTTTCAAAGAAATGCAATGTTAAAAAAACAAAGTTTCAAACATTCAGACACTAAAACTTTTTTGCAAAGAGAAACAGTATATAACTATATATGCTCTTATTGAATTTGTATACTGTTATATAACTTACCTCCCATGAGATTCTACTAAAAGCAGAAACTTACCTTCCCATTCTGTTGGAATATCCCCTGCTTCATAGTCTACTTCTTTTTTATTTGCTGCTTCTACAATTCTTTTCTCTCGAATAGTTTGTCCTATAAGACAAAAGTCATTAATACATTTTTAAATGAACCTATGATACAGTAGTTCTACAATTAATCTTTGAATATTGCATAACCCCTTATATAGTAAAAGAATTAAATTAACAGGAAAACGAGAATAGATTTCCATTTTGAATTAGGTATATTACAAAAGGCAAATTCTAAACTACTGTAAAAATTTATAATTATTTACCACAGCCTACAAAAATTAAAGGTAGGCCAGCCGCAGTGGCTCACGCCTGTAATCCCAGCACTTTGGGAGGCCGAGGTGGGTGGATCGCCTGAGCTCAGGAGTTCAAGATCAACCTGGGCAACATGGTGAAACCCCATCTCTACTAAAATACAAAAAATTAGCCAGGCATGGTGGCACACACCTGTAGTCCCAGCTACTCTACTCAGGAGGCTAAAGCACGAGAATCACTTGAGCCCGGGAGGCAGAGGCTGCAGTGAACCGAGATCGAGCCACTGCACTCCAGCTTGGGCTACAGAGTGAGACTCCATCTCAAAAAATAAATAAATAAATAGATAAATAAATAAATCTAGATTTAATGTACAGAAAAAGAGCAACCAATTAATCCTATAGAGCACTAATGGCCAATAAAAAATATTTTAATAATCAACAGCAAGTTCAACTTCTTCTGACTTACATGTATATATCTTAGAGGAAGCAATGGCTGCTGCAATCACCCAAGAAAATCGATATTCATTGCTGTTACTAAGTATGTAATGGACCACAAGACCCTGCAGCCACCCTCTCCCTAATACACTGGCAAACCCAAGGGAGCCAAGCCATGGGTTGAATTCTGTGGCCCATCTGAATCACTTCCTCTTAAGAGAATTTAACAAAACTGGTCATTGGTTTGGTTATGGCTATGGTAGACTGATGGTGACCACTTACAAGCTACTAAGTTCGTATGTTACTGTTAGAGCCACATTGAGAGACCAGCTGCTGCTGTTTTGTCTCCCTTTGATCTTTTATCATAATTTCAAAGTCTATGGTTCTTCAGATGAGAGATTAATATCTGGAGTGGAATAGTAGCAATGCAGAAACATGAAACAGAGAGAACAGTAAAGTAAAAGTTGGTGAGAAGTCAAGAATGGAATGAGAATGCCTAATGCTTATATTTCTCAATAAAAGTTGATTAGTGCATATTTTAAGTTTATACAGAAGGCATAAAACTAATTGTTATTTTCTTCTGTTTTCAGAAAGTCTTCATTATATCTTTCAAAGCAGCTTTATCAAAATGGTTGCTTCAAAACATGTTTCTTTCTCACTGAACCTTTGAGCCTGGGGAAACCAGGTAGGCTTTCTACTTCCTACTATTTAACAAGTGTGCCTGCCTACTCCAGGGAATGTGAGCTGAGACAGAGAAGTCATTAGTGAGGAATGATAAAGGGAGCAGCATGGCTTAACAGTGATCAGACCAGTCAGGGAGAGAAATTTGGACCTTACAAAATACTCCTTTCTCTTACCACTCCTAAGCCAATCTTACACTATGCTAAATATACTGACTTACATAATTAAAGAAATTAACCTTGATGCCTGCAAATCTCTCTCCTACACTACCTGATATTCTATTAGCTGTAAATTCATTTAAGTGTGGACAGGAAACTCCTGGGAGTGACTGTGCAGGAGAAAGGACGACATAAAAGGAAAGCCTAAGAAAGCTGAATGGCTGGTTTTATTTCTTCCATCTTAGTAATATTAAGTGAAAGGCTGGGAGTTCATAGACAACCCATTAATGGCTAATAAATCTTAAGTATGTGGTCAGGAAGTTCTGCATTTCATTATGAAGTCATTTAATCAGGCTGATTTAATCCTAACGCAGAGGTTCCCCAAGTTCTACAAAGAGGAGTTACCTTTTGCTTATCTTACCCAATAAATTTACAGTAGGACAAGGGACTGATACTAAAAGTGGTAGGAACAAGGATTAGGGTACAAGGAGCATATAACAATGACAACTGCATTTCTCTCACAGTAGAGGTTCAATATATGTACATGTATGTTTACTAAAATGCTATTTACATTCACATATATAAATACATCATAACAAGTTACTATAAATTTAGTATTTATAATTTAGCATATATTAAAGTAAGCTTATGTGACAATTTTCAAAATGTGTTAGTCAAATACCGATGTCTTCATGTAGTCCTTATCTAATTACCAAAATGTAAGAATGTTTTTTGGAGTAATAGTTATAGAAAGGAAAACTATTGTCTAAAATAAAAATGCAAATACATGGGATCCTCAAAGTACATGTATGGTCTATAAGTTTTTAAATGTACATCCATAAAGTTTAGCACATGGGGAGAGGATAGACAGGTCTATCGTTCTCAGTAGCACTACTAAATGCATATATACTACAGGCATATCTGCAACAAAAAAAATAACTTTCTATTCCTACTCTTAGGTCGATCAACTTCATGTAAGGTCTCCCAAGGATTTAAAAAATCAAAAGTTATGCCTATTTGTGTGTATGTGAGTGCGTGTGTGTGTGTGTGTGTGTGTGTGTGTGTGTATGCAAAGACAGGAAGAGTAATTAATGAGCTAGTTTAATTTCAGGACAATCACTGAATAAACCTTTATTTAGAAATAGTTGAAATAAAGATTTTTTAAAAAAGTATACATCTTTAGTAATATAAAATAAAGCTATTAGCTTATTAAATAAATTCTTTGTAATCAGATATGTTTATCTCCTCAATAAATCACTGTAAAACTACTCCCTTTTTTTGGAATAAATACTACTTGTTCAATTTTTATGAATTGGGAATGGAATTTATGCCTCCCACTGAGTAAGGAATTATGCACAAACTGTACACTTACTTATACTAATATGCTTTCATGCAATATTTGTAAAGACAACTCTATTTATCACAGCAAAAAAATTTCCATCGTAGTGAATACAGCAAATTTAAGTACCTGCTCAAGCATCAAAATTTTAGGTTCTAATTTACATTTAAAAATTAACTTGGTGACAAAAACATTTAATCCAATATATGTGTAGGTTCAATAAGTCCTAATACAACAAAAATAATTGACATTGGTGGACTCAATGAGTATTATTAAATAAAACAGTACACAGTTGTTTTATTTAATACTAAACAATATTATATTTAATTGAAACACAGGGTTTGAATTCAGGAAGGTAGTAATGGTCAATAATCTATGTATTTAAAGACTGTAGATATAACAGTATATTTTTCCAAACTTTAAAAAAAGAAAAAGCTAGCTGCTGTTGAGCTAATTGCCTTAGGAGGATGGTAGATTTCCTATTTCTTTGTTTAGAAATATATGGAGCCCATTTAATTTTAAAAAAAGAAAGAAAGGAAGGAAGAAAACATAATAAAAGGTGAGATCCCAAGGCATATCGTAGATGACAAGGGTTTAGGTAAAAGACAGGTTTCACATGTACTACTGAGCTTCTGGGACAGTGTATGAGCACCCTGGACACAGATATGGGAAGGAGCCTCTAGAGCAGAAACCTAAACTTCAGCCATTCAAGTACCATCTTTGCAATTTTTGCCATACTTTAGAGTACTATAACCTAATATTTTTCTTTACAGTGATTTGCATTTTTCCTCAATACTCATTTTTACCTTACTCTAAAAAATATTCATGTAATCACTGACTTAATGTGCTAGTTGTGTTTTTTGCTCACCCATAAAAATAGATTTAAAAAATTTAAAGGGTTGTCTTTGTGTCATCTAAAGTCATCTTATAGACCACAGTTGGGAAACCACACTGCAGACCACACTGGGTTGTAGAGACAGGCCCAGCCACACATATGGTGTTACAGGGCATAGAAACCAATACAACCAGCAGGAAACTCCTATGGACAGGTAATGGGTGTTGAATATCAAAGTCTTGCTTGGATTACATTTACCCTTGATTTCAAAAAATCCTGTAGTTCACAACAATGTTTTGTTAGGTTTGAAGGAAGAAGGGAGAGGTCCTAGATTTCCAGAGTCAGGAAAAAAAAAAAAAAAAAGCACTAACATTTATGGCATGTTTACCATGTGCCAGATATTGAACTAAGTTTTAGCTCTGCATGAGTAATTTCATTTAAGCTATACAATGCTATGAGGTACTATTATTACTTCATTTAAATAAACAATTTGTACATTTCATTTATAAAGAGATTGAGGCTTAAGAGAACTTAAGACATTTACTTGCTAGCAAACAGATATCAGGATTTGAACATGGGTCTTTTGACTCCAGATCCTAGACACTTAACCACTAAGATATGTTGCCAGACTTTCAGATGACTACAAATGTTACATCTACAAACTGACATTTCGGTTGGTAAAATACAAGGGCTAAGCTAAAAGTAAAAGAGTAAAAATCACTATTTCTTTCCAAAAAAGAAAAACCACTGCCTTTCATTAAGGTGTTTCAGAATGTGGAAGACACATCTTAAATCAATTAACTTAATCCTAATAATAGATTCATTAAAACTTCACTGAAGAAAATCTGGAAAATACCAAAAAGTAGAAAAAAATAAAAATGACCTGTAAGCGCGTGACTCAAAATATCATATTAACATGTTATTGTTCCCTTTCAGACTATTGTAACTAATAGATTATAAATACACAAACACATATACATGTGCGCATGTATTTATGAGATTAAAATTGTACCTATATCCTTTTTCCTACCACATGGAAAATATAAAGGTTTTCATGTCATTGTTGCATAACTTAAAAAGGAAAATCAATATTCAGTTTCTGAACTTACTCTGACATTCTGAGGAAAAAGAAATTTCTTGTAAAAGTGTGTTAATAACATTTCTTTTGTTCAATTGTGTTTAAAATGTGAAGATAAAAGTAAAAAAGATTGCCTTGTTAAGCATAGGCAGTAAAGCAAGTTAAAAAATACTAAAAATGAAAATGTATGCCAATTAAAGATATGTATCAGATATGCTATACAAAGGAAGTTTTACAAATTAAGGCAGAACTTCAAGATCCGGGAGGAAGAAAGAGGTAAAGTATAGTGATCCATACATTCTTTATGTTAACATGTAATGGATTTATTAGTGATATTTTAAAATGAATTAATAAACACTTAAAAATCTCACTTTTATGTATTTAAAATAAATTTCATTGTATATATTTAAGGGATATAACATGATGTTGTGGGATATGAATAGACAGTAAAAAGGTTACTAGAGTGAAGCAAATTAAAATATGAAAACATGCTTATCATCACTGGCCATCAGAGAAATGCAAATCAAAACCACAGTGAGATACCATCTCACACCAGTTAGAATGGCAATCATTAAAAAGTCAGGAAACAACAGGTGCTGGAGAGGATGTGGAGAAATAGGAACACTTTTACACTGTTGGTGGGACTGTAAACTAGTTCAACCACTGTGGAAGTCAGTGTGGCAATTCCTCAGGGATCTAGAACTAGAAATACCATTTGACCCAGCCATCCCATTACTGGGTATATACCCAAAGGACTACAAATAATGCTGCTATAAAGACACATGCACACGTATGTTTATTGTGGCACTACTCACAATAGCAAAGACTTGGAACCAACCCAAATATCCATCAATGATAGACTGGATTAAGAAAATGTGGCACATATACACCACGGAATACTATGCAGCCATAAAAAATGATGAGTTCATGTCCTTTGTAGGGACATGGATGAAGCTGGAAACCATCATTCTCAGCAAACTATCGCAAGGACAAAAAACCAAACACCACATGTTCTCACTCATAGGTGGGAATTGAACAATGAAAACATATGGACACAGGAAGGGGAACACCACACACTGGGGACTGTTGTGGGGTAGGGGGAGGGGGGAGGGATAGCATTAGGAGATATACCTAATGCTAAATGACGAGTTAATGGGTGCAGCACACCATCATGGCACATGTATACATATGTAACAAACCTGCACGTTGTGCACATGTACCCTAAAACTTAAAGCATAATAATTAAAAAAAAGAAACATCTAGTCATAAAAAAAATTAAAATATACATCATCTCACAGTTATCCCTTTTTGTGTGTCGCAAGAGCAACTAAAATCTACTCATTTAGCATGAATCCCACACACAGTACAATTTTATTACCAACAGTCCTCATGAACATTAGATCTCTAGATTTGTTCACCTTACATATCTGCTACTTTGTATCCTTTGACATACATCTCCCTACTTCTCCCAACCACCCCTTCCTGTCCCAGGTAACCACTGTTTTGTTCCTGGTCTCTGTATACAATCAGTCCTCTGTATCCATGGGTTCTGCATCTGCAGATTCAGTCAACCACCACTGAAAATACTTGGGGAAAAAAATGATGAAACAACAACACAACAATAAAATACAAATTTAAAAAATACAGTATAACAACTATTTACATACCATTTAGACTATATTTGGTATTATAAGTAATTTAGAGATAATTTAAAGTATACAGAAGTATGTGGATAGGTTATATACAAATATTATGCCATGTTATATAAGTGAATTGATCATCCGCAGATTTTTCATCAAATTTTTTTTGATCAAAAATTAGTTGACCATATATGTATAGATTGATTTCTAGGCTCTCTATTCTGTTCCACTGATCTATGTGCCTATTATTATGCCAGTACCGTACTGTTTTGATTACTATAGCTCTGTAATAAAATTTTAAATCAGAAAGTAAGTGTTTATTAATTTTAAATCAAAGTTGCTTCCAAATTTGTTTTCCTTTCTCAGAATTGTTTGGGCTCTTTGAGGCCTTTTATGGTTCTATACAAATTTTAGGATTGTTTTCCTATATCTGTATAGAATGCTATGGGAATTTTGATAGAGATTGTGTTACATATGTACACTGGTTTGGGTACTATGAACATTCTAACAATAGTAATTCTTCTGATCCATGAGCATGGGATATCCTTGCATTTATCTGTGTGTTCTTTAATTTCTCTCATCAATGTTTTATAGTTTTTGGTGTACAGATTTTTCATCTCCTTGCTTAAATTTATTCCTTAGTATCTTATGTTATTTAATGCTGTCATAAATGGGATGGTTTCTTTACGTCTTTTTCAGTTAGGTTGTGTATTAAAATGCTAATTTTTGTATCTTGATTTTTTTTGTATGCTAATTTTTGTATCCTGTAACTTTACTGAATTCATTTATTAGTTCTAACGGGTTTTTTATTTTTGCTAAAATCTTAAAATTTTTTTTATATATAGGATCATGTTTTCTACAGATAGAGATAATTCTACTTCTTTTCTGATTTGGATGCCTTTTATTTCTGTTTCTTATCTGATTGATCTTGCTAGTACTTCTAGTACTACGCTGAACAGAAGTGGCAGGAGTGCATGTCCTTGCCTTGCACCAGATCTCAGTGGAAACGTTTTCAGTTTTTCCCCATGGATTATAATGTTAACTGTGCGTTTTTAATAAATGGCCTTTATTACACTGAGAAACTTCCCTTCTATAACTAAACTGTTGAGAATTTTTAACAAGAAAGAATATCACACTTTGTCGAAAGCTTTTCCTGCACTAATTCAGATGATCATGTAGTTTTTATCTTTCATTCTGTTGATGTGAAGTGTCACATTGATTTGTGTATGTTAAACCAGTCTTGCATGCCAGCAATAAATCTCCCTGCTTGGTCCTGGTGTATACACCTTTTGATGTGTTGTTGGATTTGGTTTGCTAATATTTTACTGAAGATTTTTACACCAATGTTCATCAGAAAAATTGGCCTGTAGTTCTTTTGATGTCTTTGTCTGGCTTAGGTATCAAGGTAATGCTGACCTCATAAAATATGCTTAGAAGTATTCTCTGAAGCTCTATTTTTCAGAAGAGTTTAAGAAGTATTGGCATTAATTCTTCTTTGACTGTGTGGTAGAATTCAGCTACAAAGCCATCTGGTGTTTGGCTTTTCTTTGTTGGGGGGTTTTCTATTACTTCTTTAATGTCTTTATTAATATTGGTCTATTCATGCTTTCTATTTCTTCCTGACTAAATCTTGGTAGGTTGTATTTTTCTAGGAATTCATCCATTTCCTCTAGGTTATCCAATTTGTTGGCATATACTTGTACATAATAGTACTGTATGACCTTTTTATTTCTGAGGCATCTGCTATAATTTCATCACTTTCATTTTTTATTTTGTTTGAATTTTTTTTTCTTAGACTGGTTAAGGGTTTGTAAATTTTGTTTTTCAAAAAACCAACTCTTTGTTTTATTGACTCTATGTTTTTTTTGTTCCTTATTTGATTTATTTCTGTTCTGAATCTTATTATTTCCTTCCTTCTGCTTTTTTGGGGTTTAGTTTGTTCTTTTTCTGGTTCCTTGAGGTGTAATGTTAGACAATTTATTTGAAATCTTTCTTCTTTTTAACATAGGCATTAATTGCTATAATGTCCCTCTTAGAAATGCGTTTGCTGCATCCCATGTTTTGGTATGCTGTGCTTCCACTGTCATTTGTCTCAAGACATTTTAGAAATTTCTCTTTTGATTTATTCTTTGACCCACTGGTCATTCAGGAGCATGTTTTTAAATTTCCACATATTTGTTAATTTTCCAAGGTTCCTCCTGCTACTGATTTATAGTTTCATATCACTGTAGTTTGAAACAATACTAGATATATGGTCAATCTTCTTTTGTGGCCTAACACAAGGTCTATCCTGAAGAATGTTCTATGCATGTGTGCTAGAGCAAAATGTGTATTCTGTTGTTGTTGGATGCAAAGTTCTGAAGATGTCTGTTAGTTCCAAGTGGTCAAAAGTGCAATTCAAGTCCAGTATTTCCTTATTAATTCTCTGTCTGATTAATCTGCCCATTTTTGAATGTGGGGGTACTAAAGTCTCCTACTCTTATAGTATTGCTATCTATTTCTCCCTTCATGTCCATTAATATTTGCTTAATGTATTTAGGTGCTCCAATGTTGGGTACATATAGATTTACAATGGTTATGTCCTCTTCATTAATTGACCCTTTTATCATTAACTAATGACCTTCTTTGTTTCTTGCAATAGTTTTTCACTTGAAGTCTATTTTATCATATGTAAGTACAGCCACGCTTGCTTTCTTTTGATTACCATTAAATGGAATATCTTCTTCCATTCTTTTACTTTCAGCTTATGTGTGTCCTTAAAGCTGTTGTAGGTCTCCTGTAGGCAACATATAGTTGGATCTTGTTTTTCTTTTTAACTCCATCTAACCATTCTATCACTTTTGATTGGAAAATTTAATCCATTTACATTCAAGTTTATTACTGATAAATAAGTTCTTACTACTGTCATTTTGCTATTTGTTTTCTGGTTGTTTTGTAGTTCCTTTGTTCTTTTCTTCCTCTTTTTGCCTATCTTTATGATTTCACAATTTTCTGTAGCTGAGCTTTGATTCATTTCTCTTTATCATTCATCTATCTGCTGTAGTTTTTTGTTTTGTGGTCAGAATGAAGCTTAAATAACATATTTTATGGTTATAATCTACTATTTTAAGCTGATAATTACTCAACATTGATGCATACAAAAACTCTGGACTTCTACCCTCCCCACCAATTTACATTTTTGATACCACAGTCTACATCTTTTTGTATTCCTTAACAACTTATTGTAGTTTTAATTATTTCTGATGGTTTTGACTTGTTTGTTTGTTTTGAGACAGGGTCTTGCTCTATCACCCAAACTCCTGGCTGGAGTGCAGTGGCATGAACATGGCTAACTGCAGACTCAACCTGAGTCTCAAATGATCCTCCTGCCTCAGCCTCCAGAGTAGCTTGTGTGTGCCACAACACCCAGCTAACTTTTTTTTTTTTTTAACTTTTTTGAAGATACAAGATCTTGCCATATTATCCAGGCTGATCCCAAACTCCTGGACTCAAGCAATCCTCCCATTTAGCCTCCCAAACTACTGAGATTACAGGCATGAGCCACCATGCCCAACCTGGTTTTGACTTTTAGCCTTTATACTAGAGATTAGTATGATTTCCACACTACCTTTACAATACTAAAGTATTCTGGATATTTGCTTCTACCAGTGGTTTTTATACTTTCACATGTTTTCATGATAGTAATTGTCATCCTTTTGTTTCTGCCTGAAGAATTCCCTTAAGTATGTCTTGTATGGAAGGACTAGCAGTAATGAATTCCCTTGGCTTTTGCTTCTCTGTGAAAGACTGTTTCTCCTTCATTTCTGAAGAACAGCTTTGTTGGGTATAGTATTCTTAACTGTCAGTTTATTTCTTTGGATACATCTTTGAATATATCTTCTCAGTCTCTCTTGGCCTGCAAGGTTTCTGCTGAGAAATCTGCTGACAGTCTAATGGAGATTTCTTAATATGTGACTTGATGCTTTTTTCTTGCTTCTTTTACAATTCTGGTTTTGACTTTTGATAGTTTGATTATAATGTGCTTCAAACAGGAGCTCTTTGGGTTCAATCTATTTGGGGAGCTCTGAGCTTCATGGATCTGGATATCCATATCTCTCCCAAGACTTGACAAATTTTCAGCAATTACTTCATTAAATAAGCTTTTTGTCCCCTTCTCTGTCTCTTCTCCTCTAAGTGCATTTCTCCCATAGTACATTTATTTTCTTAATGGTGTCTCATAAGTCTTATAGGCAGTCTTCACTCTTTTTCATTCTTTTTTCCTCTGAGTCATTCCAACAGACCTATCTTCAGATTCACAGATATTTTTCTCCTGCTTGATTGATCTAGCCTGCTGTTGAAGCCGACAATTGTATCTTTAATTTCATTGATTGAATTCTTCAGCTCCAAGATTTCTGTTTTGTTCATTTTTATGATATCTATCTATATTGAATTTCTCATTCAGATCATAAACTCTTTTCTGTCTTCACTGAATTGCCTATTTGCACCGTCTTCTTTCTTAATGAGTTTCCTCAGGTTCATTATTTTGAATTTCTTTTAGACAATTAGTAAACTTCCATTTCTTTGGTCAGCTACTGAAGAATTATTTTGTTTTGTAGTGGTGTCATATTTCCTTGCTTTTCCATGTTTCTTGTGTATCTGTGTTGATATATCTGCACATCTGCTGGTACAGTCACCTCTTCCAAACTTTACAGAGTGGTTTTTATAGGTGAAGACTTTCACATGTAGATGGTACCAAGGATGCCACCAGATAAGCAGAATGTGGTGGCTCTGGTTCTATGTCACCACAGTAATGTGATTCCATGCAGCATCTTCAGCAGTGACCAATGTTGGAAATAACTTCAGGTGCCTCCCTGGTCTAGGCTTCAGGAGTTTGTGGTACTGACTGCAGCAGTGTAGGTTATTAGGGCACAGGCTTTAGGAATCCTCTCATTCTTGTTATCCTCACAGTGGTGAGTCTTAGCTTAGGGGATCTCTCTCAGTGTCAGATCTGACATGGCTCACAGGCTGCCAAGGCAGCACTGGGATCCAGAGCACAGATGCTCAGAGTGTCTGGAGAGTTGGGTTCCTCAGCTCAAGGTCTTTCAAAACCACTATAGCACCTGGGACCTGATGTATAGGTTCACTCTCAAAGGTACAAGTGAATGCAATTCTCTCACTAAGCCATGGTCTATTGCTCTGAGGCACACTCTATCATCCTGGGCCCAAGGGGCTGAGATATAGCTATGGTTCTGACCCTTTAGTTTTATTATAAAAAATATCAATACATATTCCATAAACAAAGTTCTCTCAATAATTATGAAGAGTCTAAAGGAATTCTGAAACCAAAATGTCTGAGCACTATATATAACACTGAGAAAAACCCAGGAATTAATAAAGCCACAGCACTAAACAATATAGATAAATAGATGAATAAATAAAAATTGGAGCGATAAAAGGGCTCTTGCTTACCATGATGATGAATAGTAAATGTGGAACAAGTACCAGAGTTGGAAAAGCATCATTTTCTAACTATCATGACTAGTTCTGATAAAAATTATTAATGGAAAGGGATTGTTTTTATTTAGAAAGTTTCCCTTTCTTCTGCATATAGTGTTCTCACACATTTGAAAGCTGCGCAAGATATTATTTAAAGGATGGTTAGAAATAAGATTTCTAATATTACTACTTACAAATACTGCCTTCCTAGGGTTTCAGTGACCCTGTAGGTGAGTATGACTCTTGAAGGTACCTGTGGCAGGAGACACCAATGGTTCCTAAGAATGAAACAGCAGACTCAGGCATCTCTCCTTTCCTGAGCCACTATTCCTTTCCTAATCCATTCACACAGGCCAGGAGAGATATTTGGGCAGCCTTTAATCTTTACATTTCAGAGTTTCAGCGCTCATAAAATATCTAAGACCGTGGAGGAGGGATTTTCTTCCACTAGTACCAAATCAAAGGTAGAGGGCTATAGAGCTGTAACCCACAAGCATATATAATTCTTGGTGATAGTTTTCAACCAGTTGTCTACTTCTAGCCCAATATTTTACATTGATGGGGTAGCATGAGGAGAGATAAGTGGAATTTGGAGGTGACTTTGGGGTTGAAAGAGAGGCTGGGCTGAGTGAGGTGACATACTTCTGAGATAGTTGTTCCCTTGTATATAAGCAAACCTGACACGAGCTCCTGGGTTGGAGGAATGGTGATCAAATAGGTAGGACAACCAGAATAAGATCCTTATAGTCTGACTGATGTCTCTCCTTTTATAGCAGTGGCAGCAAGCAGTACAATCAGGTGATAATTCTAAATCAGTTTGTTGACTGGTGGTGATGTATAAGAGACTGAATTCTGCATACAAAAGGAGGTTTAGAAGTATCAATGCACAATGTATGAAAGTGAGAACTACTGAAAGCCAAGCACCACGCTACATATATTAGGTTTGTGGGCTTTCAAACTTTGTTATTCTGAACCATTACAAATAAAATGAACACAAATTAAGAGCACTAAAATAGGAATTCTTATACTGAAAGCCATTTTTACACATGACTTGAAGTGTAATTTGACTAAAGTTACTCAGTTGCAGCATCTGTTTATTAAGAGCTTGCTGTTCACCAAGCAATGTTTAGGTTCCTTTCATGTTTTATCTTTTATCTTTAAAACAATCTTCTACAGATGAGAAAAAAAAAGGTATAGGGTAGTTAACTTATCCAAATGTTCACAGCTGATTAAAGTAGTATAGCTAGCATTTGAACCTAAGCATTTCTATGACTCCAAGCATAAGCTCTTTCTGTTTAAGATTTTAAAATTAGCATTTATAAAGCTTGCATATAGTATTATTACAGATACCCAATTAAAAACTAACATCTTATGCATGACTATCATAAGCTATTATTCCTCACAGTAATTAAAGGAGGCACTCCAGCTTGAAAATGTGATGATTCTATAATCTGACATGTCCTACATATACTTATGTGAACATGTAAGACTATCTCCACAGATAATATTTTTAAAGCAATTATAGAAGTCTTACAGATAAGCTTTCAGAATTTTTAAGACTGCCTACTAGTTCAATGAATTACCTAAAATCTTATTAGCTTCCTCATATTTACAAGTGTCCTATAAGGAATCTCAACTTGTTCTATCACAGAAAATCCAATATTATATCAAAATGCTTGGTTATTCTGAAATGCTTTATATAATATGATTTAGCTTTTCAGATCTGAAAAGATAAAAGGTCTTAAACTACACCCAGAAAGACAGCAGAACAATTCCAAGTAACCTATTTCCTATATTAGTGAAAATGTCCTGTGGCAAGTTTATAGCACACCAATATTACGTTTAAACTGGACTTCATTAATGAATTTTTTTTAAAGCCACAAATAAAATTTCAATCTGAAAATACATAAGAATATCACAATTTAAGAAAAAAGATTAACCTATTGTAAATTTGTGTTTGTGCTTTGCACAAGGACAATAAACTCTTATTGACCGTTAATTTTTAAAGGTTCCATGAGAGCATTATATTCAAACAAAACTTCAAAGTTCTAAAAACATCTGTAATTCAACCAACAAATATACACTGAATAGTCTATTGCATTAATCTAAGAAGATTTATAATTAAAAGTTAAGCAGGTCTTCTGATTATATTCCCAAATCAAACATGTAAGTCTTAGAAATGCCTTTACTTCATTTACTTCCCTTCCATTACTGTGGAAATCACACATCAAAAACTGTTTTTAAAAAACAAAGAAATAACACTTGAATATTATGTTGAAAAACCATTTATTTTCCAAACTGAAAGGAATTTTTGATCTGCTGAAAAAGCAGTTACAATTACACCTGATCTACTCTCCAAAAGAAGGTAACCATTCAAACAAAAAATATAAATGATGAATGCATGACTATTTAGTCCATGTAATAATGTGTTCACTATGAAGAGCTGAAAGAAGTAGTCATTTCAGGTTTTGATTGATGTGTAGAAATCAACTTTTGAAAGTACTTCACTCACTTAATACATTCTATACTTTTTTGTAAAGCTAAATTGTCTACAATGTATGAAGTATATTCATAATTGAAAATGTGAACATTTAACAAAATGTCAGAAAAATGAATATTAGGTGATTCTGCTATGAATATATCTAAATTATAACATGAGTTAAGATGTCTTAAACACACACAAAAAGGAAGGAAAAAAGGCGGGGATGAAAATTTTTTTAGCTAAATTAAATAGGCTTTAAGACATTATACAAGAATTTCAAGTTTTAACAAAACTATTTTACAATAAGAGGACATTTATGAATGTGATTGGAAATCTTATTTTATAGTGACTCAAGCAAACAAATTCCAATCTGGTACACCCTTGATATAAAAATATATATAAAAAGAGTATTTTCTTTCAAAATTAGTAAATATTCATAGTGTGGTATAAAATAATATAATCAAGTATTTAATTTTCACTTTGAAAATCTAATTTGAACACTAGGGCTTTCAATATATAGGTAAAAAGAGAGATGGAAGGAAATAATTAAAAATGATGGCAAATATTACTAGAATTTAGAGAATTATAAAATTATAGTATGTGAAAAGCTTGGGCCAAGCCCAAACTTATTTTCAGATTCGAAATGTAGCAGATACAGCTGATTATGTGATTGACTTCTAGACCCAAATGGTTTCATAGAAATCAAATACTTGGTCATTAATCACAGACCATAAAAGAGTCAAAGACCGTACTGTTATCTACTGTTACTAATTCACAGAATATGTGGCAGTTTTAAATATGAATAATTTAATAAAAATAAACAGATTGCATTTTGTGGTACATTAGTTCTCAATTTTAAAAAATTATATTTATTAATCCATGAAATTACTAATACCCTTCATTAATCTATTTAATTTAGCCACCAGGCACCACTGATCACTAATAAATAGAAACATTCTGATATAGAAGGAGATCACATAATCATCTAATGAAATGTGATAGTTATCAAGTTAACAGGAACTACACTAGTATTTGTGAACCAGATTCCCAAGCTCAAAAATTGGGTTTAGTTGGTAAAAGTCTCGGATGCCAATAATTTTCAAACTATTGTCTTTAAAAATATCCTCTTTAGAGGTTCAATTTACAAAACTATTCAAGCAGAGCCTCTCTGGTTAAGGGAGGGGTTCAGAGTACCACCCACCTTTTCTCCCCTCCCCTTACATGTAGTTACCTCCTCACACTCCTAGGATTCTAAAGAGTCCTGTGAAAATCATTGATTCAGACCAAGTACTGTACTTCTGAGATTCCCCAGTCCATCTGTGAATACATATATTCATTTACTAAACAAAATCAAGATCTTGCCAATGGGCAGAAAGACCACCATACATTTACTTCTTTCCCTATACTATTCTTCATTTAGTTAGTCAAGCAATCTTTCACAAACTACTGAGTAACTGGTTGTAAGACAATGTAGCATTTTCCCTACAATCCTGTTTTCCAAGAACATGTAAAGCCTACTTCAGCTGTGAATCTATGATTTAAAGCTAGAACTTGATTTAAGGCTTGCTTCCAGTGTTCAGAAAGGATGAGTTCAGTGAGAAGTCATTTTCTCATGTTGGAATAAGAAGTGCTTAGGAAAAGACAAAGAAGTCTGAACAACAAGAGGGAAAAACAACTCTCCAATTCACTTGTCATCAAGCAAGCAGGCCTTCACTGGAGAGGCATTTTTAATACTTTGACTCCCCAGAACTGCAGGCTGCTGTGAAGGGAAAGATTTAGGTAGTCTGAGGCCAATTACCAGCAGTAAAAGGAAAGACAGGATAGAAAATTCCATCAAAAGTTTTTATATAGCACCATATAAATATATATATATATATATATATATATATATATATTTTTTTTTTTTTTTTTTTTTTTTTTTTTTTGGAGACAGAGTGTCGTTCTGTTGCCCAGGCTGGAGTGCAATGGCGTGATCTCAGCTCACCGCAACCTCGGCCTCCTTGGTTCAAGCGATTCTCATGCCTCAGCCTCCTGAGTAGCTGGGGATTACAGGCACGCGCCACCATGCCCAGCTAATGTTTGTATTTTTAGTAGAGACGGGGTTTCACCATGTTGGCCAGGCTGGTTTTGAACTGCCAACCTCAGGTGATCCTCTTGCTTTGGCATCCCAAAGTGCTGGGATTACAGGTGTGGGCCACCGTGCCCAGCCATAGCATCATATGATTTTAGTCATTCGTTTAAACTCTTCCTATGACAAACTTTACCCTGGCTAATAACTAACAAAATTGGATGACATGAATTTTATCTTTGTTCTCTATTTTAGTTCGCTGTTAGAAAGATATGCTAATAAGCTGTGATTGCACCAAAAGGCAGGCTGTAGGAGCATGAAAAAGAAAAGTTGATTCCATTTTGCTTGTGAAGGCTGCAAAAAGACCATTAATCTTGCAATTTTTACCTACTTATTCATTATTTCTCAATGATGCTCAAAAAGATAAACACTACAGTCACTAATAGTAAGATATGCCACATGGTATTACTTTAAGATGGGGGTCTCCAAAAACAGAGTGCATATAAAAATGGAGCCTGCCTCTCTACTCAAGGATGTACTGATAGCCCATGCCTGGATATTTACCTACAAAAGAATAAAATAATTGGAGTTGAACAATTCTTTATTCTTAGTAGCAAATGACAAAGCTCAACATTTTTTCCCTATTTCTTGCTACTTTCTTATAAGCTTCCAGGTTCTGAAGATCATGTAATTTAGGCTAATTTAGCAACGTGTCAATAATATTATGTTAATTTGGCTTATTAATGTTATCTGACTCATTTAGATGAGCAGAATTATATTTATTGAGCATTATGTATATGATATTAATAGACACTTTATTTTTATTTTCTTAATTCTCACAACAATCTTCACTTTTATAATTGAGGAAACTAAAGCTCAAAGAAAATTGAATGGATAAGGAAAGGTGTGTCTTGAATTATGTTTAATTTTTACATGGAAATTTAAGAAAATGTACTAGCATAATCACCTCCTATACTACAAAAACAGTGTCCACATATAGTCAGGTTCATGCTGCCTCCCTTTTTTATTTCTGCCTCCTTTTCACAACCCATTTTACAACCACTTGGCATATACTTTCCACATCTTCCCCCTTTGCTTTGTGCTGCAGAACAACCTAACTATTCTGTGACAATAGCACCACTTATTGGCTGGCAAAGGTATTGGAAAAATCTGAAATCAGTATCTGCTTTCTTACCTTTAGAAAGATAATGCATAATTTGGGCTTTTTATTCTGCCTTTTTTATTTCAGCTCACTCACACCCACCTGAAAAAGTGTTTTTCTCATATACACATACAACTCCTTTTTTATCTTTCATATCTCCTTTCAAAAACCTGTAGAGTTACTTTACCACTTGATTTCACTGCTAATCAATGTTTGCTAATATGAAGCAATGAAGATGAATTGTGAATTAAAAGCAATTTGTGAATTATTCTGGAAACAGAACTACAATTTACAACACAATTTCTATTTTAAAATGTGTTGAATTTCAACAAGCTACATACATGGAATTTTTAGGATTCAACTGATTTGTAAGTTGGGAAACTTGCCATATTATTAAAACATATAAAAGTATAAAGTCTTCTGTAGTGGCATACATGGTAAATAAAGGAATAGAATGCTAAAACAAAGCAATACTATATATATTTTCCTCTTCTTAAGAGTTAATATACATCTCCTTGTCTTGTGAAATTTAAATCTTACACTACATATAATGAAACACTCAAATATTTGTTGATAACAATAAGGTCCATTCCTACTTTGCAGTGACCCCTTAAAGTTATACTAATGACACATGAGAGAACAGCTCTCATTATTTTAACTTTATCTCAGCGATGGAAACTAACAGGATTACATCTATAACTCTAACCACTCAATGAGCTCCAGTCATAAACTTTTGTTTAAAGCAATGCTCTCTACTTGTATGTCTTTATACTTCTGCTACACAGAGTTCTGTATCTTCCTGTAATACTGAGCTTAGCATCTAGTCCCTGAAATTGTCTGATCTTTATGAGTAAGGCCTATAAGTTCCTACCTGTGGGAATTTTGCATTGAAGCAGAGGAACATGTAAGATATCCCAAGTCAGTCTGTCAATATGAAGTCACTTTTGTTGCTGGTACCAATTAAGTAGCAAGGGGGTTTTGTTCCTTGGATTTTGCCCTGTATCTCAGTTCTAGAAATCGTTACTGAATGCTACTGAGATTTGGTCTAATGGTGACGTCAACTGCCCAGGTGTAGACCATTTTCCTCACTGTTAGCTACTCCTGTCTCACAAATCACCTGCCCAGGACTATTCTATTGGCTCCCTAGGACTTGGAAACCTATGGTCTGGCCTGCTTGATCAGTGTTTATGACACCCACCTCTCCCAGGCCTGAACTGCATTTCCTTTCAAATCTCTCAAATATTTTGATAGGACTATTACTTTACTCATTTCCTAATTCAAAAACTACAGTTGTTTTTACAATGTGAATATATTTAAAAATATTGAACTGTACACTTCAAACTGCTTAAGATGTTATATTTTTATTTTATTTTTGTTTTTTCTAGAGACATAGTCTCACTCTGTCACCCAGGAATGAGTACAGTGGTGTGATCATGACTCACTACAGCCTTGAACTCCTGGGCTCTAAAAATCCTCCCACCTCAGCCTCTGGAGTAGCTAGGACTACAGGCACATGCCAACGTGCCCAGCTAAGTTTTAAATTTTTTGTAGAGATGGGGTCTCGTGATGTTGCCCAGACTGGTCTTGATCCTGGCCTCAAGTGATCCTACCACCTCATATGTTTTATTTTTTACCAAAATTAAAATTTTTAATTGTTTTTTAAAGTTCAGTTGTTTTTTCTACTATTTCCCTCCCTGACAATGCAAACTTTCAACAAAATATATTTTATTTCAATATTTCCCTTTATATCCACACCAAGACCTTCATCCAGGTCCCTCTCATTTCATGTCTATATTAATTTTAAAAACCTAACCATATTGTATTCTGATGTCTATTCTTTATTGTTTCTTTAGGAAACTACTCCATTCCATATGATCCTACTTTGTCCATGGGGTTGTGTGGGACTATCACCCTTCTACTTAGAGGTAGGAATGTTAACCAAATTTGACCCATGGTATTCTATCCTTTTAGCCACAGAAACTATTTCAGGGATGGGTACATGACCCCTGCTGGGCCAATGAAGAGTCTTCCTAGAACTTTTGCTGGTGCTTCCAGGAAAAGATACTTTCTCAGCTTCTATGATCATAAGCTATAAAGACCATGTAAGACCTGTGATTGCTGGGCCATCTATTCTACTATGTGGAGAAAATCTATCTATGAATGAAACCAATTCAGAGTCATGTTATGGAGATGGTGCATATCCTGATGACATGGATCATTTGAATCTAGCTCAATTTCTGTTCAGTTATATTTTCTAAAATATTGTATTAATTGGGATTGGCTAAGCTGCAGTAACAAACAGACTCTAAAAAACTACGTAGTTTAAATAATTAGAAGTGTATTTGTTTCTTATGCAACAGTGCTGGGTGAATGTTCAGGTAGGCCATGCAGTTCTTTCCATGCAGTCATTCAAAGATCCAGGCTGATGGCTACTCAGTCATTTTCAACACATGACTTCTAAGGCTTCCCTGAACACTGCCATTTCATTTAGTCAGAAAGAAAAAGAGCACCCAGGAACACATAATGGAGATTTTTATGGCTCATGCCAATGAAGTGACTCACATCTGTTTCATTTACAATGCACTAGAGAAAACTTAGTCACATAGCACACTTAATTTCAAATGGAGCTGCTAAAGGTAGTTTGTGTATCCACGAAGAAGGAAAAAGTGATTTTGGTAGGAAGCTAGTGGTCTCTACCACAAATATGTTCCTGAATAAAGCCAAATCAACAAAAAGGTTGAATAACGAACACTATCATATTCGCCCCAGAAAAACTGGTTTTACTGAATTAAAAACCTGGTGAAATACCATTACCCATAATTCAGTGTTATTATAATACTCCAGAAAAAAACTTATCAAATTAATCAAAGTATGTTATCAAGAATACTTGTTCATTACATTAGTGTCTACTTATAAAAACCATAGAAAAAGTCACATCAGACATTAGTATTAAGGATAATAGAAAATAACAAATATGCCAGTCGCAGTGGTTCACGCCTATAATCCCAGCACTTTGGGAGGCCGAGGCGGGCGGATCACGAGGTCAGGAGATCGAGACCATCCTGGCTAACACGGTGAAACCCCATCTCTACTAAAAATACAAAAAATTAGCCGGGCATGGTGGCGGGCGCCTGTAGTTCCAGCTACTCGGGAGGCTGAGGCAAGAGAATGGCGAGAACCCGGGAGGCGGAGCTTGCAGTAAGCAGAGAACGCACCACTGCACTCCAGCCTGGGCGACAGAGCAAGACTCCGTCTCAAAAGAAAAAAAGAGAAAATAACAAATATAATTTTTCTCTTATAGGACCAGGAAAGATTAACAACACAGACCCAGTGTTATTAAGAGTGTAGGAAAATTAACAAGCTCTCATACTGTTTGGAATATAAATTGAGCAGTATGAGTTGTGCGACCAACTGTTTCCTTTTCTGGACTGACTACCAAGAAGCTTAGGGGTATGACCACAAGTGCTCTAGTGGGGTAATTATATAAGATTTTGTACTTTATTGCTTGATTTTTTTAAAATAAGTAACATATTGTTTTTCGAATGAAAGCAAAATAAAGCTACTTTATTTTTGGAAAAGAAAAAATAGTTATACTTCTCTAAGTAGTTGTTTGATTGACCTCAGAGCCATTGTGAGGTTCTGACTTAAAGGTTTCTCCTTTTTGAGTTGGTTGCTACAAAGGTCAGAATTGCATTTGAGTCCACTCTTAGAAAATGCATAGCTAATCAGAGTTTATATTAGTGCCTCATATCTGGTTCTACTTTTTCCCCACCCTGACTTTACATTCCTCCTTTCACTGCAATTTTATGCCTCTATCTTTGAGTCTTCAATCTTACATCCTTTCTGGAAGAAGGAAGAGAATGATCTTATAATAGTTTTATTGTACCACAATTCTAACACCATCCCTATACAAAACTCAATTCTACAATGCATTTTTTTTAATACAGCAAAAATCCAAACTCTTCACTTTAGTGTTTATACTAATGCCTAGGTCAAACACTGCTATATGTGGGAGAAAAAGAAAGAAGGCTCAAGTTGTTCACACTCTGGTTCAATGACCCTAATATTTTTCCCACTATGACTCATATCTGACAACCTAATGGCCTCACATTCCTGGAGGCATACCAAGATGTATGCTATATACAATTCTCAGCATGATAACAACTTTGTCTCTTTGGCTATTACTGATCTGGGACACACTGGTGGTCTCAGGGGTCAGATGGTTAGGAACACAGATTGACTGCAATAGAGAGCGATAAGTACAAGAAAGAAAATGCTGTGTGCTGTGATACCACACAGGAAAAATAAGGAACCCAGAATTGTGAAGTAAAGAGAAATGGGAAACTTTCTGTGAGAGGTATCTATCAAATAGCAGTTAGGTGGGCAAAAGAGGAGGCTAATGGAGATTAGAAGCATCATTCTAGAAAATTAAAATTAAGAGAACAATTGGATTTTACATGGGAAAGATTATGAGAATATTTTTGGACACTTGAATATATGCTACTCTGTACCATATGTCATCTTTTCTGCGTCACTGGAAAATCAGCTAATCCATATGATAGCATTTTTTAGATAAATGAAGCCAATTCCTTTGAAAAGCAAATATTCTCAGTCTGATTGTTTTAATGAAAAGAATTTAAAAATACTTTAGAGTTCTTTTTTTCCTGCCTTAGTGAACTAAACATCCTTTGTGTACTCACTTTCTCTTTGGATCACATGCTAATTATAAACACAACATAGTCCACTATGTTAAAATAGTGTCCTACTGTGACTTTTTGACTTTTAAATGATTCTTCCACCTTGCAATAATGAAGATATTTCTTATTGTCAATTAGTGTTACTGCTGACTACTGTCTGTCAGCCCTTTTCCAATCTTTTACATGTAGAAAATTAAGGAAATAAATTGGTAATGAAAGGAAAACTGAACTTGCTAAATCCTTCACCTTACCTACTACACCAAGTCAGTAGTTCTAGTCTGAGGACAGCTGTATTCTGTACAAGGTTCAAAGTGCATAAATTTTATGATTTTTTTTTTAAATACCACCTTCAAAGAGATCTTGCTGGATTTTGTTTTGGCCAGTTCCAAGCCATGCTTTCCTGATTTCTCAGGCTGCCATAATCCTTCCTTGAAGAGTATCATTTGCGCAACAATAGAGTAGAAAAGGGTCAGTCAGCACAGTATTCAAATTTAGACTTTGGCCATAATCTGTAAATGAGATTGTACATTTCATCATCATTTCCATCATAATTTTCTCTAGGTTAAAGTTGAATTTAAAATACACTACTCCACCTCACAACCAGTAAGATGGCTACTATCCTTTCTACAAAAACCCCAGAATAACAAAATAACAAGTGTTGTCGAGGTTGTAAAGAAACTGGAACCCTTGTGCACTGTTGGTGGGAATGTAAAATAATGTAGTAAGGCAAACATTATGGCAGTTCCTCAAAAAAAATATATATATAATAGTATTACCACTTTATCCAGCAATTCCATTTCTGGGTATATAACCAAAAGAATTGAAAGCAGAGTCTCGAAAAGATATTTGTATGTCCATGTGCATTGCAGCATTATTCACAATGGCCAAAATTGTGATAATTCTTCAACTTTCGGAGGGCCAAAAGATGGAAACAACCCAAGTGTCCCTCATCAGACTATACATGTCAGACTGTGTGTGTGTGTGTGTGTGTGTGTGTGTGTATAATTTAAATTGCATAATTTGTGTATATATAATTTTCATTGTGTATGTGTGTATTTATATATATGTATATAAATACACACATACACATACAATGAAATATTATTCAGCCTTAAAAAAGGAAAGAAATTCTGACACATGCTATAACATGGATGAACCTGAGGACATTATGCTAAGTGAAATGAGCCAGACACAAAAAAGACAAATACTATGTTTCTACTTACATGAGGTACTTAAAGTAGTTCAATTCATAAACACATAAAGCAGAATGGTGGGGGAGAAGAAGAATGAAGACTTGTTGTTTAACAGATACAGAGTTTTAGCTTTGCAAGATAAAAAGAGTTCTGGAGATTGGTTGAACAATAATGTGAATATATTTAATACCACTGAACTACAGCCTAAGAAATGATTAAGATAGTAAATTTTATGTTATGTGTATTTTACCACAACTAAATAAAAATTCACAAACTACAGATTTTGTAACCCTGTTCTGATAATTCTTCAAATTTCGGAGGGTAAAAATCCGTGTCTTATTCCTTATACGGCTTTTTTGGTCCTTTTTGAGATCCTAAATTATTTGGACTAAAAACTTTTACCTGTGATTTAAAAAGATATTTAATAAAGAAAACTCTTTGTACCAAGTAAGGCTGGGTTAATAAAAAATTACTACATACTCTAGGGACTTATTTATAACAGTTTTAATAAAAGGTTACATCAATATATTGACTCAAATAGTATATAATTACCAGCTGTTATCCACAAGGATATAATTGATCCTTAAAATTGCCAAACTAAAATTCTATATATATAAAAAGAACACAAAACTCTAATATAATATACTGAATTTTGGACATTATTATACATTGATTTTTAAAATATACCTTGGCCCCAACAGATGATGAAGATGCATGTTTACCTTGCATGTTTGTGTCAAAAACAACGAGACATAACCACGCAGCCTGAAAAAGTGCGCCCCATTGTGAATGTGGTTCTACCACCACTCCCCTCTCCAATCACCCATCTTAATCCACTTAGGTCAGAACCATGATGTTTGTATGGTCTCAAAGATGATATTTTCCACTGCCTGACTGCCTTCTAGCAACAAGATGAGTAACATCTAAGTCATAGAGAGGAATGGTGGTTCTTCACTCAAATGTCTTGAAGAAAAAAACCACAAAGGTTACAGGAAGAATTCTTATTTGGATGTTAGGATTAAGATCAACTTTGCTGAGACTGGGAAACAAGGTTATTGGCCCAGGTGTAATGGCTTGAAGAAAGCTGCCTGGGAGATAGCTTCTGACAACACTAACCTCTCAATGCAAATCATTACACACTTCCATTATCCCCAACCTTAGGCAAATTTACTTATTCAACAAGAATCTTAATTTCATAACTCTAATGTCTCATTCTTCACTTCCTATAAAAACAAAAACCATATATGCCTTTGAAATAGTTCCAGGCATCCTACCTGATTAAAGAGTGGCCTCATTTTAAACTCAATCTCCTTTTTAAAGTTTAATGTGAGTAGGCACTAACCCCAGGATAAAAAAATAATTTGCCAACTGAGTTAGTTAGCGAGAAATAATATGAATATTTATCTGTTTTTTCTTGATTTAAAATAGATAAACAAGCAAACATATCTCCTCAGTGAAAGCCATCCAAAGGTAATTTCAAAACTCTCCAAATTGTAAAGGGAAGAAACAGCCAAGGGAATGAATTTTCAAACTCAGTTCCAGTACACATTAGAACTTAAAAAAAGTATTAGATGCTGGGTGTTATTCAGGGACACACTTAAATTTGTGATATGAAAAAGAAATGAATTCATTTGTCAATAAGGCACTTGTGAGAGGGAAATGCGAAAAGAAACAAGTCTATCTTGATTTTTTTCACTTCATGTTTATTAAATTGCTTTGGAAGTAAACTTTCTTTGTTCTTTTATTCCATCTGCCATGAAGTAAGGACTATAAAATCATTGATAAATGGCTAGAAAGGCTTTCCTTTCACTGTAATGACAGTATATACCCTTGCATAAATGCCACTTTAACTCTAGGCACATACAGCATCACCAAAATACTCTAGTTTACTCTTTTTACTTTTCCTGACCTTAATATCTCAGTAGGAAACCTTACTGGAATGAAATATGATTCTGGAAATAGCTGGGTTGATTCTTTTTTTTTCACTTTTGGGCTCTGTGGCAGGTTATAATCCTACCAGATAAAGACAAGAGTCTCATCACAGTTTAAATAACATGAAACATCAGAAAGAAGATAATGGATGTTACAACACTGAGATCCAAGAGCAATGTGCATCTAGTGGGAACAGCCATGGCTGGTTCAGAAATTGCTGAGGTCAGCCCCTAACTCAAATGCCTCTCAAGTCTCTAGAAATGGCTAATATTTCCTGGGAATGCTTTGACACTAGCTAAGCTGACAGACAAATGCTGACAAACAAATCAACTTAAACTTTTTTTTTTTCTCTGCAAGGCAATTGGTTAGGTGCAGATATTGGAGCCAGACCACCTGGCTCTGAAACTTGTATTCTTTAGTGTTACTTAACTTCCCTGTGCCTCAGTTATCCTATATAAAAAGTAGGGATAATAAAATATGATCATAGGATGAAATTAGTTACTATATGTAAAGTGCCAAGAATAGTATCTGGAACTTAGTAAGCATTATATGTATTAGCTTTGTACTATCAGTTTGTATTAATACTCTCGGGATGGGAAAGTAGAAGAATCATCATAAGTCAGGTTTTGACCACAGAAAGTTAAAATCATGTTTAAGACCTAGCCATTGTGCTGCTGAAGGGGAGGGGTGAGCAAGAGTAAGTCCTGATGCTCTTGAAATTCGTATTAGCCCTAGCGCTCTGTAGAGCAGCCATACTTCTTCTGCCTAGAAAGCTGTAGTGATTTTAGGATCAAAGAAACTTTCAGAAAAGCTGGTAGAAAGATCAAAAGAGAAATAAATGTAGGTGGGTGGGGAACAAATATGATTTTGGGCAACACTATTAACTTTCCAAGCATGGGGAGTCCCTCACTTATCTGGAGTGCAATTACAGTGCAAAACAGTAGAGAATATCATTATGTAGCCCAGCTTGGATCCACAAAGAATAGCATAAGTATGCATGAATTCTTTGCCAGGCATAAATGAAGGGATACTTACTTTACTTTGGTCTTTAAAACTGCTTATTCCCAAGGTTATCTTGAATTTTAATTCTGGTTCCCTCACAAAACACATATGCAAATTCTTAACTTTCCCTCTTTCTCAGATGTGTTATCACTAAGCCCTTCAGAAGAGATTTTATGATAGATAATATATAGCAAAATGGATATTAAGACTATGGTTAAATATAAGAGACACAACCTACCAAGACTAAATCATGGAAAAAGTAGAAAATATGAACAGATCAGTAATGAGTCAGGAGAGTAAATCAATAATAAAAAAGTCTCCCATCAAAGAAAAGCTCAGGACCTGATGGCTTTACTGCTGAATTCTACCAAACAATTAAAGAACTAATACCAATCCTTCTTAAACTCTTCCAAAAAAACTTCTGAACTCATTTTATGAGGCCAGCATTACCCTAATACTAAAAACCAGACAAGGATACTACAAGAAAAGAAAACACAGGCCAATTCCTGATGAACACAAATGCAAAATTCCTCAACAAAATACTAATAAACCAAATTCAGCATCATATTAAAAGGATCATTCACATGATCAAGTTGAGATTTATCCCAAGCATTCAAGAACAGTTCATTATACACAAATCAATAAATGTGATACTCCATATTAACAGAATGATGGCTAAAAACCATATAATCATCTCGGTAGATGCAGAAAAAGCATTTGACACAATTCAACATGCTTTCACGATAAAAACTCTCAACAAATTAGACATAGAAGAAATGTACCTCAACACAATAAGGCCATATATGACAAGCCCGCAGTTTACATCACAATGGTGAAGAGTTGAAAGCTTTTCCTCTAAGATCTGGAGCAAGACAAAAATACCCACTCTCACCACTTCTATTCAATATAATACTGGAAGTCCTAGAAAGAACAAGTAGACAAGAAAAATAAATAAAAGGCATCCAAATCAGAAAGGAAGATGTTAAATTGTCTCTACAGATGACAAGGTCTTATATCTAAAAAATCCTAAAGACTCCATCAAAAAACTGTTAGAACAAACAAGTTCAGTAAAGTTGTGGGATACAAAAATACACTAACAGTAAACTATTCAAAAAAGAAATCAGCCAAGTAAGGTAGTTCATGCCTGTAATCTCACCACTTTAGTAGGCCAAGGTGGGAGGACAGCTTGAGGCCTGGGGTTCAACACCAGCCTGGACAAAATAGCGAGACCCCGTCTCTAAAAAAATAAAGTAAAAAAACTTTTAAATAAAATTAAAAATAGAAAAAAAGTCAAGGAAACAATTCCACTTACAATAGCTACAAAAAATACTTAGGAATAAATTTAATCAAGGCAGCAAAAAACCTGCACACTGAAGACTATAAAAGAAATTTTAAAATGAAATTTTAAAATAAAAATTTATTTTATTTTATTAAAATTTAATAAAATTTTATTTTATTTTATTAAAATTTAATAAAATTTTATTTTATTTTATTAAAATTTAATAAAACTTTATTTTATTTTATTAAAATTTAATAAAACTTTATTTTATTTTATTAAAATTTAATAAAACTTTATTTTATTTTATTAAAATTTAATAAAACTTTATTTTATTTTATTAAAATTTAATAAAACTTTATTTTATTTTATTAAATTTTAATAAAACTTTATTTTATTTTATTAAATTTTAATAAAACTTTATTTTACTTTATTAAAATGTTAATTAAATTAAAATTTAATAAATTTAATACAATTTTAATAAAAGAAATTTTAAAATACACAAATAAATGGGAAGATATCCCATGTTCACGGATTGAAAGATTTATTATATTGCTAACATGTCCATACTCCCCAAAGCAATCTAGATTCAATGCAACCCTTTTCAAAATTCCAAGGATAATTTTTACAGAGATAGAAAAAACAATCTTAAAATTTGAATGGAACCACAAAAGACCCCAGATAGCCAAGGCAATCTTGAGCAAAAAGAACAATGCCAGAGGCATCACACTATCAGATTTGAAAATCTATTACAAAGCTATAGTAATCAAAACAGCATGGTATTGGCATAAAAACAGACACAAAGAGCAATGAAACAGAAAACAGAACCCCAAAATAAAACCACATATTACAGTCAACTGCTTTTCCACAAAGATGCCAAAAATCCACAATGGGGAAAGGACAGTCTCTTCAATAAATTGGTGTTGGAAAAACTGGATATACACATGAAAAAGAATACACACCATATACAAAAGTCAACTCCAAATAAAGACTTAAATGTAAGACCTAAATGGTAAAAATCCTAGAGGCAAACAACAAGAAAAAGCTTATTGGCTTTGGCAGTGATGTCTTGGATATGATACCAAAAGCACAGGAAATAAAAGCAAAAATAGACAAGTGGAATTACATTGAACTAAAAAGCTTCTGCACAGTAAAACAAACAAAGTAAAACAGAGTGAAGATACAACCTAGAGAATGGGAGAAAATACCTGAAAACCCACACATCTCATAAGAGATTAATATCCAAAATATATAAGGAACTCATTCAACAGTAAAAAAAAAAATAACCTGATTAAAAAATAAGCAAAGGACCTAAATAGTCATTTGTTAAAAGGAAACTTATAAACGGCCAACAGGTATATGAAACATATTCAAAATCACTAATAATCAGGGAAATGCAAATTAAAACCACAATGAGATATCACCTTACACCTGTTAGAACGACTAGTATCAAAAAGACAAAAGATAACAAGTGTTGGCAAGGATGTGGGGAAAAGCGAACTCTTGCACACTGTTGGTGGGAATGTAAATTGGTATAGCCTTTACAGAAAATAGTGTGGTGGTTCCTCAAAAAGTTAAAAATAAGACTACCAAATAATCCAGTTGTCCCACTACTGGTTATATATCCAAAGGACATGAAATCAGTGTACTGAAGAGATATCTGCACTCTCATGTTTATTGCAGCACAATAGCCAAGATATGGATAGAACCTAAGTGTCCATCAATGGATGTTGAATAAAGAAAATGTAATATAGATGTAGATACACACACACACACACACATACACACACACACACACACACACATATATACAGCTTTCAAAAAGATGGCAATCCTGTCATTTACAACAACTTGGATGAAACTTGAAGACATTATGGTAAGTAAGCAGGCACAGAAAGACAAATATCACAAGATCTCACTTACATGTGATGTGTAAAAAGCTCAAAATCATAGAAACAGAGCTAAATTGTGGGTACCAGAAACTGTGGGTGAGGGGTTTGGGAAGATATTGATCACAGTGCACAAAGCTCCAGTTAGGAGGAAAAAGTTCAAGAGACTATACATCATGGTGACTACTTAGTTTATATTAATATTAGGGTTCACTCTTGGGGATGTACTTTCTATGGGTTCAGATAAATTTATAATGACATGTACTCACCATTATAGTATTACACAGAGTATTTTCACTGCACTCGAAATACTTTTGGCTTGCTTATTTATCCCTCTGTCCCTCTAACCACTGATCATTTTTGTTTTTTTCCCCCAAGACAGAGTTTTGCTCTTGTCCCCAAGGCTGGAGTGCAATGGCGTGATCTCAGCTCACTGCAACCCCTGCCTCCCAAGTTCAAGCAATTCTCCTGCCTCAGCCTCCTGGGTACCTGTGATTAGAGGCATGCGCCACCATGCCTGGCTAATTTTTGTATTGTTAGTAGAGACGGGGTTTCACCATCTTGGCCAGGCTTGTCTTGAACTCCTCACCTCAAGTGATCCGCCTGCCTTGGCCTCCCAAAGCGCTGGGATTACAGGCATGAGCCATTGCACCCAGCCAACCACTGATCTTTTCACTGTCTCCACAATTATGCCTTCACCAGAAGTGTCATGTAGGTGGAATCATAGCCTTTTCAGATTGGCTTCTTTCCTCTGGTAATATGCATTTAGGTTTCCCCATGTTTTTGTATGGTTTGATAGCTCATTTATTTTTAGTACTGAATAATATCCCATTGTCTGAATGAATGTAACCATTTTTAAAGTTGGTTTCTGTTTACTGGATTTTTCATAAAACAGAATTCACTACCATAGTTTTAAAAACAGAACATTATCTATCTGTCTAAATTTGGACTAATATATTCACATGGTTCAAGAATAAAGCATAAAATAGTATATAATAAAAAAACTCCCTCATGCAGTCCCATCTGGTAAGTTCCCACCCATGCACACACACAACTGGCAACCCCTCTTTATTAGTTTATCCTTTCTCAGATTATTTTTATGCATATAAAGTCAATATAAATGTATATCTCTCTATATATATATTACACACAAATACATACATACATAGAATTTCCTCACTTTTGTTTTTCCACAAATAGTTTATTCTACAAATTGTTCTGTACTTTTCCTTTTTATACAATAATATAGTTGAAGATTTTTTCATATTAATACATAGAACATATCTTTTTTTAACAGCTGTATCCATTGTGTAAATGTACCATAATTTATGGAACTGGTCCTCTAATAATGATCATGTGAGTTTATAAAAAATTTAAATTATAATCATGGAATTATTTGTTTATAAAGGACCAATGAATTTTGAATAAGGTTAAATAATCTCCTATGGCTAAAACAGTGCTATCAAAGTTACTGTGCTAATTTAGGTATTTAAAATAATAGTTCTAAGTCCAAAAGTACAAATATAGTCTAAAAAAGACTCTAGCGTATTAGTGACAAATCTACGTGGTCATACCTGGATTTCAAATTGGAGTTTATTATGAAAAATGTTACCCATATGATTCACTCACATGATATGTCAGGAAAACTGTCAGACTTCAAGAAGCACATCTGGTTTGCCCATGACTGCAATGGGGATTTTTAGATTGATTCATGGCATGTGAAAGCATCGTTGGAAAGCGGAGAGAAAATAATTTTTAAGTAGCCCTTAAAATCTTCACTTTCCTCTAAGACACATGGTGAACAAATATCTGGGAAAAAATGTCACCTACCAACTAAGAACAATGACTCTTTTCTCCTTATTAGTAGAAGATAACTTGAATGTCTGCCCATGGACACATAAAGATTTAACCATTACAAGTGATGCTTATTCACCTGATTGGATAAACTAAACGTTGCTTATAATTCATAATTTATTACTTGCAGTAACTGAAAGAGTCACATAGTTAAGTCTACCAAGTTTTAAACTCGAAAGTATTGGTCTATTCTCAGTAATGAGTTAAAATATTAATTATATTTCTTACCTACAATCTCTCTAAGACTAAGTCTCTCTTAGCCTGTAAGAATTTAAAACCAACACTGGGAATCTTTGTGTATTAAAATTCATGAAAAAAACTGGTACGGGTGAAAAAACAACCTACAACCACCTCAAATAGTCATTAGTACCTCTATTGGTAGTATTTCAACTCTTCGATCAAAAATATTCAAATACTTATAAAACTACTTCTATTTAAAGAGAGATAAAAATTATACTAGTAAATGGAGAATATGTTTACATTGAGATAAGAATATTACTTGATGGTAATTTTTCATATCTCAGAAATGTAAGCTATAATCCAATCCTTTAAAGTTTAAAAAATTTAAATTTGTATATATCCTCTTAGATGTTACTTCTGAATATTAGCTCTTCATAAAATACCATGTTACTTTAAACACATTTGTAAGTCATTTTACTAAATGTTAATCTTTATAAATGATCTGTGCTTTGGATAGAATTTTGATAGTTAAGCAGTTATTTTCAGCTGTGCTCTATAATATTGGAGCAAAATTATGACAAACTGAATATTCTCTGGATAATTCAGGTTGACAGTCCCTTAGGGATTTCATTTACTTAAAACCCACTTTGGATTTTATTTTTCATATGAATGGGACATAAACATGATAACAACAGTTATCCTACTTTTGCTAACTATAGAAACCCAAACCTGGTAATTATCTACAATTATTTTTTCATACAAAATATCCTTACAGTTATTTATACTCCAGTCTCTCTCTAATATGCATACTTAATAAAAACTAACGTGTTCTCATGAAGAATATATTTGTGAATCTTAAAAAATAAGACTATCCCACAGTTATATGCTAATAAATACTTGTGGGGTTCTGAAATCAGGTATAGAATGAGTGTGACACAGTTCTCCTCTCAAGTACTTCATAGCTTAGTAAATGATAGAAATTTGTACAAAAAAAAAGGCAAAAAAATATATATTTATGGGAGAATGTTCAGGAATACTGACTATTTTGGTTTCCTAGGGCTGCCATAACAAAGAATCACAAATTGTGTGACTTAACAGAAATTCATTGTCTCTGTTCTGGAGGCTAAAGTCTGAAATGAAAGTATAGGGAGGGAGGGTCCTCTGAAGGCTCTAGGGAAGAATCTTTCTTTGCCTTTTCTAGTGGCTCCTGGCCTTCCTTGGCTTGTAGCTGCATTACTCCAATCTCTGCTTTCAACTTTCGCGCGCGCGCGCGCGTGTGTGTGTGTGTGTGTGTGTGTGTGTGTGTGTGTCCTTTCCTCTTCCTATAAAGATACCAGTCATTAGATTTAGAGTCGACCATAATCTGATCCCATCTTAACTTAACTGTATAGACAAACACCCTACTTCCAAATAAGATAACATTCTGAGGTTTCAAATGGATATACATTTTTTGGGGGGACACTATTCAACCCACTATATTGACCATGTATGAGGAAAAAGAACAAAAAAATACTTGCCAGGTTGTGTAAACTTCAAGTTCAAGTGTTCAACAGCTTAGCAACTTCTTAAGAAGGTTTTAAAGTCTTCATTTCAGTAATGGATCTGAGATGATTTAACAGAATATCTTCAAAGTTCTAAAGAGTTATAGTATCTTGATCTATAGTAATGGCTCCTCAAAATTTAGTTCATAAACTATTAAAAATAAAATAAAGTAGGGATGACTGTTCCACCCATTCCTGTTTGTCCAGCATACCTCATCAGAATTAAGGGCAATGTTTGTTTTCTTTGATGAGAAATCAATGAGATGCTATGGTTCTTACTAAGCATAATTATTCATCCTTGCCAGAAAGAGAAATACAGCCATAATCATTAAAACTAATGACTGGCTATCTCACCACCTGAGGGATTCTTAAGGACACCAGCCGTCCCCTAAATCACAGTTTGAGAATGATCTAAGTTAATTGGCAAAACAGAAGTTAAGTATACATTATATCATCACTTATACCATTTACTGAATAGCATTTCTGTGGTAGAAAATAGTACAACTATTGATTGAGATTCAGTTGGAAATTTGGGCTTAATTACTATTTTCTAGGAAGCAGAAATATTTCTTTAAATTTTGGGATTCTAAAAAAGATAGCATTCATGGTTTCCAGTTCTTTTGGAGAAGAACTATTATCTATTAGTTACATGTGCTTTATAAAACATCTGATAGATGTTCTATTCTTCAGAAACATGATTTTTTAGAAAATGAATTCTATAATATGCTTGTTACAAATATAGTCTCTTCCCATCTCTTTTTTTCAACAGTAACTTAAATAATGCGAGTACAAATGCCACTTCCTTAAATATCTGATGGGTCCTCAGCACTCTGGCATGTGGTAGCTTTGTCCCCAAGACTTTTTTTTTTTTTTTTTTGGCCTGTCAGCTGTGAGAAACAGTTTTCTACCAATTACTGTCACAATATGAATAAATTCAAAACTGAAAATATAAGCACTGAATATTTTCAGTAAATTTATCCCCAAAACTATATTAAAATAGGGACTTACCATTTAAACAAGGAATTTAGCAAGTAATAATGAAGAAGTATCACATTGTACTTTGTCTTCTATAAATAAAAACACATGTAACAAGATAAACAAAAAAGCATTCATGCAAAGAAGAGAAATGGGCAAATGACAGCAAGCATATAAAATGAAATGAAAAAAAAAAGTTATAGCTGCAAAGAGAGCATCAATTAAGAAACATGACCTCAAATGTTATGGAGTTATTGGTTTTTGTCACCCTTTTTGGATGATTAATAATAACTTAATAACAAATAATTTTGAAAAGATTTACTTAGCATTTACCTCTTTATCCAACACCAATCAGTTTCTTTTAGTATGTGGCTCAAATCAAACATTAAGCAAGCATTTGGTCCCTAACATGATTTTGGTTTAAAAGGTAAGAGAGAAAAATACTATAAAAATTAGCAATGCTTTTAGATTATCACTCCTAATAATACCTCAAATAAACAAGATAGAGTTGGCTCTTACTGTAAACTATGCCAAAATTCTTTTTCTGGGGGGTGGGGTTAATAAAAGTTCTACATTTACAGGTGTGACCAATGAGTACAGTTTGAGCTGGCTACAGTCCCAGTGGTCTGGTCCATAAACCTTGTTTGGTCAGAACACAGCTCTTCTAAGTCTCTGAATCACAATCAATTTTAATACCAGGGTAATAATGCACAATTATTTGCAGGATATATTCTTTTACACTCATTTGCAGAATAGGCATTATGTTGCCTTTTTTATACTTTCACTTAGTCTTCTCAAATGTCTTTTAGAGTATTTTATTTTTGATGATCTATGTACATTATAGATTGCAGTTTAACAAACTCCCACAGAACTGGAAGATTTAGGCCTTAAAGTTATAGTTTGTAACATTGCTGACTTTCTCTCTCTCCCTCTCTCTCTCTCTCTCTCTCTCTCTCTTCCCCCGCCTCCCTCCCTCCCACCCCCCGTCTCATCACCCATATTCAGTCCCTCCCATCACCCATATTCAATCAACCACCAAGTCATGCTGTCATGTCTTTCCTAATGGCCCTCAGAAGTCTGCATTTTTTGCAGCTCAACTACTACCCTTCACTTCAGACCTGCACCATGTGCCTGTATTACTGCAATAACAATTGTTCTTAAATGATCATGTGCACTAAAATCCATCTTGTCAGAATAATACCCTAAAAATACCCCTCTAATCATGTCATAAATCCTTCAGAACTATTCAAAGGCTTCCCATTATTTATAGAACCATTTCCAAAGATATGTTTTATAGAATACTGAAGTTTCATATGATTTTCACCATGTTTTGATTTTTAAAAGCGAGTAGGGGAAAGGGGATGGGTTCTTTCACCAAGTATAGATAAATGGAAAAAGTGGTTTCTTTATAGCAAGATTTTTCAGAGCTTTTAATATGTTGAATACACATTGCATACATCCAAGGGTTGGAAAGTATGCATTTTATACATTTATTTCATTGCAGAACACTTTTACCACATGGCACCTTGTAACCTCTCCCAGAACATTAGGACAGTTTTTAAAAAGCACGAACCCTGAGATTTCTCCTTATGACCTTCTAAAGTATGACCTCAAATTATTTAAAAAATCTCTCATTAACTTTGTATGAGTTTCCACCTTCATCTAGAGTCTACACTCATTGTACTTTGAGCCAATTATATGCATGTGTGACTGCCATCCTATCTACAAAAACTGTCAACCCTTTATAACCAAGTTTAAGTTTTGTTTTCTCTACAAAGCCTTCCCTAACAATTTGTGTGCATATGAATCTCTTCTTTTTTTGAATGATACCACTTTCACTTCATCTTATAGTCCATGTGGCACTCAATCACCGCCTAAACACAAATCTTCCAGAGACTTATCTTTAAATTTTGTTTTTGGTGGTGGTCTCTTCTCCCACACAAGAGAGCAAGATCCCTGAAAGAAAAGTCATGTCTTTTGTATATGGTCTTATACTATTTACAGCTTTGCAATTAGCAGGGCCTCAATAATACTGGCCAAATAGATGAAAAAAAATTTAGGATGGTGTGCTATTTGCTTCTCCAGATCAAGGATCCACCCTTCTGACCCCTGCCCCAGAAAGGTAACCTACATAAATTACATCAACAGCCTCCCTTGCCCTCTGGCTTCCAGTGGGATCCAGCTAATAGGCAATACCAACAGGAGACCAGAAGGACAGTAACATTAGAGAATTTATTTTGTTGGCTCTCTTCTTGCAAGGTCAAATGGGGAGAAGGCTATTCCCACTGGCCCAAGGTCACAACTCTGTCTCTAGATCCCAGAAACCACTTCTTCCCCTCACTGTTTCAGCACTGGAAATGGTAAAGACATCCTGCTGTCATCCTTCCAGTATTGAATTTGTGGTGGTTTCCTATACCTTGTAGTTTCCCTCCTAGGCCCAGCCCACACCTTTACATAGTCCCTTTATTTAGCAGTCTTCAAATTACCTAATTTGAATGTGCCATCTGTTTCTTGCCTAAATTTTAACTGATACAGATGGTAGATATAAATTGCTTGGCTGTTTTAAAAAAATAGTTATTAGTCTCATAACACTAGGAATAGGCAATGAATTTGTTTTGAGAATCTAAAACTAAATATAAGCTATAGTCTACAATGAGTGCTGGATTATGATCCACTTGGGTGAAGAAGCCATGACTTATTCATCTTTGTATTCAGCCCTGTGCCTAGAAAAGTCCCATGCACACTGTTTGCAATAAACATTCATCTGACTAATTTAACAGTCTATGATAGAAGCAGCACTCACCAAATATGCACAAGCTCGTATACATTTCCCAGCCTCCCCTGCAGTTAGGTGGGGGTCAAGTGGCTAGGGTCTGGCCAGTGGAACAAGGGTGAAAGTGATGTATGCTTCTTCCAGGCCTGCCCTTAACATCATCCCAAGTGAGCCTTTGACTCTTTTCTTCTCTTGTCAATGCTGAAAACTTTTCCAAGTGATGTCAATAAGATAAATGAGATCTACTCGATTAAAAAACAAACAAACACACACTTCTGTTAAACCGGTGAGTTTTGTGGTTTATTTATTATTTATCTAATACAGCATGCAAGTATCCTCTATAACAATTTAACATTTTAAATAGTATGACGGATTTTTAACTTCTCTTTAGCTATTACAGCTTATGAAAATTTTTGCTATTTCAAGATAGAATGTAGACTCATCATATGCTCTAGACTATATTATAAATGAAAATAAATATCTTAATAATTTATTATTGACAAATTGGGAAAAAACTAAAACATTCTTTTTACTTGTTTAGCATTCGGTAAGTCTAAGAATAAAATAATTATAAAATGAAGTGATGATTAGGAGGAGTGCTACCTCTAAATTGAGACCCCTGGCACAGATTTGTGTCTTGTCCTTTTTGGTGTAGTGGGGAAGAGAAGGAGAGAAGAGACTGCTCTGTGGTTTAAAGAACAAGGTATAAAAAATGGTGTTTCCGGAAGCTTGGGCCATTTTCAGTTTTGCTGGATATTTCCTTTATGTTTAATACCATCTTGGTTTTGTTTTTTAAATATTGTTTTAAAAGCCCTTTACCAAAAAAAAAAAAAAAAAAAAAAAAAAAACAGAGCAAGAGAGAAAGAGAGTTGTCTTATTCTCTGCCAGCCATTAAAAATACACTATTGGCTGGGTGCAGTGGCTCACGCCTGTAATCCCAGCACTTTGGGAGGCCGAGGCAGACGGATCACTTGAGGTCAGGAATTCAAGACCAACCTGGCCAACATGGTGAACCCCATCTCTACTAAAAATACGAAAATTATCTGGGCATGGTGGAGCATGCCTGTAATCCCAGCCACTTGGGAGGCTGAGGTGAAAGAATCGCTTGAGCCCGGGGTTCAGAGGTTGCAGTAAGCTGAGATCACGCCACTGCACTCCAGCCTGGGCGACAGAGTGAGACTCTGTCTCAAAAAAAAAAAAAATACACTATCTTCTCAAGCAGTGGGTTAAGCTTTTCAGATGTTTATGCTCCCAATGTTTTAGCTCCACGTGGATATTTAATATTCATATTTAGACAGAGGAATGTTAACAAAAGAGAACATATTTGTTACACACACACACACACACACACACACACACATATATATTTGCCTACCTAAAAAAACCCAAATATGTACACATACATGAATTCACATATAAAAGCAGACAGCTATTTTGTGTCATTTGAGACTTTTACATATCTCATCTCTTTCTGAGATTTAGTCTTTCTGGTATTATATTTTACTAATTTGAGCAACTGTCCTTGGCTTTGTGTTCCTTTCATAGTTTGAACATGCTGTTTTGTTGAATTTTGTTTTTAAATTCCTTTGGCAATTATTACATATATAATGTATCAAAAATATATGGTGTGTGTGTAATGATTCAAGCTCCCTATCTTGCTGCCATCACATTTCTTTATGGCTATGGTTACAGACATTTTTGTATACTTAAAATACAGTCATGAACCACACACCAACATTTTGGTCAATGACGGACCACATCTATGACAGTGGTCCTGTAAGATTATAATACTGCATTTTTACTGTACCTTTTCTATGTTTAGATACACAAATACCGTTGTGTTACAAGTGCCTACAGCATTCTGTACAGTATCACGTTGTACAGGGGCAACAGGCTATACCCTATAGCCTAGGTGCATTTGGTTTGTGGAAATATAATCTGACAAAATTTCCTAATAACACATTTCTCAGAATTTATCCCCATCATTAAGTGACACATAACTGTACTAGTTAGTCAAAGCACTCCCTTTAGCCATTTTTCCATCTCCTGCTCATCAAGATTGCTAACAGGTATATTGCCCATATTTGTTTACAAAAAGATCTTTCCATTCCTCTTGAAATACAACACCTACTTTTTTTCTGCAAAACTTTCTGAAGGCTCCTCTTCTAATGTCTAAATTAGAATATGCATCCAAATCCCTATAGCACTGCCTTCCTTGGCTGTAATAAACTCACAAATTACATACTGATTTCTCTCAAGATTCTACTTTACCAGTCAATTTTCTCCTTGATGATCAGAATTAGGCCATAAGTCACAGATGTCTAGTTCTCCTTCTGATATGAAAATAACGTCAGCTATTAATTTATCAAATGAAACAGGTTGTATTTATTTATGTATAGTTTTTCCCAAGAGAGTCAACTATAAAAGCATCTCTTTTGTTTGCCTAACTTCTCACTACAACTTTTTTTTGTTTGAGGTTGTAACTCCTTCTAAGTAGTCATCTTAGTACAGCTTCGGTTTATCCCTGTTCGGACTTCTAAAAATATATTTGAACCAAAACACTTTCCAAGAAAAAATATTCTACCTAAGGAGAGTTTAACGTTACTATAGCCAAAACAACATGAATTTTTGCTGAAAAAACATGGAAATAAATGAATTTGTATGTATACATATTTTCAATCTTATCATAAACTAGTGTCTTAAGTAGTTCTAGGTTTACTAATTACAGCTTCCATTAAATGAAAATGTAAACAATTCTTTAATAAAAATTAAATCTATATCACAAAATAGGTTTCATGTGGAATAAGACGAAACATTTATACCATGAGGGATGATATGTAATAAAGCCCCTACTTGAAATGATGTCTTTAACATCTATGTTATTACTGTACTAACTTAATTAGGTATTGCCATACATAGATGGCATAAAAAATTTCACATCACTGTCTTCACATAGTGTAATAATTAATGTTCAAATAAAACCTATGTAAGCCCAACTTTTTAAAGTCATCTATGTGAAAACATAATAGTGATTTGATCACAAGCATTCCTATACACCAATAATAGACAAACAGAGAGCCAAATCATGAGTGAACTCCCATTCACAATTGCTATAAACAGAATAAAATACCTAGGAATACAACTTACTAGGGATGTGAAGGAACTCTTCAAGGAGAACTACAAACTACTACTCGAGTAAATAAGAGAGGACACAAACAAATGGAAAAACATTCCATGCTCATGGATAGGAAGACTCAATATCATGAAAATGGCCATCCTGCCCAAAATAATGAGAAAAAAGAGATGGTGGAGAGGATGTGGAGAAAGAGGAATGCTTTTACACTGTTGGTGGGAGCGTAAATTAGTTCAGCCATTGTGGAAGACAGTGTGGCAATTCCTCAAGGATCTAGAACCAGAAATACCATTTGACTGAGTAATCCCATTAATGGGCAGTAGTGTCCCAAAATTTATACAGATTCAATGCTATCCCCATCAAGCTACCATTGACTTTCTTCACAGAATTGGAAAAAACTACTTTAAAGTTCACATGGAACCAAAAAAGAGCCCTTATAACCAAGACAATCCTAAGCAAAAAGAACAAAGCTGGAGGCATCACACTACCTGACTTCAAACTATATTACAAGGCTACAGTAACCAAAACATCATGGTACTGGTACCAAAACAGATATATAGACCAATGGAACAGAACAGAGGCCTCAGAAATAATACCACACATCTACAACCATCTGATCTTTGACAAACTTGACAAAAACAAGAAATGGGGAAAGGATTCCCTATTTAATAAATGGTGTTGGGAAAACTGGCTAGCCATATGCAGAAAACTGAAACTGGACCCCTTCCTTACACCTTGTACAGAAATTAACTCAAGATGGATTAGACTTAAGCATAAGACCTAAAACCATAAAAACCCTAGAAGAAAACCTAGGCAATACCATTCAAGACATAGGCATGGGCAACGACTTTATGACTAAAACACCAAAGGCAATGGCAACACAAGCCAAAATTGACAAATGGGATCTAATTAAACTAAAGAGCTTCTGCACAGCAAAGGAAACTATCATCAGCATGAACAGGCAACCTACAGAATGGGAGAAAATTTTTCCAATCTATCCATCTGACAAAGGTCTAATAACCAGAATCTACAAGGAACTTAAACAAATTTACAAGAAAAAAACAAAAACCTCATCAAAAAGTGGGCAAAGGATATGAACAGACACTTCTCAAAAGAAGACATTTATGCAGCCAACAAACATATATAAAAAAAGTTCATCATCACTGGTCATTAGAGAAATGCAAATCAAAACCACAATGAGATACCATCTCATGCCAGTTAGAATGGCAATCATTAAAAAGTCAGGAAACAACAGATGCTGGAGAGGATGTGGAGAAACAGAAATGCTTTTACACTGTTGGTGAGAGTATAAATTAGTTCAACCATTGTGGAAGACAGTGTGGCAATTCCTCAAGGATCTAGAACTAGAAATGCCATTTGACCCAGCAATCCCATTACTGTGTATATACTCAAAGGATTATAAATCATTCTACTATAAAGACACATGCACACGTATGTTTACTGCAGCACTATTCACAATAGCAAAGACTTGGAACCAACCCAAATGCCCATCAATGATAGACTGGATAAAGAAAATGTGGTACCATTTTATATATCATGGAATACTATGCAGTATACCATGGAATACTATGCAGTATACCATGGAATACTATGCAGTATACCATGGAATACTATGCAGCCATAAAAAAGCATGAGTTCATGTCCTTTGCAGGGACATGGATGAAGCTGGAAACCATCATTCTCAGCAAACTAACACAGAAACAGAAAACCAAACACCACATATTCTCACTCATAAGTGAGAGGTGAACAATGAGAACACATGGACACAGATAGGGGAACATCACACACCAGGGCCTGTCAGGGGGTGGGGGACTAGGAGAGGAATAGCATTACAAGAAATGTCTAATGTAGATGATGAGTTGCAAACCACCATGGCACGTGTATACCTATGTAACAAACCTGCAACGTTCTGCACATGTATCCCAAAACTCAAAGTATAATAATTTAAAAAAAGAAAACATAATAGTGATTTGATGGCTGCTAAGAGTAAAGAGCCTACCGCCCATATCAATAACTCTGAGTTCAAGTGGTTGATAAGAATAACGAATACTCTCAAGGAGTCTATATAAAACTAAGTTTAAAAAAGCAGCCAAAGGAACTAACCAGAAGAGATGCTGGTGATATGACCAGAGAAAAAAGTTAACAAAATAGAAAGGTGGGATACCTAAGGCAAAGGATGATGGTAACTAAAAGAGAAATAGGTGTTGAGCAGAAGTAGGTTCAGGAAATAGCAACGTTCTCATCTAAAATAAAAAGATTATATTATGTAAACTGGTTGGCCTTTTGCTGCAGAAGACCTCATTAGTTATATGAAGAATTGTAAGTAATCTTCATATATGCTTTTAAGTATTTTTTAAAAAGAAAGGAAAGAAGAAAGAAGAGGAAACCAGAAACAAATAATCATTACACTATCCAGACATTACATAACATCTCTTACTTGTGAATTTAGATGTATTGAACTTTTAATAAAATAGATTGACTTCACACTTTTAAAATGCTAAGAAAGAAAACAGCTAAGGCAGAAAACTAACCTGAAAACAAAATCAATGGTTTTATATATAAAAGACCTAAATTAAAGAGTTGATACCTCAAAAAGAAAAGTGGTCCATACTAAATAGTAAGATCCAATAAAAGGATCCAAGAGCTGAGATCTGTTGTTGACAGCAGAGCTTACCATTTTCATTAAAATGGTAAGAATGAATAAACTGGGGAATGAGAAAATGGGAATAGGAGGGCAAAGAATTGGATGGTCTGTATAATGTAACCCAGACTTAGTTTAAAGAGCTGATAAGGTTCCCTCCTTGTCATGCCCATTCTGCCTACACAATCAGAACCATATGTGTCAGAAGTGCCTGGGATTAACCAATATGCTATCCCTGACTATTGAAAACAGTATGACACATCCCCTAAGATTCCTGTATATATGCTACATTACTAAAACCAGTTCTAAAGACCCTCACACTCACTGTACAGTAACAATCTGAACTGCCAACTGGTAAATCTGCACTTGTGACAACTGAATGTCTTTGAGACTGACCATTTAAAGGCATGATCTCTATCAACCAGGGCTGAATGAGGATCACATTTTCCCTTTTCTCTGGTGTCCAGGCGCTAATACAGACTACTTCCATGGTCACCCAGGCTTTTGCTGGGTCACCATAGTTCCCAGTTCTCATAAAGAATAAATAAAGGCAAAAGCCAAAATACACTGGTTCTAGCTATAAACATAACCTCTGGAACGGGTGACTGTGAAAAGAAGATTGGGCTAGCTGCCGGCAAGGGGACATTTCTACATTAACATTCCAAAATAAAGAGACTGGTTGGGACTAGAGATGTATGTTTACATTTTAAATCTGAAAATAGGAATATACTTTTATCTGGTTGTTACAAACAGCTTGGCAGATGACAAACAACTTTTCGCCTTGCCTGACCTCTGTTCACTGGTGCACGTCGCATTCTGGGGTGAAGACACTTGCAGCACAGAATGCTCTAAATGTCAACAATAGTACTTCAAAAAATTTCAGAGCACAGGCCTAGAATATGCATGTGCTTTCAGAGCCAGGAAAAAAAATGCAGAGTAGCTGGCAACAATCTGATAAATATAATAACTGTATCCTGAACACAGTAATGTGCAACCTAATATAAATGTTTGCTTAAACCCCAAATGGAAATAGTGTCAAAAAAGGAATACATTTGACCTTTCAGGTAACAACTTTAAAATGCAGTGAACTCTTGCTCATCTGCTTTCACACAGAGAAATCAATTGCACGAGTAATTCAACACGCATGGCAATCAAAAAATCTTGTACCTTTTATTTTTATTTTTAAAGATATTTTTGAGCAGTTTTAGGTTCACAGCCAAATTGAGAGAAAGGTGGAGACATTTCCATATATCACCTGCCCCCATACATGTATAGCCTATCCTATTATCAGTATTCTCCACCAGATACATTTGGTTTTGAAAGTGAGTATTTACCTAGACCATCTACCTTGTGCTAGGCCTCATGTTATTTAGGTGTTGGGGGTCAGAGTGGGTAAAGATATACACTTAAATGTGTAACTAAAATACAACATGCTAAGATTGCTGAAAAGTGGTCTGTACAGTTTTATAAGGGCACAGAGTTCCATAAGACGGCAAAGAGTAAGCCACAAGACTGCAAAGAGTAAGCCTAGTGTACACATAAACTGAGCATCAGGAAGATAGATGACAGATGGATTAAAAACCGTCAGAGATAATACACAAAATATAAAACAAAGTTACCTAGTGCTAATAAAGCTGTGGGGAAAAAGACACTCACCTACATTGTTGGTGAGAATGTGAACTGCTAAGGTCTTTTTGGAAAGTACTCTGGTAATATTTATTAATAAAAGTTACACATATTCTTTGCCATAGCAATGCCATTTCTGGGAATTCATGTTACAAAAGGTAAAAGCATGAGTTGAAAAGGATATTTGTACAGGATGTTTATGGATCATTTTTAGTAGAAAAAAACTGCAAACAACTAAAATGTTCATCAATACATTAATCAAAGGTTAAATAAACTGTGGTATATCCATACTATGGAAAATATGCAGTTATTAACAATAATACTTTAGGTCCGACCTAAGTGATGTTTATTATTTACTGTTTACTAAGAAATGCAAGTGTTGAAGAAGGTAAATAGGATAACACCATTTTTGTAAAAGACAAATAATACCCCTTCCAGAAAATCTTATTTGTATCTGTATATGAATATAGAAATTTTATGAGCATGGAGAAGTGATGGGAGCTGTAGAAGCATCATTTCAGACTTCTAATATTGAATGTGATAAGAGAAGGGGATAAGTCGAAAACAAATATGCACATAGCAAATTGTGGTGGGGGGGATGTTCATGCTATAAAGAAAAAGGAAAATATGTAGAACTCTATAATGTTACTCACTTTCTTATTTCACTCAGGTTTCTTTTCAAATGCCACATCCTCAGAGAGATCCTTCTGGAAGTTATTATGTAGTTGCTGCACTCTAATTTTGTCACATTCTAGCCTTTTACCTGGCACTGTAAGTTTTGCACATTTCTACTTGACATCATATTATATACTCATTTGTTTACTGCTTGTGTCTCTTACTAAAAGGCAAACTCCATGAAGGTGGAAAGAAGGCTTTGTGTTGTTTATTAACATATCCCCAGAACCTAAAATAATGTCTGATACAAAGATGGCAGTCAATAAATATCTGTTGATTCAAGAGTGAATGAATTATATCTCATACATAAAAACAAAAAATACATATGGGCAGGGACAACAAGCTAAAAGAGAAATAAAGACATTGATTTGATCGGGTGATGAAATTGACAGCAACTGATAAGAAGAAAAAAAGGAGGCTTTTAATAAGTAGTAAATTAAATAGTTAAGCTAATATATTTTGGAATGTTGAAAATAGCAAATTCTCAAGTGGGGTGGGCAAGGAGGGAAGAAAGAAAGAGAGGGAAGTCTGGATTACATGAATGACCTAAAATGTGTATGCCTGAGTAATGCTGTGAAAGGAAAGCACAAATGAGAAAATCGTTTTTCCAAATACTTACAAACTTTATCTGTTGGACACAGTGGTACTTCTCTCACAAAACAGTTTTGCTTTGGTTTGTAAACCAATGTATAAAAAGTCAAAATATATTTAACTGGTAGATTTTGGTATTAACATACAGAAAGTAAAACAATAGGAAGTGATGTTGACAAAGCAAGCATTTATAGACTCCTAGAAGAATAAGCACATTCTTGTAATCTAGCCTGATTATGCTTATTTAACACCTAAAGAAAATTCTGAAACTCAAAAAAAAAAAAAAAGTCCACGTGTACCTTTTAAGCACAGGTAGCAGAAATATATACTCTTCTTTTCCAATTACAATAGTTTATAAATTAGATGGTCTCAAATATAATTAAACATAACAAAACAACTGTAATCAGTTACACTATGTTCTTAAACTCTTAATTGAGTATGTGAAAAAATAAAGACCAACACTTAATTTAATTTACATGTTTTCTGGGTAATGTTCTCACTTTTTATAAACTAATATTAAATTAAATATAATTTTTCTTAATAAGGATAATATTTTTACATATAGTTGTGAAAATTCTAATTTTCAAATAAAGCTATCTGAGGGCATCCTGTTATGGTTAAAAGTACACACTGCCCACAGAGACAAAGAACTCTGCAGGAACAATGAACACACTCCTAAGTCCTTCAGTTCACCTACAATCCATGAATATTTTAAAATCATGTATAATATGAAATCTCCACAAGATATGCATTAAACAAAAGAAAGAACTTTTTGTACATTTTGCTAAAAATAAAAAACCCACCACACTTGAAAATGAAATAATTTCCTTGAAAAGGTAACTTGTTCTCTGTCACTATTATTTGGATATCCATTCAAAAAATTTTTAAAACACATTTTAAAATAATAATTGTTATTCTCAAAAACATCAACTGTAGGTTACTTGCAAGAACATGAAATAATTATTTCAGTGACATAGAAAACAAGCTCGTATTATATTCCTACAATACTCATCTTCTATCTTGAAAGGCTCTTATGAAAACCTGTACTATACAACCTTTTTTAACTTCAAGAGCTATCTTATTCTTTCTGTTTAAATAGTAAAGATAAACTGATTTTTACACACATATTAGATTTTCTACAAATGACTAAACACATATTTAGATATCAAATGTGGACATATTTAGTTAAAATCAATTAAACTGAGAAGTCCTTCCCTCTGGCTGTCTATATTTTTCTTTAATCCTGGTCAGTGTAAACCCTTATTACCAGTAATTTGTGACTATAATGCTGAGGAAAAATGCTAGCCTCACGATTTTTGTCATTTCTCCCCCCTCCTCCCCTGCAGGCTGCTACTGTTGATGGCCTTTATGGAAATATAAATTCAATCAGCAGCTGCAAATTTCATGAGACGTCCATCTTCATGCTGAATTTCTAACTGAGTGTCAAAACAATCTGTGGATTTCTCCCTGATGAAACACATATTGAATTGTAAATTTCTGCAATTTCCTCATGTTTGAATTTCAGTTGCAGCAAAATAGTGCTATCTCAGATATATTTCCCATAAGGCTCAAACAAGTAATTTTCTCCTATTCCTTCATTCCATTTAAAGAGTTAACTTTTTTAAAAAGCCATGATATAAAACATCTGCCCCCAAGTGAACAATTAAATTTTCTATATTATTATAAGAAAATGAGCATATAAAAACCATTAATATATGTTTTACAAATAAATTTTCACCCCAAGAGACTTATTTTTTCTATGTGATCTTTATTTACTTACTTATTTATTTTGTAATTAGTGGTAAACAATGCAATAAGCTTTGATAAAATTAGTGTTTTCTATATATGAAGTCAAGACAGTAAATAAATCAAAAGCAGTCACAAAATAATGACTAGTAACTTCAAGGTTAATGAGACACATTTTCATTAAATATTGCCAAGAGTAAAAATATTAAAACATAGAATCAAAACAGAGCAGGCATTCCTCTTAATACATATTTACAGAGTTAATTTTTCACCAAAGAATCATTTTCAACTAAATAGCTAAATAGAACTGCTTTTAAATAACACACTATTATAGAAACCATATTCTTTCACAACTAAATAAGCAAAAATGTTATATGTTTAAAAAAGATATCTTAAGAAATTCATTAAGTAACTTGTATTCCAAGATACTAACTTGTTTTTATAAACATCTTTTATTAATATTACTAACAAAATAATTCATAGTCCTATTTAAAAATTCAACAAGACAATGCAGTAGACAAATCTTACGGATGATCTGTAAAACAAGTAATGAAATCACAATTATCGATTCATTCAATAAATATATATTGAACATCTCCTATGTGCCAGTTATGTTTATGAGGTCATGGGGTTATGGAGATGTGCAGAATACAGTCCTTTACCTCAGAGAAGGCAGTTTAGTTGAGAGGCAAAAAGAAAAAAAAATATTAAAACATAGTAAAATAAATGCTATAAGCTGACACATTATGGGAGGACAAATTTAGGGGAACGCTGAAGAGAGGGACAGCTATATCAATAAGCAGTTATAGAAGCTTTCAAAAAGAGCTGTAGTTTCTAAGGACGTATAGGAGTTAGCCAGGAGAGAAGCAGAAGGAGAGACATTCTAGGCAGAGGGGAGAATACAATTAAACACATGGAAGCATGAAATAGAGGGCCTTTGGAAAACTGTTAGCAATTGGAAACAGAGAACAAGGCTGATATGTAGTATGATAGAATAAGGTAGGCTAGAATATTAAATACTTATTTAAACATTTATTTTTTAAATAATAAAATGTTTATTTAAACATTATCCAGAAAGCAGTGGGAAAATATTTTAAGCAGAGGTATAATAATAATCAAGGATATCTCTCAACAGGATATAAAAGCTACAGTATAATGATTAAGAATACAAGCCTCTGGAGCCAGACTTACTTTAAATAGAGCTCTGCCATGTGCTAACTATGTGATTTGGGATAAGTTACTTTCTCTATTTCTCAATTATCTCAACAGTAAAACAGTGATAATAATACTACATATTGCAGGGTTAGAATGAAAATGACGTGTCTTATAATTATTTGAAGCTATTATTATTACTATTATTATTATCATTTTATAACTTGGTAGGGTCTATCAGTCTAACTTAACATATATGAGGCCTAAAACAAATAAACTTATTAAAATCACCTAGAACGTCCTTTGGCACAAACTAAACATTTGACTTATTTTCACTTAGAAAACATTTACTGAATATTTATTAGGTACCAGATACACACAAAACAAAAAATGTTTGAAAAACGCACTGGAGGGAAAAGAAAAGTTAAAACAATCCCAAAACAGAATTTTTAAAAAGCTATTAGAGAATCAACCAATATCCTTAAAATAGAAAGAAATTAAGAGTCAATCAAATTACATCAATGTTAAAAAAAACAGAAAATTCTTATAACATGGTATAGTCCAAGCCAATATGTAAGGGCTTCCTTCCTGCTCCAAACACAGAGAAATACTGGATAAAATACTTTCAAAATAATACTTTGCTAAAAATAAGAAACAAAAATTCCTCAAGTGCTGGAAACAAATAGAAGTCAAAGCCAGAGCCATAAGCTTAAACAGACACTGTAGCAATCCCCGGGGTTTCAAACTCAGCTCTAGGCTTTAAGGGCTAAGTGCTTGGACATACACCTTTAAATCACTTGCAGGAGTGAAAACATACCCATAGCTGATGTGAGGTGGGGGATCAAGAACTGAGCATCCACCTAAAGCTCACAGAATCAAAGAGGTGTGCTACTCAAGAAAAATTAACTAGAAAAACGTGGCCCATGAACTCTAAGAGGAAAGAAGCCAGTCATTAATTTGAAGCCTTCAATGAGAGAGGGAAAACAGTCACCACTAAAACATAAAAAACTCTACAAGAGTATCCTATATATGTGAGGGTTTTAAATTTACATAATTCCGTGGTGTAAAATTTAAAAGTAACATAAAATCTGACTGGACCCTTGAAATTTTTAAGGACCAAAAGATGTAGATGTAAATAGTCCCACAAAGATACTCACATACTATACTGGACTTCCATAGAATACATAGTCCCTAGTAAAGATGAGCTCATAATAAAAAATTATAAATTGAAGAAACCATCACGAGGAGAAAGCTTTAGCTGATGTAATAAATAGGCAAATTACCCTTCAAATACTACAAATAAAATAATCTAAAACTATAAATAGAATCTGAAAATGACTAAACCAGTAAAAATGTTTAGAATGATTTTTCAAAGACAGAAAAGCCACAATGACAACACTGGTTATGCAAAAAAAAGAACTAAAATATTTTTAAAAGAACCAAAGAGAAATTCAATAAAAAAAAATCACTTAAGAAAAAGAAAACCTCAAGGAATGACAGATTAGAATAGCTGATATGGAGGACAGAATACAATCTGTATCTTTACTAGGCATTCTAGAAGGAAATGACAGAAGAAGGGGGGAACACCTATTTGAAAAGACAGTGGCTGACATTTTCCAAAACTGATGAGCCACATGAATCCCTTCCCGGGTCTAGGAAAAACAAAAATCAGAATAAATAAATTAAAAGAAAAGAAACTCATACCTAAATAAAGTACAGTGAAAATGTAACACACTAAAGGCAGGCCGGGCATGGTGGTTCACGCCGGTAATCCTAGCACTTAGGGAAGCTGAGGCAGGCAGATCACCTGAGGTGAGGAGTTCAAGACCAGCCTGGCCAACATGGCAAAACTCCGTCTCTACTAAAAATACAAAAATTAGCTGGGTGTGGTGGCATGCGCCTGTAATCCCAGCTGCTTGGGAGGCTGAGGCAGGAGAATCGCTTGAACCTGGGAGGCAGAGGTTGCAGTGAGCTGAGATCACGCCACTACACTCCAGCCTGGGCCACAGAGCGAGACTCCGTCTCAAAACGAACAAACAAACAACATCACCACCACCAACAACAAAAACACTAATGGCAAAGAAAGGATCTTAAAAACAACCAGCAAAGGACAGGTCAGATTATCTACAAAGAAAAGATAATTAAAGGTAGATGTCTCATACGCAATAACAAATGCTAGGAAACAACAGAATAATATCCTCAAAGAGCTAAGGAAATATAAGTGTTATCCAAGAATTCTATACCCTATTAAACCATCATTCAGGTCTGTGAGGAAAACAGACATTCTCAGACAAATAAAAACTGAGAATTTATTTCTCCCAGTTTCTTGGGAAATATATGTGTAAAGAAGGAAAACTGAGCATAGAAAGGAGAATGGAATGCAAGAATATGTTACGAGAAAAGATATTGGTAAACACATTAGAAAGTTAAATAAGTACATAATATTGATAATAACAGTAACAGAAAAACTAAGTAACTTGGAAAGAGTAATAGTTAACATTTTTGTCAATTTGTTTGGGCCATGATACCCAGATTCCTGGACAAACGTTATTCAGATGTTTCTGTAAAGTTGTTTTCTAGATGAGGTTGACATTTTAATTAGTAGACTTTGAGTAAAGCAGATTAACCTCCATAATGTGAACAGGCTTCATCCAACCAATTGAAGGCCATAAGAGAACAAAGACAGGACAACCTCTCCTGAACAAGAAGGAATTTTGCCAACATAATATCTTTAGAACCACAATTTTTCCCTAGGTCTCTTGCCCACCAGCCTATCTTGCAGATTGTGGACTTACCAAGCTTCTACAATCACAATTCCTTACAATAAATCTCACTCTCACTTGTTGGTTCTGTTTCTCTAGAGAAGCCTGATTAATGCAGAAGGCATTTAGAAACAAAGGGAAACTAAAATGCTAAACAACACAAGCAAGGAAAGTACAAATGAGCATGGTATGCAAAGGTAAAAAGGCATAATATTAAATACTGTTAAACACATAAATAATATCAATACCAAGGAAAAGAAACAGAATGTATAACATCCAAAACAACAGAGTGGGAAAGGTGGGGGAAGGAAAATGATATAAATAATGTGAATAGACAGAATAAGGGCGTCCTAAAGATGTCTATGTACTAATTCCTGGAACCTGAGACTGTTACCTTACATGGCAAAAATGACTTTGTATATGTGACTAAATTAAGGGCCTTGAGATGAAGAAGTTATCCTGAATTACCTGGGTGGACTCAATGTAATCACAAGAATCCTTATAGAAGGAGATAGAAGGGTCAGAGTTACAGAAAATGTGAGGGAAGAGCAGAGGTCTGAGAGTCAGCGACAGATCTGTTTGAAGATGGACAAAGGGATCACAAGCCAAGGAATGCAGGTAGGCTCTAGAAGCTAGAACAGGGGAAAAAAACAGATTATCCTCTAGATCCTCAAGAAGAAACACAGCCCTGCCAACAACTTGATTTTATCCCAGAGAGACTAATTTTGGCTATCTGACCTCTAGAACTGTAAGATAATAAATCTGTGTTGTTTTAAGCCACTAAATTTGCAGTAATTTCTGACAGCAGCAATAGGAAACTAATACTATGCCACAAAGTTAGAAATGAGAAACGAGTAATAAAAGTAACACCAAATCAAGTTTCCTAATATATTTGGAAACTTCTTTAAATAGCAAAAAAAAAAAAAAAAAAAGGCTGGACGCAGTGGCTCATGCCTGTAATCCCAGCAGTCTGGGAGGCCGAGGCAGGCGGATCACGAGGTCAGGAGTTCGAGACCAGCCTGACCAACATGATGAAACCCCATCTCTACTAAAAATACAAAAATTAGCTGGGCGTGGTGGTACACACCTGTAATCCCAGCTACTCAGGAGGCTGAGGCAGGAGAATCACTGAACCAGGAGGCAGAGGTTGCAGTGAGCAGTGAGCAGAGATTGTGCTGCTGCACTCCAGCTTGGGCGACAGAGTTGAGACTCTGTCTCAAAAAAATAAAGATCATACTCCCAGCTACTCAGGAGGCTGAAGTAGGAGGATTGCTTAAGCCCTGGAGTTGGAGGCCTGCCAGGGCAACACAGCGAGACCTCATCTCTTAAACACACACATGCGTGCATGTGTACACACACACACACACACACACACACATAACAAAACCCACACAGTTCAAAATAATTCATGGGTCAAAGAAGACAGAATGGAAATTATAAGATAATTAAAACTTATCAGAGAAGCCTAGCATAAATGTATCAAATATTCAGAGATGCATCTAAATTATTATTTATAGTAAAATATACAGCCCTGTTTATAACAGAAAACAAAGAAACTAAAAACTGATTATCTAAAATTTAATTCAAGAAATCAGAAAAATAATACCAGTGGGGGTTGGTGGGAAAAGGAAACAGAGAAAGTAGAATATATGAGATAAAAGAGGACAATTATTGCTTAGTGAAACAAAATAAAAAACGATGTAATTAAAAGCTAGTTCTTTGAAAATAATTATAGACAAACATCTTATTAATTGGTCAAGTTTTAAAAGGCAGTGTTAGGAATTTACAAATATATGTAAAAAGCATAAGAGAATGCAATAAATAATGTTATACAAATAAACTTGAAAACTTAAACAGTATAATTTTCCAAAATACATATATTATCAAAATGGATCAAAGAAGAATTAGAGAAACTAAATAGAATCTGCTACTATTAAAGACATTGAATTTGTAGTCAAAAATCTTTCTGTAAAAAACACCAAGACCAGAATATCTAACTGTTAAATTTTCCAGGACACTTAGGAACATCTAACCTCTGTTTTACACAATCTGTTCCAGAGAATAGAAAAAAAGAAGGAAATGATTCAGCTCTTTTTAAGAGGTGAACATAATCTGATACCAAAAATCAGAAGAGGCCAGTACAAGAAAAAGGTAAGGCCCATCTCATTTATAAGAATATATGTAAAAATCATTCATTTTTTAAAAACCAGGTATTTTCCTTATTGTCTTAAAGCTCACGCTGGATGTTTGAAAAAAACAAAATTTATATTTTATCCAGCACTACGGGGTATTTTATAGCAGGAGGGTTTTTTAGCTACATTAGATTGCCTTGTTGCTGGAAAAAAAATAGTCTTTCTAAGAAACTTTAAAATTTTTCTTAATTTGTTATGAACTTATTGAAGTGTACTGCATTTTTTAAAAGAATATTTATTAATATTCTACTTGTACAAAAGAAAAAGAGTTGTAGTTTAGTATCAACCCTCCAAGGAAAGGGGAAGAGTAAAATGAGGGAGGGGAGTGAAGATAGGGAAAAGGAGAGAAGAGGGAAAACAAGAAGAAGGTAGAATAGCAGCTAATACTTATACAGCACTTACTATGTGCCAGACATTCTTCTAAACACTAACAGGTTTACTTGCCTAATCTCCAAAATAACACTATGATGATGGGTACTATTGTTATCCCCATAATACAACTAAAGAAACAAGTGAAAAAAATTACAATCCTTCAATTTTCTTGTGGGATAAGATACTCAGTGGATTCAGAAGCAGCACTAAAAATTAATCCCTATAAATGAAAGGTAACGTTTTGATAATCATCATTTCTACCTCAAAGATTATCTAGCATAATGTCTTTATTTTACAGATGAGGAAATACAGGCTTTTAAAGAGAATGAGAATTACCCACATAAGGTAATAGAACTCTAAAATGACAGTCAGTACAAGAAAACAAATCTTAAGACTTATTTTTTGTGTGTGCATATTGATATTTTATTTGGAAACAATTTTCTTAGGAACTAAAAAGTTTTTCACTATATTGCTAATGGTATTCTAATAACATCCATATAAGATATGCAATAAAATGCAGGCTCTTAAACCATCCATAAGCCTATGGAATCATAATCTCTAGTATAAAATTCAGTTTTGCTGTCACTGTTTTTATTTAAAGTTTCCATTACTTTTATCAGTCACTTAGGGAACCTCCATATAGAGGTGAATGAGAATATACAAATTTAAGAACACTACAAACTACATTTTATTATAAATGCATAAATACATCTCATGTTCTAAGTGGTAAACTGGTATTGAATAAATAAAAATACATTTTATTGCCATTTATATAGCTTAAAATACTTATGTTAAATTCTAATTTGTTAATTAAAACATTAATAAAATTTGATGAACTTAAACCAGTGGTATAATGATAAATGTTTAATAATCTTCTGGGCACAGTTCCAACATAAATACTGATTGGATTAAACTTATTTGAATATTGGAAGACTGTTTCCTTAATTTTTGTGAAATTCAGAATATAATGACTATAGACACGACATGCATTAACATTTTCTCTATCACTTCCTTAAGCACAATCAACAAAAGAATAAATTAAGCCCTGATTTGTAGCATTTGCCAATTCCTGTGGTTTAAATAAATACTCTTTTATGGCTAAGTTCAGGCTCTAACATGATGTCACTAAATGTGAAGTTAGGAAGACACACCCGGTAGCCAGCCATTATATATTATTTTACCATATAAATATGATAGGCATAAATAACCTCAAGAGCATAGATAACAGTAAAATGTAGTAAGCTAATTAGAAAGTACTGAGTTTTAAGTATTTACTACCTTTGTATGTACTTATAATTAAATAAGTTAATATGAGGATGCAGTGGCTCACGCCTGTAATCCCAGCACTCTGGGAGGCCGAGGTGGGCGAATCACTTGAGGTCAGGAGTTCAAGATCAGCCTGGCCAACATGGCAAAACCCCATCTCTACTAAAAATACAAAAAAATTAGCTGGGTGTGGTGACGCATGCCTGTCATCCCAGTTACTCGGGAGGCTGAGGCACAAGAATCTCTTGAACCTGGGAGGTGGAGGTTGCAGTGAGCCGAGGTCAAGCCACTGTATTCCAGCCTGGGCAACAGAGTGAGACTCCATCGCAAAAAAAAACATAAATAAATAAATACAAAGAGACAGGGTCTCCCCTGTGTTGCCCAGGCTAAACTCAAACTCCTGCGCTCAAGCAATCCTCTACTCCTGCCTGTGTGTTTCACAGAGTTGAGACTATAGGCACATACCACCCTGCCCAGCTACTTCAATTTTTACTAATGTTTATATTTAACAACTAGTTTACAAAATTTCCAATCAGTTCTAACGGGCTGGTGCAAGCTGGCTCCACCACACCACTGAAAACCCACACTTTTGCTTTCTGAAATTTTACATAATGAAATTTCACATAAAATCATACATTCATTTTTTTGTCTCAAACATTCTACAAAGTTATCTAATTTAGCAAAAGTCAATTAATTAAAAAAAAAAGTGTGCCCAAAGAAAACCCGAATCAATAATCTATTTGTTTACATTTTTAGTTCAAAGCTTCTACAAAGATTTTTAAATTTAGATTAATACAGAAAGGACTCCCATGCTTAATTCTCTGAGTCTGAGGTGTTTATTTTGCCCTAATATACCCTGTCAACATAACATCAGTATGAATTTGTCTTATTCCAAAATCATCTTATTAGGACATAATCAGTTATTTTAGAACTTACTACCTATTGTAAGCTGTTTGACGCCTACCTCTATCTCATTCGAATAGAAAAAAGCAAGAGTGAAAAGTAGAGAAAGGAATATGCTTTTGATTTGAGGCAAATGTTGAGTTTAAAAATGAAGAAGAGAAAACGAGTACAGTAAGGGACTTGAGCATCCTCAGATTTTGGAATCCTTGTGAAGCCTGGAACCAATCCCCTGAGAATACTAAGGATGACTACTTTCTTCGGGATAGGCCTGATCTTACCAAGTGTGGCCAGGCACCAGGTGCTGGATATCCCAGATACATCAAGGGTACAATGAGAGGTCAAGGTTACACAGGCACGAACAACCTACCAATCCTTTAAACTGAGACTCAATTATTATCGAGATTTATAAGCCATGTTGATGCCTAAAACTACAAGCTTTGACCACTTTACATGACATTCAGATGATTAAAAAACAGAGGCACTTGATCTGGGATCCTCAGGCTTTGGGGAGAGAACTGTTTCACAGACTCCTACCACAATAGCGGAGGACAGCATAGTAATTACTCAAGCATTTATCTCCACCTTAAGAAATATACTCTGTCAAGACAATATATTAGTGTGGTAGAAGGCAAAATTAGTGAAAAAAGAAGAAAGCTTCAAATTCCCTATTGACAGTTATCTCATAGTTTTCCAACCACATAGTTATTTACCAGCTTTCATGCTACATGGCTGCCACCTACCAGAAATGCATTATAATTTCAATACGCATACAATGAAAGCAATCATCCAACAGGATTTCTTTGAAACTAGCCTTATGTCCCCCAATATATAGTTTTGTAATTTCAGTCTTTTGCTTTTTCATCTTATATAACATACCACTCCCTTCCTCTGCCGCCTTTGGTCCTTTTTGAATTTTATATAAAAAGGGTGCCAAATATATATGTGTCTATAATACTTTTAAATCCCAAAGGTAAATCATTTTACCTCTGTATATATATATTTTTTTTTTAGATAGAGTCTTGCTCTGTTGCCAGGCTGGAATGCAATGGCGTGATCTTGGCTTACTGCAACCTCTGCCTCCTGGGTTCAAGCGATTCTCCTGCCTCAGCCTCCTGAGTAGCTGGGATTGAAGGCGTGCACCACCACGCCCAGCTAATTTTTGTATTTTTTGTAGAGACAGGGTTTCACCATGTTGGCCAGGATGGTCTCGATCTCTTGACCTTGTGATCTGCCTGCCTCAGCCTCTGAAAGTGCTGGGATTACAGGCGTGAGCCACCGCACCCAGCCATAAGTCTTTTTTAAAACACAAATCTGTTAGCCACACATCTAATTGTTAAAATATAATCCATAATCACCACCATAAGACAGGGCAAGGAAACTATATATAATCTGTAATTATTTTTGTTGGTTTTTAACCTTTTTGCTTCAGATTTTTTAATCATTTTTAAATAGAAACTTGGAAATTTACAGTACTGATTGCTATTCTGACATGCAGAATTTTCTGTGCACTAATGTGGAAAGATTTCTTAGTACTAAAGGACATCCAGAAATATTTCAACAATCATTAAGTTTTCATGACTTTCATATTAAATACAGAAATATAAGAAATTGGGCCAGGTGAGGTGGCTCAGGCCTGTAATCCCAGCACTTTGGGAGGCCGAGGTGAGAGGATCACTTGAGGTCAGGAGTTCAAGACCAGCCTGGCCAACATAGTGAAACTCCATCTCTACTAAAAATACAAAAATTAGCTGGATGTGGTGGCATGCACCTGTAGTCCCAGCTACTCAGGAGGCTGAGGCAGGAGAATTGCTTGAACCCAGGAGGCAGAGGTTGCAGTGAGCCAAGATCATGCCACTGCACTTCAGCCTGGGCAACAGAGCAAGACCCTGTCTGAAAAATTAAAAAAATTAATTTAAAAAATTGGGTGTTATATTTAGTAACATTTTTAAGTAATTAAAAATAGTGTGTCAGATAAGTATATATTGTTTTAGTCACTGAAATTTTTAAAAGACTCTACCATTAGATATGACCTACTTTCAGAGTTAATAGGAGTTCATGCCTAAGCATGCCTACTTCAAAACGAAGCCAATGTCCCAAAAGTCAGCCTTGCTTGTGATAGTTCTTTGACTTCAATTTAGTCTCAAGAGGTAACAAACAAGAAAAAGGAGAAACAAAAATTCTGCATTATTATTTAATGCCTATATCATGGGTGTTGAATAAATATTAAACATATGCAAAAGATATTCTCTTCTCCCTATATATAGTTAAGAGTTTAACAACTTTCTAAAACTTATAAAACCAAAGATCTGTTATATGGATAACTGACAATAGAAAGTTTATCAGTCTTAGTGTTTCAAAAAAAGCTGCAAATAAGGGTAACAATTATGCCAAAACAAAAATGTTAGAATGGCCTACTCTGAGTTATTTTTACTTAAACTTCTGGAATCAAATATGTGGGGGTTTTCTTCACACCAACCAATTATTCAACTCTCCAGACACCACCTGGGTGTCCTAAAATTGAATTTAATTCAATTATGACACTAAGTCCTAGGAGTTAGTGCAGACTCCATAGGTTACGTCCCAAGACTATTGGTACTTCAGACACAGGTCACAAGTCCCAGGTTGCCATCTGTACTTCCTACCAACCAGTTATAAATTAGGGGTTCCCAGGACTCCCTCCTCAAGTCTGATAATTTCCTAGCACAGCTCACAGAACTCAGGAAGACAATTTATTCACTACCACCTACTTACAATAAAGGATACAAATGAACAGCCAGATGAAGAGGTATATATAGGGTGAAATCTGGAAAGGTTCCAAGCACAAGAACTTCTGTCCCCATGGAGCTGAGGTGTGCCACCCTCCTGGCATGTAGATGTGTTCACCAACTTGTGGCTATTGTCAAAACCTGAAAGCTCTCCAAACTCTGCCATTTAGGGGTTTTCACGGAGGTCTCATTAAATAGGCATGATTGCTTAAATCACTGGCCTTGGTGATTAGCTCAACGTCCAGCCCCTCTCCCCTCTCCAGAGATTGAGGGGGTAAGGCTGTAAATCTCAACCATCTTAATCATGTCTTGGTCTTTCTGGGGACCAGCCCCATTCTTAAACTATCTAGGGGACACTTGCCACCAGCCATCTCATGAGCATACAAGAAACACTCTCATCACTCCAGAGATTCCAAGGGTTTTAGGAGCTGTGTGCCAGAAACTGGAGACAAAAATTAAATATGTATTTCCCATGGTACCACACCTACAATCAAATTCAATAATCTCCAATAGGAATTACTCCAAGGTCAGGTATATAAGTTAGCGTGTCTATAAAGGTGCTTTGCACATGACCTACACATAAATTACTTCTCAGGAATTTCCTAGTATATTTCCAAATTTCTATCTTTGTTTTCTCTAAACTACTATGTTGAATGCTTATTTTATTATCACACATTCTTTTTCACCTAAACTAGGAATTCCTAACTCTACCAAAAAAAAAAAAAGGAGATAAAGTTAGGAACATTAGGACCAAAAGATATCTTGGCTGAGTCTCCAGTGATGCACAACCAACAGTACAGAGAATACATGACTAGAGAAGCACATTCAATGTTATATAATTCAGAGCAGTGAATTTTTTAAAACTGGCTTTATTCAAAATCTTCAAACATTCAGGCAGATGTCCAATAAAAAAGAATAACTAGTTAGAAATAAATCCATTAGCTTTAATATAATCCAAATAAGGCACAAAGCATTAAATCAATATAACACAGAAAAAATCTTAAAATACCTTAAGAGAGTTGAAAGAAATTATTATAAAGGGAAAAATTTCTTTTTATGTACCTTTGAACAAAAGACATTAAACAAAATTAAAATCCAAAAGCTCCAATTGCTCTTCCATAAATTAAGTGTTGAAAAAAAAATTTAATTAAGCTTGAGGGTTTCAAATGAACAAAATTGTACTACCATATTTTTTATTTATCAGCTGTTCCCTGGGGCTGATTAATTTTTTTTAAAAAAGCTACTCTCCAAGTTTCAATAATTTTCTCAACTTCTCTCTTTGAATGCTTGCAACACTAACAATCATTTTTATTTGTTTATGTGACTTAATAGTACCCCAATATGAAGATAATTTTTTTTTATTCCAAGGTAACCAAACTGTTGGAGAAGTTTTTAACTGAAATTGCCCTGTCATGCTATTCACACAATTGCTACTTAGAGAGTTCAAGCAAGATACAAATTTGATTAAACCAAATTATTGTTACAATTTTCAAAACAATTAATTGAAAATGTCAAAGTGAATAAATGAGATTATAGGTGAAACTACTATAGAAGAAATAAATGTGACTTTGTTTGACTATTTTTTCATTTACTTTGCCCCATTTCTTTGTAAAATGTTTTATATTTTTCTGAAAGCTAAAATATTCATTCTAGTTAGAAAAAGCTAAAAATTCTATTAAACAAAAATAATAAAATTGTTTAAAATTTAATTAAATGATTTTTCAAAGTAGAGAAATATAGATCCAAATGTATTCTACAATTTACATTTACTCAACATGAAATACTAATATATATTATTATTCAACATGTCTATATTCAATAGTAAAGTCTTGACACTAAGCAGAATTTTGGAAATTATAAGCAGTTTTAATTGTACACTAATTAAAAAATCATAAAGTACTAGATTGGAAAAGGAAAAAATAACAGAATAAATTTTAATTGTGAATTTACACATGCATATTTACTTAATTTCAGTGAATCGGCTGAAAATTAGAGTAAGCCATATGATTTAGGTAATAGCTATGTCTTCAATATTTGTCTGTTGGGAAGAAACAACAAAATTCATTTAATTTTAAACATGTAAAAAATGTTGAATTTGAGAGTTCTGTAGAAGATCTTGGTGGAAATACTGAGTAGGCAGTTGGATACACTGATTTAAAGCTCAAGAGAGAGGTCTGGGTGGAGATAAGGTCTGAAAATCATCATCATATACAGCAACTGAAGCCAGAGGGATGGGTGAGCTGAAGAAAGAAATCTGGAGGAACATAAAGATGTGAGAGCTGACAGATAATAAGGAATAGTTTGAGAAACCTAAAAAACAAAACAAAACAAAACAGTGTGAATGGTAAAATGAGAATAAGGAAGAAATAGCATTATCAAAGCTTTAAAGACGTTAATTGAGTTGTGAAAAATATTCACTGAATTCAGCAAACAGGTTACCAGTAGTAATCTTATCAAAAGCAGTATGAGTAGATTAATGGAGCTAGAAGCATGCTAGAGCAGGTAAGAAAGTTCATATTGGAGGCATGGACTGCTAATTTATTTTTTTTAAAAAAGAGAACATACTAAACACCTATTTAATGTGCCAGGCATTGAGTTCGGGTATAACGAGATGCTAGGCACTGAGGATATACTGATGAGTAAGACAGCCCTCACAGCATCTACAACCTGCCAGGGAAGACCAATGATAACGTTATCAGTAGAGGATTTTAACTGCATGCAATAGAAACGTTTGCTTAGTTTAAACCTAAAAGGAGATGTTGGATGGCTCACATAATTGTTGGGAGGCTGAAGAAACAGGTTCAGAAGCTATGAAATGAAAAAGGAAACCACTGAAAATGATGCCACAGAACTAGTTCAGTGAAGACCTACCTTATGGCAGCCACCACGCAGCAACAGATATTACAATTTGCACCACTAATCTCCCTGGCACTAAACAACAGGTGATGCCTAAGCTTGAGTGCTCGTCCTTCCCTCTTCCCCTAAATGTTCTACCCAACTAAAACCACTGCCAGGAAGAATTATCTGCTGCTCCCATTTATTTATTTGTATCACTAACTCATGAACTCAAAAGTGGGGCAGACACTTCTCATTGGTTGAGTCTAGATCATATGTCCATGGCCTGGCTACAAGGGAAGCTGGAGGCATGAGTACACAGTTCTTCCTCTGGGGAGGCAGCGGGGAGAGCTCTGCCTCCTAACAAAAATACTCATAAGGCACAGAATTACGAAAACACAGGAAAAACCTCATATGAAGAACAGCTATATCAGCAAGTAAAAATACATAAGGAAGTAACTATGTAACACTAACTTAAGAGAGATATTTATTTTTCTCTCACATAAAGCAGATATGGAGGACAAGACTCCAGGGCTCAAATGGTGACAGATCCATAATCATAAGGGATTCAGGCTCCTTCTATCTGGCTACTCTGCTGTCCTTACAGCGCCATCTCATGACCCAGGATGGCTACTAAAAGGCCAGCCAAAAGGCCAGCCAGCACATTCACATTCTAGCCAGCAGGAGAAAAGGGAAGGGGAAAAGAAGAAAATGCCCTTTCCCTTTAGTGATACGTTACAGAAGTCATACTCAACATATATCTTATTGCCCAAAATTTAATACTAAAGCCAACCTAGCTGTAACAGAAAAGAGCGAATGTAGTGATTTGCTATATGGCAATATGTCCAGCTAAAAATTAGAGTTCTTATTACTGAAAGAAGAAGGGATGAATATATAATGCAAGGCAAATAGCTGCATAAGCCACAGCAAGCCCACAGTGAAAAGCAACCACTAAAATATGTAATAACAGAGAGTGGTAAGACAAGTACAAAAAAGAACTATGAGAACATATAGCACAGGATTCTAACCCAGTCTAGAAAATAGGGAAGGCCTCCCCAGGGAAGATGTATTTAAATGAGAGATAAAGGATGAGAGGTTAGCTAAATGGAAGAGTTGAATGCAGAAAGGAGAGAAGGAGGAGAAGGTAGCTAGAGGCAAGCAAAACATGTGTAAAGACCTATGATACACAGAAAACGAATTGAAGAAGCTGTAGCGGGCTGAAGGATAGAGAGCAAAGGGAAGAGTAGAGTGAGATAATACTTGTCAGAAAGGCAGAGACCAGACACCTTGTAATAATGCCTCCTAAATTCAGCAGCTTAGACTTGATCCTAAGGATGGTACAAAGTCACTGAATTAAAGCTACAGTCATATAATCAGATTTGAAACTCAGAAATCTCACCAAGACCAGAGTGTGAAGCCTGGATTACAGGAGAACAAGGTTGGAGGTAGAAAATCAAGAGGTAGTTATAGTTCAGGAGAAAGTGACAGATGACTAGACCAGGGTAGAGGTACTGAGGATAGAGAGAAGTGGAAGGATTCAAGAGCCTGTTACAAAGTCTAATTGACAGACAATTGAAGGAACATTGGGAGTAAGTCAGAAAGAGTTAAGTCTGACTCTCAGGTTTCTGACTTGGACATCTAGCTGGAAGTGGCATCATTTATTAAGACAAGAAATACTAGAGGAGATGTGGAGTTTTTTGTTTTGCTTTGCTTTGTTTTTTTAGAGGAAGGGAATAATTAGTTTCAGTTTTAACATGCTGATGATTCTGAGGCCCCATTAAATATCTGATTGTAAGCTGTTGTCTTTAAGTGTCTGGAATCAGAACATAGGGAGAATGGATCTGATTTGCTTTAGGGCAATCAGCACTGGAGCCATGAGAGTGAATTCCATGACTTGAAGAAGTACAGTACGACTAGTAATTAGCTGAGAACAGAGCTCTAATTAGCCCAATTACTAAAGAGATAGAAAAAGAAAAACTACAAGACATTTTATTTCACTTCTCAAAGATTCTGTTTTAGTAGGACTGGTAGGTCCAAGGAATCTTGAAATTTAAAAAGTAACTTTAAATTTAATTGATTTAGTTTAATTCTGATGTCACAGGTCAAGAGTATTCTAAGTATCATTGCTATAAATCTGGGCAGTCCAATGAATTAATCTCTTGAGATGCTCTTGAGGGAGGGGGTTGATTCCTTGGTGAGATTAGGAGATGTTACATACCATATCCTGCCTACTATACCCCTATACCTCTACTTTCCCTCTTGGAGAATTCCAGTGCACAATAGCAAATTAAATGCTCCAATAGGTTCTGCATTTTGTTAGATAACCTATTTAACTCTGTTCAACAAATTGTTCCCTCAACTTATTTGGCTTCAGAATACATTTAACTTATAACACCTAAAATATTCTGTGATCTGAAAACGCTGTTAAAGAGTTTTTACAAAATGTAGAAAATATCAGAATGTTGTCTTTCGATTTTCAATTTTTTAAAAAAATGTAGGAAATCACTGTAAACTATGAAGATAACAATAATAGATACGGATTAGTAGAAAAGACCACAGTAAAAGATTTACATGCCCCCTAGAAATGATAATGTACAAAGACAAAAACGGCAGGAATTAAGAACCTCAAATAGAAGACACACTTGGGAAAATAAATAATAAAAGAAGAAAAACTGATAAGACAGACAAGGAAGGCGGTTAGTTCATAAAAAGCCTTGGATGCTACAAAAGCAAACCTCATCCTTCAAGGCCCTAGTCAATATTTCTTCTACAGAGCTTAAAATGATCTGCCTCTATGGAAGAGATAATAGAAAGAAACAAACATAAGATTTGGAATGAGAAGGATCTATGTTTACATTCGGGTTCTGTCACTTATTAACTAAATTAACCAGCCAATATGTGCCACAAATGGTTGATGAAAGTAAAGATAAAGGTGGTAATAATAATACTGATACACCAAGCCCTTTACATACTCATTTACTACTCACAATGCATCAAGATAGGTGAAATCATCCGCATTTTATAGGGAATGAAATTGAAGCTCAGTGCATTTAAGCAATTTTCCTAAGACCTTGAGATTGTTTTGAACATTGAGAGAAATAAGGTGTGGATGAACTATTCTAAAGGCTGTAAAGCTCCATACAAATTTTGGATGTTATTAACTAAGAATGTGAATAAATGCCTTTGCTATCTGTATACACTTGCTTGTTAATCTTTCTTACAAAGACTATTCTTTGTAGTAACATCAATTATCAAGGTTTGAGAGATGTGAAAATCCATTCTTTTTTTTTATTATACTTTAAGTTTTAGGGTACATGTGCACAATGTGCAGGTTAGTTACATATGTATACATGTGCCATGCTGGTGCGCTGCACCCATTAACTCGTCAATTAGCATTAGGTATATCTCCTAAAGCTATCCCTCCCCCCTCCCCCCACCCCACAACAGTCCCCAGAGTGTGATGTTCCCCTTCCTCTGTCCATGTGTTCTCATTGTTCAATTCCCACCTGTGAGTGAGAAGATGCGGTGTTTGGTTTTTTGTTCTTGCGATAGTTTACTGAGAATGATGATTTCCAATTTCATGCATGTCCCTACAAAGGACATGAAATCATCATTTTTTATGGCTGCATAGTATTCCATGGTGTATATGTGCCACATTTTCTTAATCCAGTCTATCATTGTTGGACCTTTGGCTTCGTTCCAACTCTTTGCTATTGTGAATAGTGCCGCAATAAACATACGTGTGCATGTGTCTTTATAGCAGCATGACTTATAGTCCTTTGGGTATATACCCAGTAATGGGATGACTGGGTCAAATGGTATTTCTAGTTCTAGATCCTTGAGGAATTGCCACACTGACTTCCACAATGGTTGAACTAGTTTACAGTCCCACCAACAGTGTAAAAGTGTTCCTATTTCTCCACATCCTCTCCAGCACCTGTTGTTTCCTGACTTTTTAATGACTGCCATTCTAACTGGTGTGAGATGGTATCTCGTTGTGGTTTTGATTTGCATTTCTCTGATAGCCAGTGATGGCGATCATTTTTTCATATGTTTTTTGGCTGCATAAAGGTCTTCTTTTGAGAAGTGTCTGTTCATATCCTTTGCCCACTTTTTAATGGGGTTGTTTGTTTTCACAGAGCCCTGAGAAATAACGCCACATATCTACAACTATCTGATCTTTGAGAAACCTGACAAAAACAAGAGATGGGGAAAGGATTCCCTATTTAATAAATGGTGCTGGGAAAACTGGCTAGCCATATGTAGAAAGCTGAAACTGGATCCCTTCCTTACACCTTATACAAAAATTAATTCAAGATGGATTAAAGACTTAAACGTTAGACCTAAAACCATAAAAACCCTAGAAGAAAACCTAGGCATTACCATTCAGGACATAGGCATGGGCAAGGACTTCATGTCTAAAACACCAAAAGCAATGGCAACAAAAGCCAAAATTGACAAATGGGATCTAATTAAACTAAAGAGCTTCTGCACAGCAAAAGAAACTACCATCAGAATGAACAGGCAATCTACAAAATGGGAGAAAATTTTTGCAACCTACCCATCTGATAAAGGGCTAATATCCGGAATCTACAATGAACTCAAACAAATTTACAAGAAAAAAAATCCGTTCTTTAAGAGATAAATATTGACAGCTTCTTTCTACTATATTGTTCCAAAACCAGAGACTTAGTGCCACTAGTATTTTTGGAAGCTCTGGTTATTCAAACGCCTTGACCAAAATGATCATTAATTTTAAGTAAATAAAAGCTCAAGTTTTCATTACAATATTAACTAACTAGATGGTAATACCTGTACTGCAATACATTCTCTAGACACATCCCTGGTAACAATACGCTATGTTTTAAACACAGTTTTCTAATTCACAATTGCTTAAAAAGAATAAAATAGCTAGGAATCCAACTTACAAGGGATGTGAAGGACCTCTTCAAGGAGAACTACAAATCAGTGCTCAATGAAATAAAAGAGGATACAAACAAATGGAAGAACATTCCATGCTCATGGGTAGGAAGAATCAATATCGTGAAAATGGCCACACTGCCCAAGGTAATTTATAGATTCAATGCCATCCCCATCAAGCTACCAATGACTTTCTTTACAGAATTGGAAAAAACTACTTTAAAGTTCATATGGAACCAAAAAAGAGATCGCATTGCCAAGTCAATCCTAAGCCAAAAGAACAAAGCTGGAGGCATCACGCTACCTGACTTCAAACTATACTACAAGGCTACAGTAACCAAAACAGAATGGTACTGGTACCAAAACAGACATATAGACCAATGGAACAGAATAGAGCCCTCGGAAATAATACCACACATCTACAACCATCTGATCTTTGACAAACCTGATAAAAACAAGAAATGGGGAAAGGATTCCCTATTTAATAAATGGTGCTGGGAAAACTGGCTAGCCATATGTAGAAAGCTGAAACTGGATTCCTTCCTTACACCTTATACAAAAATTAATTCAAGATGGATTAAAGACTTAAATGTTAGACCTAAAACCATAAAAACCCTACAAGAAAACCTAGGCAATACCATTCAGGACATAGGTATGGGCAAGGACTTCATGTCTGAAACACCAAAAGCAATGGCAACAAAAGCCAAAATTGACAAATGGGATCTAGTTAAACTAAAGAGCTTCTGCACAGCAAAAGAAACTACCATCAGAGTGAACAGGCAACCTACAGAATGGGAGAAAATTTTTACAATCTACCCATCTCACAAAGCACTAATATCCAGAATCTACAAAGAACTTAAACAAATTTACAAGAAAAAATCAAACAACCCCATCAACAAGTGGGCAAACGATATGAACAGACACTTCTCAAAAGAAGACATTTATGCAGCCAACAGACACATGAAAAAATGCTCATCATCATTGAGGGCCATCAGACAAATGCAAATCAAAACCTCAATGAGATACCATCTCACACCAGTTAGAATGGTGATCATTAAAAAATCAGGAAACAACAGGTGCTGCAGAGGATGTGGAGAAATAGGAACGCTTTTACACTGTTGGTGGGACTGTGAACTAGTTCAACCATTGTGGAAGACAGTGTGGCAATTCCTCACGGATCTAGAACTAGAAATACCATTTGACCCAGCCATCCCATTACTGGGCATAAACCCAAAGGACTGTAAATCATGCTGCTATAAAGACACATGCACACGTATGTTTACTGCGGCACCATTCACAATAGCAAAGACTTGGAACCAACCCAAATGTCCAACAATGATAGACTGGATTAAGAAAATGTGGCACATATACACCATGGAACACTATGCAGCCATAAAAAAGGATGATTTCATGTCCTTTGTAGGGACATGGATGAAGCTAGAAACCATCATTCTAAGCCAACTATCACAAGGACAGAAAACCAATCACTGCATTTTCTTACTCATAGGTGGGAACTGAACAATAAGAACACTTGGACACAGGGTGGGGAACATCGCACACCGGGGTCTGTCATGGGGTGAGGGGAGCAGGGAGGGATAGCATTAGGAGAATTACCTAATGTAAATGACAAGTTAATGGGTGCAGCAAACCAACATGGCACATGTATACACATGTAACAAACCTGCATATTGTGCACACGTACCCTAGAACTTAAACTATAATAATAAGAAAAATAAATAAATAAATAAAAAAGAATAAATTTACAAGCCCTGTTGAAGTGAAAGTACATTTTATAGCCATATAGGATTTAGTATTCCAGTTGCTGGATTAAGAGTTCTAGGGGCTTAAATGGACTATTTTGGGTCAATGCTATGAGTAATTCACTTTATCTCAGAAAAGTTTTAACTTCTTTTGTATGTGTCTTGGATCTGAAACAGCTCCTTCCATGTCTCTCTCTATGACTGGTAGAGTCACAATGTTTATTTACCTGTAAAAGTGCCAGTTACCATGCTAGTCTGGAGAATTTCTCAGTGAGATCCCAAAGACCTAAAATAGTAGACTTAAATTTACTCAGCCTCCCATAAAATATACAAATATACATATTTTCATGTTATTCCAGCTAAAAAATGTCTGAAACATCTAAAATCCTTCAGTTCTAATGTTTAACAATCTCAAGAATGCTCTTTTATTCCCTTATATGATACTCCAGTAGATTTCACAATTAAAGCTTTTGAAATACTCCTCAATAGTAGTTTACAGTTGGTTATCCATTATATCAGACTCTTGTATTATTAAAAAAATCAATTTCAGTTTTTTAAGTGTTATCCTTTACATTGGGTAGCATAATATAATTGGAATATGGTACTAACTCATTGATTTAATTCACAGGAAATCATGTTTGCTATAAGAAAGTACATGAGATATATGAACATAGAAGGGATATCTGTAAGCCAATAGCACGGGAAAAGAGAAAAAATAAAAACAAATAAGACAGAAAACTTAGTGAACACAGCCACATAGGATAAATAAATAACATAGATGCAAATAGCCTAATAAACTTCAAAGGACTATAAAGGCACAAATATTTTACAGGATAGGCAAGTAAGCAGTGGTCGTTATTACAGTGTAAACTATCATGCAATGTTTTCAAGAAAAAAAAGAAAGGATACAGGCATCGGAGATGTTTACTAAAAGTACAGATTTTAGGGCTGGGCACAGTAGCTCGTGCTTGTAATCTCAGCACTTTGGGAGGCCAAGGTGGAAGGATCACTTGAGGACAGAGCTTCAGGACCAACCTGGGCAACAGAGTAAGACCTCAATCTCCTAATAAAAAATAAATAAATAAAAAATAGCCAGGCATGGTGGCACATGCCTGTAGTCCTAACTACTCAGGAGGCTGAAATGGGAGAAGGAAGAATCACTTGAGACCAGGAGTTTGAGGTTGCAGTGAGCTACGATCATGCCACTGCACTCCAGCCTGGGTGACAGAGCAAGATCCTGTCTCTTAAAAAAAAAAAAAAAAAAAAAGTATAGATTTTTTTTCAAAGAAACCCAGCCATCCAGGATATTTTTCTGGGATTCAACATATCTGAAGTTCTGGTGTATTGCTATTTACATTTCACATAGGGGACTGCCATAAAAATTAGTTATCTTATCCTAATCATGATGCCCCAAGGATATAACCCTTTATTTGATGGATAGTACCTTGTTTTATTCAGCGTACCAGAAAAATTTTACCTGGCTCATAAATAAAAAGAGTTCTCCTTATTTAAATTTTAAATTGGAATATTGATAGTAATAAAAAAGAAACATTTTTGCCATTTCAGCAACAAAACTTGAGACAATATTCTTAGAATTATAAGAGTTAAAAAACTTCAGAAGCAGTATATTCCAAAGGCCTTCTTAGCCAGTTTTCTAAAGTACGGAACGATCAATAAAAATCAGCCTGTAACTGTACCTTCCAAACGTTGATTGCAGAGAATCTGTGCATTCAACAGAATGCCAAATAGTACTGGCAGACATTTATGGAAAGAGAATGCTATGTTTGCATTGTTCTGTTAATAGCATGCTAACAAGTATATTTCCTGTAGAGTCACAAATGGACAGAAAAAAATATATAATAAAGCAGTGAATAGTGGACAGCCATTCATGTTCTATTGGTCTACAGTTACTAGACAGAAGAAAGAGTAAGTCCTATAATCTTAGGAGCTGTAAAAAAGAATCCTCTCTTGTTAAATCTCAAGAGAATCTGAAGAGGGAATAAAAGAGAAAAAAGTCAGACAGATTATGCTGTCAATTTTAGTTGTCATAATGTGCTTCAGAGATAAAACATTCCTCCGAATGCCAATTGAACAGATGGAAATTTTCATTTTTGGTTAACTGGATGGAAGAATTGGACCAGTACCTAAAATGACATTGAAATGAAGCTCAAACCCCCTCCCACAAGAAGGAAACAGATGCATCACTCCAGATACAAAATAAATTATTGAACAGTGCATATATTATATTGGCATCATTGTATCCAACTGTACATCTGCACAATGTTTTAGTCTCCTGGTGAGAGAACAGACATTTCTGAAAGGGAAAATAGGCAACTATTGAAGTGAATCGGATAAGTATACCATTTGGGTAAGAAAAGCTGAACACTTCACTGAATTTGAAGTTATTCATGTTGAGGAGAAGAAAGAACCATAAATTATATTGATTCCAATGTCCTTGAACTTACAGATTGAATTACATGTAGTCTATTCTGAAATATAAAATCACGTTTTCAGGATTTTCATAATCTTAAATCAGAATGAATAAGAAAAAATATGACTACTTAAGATCCTAAAGGAGTTAAGGCTGAATACCCTCCTTGCTTGATCTGACAGAGAAGTAAGTGATACATTAAAGTAAAACTACAATTCTTATCTTAAGCTAGTATTAGAGAGGACTCACAGAATAGGTAACTGAAAGGAGACCTGTTTGATGATTTAAAGTTAATAAGCAATCCTATGAGTTGTGAACTAAGGAAAGAGTTGAGTTGAGCTCCTTTTGATTCTCTGAAGTTCCACCTATACTTTCTGACAATGCTGTCCTGGTTGGTCCTTTTGCACTGCTCTCATCGTCATCTCTTGCTTATTGATGGAGCTGATCCATGTAGGCAGCTTGCACCACCCTACACTGCCACTCAGTTTTCCTACCAACCCTTTCCTCTCTTTCTCAACTCATTAAATCCTTAGTCCAGCTGCTAAGGAAATATGACGATACTAGTTTTAGAGGGCACGTCAAATAAGAAGGATTTATCATTTTGTTTCATTTTTAAGGTGTAGTATTTGTTGGCATTGGGCCAGCAGCATTGCTGTGTTATATAAGGTGACCATATAAGAAGGTTTGATCACGGGATGTGGATGATGCCTGAGATGCCAAACCCTGAGGTTAGTACCTAAAAGAGAAAGGAGCAAGAGAACAAATGTCTTCAATATAAAAATATTTTATAGTTTAATAATAAAAATTCTGACTTTTTATTTATTAAGTTATCCATCACAAGGTAATAAGATTTTACTAAATATCTAAAGTCATAAAATATTTTCCGAGACATGATTTCTAATCAAACTACATTTAATAAGGATTCAGTATCTTAAAGACAAACTCTGTATGTCTCGACTATTAGAATAGCATAGGTGGGGAAAATACTTTCAGGGCAACCCTAAGAAAAATACTGATGGAGAGCAGACAGCACATAAGCGTGATGAACTATGAGTCTATATACATTGGTGCACAATCTTCACAATGGTTTTCCCTTCAGAAATAAAAGTTGTACAGGGAAATTATTCATTGCGTTCTCCCAATCATTTTTAAACACAGGCAAATGTGAAATAGTGAAGAGCTCATTAAAGATATAGAAGACAAATATAACCTAAAAGTAAAAGTATAAGGAGGTTGGGCCCATCTGGACTTATTAGTCAGAGAAAAGCCTTGAGGGGAATTGCTGTGGATGTGGGATAGGGGAAATAGTTAGAAGGTAATTGGGAAAGGGGAACTCAAGTTGGCTCCCTCCCTGGGGTGTTTCTGCCAAAGAAAGAGAATAAGAATAGAACCTTCAGGAATAGTATCATATGGTGGCTGGACTCCCAAAGAGAGTGCTGCTAGAAAAAGGCCATGGTATAATATGGTAATGATTCACAGATGAATAAGAGAAAGAAGTGGAGCAGAAATCATATTTTGTGTATCTGCCTCATTCCAATGCTCTCTCTTATTTAAACTTAAGCTGTTCTATGGTTTCTAGGCATATACCCATTCTCTATTAGTATCTCTCAATGTTATTCTGTAATTAGTCTTATACTAACATGAGTGGAGATTTCATTAATTGATAACCTAAAGCAAAATATTTCAGAAAACATGCTACATATACCAGGTGCTCTATCTCCAGCAGTCACTGGTCATAAGACTAACAAAAGTGGCTGATAGACAAAGGAGCCAGGTGAAAATTCCTCATCTACAGGGCAAAAGGCAGGTAGGAGTTCCAGGTCTTCTTAAATGAGAACCGAAAGAGAGCCAAAAGGGTTAACCTGAAGAATGCAGTGTGTTTTCACTTCAGGTTAAGTCTGACTCTAAGTTAATTTCATTGTTGTTAGAGATAGATAATTAACAGCCTTATTTGGATATAGTATACTTTCTTAACAAACATAATATTAACATGTCATTTACTTACCATAAACATGAAATAAATTAATTCTAAATAAAGCATTTCTTAACACAGATAATACAGCTTAGAAAGTGTTGAAAGGTAACCTCTGAACAAACAGTACACACAGAAATCTCATGGTAAATCTGATGGGGGCTGGTTTTACCTCTCTAAGTGTAAAGCCTGAAATGGGACAGAGAAAAGCTGAATTGCTATTAATGAAACCATATGTGGCAAATGAACACTAAATCTACTCATTTTCTATCAAAAAAGAGCACCAAATACTAAAGCTCTTTTAATTCCCTTGTTCATCTTTTTTGTTGGGCAGATGATTAGTACATTTTTAATACTGACAAATTCCATAGTCTGTCAACCACTGATCCTTAAACACTATGAAGATTTTATTAAACTCCTCAGCAATCAATGATAACAAGTTTAATTTTTTCTTTTATCATATGGTCTTCTAAAACTTTTTTATTTTGTCCATCAAAAGTCATTATGCAAATTCCAGACCAAAAAAAATTTCTCTCAATCTGGAATTCTAAACATTGTTAGTTTTTCTGATTTGCAAACAGTGAAAAACAAACACAAACAACAAAAACCAAATCATGCAACAAAGCAAAATAGTAAGAGATCTAATTTTTGGAGAACTTTCTCTAATTCTGGAATAAGGTACTCTGACTCCATAGCAAACATTTTCAAAAATATACTGTATGTAAAGACACTGATATTGACAGCATTCATCCTACAAACTAGTGTAACTAGTTATTCTTTCTTAAAAACTTGAGGGAAAATCCACATAACATAAAATTTACCATTTTGAAGTGTACAATTCAGTGGCATTTAGCATGTTCAGAACTAATCCCTCTATCTAGTTCCAAAACATTCTCACCACCCCAACAGAAAAACCTATAACTATTAAGCAGCCACACTGTTTTCTTCCCTCCCCTAACCCTGGCAATTTGCTTCTCTATCAGTGAATTTACTTGATCTGGATATTTCATATAAATGGAATCATACAATACGTCCCCTTTTGTGTCTGGCTTCTTTACTTAGGATAACATGTTCACAGGTTCATCCATGTGGCAGCAAGTATAAATTAGTACTTCATCCTTTTTATGGCTGAACAATGTTCCATTGTATGTATATACCATATTTTGTTTACTCATTCATCCATTGATAGATGATTGGGTTGTTTTTTGCCTTTTGGCTATTGTAAATAGTGAAGCTACGAACATTTGTGTACAGGCATTTAAGTATCTGTTTGAATTTTTGTATATACCTAGGAGTGGAATTGCTAGTTCCCATGGTAATTCAATGTTTAACTTGAGGAACAATCAAACAATCAATATCTAGTGGGAAGACTGCTCTGTGGAAAACGTATTTGAGAACTTTTATGCTCCTTATGCATCTGGGGTAATGTGTCATTATTTTCACTCAACTTTCATTGGTCTTCTAGGATTTGAAATATACACAATCTACTACATTGAAAACATTTACCCTGAAAGCCTCCAATTCCATTTTCTCTACCATAGGAAGTAGCTTCATACTTCATAGCATACTAAAAGTGTAAGTTGGTACAGTGTCCTCAAATTCTCAAAAATTAAAAAAAATAAATCTCTGAATATAATGGGTCTCCTATATGGAAAAAAATCTCACCTTAACAACAAGTTAGCTAGCCAAAAAATAAATTTAAAAGTTATGAACAATTGATAAAAATTTTTATGCAGTTAGGTCATACATTGAGAAGGAAGCCAGAGAAAGGTTTCACCTACTTTGTGGAATACTGTTGGAAGGAGAAAAAAAAAATGGAATTTTTACAGGAAAAACAGGATGATCACAGAGATTAGGGTTAAGTCATAGCATTTTTCACTCTGAAGAGAGCACATGACTCGAACCCCATCACATTTTATAGTTTATTCATTAATAGCCAAAGACTTCTGTTAAATAAGTCTCTGATTCCAACATTCATGCCTATTAATGGGATAAAAATAGGTTTTCATCATGTTGGGAAAAAATACAATTTTATAAGCCTACTCCACATATTAATTTTTTTAAAATACATTATAAAAGGTTATCAAGCTACTATAGTTCCAAAATAGCATTAATTTCTTGTTGCTACAACAATTTATTTGGAGGTTTCACATACCTTATTTCATAATTTTCAAAAACCAAATATCATTTAAAATCATCTATAATAATACATTCTAGAAAGAAGAAAGTAATCATTAAATTTTTTTTGTTTCTTCAGTATCAGTTTCTCAAAGGACACTATCAAATGTTACCAATAACAATTAGCCTTACTAAAATTAAAGATCTAAATTTGTTGGTTTATTTATTCATTCATTTAAGTTTACATTGCCCAAAATGTTCCTGAACATGTTAGCTTTTAGACAATTTAAACAGTACCTACAAATTTCATTTTGCTGGCTACAAACCTGACCCAGATTTATAGTTTGAGAATTCTAGAGTTTAAAATTTTGACTATTTTCTACCCCTAAAAGAAAAGACATAGGTTGGTATCACTTGTTGGCTGGGAGGCACATTAGTGCTTTGCTGCCAATAATTTAGTAGGAAGCCTGGAAGGTGGCCAATGAACCAAAATCTAGGATGATAAGCCTTTCCCCAAGATGGTAATACCTCATTTACAGTCAGCTATTTTACACACTTAGAATTTTTGTTCTCTCATAAGCATATAAAGAAAGAATATAAGAGGGAGGGAATCCAAGCACAATGGAGGGAATCCAAGCACAGTGAAGTGAAGAACGGAAAAGCAGATCCTGAAAACTTTTATTTGTTTATGGGTGTAAAATGGCAGTCCTTAAACTAATTTGAAAAAGGAAAAATATAATTTTATTAGTTATGAATAATTATGCTCAATTCTTTTATTTTCTAGTTAAAATCTAATGTCATATCAAAATGTTGTCAAGACTAACCTTCCAGTTTATGAATCAAAGGTATGTTATACAAAGAGAGCTCAATAAAGTTTTTAAATTCCATCGTTAGCAGCATCTTTATCATACCTGTTTGATCTAAACAATCCCTTATATGGGTGACTAAATTCTCACATTGGCTTTGACTCATTTTCCTTTCTTCTAGCTAACTTATTATTTTTACAATATTTCCAATGTCTCAGTTATTTTACTAATGAAAACATCTTAGTGAAGTCATATACAGTTGTAAGAATACTCCACAATGGGGTCAGACAGACCTTTTTAATGAGTTACAAAAGGGACTGACTAGAAACTATAATGAAATCACCAAACCTTTATGTTGATAAACATAAGCCACATTTATAACACACTATTTGGGCTACTGCTGTTAATATGCATCAATGCCTCTATTATAAAAACCATCTGTTTTCAGTTTGGTGAACTAGCTATAGAGCTTGATATTATTCTGATAAATAGAAGATTGTTTTTAGAAGAAAAACAGGTGAGACAGAGGGTAGAGCATGATGGAGAAATAGAAAGCTCCACCAATTGTCCCCCCAACAAGAACAGCAATTTAACAACCTTCTACACACATGAAAAGGATACCTTCATGAGAACCAAAAATCAGGTGAGCTTTCATAGTACTTGGTTTGAACTTCATATCCCGGAAAGAGGCACTGAAGAGACAAAAAATCAGTCCTGAATTGCCAGTGCCACCCCTCCCTGACCTCAGCAATTGTAAGGCACAGAACTCAGTGCTTTTCTGTTAGAACCAGAAAGCCAGACCAAATTGAGCTAAGCCCGCCTACAGAGGGAACATCAAAATCAGCCCTAGCCAGAGGGGAATCACTAATCCCAGCAGTTTGAACTTAAGTACTTGCAAACCTCACCACCAAGGCCTGTAGCACTCTTGTCTCCAAGTAAGCTTGAAGGCAGTCTAGGCCATAAGGATTGCAACTCTTGGATGAATCCTGGTGTTGAACTAGGCTCAGCGACAGTGGACTGGAAGGGCACAGTCCACTGTGGGGCTGCCAAGGGAGTGTTGGCATCACCTCTCTCCTAACCCCATGCTACACAGCTCCCTGCTCCAAAATAGACCCCTTCCTTCTGTTTAAGGAGAGGAGAGGGAAGAGTCGGGAGGACTCTGTCTTACATCTAAGGTATCAGTTCACCCAAGGCAAGACTGCGCAATGGTCAGAGTTGTCAGGCACCTGTTTCAGGGCCTAGCTCCCAGATGACATTTCTAGATACACCCTGGTCCAGAAGGAAACCCCCTGCCTTGAAGACAATGACACATCCTGGCAGCATTCATAATCTGCTAATTGAAGAGCACTTGAGCCCTGAGTAACCAGCAGAAACACCCAGGTACTACATCGAGGACCTTGGGTCAGCCTTGGAGACTTGCTGGTTTCAGATACCAGCACAGCCACAGTGGGGTACAGCACCAAGCAGGTTCTTAGAGTCCCCAGTTCTATGACTTGGCTCTTGGATGGCATTTTTAGACCTACCCTGGACCAGAGGGGAGCCCACTGTCCTGAAGGGTGAGTCCTAGGCCAGGCAGCATTTAACAAAAGCAGACTTAAGAGACCTTGGGCCTAAAAGAAACATCAGGGGTAGTCTTGTAGTACTTCCTTGTGGCCTGGGGTGGCGGTGGCCTTTGAAATGGGGAGGGACATTGGGAAGGACTGAATCTTGTGGTTTGAGTGCCAGCTCAGCCACAATACAAAAGAACCCCAGGGAGACTTCTAAGGTTTTTCACTCTATTCCCTGACTCCCAGACGGTACTTCTGGACCTTGCCACTCTGAAGGGAAGGACACAGCCTTGGCTGGCTTTCACCTGCTGATTGAAGAGCCCCAGGGCCTTGAGTACATATAGGCAGTAGTGTAGCCAGGGAGTGGTTACAGCAGGCCTTGGGCAAGATCAAGTGCTGTGTTGGCTTCAGGTCTGACATAGTGTAGTCATAGTGTTCATGGCCATAGGGATGCTTGTTGCACTTCACCCCTGGCTTTAGATGGCTTAGAACAGAGAGACAGAGAGGTTCTGTATGTTTGGGAGAAAGAGAAGAGTACAAGAGTCTCTGCCTGGTAATCTAGAGAATTCTCCCAGATCATGTCCAAGACCATCAAGGCAGTACCTCTATGAGTCTGCAAGAACCACAGCGTTACTGAACTTGGGGTGCCCCTTAAAGCAGATACAGCTTAGAACACAACACCAAGTCCTTTCAAATATCTAGAAAGCCTTCCCAAAAAGGACAGCTAAAGTAAGTCTAAACAGTGATGACTATAATACCTAACCTTTCAATGCCCAGACACTGAAGAACATCTATTTGCATCAACACCATCCAGGAAAACATGATCTCACTAAATGAACTAAATGAGGCACTAGGTAACTATTTGGGAGAAACAGAGACACGTGACCTTTCAGACGAAGAATTCAAAATTGCTGTATTGAGGAAACTCAAAGAAATGCAAGATAACTCAGAGAAGAAATTCTATCAGATATAGTTCACAAAGAGAGTGAAATAATTAAAAAGAATAAAAATTCTGGAGATGAAAAATGCAATGGGCATACTGAAGAATGCAGCAGAGTCCCTTGACAGCAGAACTGATCAAGCAGAAGAAAGAATCAGTGAGCTTGAAGTCAGGCTACTTGAAAATACACAATCAGAGGAGACAAAAGAAAAAAAATAAAAAACAATGAAGTATGCCTACAGGATCTAGAAAATAGCCTGAAAAGGGCAAATTTAAGAGTTACTGGCCTTAATGAGGAGGCAGAAAGAGATAAAAGTGGAAAGTTTATTCAAAGGGATAACAACAGAGAACTACTCAAACCTAGAGAAAGGTATCAGTATCCAAGTACAAGAAGGTTATAGAACACCAAGCTGATTTAACCCAAAGAAGACTACTTCAAGACATTTAATAATAAAACTTGCAAAGGTCAGGGATAAAGAAAGGATCCTAAAAGCAGCAAAAGAAAATAAACAACAATGGAGCTCCAATATTAATGGTAGCAGCGGCCATCTGGAGTGGTTGCTGCCATCACCCAGTCCACAGCAGGGAAGCACGGCCAGGGCTACACACTCCACAGACCCTGCAGAAGCTGGGAAAAAGTGGGAGCCCTGCTCTTTCCACGTTGGTGGAGCGGGAGTTCCCCAGGTGCAGCTGCAGCTGCCCAAGTGACAGAGTTGTGGCTGTGGACCCGGGCCTCCCACTCCTGGAGCAGGCAGGAGCCACACCCTGCCAGGTGCAGCTACAGCCACCCAAGCCACAGTTACAGAGCCGGGCATCTGTGCACTCTCGGGAGACTGAGAAGGCTCCTCCTGCCCCAACAGGCTCAGAAGTGTCTGCTCCCGCTCCTAGTGCCTGCTCCTATCTTGAAGCAAGTTTGGGACTGAGTCCAGGCACTGTCATAGCCTAGCTGGGTGTGTGCCATGATCAGGGCAGTGCTGACATGCCAGCCCCCGCCACCTCAGCCCCCTCTGGATTTTGGGCACCAATGAGCATGGGAGGGAAGCCGTGGGGGACTGAGGGCAGCTCAGCACTGGCCTGCAGGCGCCCCTTGGCATGAATAGCCTGGGCAGAAGGGAGCAGGTCCCCACTGAGGCCCCACCTTCAGGTCAGGCAGGGCCTAAAGGCAGGAGGCCAGGCTGCCAGTCTTGCAGACCAGAGAGGGAATTTATGGTGCCTTTTCAGGACCTGCTCATGGACAAATTGGTAGGCACTTCCTCCCCTCTGAGGCCCATAAAAGCCCTGGGCTCAGCCAGAGCTGAGCAGACACCAGGACAACAAGCTGCAAAGAGGAACTACCCACTCCAGGAACTCCTCTCTGCTGAGAGCTACAGACATCGGGGTGATCAGCTGCAGAGAGGAGCTATCCATTCCAGGGCCTCCTCTCTGTTGACAGCTGCAGATGTTGGGATGACCACCCGCAGAGAGGAACTACCCACTCCAGGGCCTCCTATCTGCTGAGGGCTAAACACTTAACATGATGACCAGGTTGCAGAGAGGAGCTACCCACTCCAGGGTCTCATCTGAGCTTTTCTGTCACTCAGTGATGCTCCTCTTCACCTTGCTCACCCTCCACTTGTCCACATACCTCATTCTTCCTGGACTCAGGAGAACTTGGGACCTGCCAAATGGCAGGACTGAAACAGCTGTAACACAAACAGGGCTGAAACAAACCCCATGCTCACCACATTGTGGGTGAACAGAAGAGCTGCAACTCTTCAGGGAGCCCAGACTTGGGAGTGCCCCAAGCCAGGGCTGTGACTCCCTCTTTGGGGCCTGAGGTTCCTGGAGTATCTAAGCTGCTAGGCGACACCACGTTCCCCAGTGACAGCTATGGAAGCTGCCTGCAGTGTGGTCTAGCTGCAGCCTCACAAAGAGCCAGTGCCCATGCTGCACCTGGAGCTGCCCGCCCTGCTGCAGCAGCTGGTGTGCCTGACTGTGTGCAGTGGCTGCACCTCACACTCACTAGCTCACATACCTCTTGCCGCTCCATGTCTGGTTCACCCTTGGCAGGCATGGGATCCAGACCAGTAGCCTGAGCCAAGCACGGCCTGCAGGTCCAGTGTGTGGAACGAGACCAACAGTCCCAAGAAAAACTCAGGCAAAGGTGCCACAGGCCAAAGAGGTTTCTGGCCAGAAAAGTGACACCTTAAGGATCCTGCAAGAAGATGTCTGGCAGCCAACTTTTCAGTGAAAACCTTACAGGACAGGAGAGAGTGGCCTGATATATTTAAAGCACTAAAGGAAAAAATTTTTAAACTTGAATAGCATATCTAGTGAAAAGATCCTTCAAACATGAAGAAGAAATAATTTCCCAGACAAAAAAAAAGCTGAGGGGTTTCATCAATACCAGAGCTTCCTACAAGAAATGCTAAAGGGAATACTTCTATCAAAAAGGACATTAATGAGCAATAAATAATCACCAGAAGGTACAAAACTCACTGGATATAGTAAGTCCACAGAAAAACACAGAATATTATAACACTGTAACTGTGGTGTAGAAAGACAAAACGATAAATGAATTAAATAAGTAGAAAGACTAAATGATGAATTAATCAAAAATAATAATGTCTCACCATATATAAAAATCAAATCAAAATGGATTAAAAAAACTTACATCTAAACCTCAAGCTATGAAACTATTATACTAAAAGAAAACAGTAGGGAAACTCTCCAGGACATTGGACTGGGCAAAGATTTCTTGAGTAATACCCCACAAGCACAGACATCCAAAGCAAAAATGGACAAATGGGATCACGTCAAGTGTCAAAATGCTTCTGCACAGCAAAGGATACACTCAACAAAGAGAAGAGACAACCCACAGAGTAAGAGAAAATATTTGCCAACTACCCATCTGACAAGGGATTAATAACCAGAGTATATATGAAGAGCTCAAACAGCTCTACAGGGGAAAATCCAATAATTAGATCAAAAAATGGGCAAAGATTTGAATAGACATTTCTCAAAAGAAGACATACAAATGGTAAATAGGCATATGAAAGAGTGCTCAACATCACTGATCATTAAAGAAATCTAAATCAAAACTACAATAAGACATCATGTCACCCCAGTTAAAATGGCTTATATCCAAGACAGGCAATAACAAACGCTGGCAAGGATGTGGAGAAGAATGAACCCTTGTATACTGTTGGTGGGAATGTGAATTAGCAGAACCACTATGGAGAACAGTCTGGAGATTCCTCAAAAAAACTAAAAATTGAGCCACCATACGACCTGGCAATCCCTCCCCTAGGTACATACCCCAAAGAAATGAAACCAGTGTATCGAACAGATATCTGCCATGTTTATTGCAGCATTATTTACAATAGCCAAGATTTGGAAGTCACCTAAATGTACATTAACAGATGAATGAATAAAAAAAGGTGGTACATATACACAATGGATACATTCAGCCATAAAAAAAGGTGATACTGTCATTTGCAACAACATGAATGGAACTGGAGATTGCTATGTTAAGTGAAATAAGCCAGACACAGAAAAACAAATATCACATATTCTCACTTATTTGTGGGATCTCAAAATCAAAACAATTGAACTCATGGAGCTAGACAGTAGAAGGATAGTTACCAGAGGCTGGGAAGGGTAGTAGGGTAAGTAGGGATAGTTAATAGGTACAAAAAAGAGTTAAAAAGAATAAATAAGACCTACTATTGACAGGACAACAGGGCAACTATAGTCAATAATAATTTTTAAATAACTTAAAGAATGTAATTGATTGATTGTGACTCAAAGTATAAATGTATAAGAAAATGGATACCCCATTCTCCATGATGTGCTTATTTCACATTGCATGCCTGTATACATAATCTCATGTACCCCATAAATATATACACCTACTATGTACCCACAAACATTTTTAAAAACATTTTTTTAATTTAAAATAAATAAATAAAAGAAAAACAGGTGAAACTTTATAAATGCATCAGACTGCAACACATATTAATGGCATTAAGAAAATTTTCAATTAGTTCAAAAGTGTTAATTGGTCTATTTTGTGGTATGCACTAATAAAAAGTAGCATAGTAAAAAAATCACTTTGAAAATTTTTTGTTCAACTATACCAGGAAAATACAGCCTGAGTTCGTAGGAGCTTTGGGCTAGTCACAAACTCTCCAAATCTCAGCTGCCTCATCCATAAATGAAGAAAAGGACAGATCCAAAAGGCTCTGCATTGACAATCCATATCTGGGAGGAAATAATAGCGTCTTAAAGTTACACACACACACCTAGAAATACACAAAATTAAAAATTTTAATGATAATGATTTATCTTTCATCTTCAAGGTGGTTACGTGATTTCTGAAATAAAATTGGAGTTAAAACATATTTAAATTAGAAATACTTTTTAATACAAATTATGCTTAGACTTTTTGTAAAAATTTGCTATATAGAAAACTACAAGTACAAAGTCAATCCTCTCATGTGAAAACATTAAAGATAAAGGCAGGAGGATTACTTGAGCCAAGTAATTCAAGACCAGCCTGGGCAACATAGCTAAATGCTATTTTAATAAATACATAAAATAATTTAAAAATGTACATAACATTTATATATTCTACTTCTACATTTAATACCTTATGAATTGCTCATAATTTCACTTTTTAATTTTTAATTTTAGGGGTACATAGTAAGTGTATATATTTATGGGGTACATATTTTGATACAGGCATATAATATGTAACAATCACATCACAATAAATAGGATATCCATCACCTGACCATTTATCCTTTGTGTTATAAACAATCCAGTTATACTCTTTTAGTTATTGTGAAAAGTACAATAAATTATAGTTGACTGTAGTCATGCTATTTTGCTATCAAATACTAGGTCCTAGTCATTCTGTATATTTTTGCAACCATTAACAACTCCACTCCTCCCCGGAACCCTTCCTAACCTCTGGTAACCATCACTCTACTCTCTATCTTCATGAGTTCAATTGTTTAATTTTTAGCTCCCACAAATAAGTGAGAATATATGAAGTTTGTCTTTCTGTGCCTGGCTTATTTCACTTAATAAATGTCCTCTAGTTCCATCTACGTTGTTGCAAATGACAGGATCTCATTCTTTTTTATGGCTTAATAGTACTCCATTTTATATATGTACCACATTTTCTTTTTTAAAAAAATTTCTCTTTTAACTTTCACTTTAGGTTCAGGAATGCATATACACGTTTGGAATACAGGTAAACTCAGCTCATGGGGGTTTGGTGTACAGATTATTTTGTCACCCAGATATTAAGCATAGTACCCGATAGGTATTTTTTCTGATCCTGTTCCTCCTCCCACCCTCTGACCTCAAGTTTGTCCCAGTGTCTGTTGTTCCCTTTGTTGTGTCCACGTGCGTTGTTACTTAGCTCCCACTCATAAGAGAGAACACATGCAGTATTTGGTTTTCTGTTCCTGTGCTAGTTTGCTAAGAATAATGGTCTTCAGTTCCATCCATGTTGCTGAAAAGGACATGATCTTGTTTTTTATGACTGCATAATATTTCATGGTGTATATACACTCCATTTTCTTTACCCAGTCTGCCATTCATGGGTGCTTGACTCCATGTCTTTGCTATTGTGAATAGTGCTGCAATGAACATACATGTGCATATGTTTTATGGTAGAACGATTTATATTCCTTGGTGTATATACCCAATAATGTGATGGCTGGGTTTAAAAGTAGTTCTAAGTTCTTTGAGGAATTGCCACACTGATTTCCACAATGGGTGAACTAATTTACACTCCTACCAGCAGTGTATAGGTGTTCCCTCTTCTCTATAACCCCTCCAGCATCTGTAATTTTTTGATTTTTAAAATAATAGCCATTCTGACTAATATAAGATATCACGCTGTGGTTCTGATTTGCATTTCTCTAATTATTACTGACGTACAGCATTTTTTCATATGCTTGTTGGCTGCATGTATGTCTTCTTTTGAAAAACATCTGTTCATGTGTTTGGGTTTTGCTTATAAAATTTGTTTAATTTTAATTTTCCTTACAGATTCTGGATAGTAGACCTTTGTCAGAAGCACAGTTTGCAAATATTTTCTCATATTTTGTAGATTGTCTGTTTACTCTGTTGATAGTTTCTCTTGCTGTGCAGAAGCTCTTTAGTTTAATTAGATCCCATTTCTCAATTTTTGCTTTGGTTGAAATTGCTTTTGGTGTCTTTGTCATAAAATATTTGCCAGTTCCTATGTCCAGAATGGTATTGCCTAGGTCATCTTCCAGGGTATTATAGTTTTAGATTTTGCATTTACAGCGTTATATTCTTGAGTTGGCTTTTATATATGATGTAAGAAAGGGGTCCAGTTTCAGTCTTCCACATATACCTAGCCAGTTATCCCAGCATCATTTGTAGAATAGGGAGTCCTTTCCCCATTGCTTGTTTTTGCCAGCTGTGTCAAAGATCAGATGGTTGTAGGTGTGTGGCATTATTTCTGGGCTCTCTATTCTGTTCCATTGGTTTATGTGCCTGTTTTTGTACCAGTACCATACTGTTTTGGTTACTACAGCCCTGTGGGTGTAGTTTGAAGTCGGGTAACATTATGCCTCCAGGTTTGTTCTTTAAGCTTAGGATTGCTTTGGCAACTTGAGCTCTTTTTTGGTTCCATATGAATTTTAAAAGTTTTTTTCTAGTTCTGTGAATAATGCTATTGGTAGTTTGATTAGAATCACACTGAATCGCAAATTGTGTTGAGGAGTATGGCCATTTTAAAAAATATTGGGTTCTTCCTATCAGTGAACACGAAATGTTTTCTCATTTCTTTGTATCATCTCTAATTTCTTTGAGCAGTGTTTGTAATTCTCATTGTAGAGATCTTTTACCTCCCTAGTTAGCTGTACTCCTAGGTATTTTATTCTTTTTCTGGCAATTGTGAATGGGATTGCATTCCTGATACGGCTCTTCACTTGCATGTTGGTGTAAAGAAATGCTACTAATTTTTGTACATTGATTTTGTATCCTGAAACTTTGCTAAAGTTGTTTATCAGCTCAAGTTGCTTAAGCTGCTTTTTGGCCAGGAGTATGGGGTTTTCTAAATATAGAACCATGTTTTCTGCAAACGGATAGTCTGACTTCCTCTTTGCCTATTTGGGTGCCTTTTATTTCTTTTTCTTGCCTGATTGCCCTGGCTGGAACTTCCAGTATTATGTTTAATAGGAGTGGTAGGAGAGGGCATTCTGGTCTTTTGCCAGTTTTCAAGAAGAATGCTTCCAGCTTTGCCCATTCAGTATGATGTTGGCTGAGGGTTTGTCATAGTTGGCTCTTATTATTTGCATTCCTTCAATGCCTAATTTATTGAGTTTTTAACATGAAAGGATGTTCAATTTTTATCAAAAGCTTTTTCTGCATCTATTGAGATAATCACATGGTTTTTGTCTTTAGTTCTATTATGTAATGAATCACATTTATTGATTTGTGTATTTTGAGCCAACTTTGCATCCCAGGGATAGAGCCTACTTGATCATGGTGGATTACCATTTTGATATGCTGCTGGATTGGATTTGCTAGTATTTTGCTGAGGATTTTTGCATTTATGTTCATGAAAGATATTGGCCTGAACTCTTATTGCTATTGTTGTTGTTGTATCTCTGCCAATTTTGGTATCAGAATAACACTGGTTTCATAGAATGAGTTGGGAAGAAATCCCTTCTCAATTTTTTGGAATATCTTCAGTAGGAATGGTACCAGCTCTTCTTTATACATCTGGTGGAATTCAGCCAAGAATCTTTCTCATCCTGGGCTTTTATGGGGGATTGGTAGGCTATTTATTACTGATTCAGTTTTAGAGCTCATTATCGGTCTGTTCAGGGATTCAATTTCTTCCTGGCTCAGTCTTGGGAGAATGTATGTGTCCAGGAATTTAGCCATTTCTTCTGGAGTTTCTAGTTTGTATATATAGAGGTACTCATAGTAGTCTCTGATGGTTATCTGTATTTCTGTGGGGTCAGCGGTAACATTCTCTTTCTCAATTCTAATTTTGTTTATTTGGATCTTCTCTCTTTTCTTCTTTGTGTACTTAACAGTCTATATTATTAATTCTTTCAAAAAAACTATCTCCTGGATTCATTGGTCCTTGTATGGTTTTCCATGTTTCTTTTTTTTTTTTTTTTTTGAGACAAAAGAGTCTCACACTATTATTGCCCGGGCTAGAGTGCAATGGCATAATCTCAGCTCACTGCAACCTCCACCTCCTGGAATCAGGCGATTCTCCTGCCTCAGCCTCCTGAATAGCTGGGATTGCAGGCACCCGCCACCACGCCTGGCTTATTTTTTGTATTTTTTTAGTACAGATGGGGTTTCACTATGTTGGCCAGGCTGGTCTTAAACTCCTGACCCTGTGATCTGCCCACCTCAGCCTCCCAAAGCGCTGGGATTATAGGCATGAGCCACCATGCCTGGCCAGTTTTTCATGTTTCAATCTCCTTCAGTTCAGCTCTGACTTTGGTTATTTTTTTTGTCTTCTGCTAGCTTTGAGGTTGGTTTGCCCTTACCTGTCTAGTTTTTCTAGTTGTGACATTAGGTTGAGAACTTTCTAATTTTTGATGTGAGTGTATAGTGCCAGAAATTTCCCTCTTAATGCTGCCATATCTGTGCCCCAGAGATTCTAGTATGTTGTATCTTTGTTCTCATTAGTTTCAAATAACTTCTTGTTTTCTGCCTTAATTTCATTATTTACTAAGAAGTCATTCAGGAGCATGTTTAATTGCCATATAACTGTATAGTTTTGACTGATTTTCTCCAAATTAAATTCCATTTTTATTGTACAATGTACCACATTTTATCCAGTCATCTCTTGATGGACACTTAGCTTGCTTCCAAATCTTAGCTATTGTGAATAGTGCTACAATGAACACAAGAGTGTAGACATCTCTTTGATATACTGATTTCCTTCCTTTTGGGTATACACATAGCAGTAATATTGCTGGAGCACATGGTAGCCCTATTTTTAGTTTTTTGAAGAACCTCCAAACCATCCTCCATAGTGATTATACTACTTTACAATCCCATCAGCATGGTACATGGGGTCCCTTTTCTTCACATCCTCACCAGTGTGTTGTTGCCTGTCTTTTGGACACAAGCCATTTAGCTGGAATGAGATATCTCCTTGTAGTTCTGATTTTAATGTTTCTCATAATCAGTGATACTGTTTGGCTGTGTCCCCACCCAAATCTCATCTTGAATTGTAACTACCACAATTCCCACATGTGGTGGGAGGAACCCAGTGGGGAGGTGATTGAATTATAGGGGCGGGTCCTTCCTGAGCCGATCTCATGATAGTGAATGAGTCTCCTGAGATCTGATGGTTTTAAAAATGGGAGTTTCCAGGATTAAGAAACTCATTCAAAACCACTCAACTACATGGAAACTGAACAACCTGCTCCTGAATGACTACTGGGTACATAACGAAATGAAGGCAGAAATAAAAATGTTCTTTCAAACCAAAGAGAACAAAGACACAACATACCAGAATCTCCAGGACACATTTAAAGCAGTGTGTAGACGGAAATTTATAGCACTAGATGCCCACAAGAGAAAGCAAGAAAGATCTAAAATTGACACCCTAACATCACAATTAAAAGAACTAGAGAAGCAAGAGCAAACACATTCAAAAGCTAGCAGAAGGTAAGAAATAACTAAGATCAGAGCAGAACTGAAGGAGATAGAGACACAAAAAAGCCTTCAAAAAATCAATGAATCCAGGAGTTGGTTTTCTGAAAAGATCAACAAAATTGATAGACCACTAGCAAGACTAACAAAGAAGAAAACAAAGAAGAATAAAACAGACACAACAAAAAATGATAAAGGGGATATCACCACCAATCCCACAGAAATACAAACTACCATCATAGAATACTATAAACACCTCTACGAAAATAAACTAGAAAATCTACAAGAAATGGATAAATTCCTTGACACATACATCCTTCCAAGACTAAACGATGAAGAAGCTGAATCTCTGAATAGACCAATAACAGGCTCTGAAATTGAGGCAATAATTAACAGCTTACCAACCAAAAACAGTCCAGGACCAGACGAATTCACAGCCGAATTCTACCAGAGGTACAAGGAGGAGCTGGTACCATTTCCTCTGAAACTATTCCAATCAATAGAAAATGAGGGAATCCTCCCTAACTCATTTGATGAGGCCAGCATCATCCTGATAACAAAGCCTGGCAGAGACACAACAAAAAAAGAGAATTTTACACCAACATCCCTGATGAACATCGATGCAAAAAACCTCAATAAAATACTGGCAAACCGAATCCAGCAGCACATCAAAAAGCTTATCCACCATGATCAAGTGGGCTTCATCCCTGGGATGCAAGGCTGGTTCAACATACAAAAAACAATACACGTAATCCAGCATATAAACAGAACCAACAACAAAAACCACATTATCTCAATAGATGCAGAAAAGGCCTTTGACAACATTCAACAACCTTCATGCTAAAAACTCTCAATAAATTAGGTATTGATGGGACGTATCTCAAAATAATAAGAGCTATCTATGACACACCCACAGCCAATATCATACTGAATGGACAAAAACTGGAAACATTCCCTTTGAAAACTGGCACAAGACAGGGATGCCCTCTCTCACCACTCCTATTCAACATAGTGTTGGAAGTTCTGGCCAGGGCAATCAGGCAGGAGAAGGAAATAAAGGGCATTCAATTAGGAAAAGAGGAAGTCAAATTGTCCCTGTTTGCAGATGACATGATTGTATATCTAGAAAACCCCATCGTCTCAGCTCAAAATCTCCTTAAGCTGATAGGCAACTTCAGCAAAGTCTCAGGATACAAAATCAATGGGCAAAAATCACAGGCATTCTTATACACCAATAACAGACAAACAGCCAAATCATGAATGAACTCCCATTCACAATTGCTTAAAAGAGAATAAAATACCTAGGAATCCAACTTACAAAGGGACGTGAAGGACCTCTTCAAGGAGAACTACAAACCACTGCTCAATGAAATAAAAGAGGATACAAACAAATGGAAGAACATTCCATGCTCATGGGTAGGAAGAATCAGTATCGTGAAAATGGCCATACTGCCCAAGGTAATTTATAGATTCAATGCCATCCCCATCAAGCTACCAATGACTTTCTTTACAGAATTGGAAAAAACTACTTTAAAGTTCATATGGAACCAAAAAAGAGCCACATTGCCAAGACAATCCTAAGCCAAAAGAACAAAGCTGGAGGCATCATGCTACCTGACTTCAAACTATACTACAAGGCTACAGTAACCAAAACAGCATGGTACTGGTACCAAAACAGAGATATAGACCAATGGAACAGAACAGAGCCCTCAGAAATAATGCCGCATATCTACAACTATCTGATCTTTGACAAACCTGACAAAAACAAGAAATGGGGAAAGGATTCCCTATTTAATAAATGGTGCTGGGAAAACTGGCTAGCCATACGTAGAAAGCTGAAACTGGATCCCTTCCTTACACCTTATACAAAAATTAATTCAAGATGGATTAAAGACTTAAATGTTAGACCTAAAACCATAAAAACCCCAGAAGAAAACCTAGGCAATACCATTCAGGACATAGGCATGGGCAAGGACTTCATGTCTAAAACACCAAAAGCAATGGCAACAAAAGCCAAAATTGACAAATGGGATCTAATTAAACTAAAGAGCTTCTGCACAGCAAAAGAAACTACCATCAGAGTCAACAGGCAACCTACTGAATGGGAGAAAATTTTTGCAACCCACTCATCTGACAAAGGGCTAATATCCACAATCTACAATGAACTCAAACAAATTTACAAGAAAAAAACAAACAACCCCATCAACAAGTGGGCAAAGGATATGAACAGACACTTCTCAAGAGAAGACATTTATGCAGCCAAAAGACACATGAAAAAATGCTCATCATCACTGGCCATCAGAGAAATGCAAATCAAAACCACAATGAGATACCATCTCACACCAGTTAGAATGGCAATCATTAAAAAATCAGGAAACAACAGGTGTTGGAGAGGATGTGGAGAAATAGGAACACTTTTACACTGTTGGTGGGACCGTAAACTAGTTCAACCATTGTGGAAGTCAGTGTGGCGATTCCTCAGGAATCTAGAACTAGAAATACCATTTGACCCAGCCATCCCATTACTGGGTATATACCCAAAGGTTTACGAATCATGCTTCTCTAAAGACACATGCACACGTATGTTTATTGCGGCACTATTCACAATAGCAAAGACTTGGGACCAACCCAAATGTCCAACAATGATAGACTGGATTAAGAAAATGTGGCACATATACACCATGGAATACTATGCAGCCATAAAAATTGATGAGTTCATGTCCTTTGTAGGGACATGGACGAAGCTGGAAACCATCATTCTCAGTAAACTATCGCAAGGACAAAAGACCAAACACCGCATGTTCCCACTCATAGGTGGGAACTGAACAATGAGAACACATGGACACAGGAAGGGGAACATCACACACCAGGGCCTGATGTGGGGTGGGGGGAGGGGGGAGGGATAGCATTAGGAGATATACCTAATGTTAAATGATGAGTTAATGGGTGCAGCACACCAACATGGCACATATATACATATGTAACAAACCTGTACGTTGTGTACATGTACCCTAAAACTTAAAGTATAACAAAAAATTTAAAAAATTAAAAAATAAAAACGGGAGTTTCCCTGCACAAGCTCTCTCTTTTTTGCCTGCTGCCATCCATGTAAGATATGACTTGCTCCTCCTTGCCTTCCACCATGATTGTGAGGCCTCTGCAGCCATGTGGAACTGTTAAGTCCATTAAACCTCTTTCTTTTGAAAATTGCCCTGTCTCAGGTATGTCTTTATCAGCAGCATGAGAACAGACTAATATAATCAGTGATCGTGAGTACCTTTTCATTTACTTCTTTGCTGTTTGTGTGCCTTCTTTTGTTGTCACACACAAGCTTTTCAACATGATGTAATCCTATTTGTCCATTTTTGCTTTGGCTGTTTGTGCTTGTGGGGAAATTTTTGCCCAGTTCAAAGTACTGAAGTGTTTCTCCAAAGATGTCCTTTAGTACTTACAGTCTGAATTCTTATATTTAAGTCTTCAGTCTATTTTTATTTCATTTTTGTATATGGTGAGAGACGGGTCCAGTTTCATTTTTCTACATATGGATATCCAGTTTTCCCAGCACCATTTATTAAAGAGACTGTCTTTTCCTCACTGTATGTTCTTGGCATCTCTGCTGAAAATGAGTTCACTGTGGATGTACAGATTTACTTCTGGATTCTCTATTGTGTTCATTGGTCTGTGTGTCTATTTTTATGCCACTATGATGCTGTTTTGGTTAATATAGCTCTGCTAATAAAAACTTTACACTGTCTCCCCACTTTTTAACTTTGTGTTGTTTCTATTTATATCTTATTGTACTATGTCTTAAAAAATTGTTTTAGTTATTATTCTTGATCAGTTCATCTTTTTGTCTTTCTACTTAAGATATAAGTAGTTTACACACCATAACTTCAGTGTGACAGTATTCTTTGTTTTCCTGTGTACATATTATTACCAGTAAGTTCTGTATCTTCAGATGATTTCTTATTGTTCATTAATGTCCTTTTCTTTCACACTTAAAAACTCCCTTTAGCATTTTTCATACAACAGGTCTGAGATCAATGAAGTCCCTCAGGTATTTTGCCTGGGAAAGTATTTCTCCTTTATGTTTGAAGGACATTTTTGCCAGATATACTATTCTAATATATGTATTTTTTCTTTCAGCATGTTAAATATGTCATGCCACTGTCTCCTGACCTGTAAGGTTTTTACTGAAAAGTTGGCTGCCAGATGTATTGAGCTCCATTGTATGTTATTTGTTTCTTTTCTCTTGCTGCTTTTAGGATCCTTTCTTTATCCTTGACCTTTGGGAGTTTGATTATTAAATGTCTTCAGGTAGTCTTATTTGGGTTAAACCTGCTTAGTTGTTGTATAACCTTATTGTACTTAAATACTGATAACTTTCTCTAAGCTTTGGGAAGTTCTCTATTACCTCTTTGAATAAACTTTCTACCCCATCTCTCTCTTTATCTCCTTTTTGAGTTCAGAGTCTCAGATTTGCCCTTATGAGGCTACATTCTAGATCTTGTAAACATACTTCATTCTTCTTTATTCTCATTTCTTTTGTCTCCTTTGACCGTATATTTTTAAATAGCCCATCTTCAAGCTCACTAATTCTTCTGCTTGATCATTTTTGCTGTTAATAGACTCTGATGCATTGTTCAGTGTGTCAACTGCATTTGTCAACTCCAGAATTTCTGCTTTTCAAAAAATATTTTGAGTGCAGTGGTGCAATCTCAGCTCACTGCAACATCTGTCTCCCAGACTCAAGTGATCCACCCACCTCAGCCTTCTGAGTAGCTGGGACTATGGGCATGTGCCACTGCACCCAGCTAATTTTTTGTATTTTTAGTAGAGACAGGGTTTTACCATGTTGCCCAGGATGGTCTCGAACTTCTGACCTCAAGCAATCCACCTGTCTTAGCCTCCCAAAGTGCTGGGATTATAGGCATGAGCTACTGCACCTGCCCTGCTTGATCTTTTTAATTATTTGTATTTCTTTGTTAAAATTATCTCATAGAATACTGAATTCCTTCTCTGGAATAGGAATAGGATTACATCATGTCTTTGGGTTTTCTCAATACAGTTATTTTGAATTCTCTGAAAGGTTACATATCTCTGCCTCTCCAGTACTGGTCACTGGTGCTTTATTTAGTTTGTTTGGTGAGATCATGTATTCCTGGATGGTTTTCATGCTTATGGATATTCGCTGCTGCCTGGGCATTGAAGAATTAAGCATTTATTGTAGTCTTCACAGTCTAGACTTGTTTGTACTCATCATTCTTGGGAAGGCTTTCCAAGTATTCAAAGGGTGTTATGATCTTTGGTCTTTGGTCATTGCGGTAATATCTGCATTAGGAAGTACCCCAAGCCCAGTAATGCTGTAGTGCTTGCTGGCTTATTGAGGTACACGTTGGTGGTCTTGGGTAATATGCAGAATTCCCTGGATTCCCTGGCAGACATTTTCGTCCTCTTCCCTTAACAGAGTCTCTGTGTGCAGAGCTGCCTGGAGCTGGGGGAGAGGTAAAACAAGCATCCCTGTGGTCACCACTAGTTGTATTGCTTTGGATTAGATTGAAAGCCAGCACACACGAGGTCTCACTAAGGACTACAGTGACCAATGCCTGGCTACCCCATCTATGTTCTCTCAAGTCCAAGGGCTCTACAATCAGCAGGTGACAAATCCAGCCAGGCTTATGTCCTGTTTGCTTCAGGGGAGCAAGTTGCTCCTGGCCTTGGGCAGGTCCAGAGATGCCATTCAGGAGCCAGGGTTGGGAATTAGGGACCTTAGGAATCTACCTGCTGCTCTATTCCACTGTGGCTGAGCCGGCACCTGAGCCACAAGACAAAGTTCTTCCCAGTCTTCTCTCCCTTTTCCTCAAGTAGAGAAGTCTCACCCTATGGCCACCACTGCCCGAACCCTGAAGGGAGTATGGTCTGGCTACCACCATTGTTCACTCAAGGCCCAAGGGCTTTTCGGCCAGCTTATGCTGAATACTGCCAGTCCTGAGTCTCTCTCCTTTTAGGATGCTGGGCTTCCCTCTGGCCCAGGGCAGATCCAGAAATGCCACCCAGGAGCCAGGGCCTAAAAGTGGGGGCCCCATGAGCCCACTTAGTGCTCTACCCTGCTGTGGCTGAGCTGTTACACAAGCTGCAAAACAAAATCCCCTTAGTCTCCTCTCTCCTTTCAAGTAGAAAAAGTCATTACCCGTAGCCACCACAGCTGGAATGTGCTGGGTCACACCTGAAGCCAGAATAGCTCTGAATCTTATCTGAAGCCAGCAGTGAGTACTGCTTAGCTACTACTGCTGATTATTCAGGGCCCAAGGCACTTTTGTCAGCAAGTAATAAATCCTGCAGGGACCAGGTATTTCCCTTCAAAACTGGATTTCCTTCTGGCCTAGGATGTGTCTAGAAATGTCATCCAGGAGCTAAAACCTGAAATGGAGGTCTCAGAACTCTGCCTGGTCCTCTATCTACTGTGGCTGAGTTGGTATCCAAGTTGGAAGAACAAAGTCGTGTTTACGCTCCCTTCTCCTTTCTTCAAGCAGGGAGAAAGAGGTTTTCTTAGAATTGCGAGCTGCACTCCCTAGGGTTAAAGGAGGGGTGACACAGGCACTCACTTGGGCATCCCAGCTGGTGTCTCACTAGGTCATAGGCACCGCAAGTCCACCATCTCCGAGCCCAGCATAGTACAGCACCAAAACTAGGCCAGGAATTGTAGTCCTTGTGTCCTAGACTGCTGATATGATTTGGGTCTGTGTCCTCACTCAAATATGATGTTGAATTGTAATCCCCAATGTTGGAGATGGGACCTGGTGGAAGGTGGTTACATAATGGAAGCAGTTTCTCATGGTTTAACGCCATCCCCCTTGGTGCTATCATCGCAATAGTGAGTTCTCATGAGATTTGCTTGTTTACAAGTGTATGGCACCTCCCCCAACTGCTTGCTCCTGCTCTGGACATGTAAGATGTTTCTGTTTCCCATTTGCCTTCCGCCATGGTTGTAAGTTTCCTGAGGCCTCCCCAGAAGTAGAAGCCACTATGCTTCCTGTACAGCCTGCAGAACCGTGAGCCAGTTAAACCTCTTTTCTCCATAAATTACCCAGTCTCAGGTATTTCTTTATAGCAGTGTGAGAACAGACTAATACAACTGTCTGTCAAGTTTATCAAGGACCCCAGAGGACTTTAACCCGCAGTATCAAGGCTTGCCACAACTCAGGTTCCCACTGCTGAGATAGACGATTCACTTCTGACTAGGGCTGGTCTTAATGCTCCCTCAATGGGCACCAGCTGAGTTCCACCCTGTGTTGCATTCCACTGTGACAGGGCACTGAGTTCTAACGCAATGTCTGATAATCCCGGCACTCTCCCTTCCCCAAGCACACAGATATGATCTCAGTGGCCCACAGCTGCTACCAGGGAATGGGGGACGAGTCTTTCCTACTCTCTTCAGTACCTCTTTCCTTATTATGATTTTAAAACTAGGTACTATGATCACTCATCTCTGCTTCTGGTTCTCATAAAGGTGCTTTTTCATGTGCATAGTTGTTCAATCTGGTGTTCCCAGAAGGAGGTGACTGGATGACTGCTGGTGGCTTCTTTTCTTTTTTTTTTTTTTTTGAGACAGAGTCTTGTTCTGTAGCCCAGACTGGAGTGCAGTGTCACGATCTTGGCTCACTGCAACCTCCACCTCCCAGGTTCAAGCGATTCTCCTGCCTCTGACTCCCCAGTAGCTGGGATTACAGGCGTGTGCCACCATGCCTGGCTAATTTTTGTATTTTTAGTAGAAACGGGGTTTCACCATATTGACCAGTCTGATCTTTTAACTCCTGGCCTCAGGTGATCTGCTCACCTCGGCCTTCCAAAGTGCTGATTACTGGTGTGAGCCACCACACCTGGCCTGGTGGCTTCTATTCAGCCATTTTGCTCTGCCTCCTCTCTGCTCATAATTTTACTTTTGATCTTCCATGACAATATATACCAATCTCCAACAACCAAGGAAAAGTCGTTTGTTTCAATTTTTTCTTTTTTTTTGGAGACAGCTCCATAACCCAGGCTGGACTGCAATGGCACAATCATAGCTCATTGTAATCTCGAACTCCTGGGCTCAAACAATCCCAACACCCCAGCCTCCAGAGTAGCCAGGACTGCAGATGTATGCCACTCTGCCCAGCTAATGTTTTGTATTTTTTGTAGAGATGGGGTCTCACTCTGTTTTCCAGACTGGTCTCAATCTCCTGGCCTCAAGTAATCCTCTTGGCTCGGCTTCCCAAAGTGTTGGGATTATAGCTGTGAGCCACCACACTCCACCAGTGTTTTCAATTTTTATAACACCTATATTTTAATATTATATTAATTTTTAATATTGCTCATTTAGTACTTAATACTTTATTACAGACTAGATCTTAGTATCTAAGAGAAAGTAATTTGTGAAAATGGCATTTCTAAGAAAATAAAGTCTATTAATTAAAACACAAGCACAAACTTCTAGTAAATACCTAGCACACAGAAGATAGATATTCAATAATTATTTACTAAAAAGATGAATGCAAGTGGCAGAAGCTGGCCCTGGTTTTGATGTACTGCTCATTTCTCCTTCTATTATACCATCTGCCTCCCTAAATACCACATAGGCATAGAATAACGTATCAGGTTCCTTATGAAAAAGAAAAAGGCATTGCTGGGAACAGTTACCAAATATAGGTTCATTTAAAATGCACAAGAGGAGGGTTCAGAAAATACATACTAAAAAGAAACATGAAAATCAAATTTTAGAGGTAAAATGACAAGAAAATCTTTTAAGCTTAAAGTGAAACTATCTCAAGGGCTTTTATATCCTCAAAGAAACTACTTTTTATTATTCTACTGCTTAAGAGACAGGCCAGCAGAAGCACTGCAAGAAAAGAAATGAGACAAAGTAAGCCAAAGTCTACCCCCTTGGGGTCCATTTCCTTCAATTTAAAAAACACTGACAAAATATCAGCTATATGTTAAGGATCAACATAAGTGCGGAGGACAGAAAGACTATAATATGTGAATATTAGCTTAGAAGAGTCTGAGAAATTTAAAGAAATGAATGAGTCTGAGGGCATACATAAAGCCTAAAAAAGCTTTAAGCTTACGCATTAAGAGAAGCTAAGAAAAAAAAAAAAGCACATACATTCTAATCAAAGTCTACTTCATTTGATACTAGAATTAGAGACGTATTAAAACAAAAAATTCCCATTAAATTTTTTTAAAAATTTACATCTAGTAATGTGTTCTTTAAAAAGTTCTTTATTATTTTTGAAACTGTTAGTGTATTTATTTACTTTATAGTAGACCCTTATAACTACCAATCCCAAAGAAAATATTACATGGAAACCCAGTATACAAAATTAGAACAAAGATTAGCAGTTCTTTTAAAACAAGTGAAGGCCAGAGGCCAAGCTACTTGGATCATCTTCATCCTGCTCATATGCCAAGGGCACCAAATTGACAAGACTAATTTAAAAGTATTGCAACGCTGATTATAATTTAATTCCACAAACTGCTCCTGTCAATGTTATCAATGACCTACATGTTGCTAAATCCAATTCTTAATTCTAACGGCATATCGTACTTGAACTATCAGTAGCATCAGTAACATTCTCCCTCCCTTCTTGTTAAAAAAAAAATTATTTGGCTTCCAGGGCACCTGACTTTCATAGTTTTCCTTCTACTTTATGGCTCATTCTTTTTTGACCAAGGAGTCAGCTACTGATTGACCAAGAAATCAGCAGCTGATCAGTCACCCCTTGCTGATTCCTTCTCATATCCCAAACCAATTAATGCAGAAGACACCAGTGTTCTGTGTTTGGTCTGGTTCTGTTGTCTATACTGACTGTAGGAGATCTCATCTAGTTCCATGCTTTTAAATACCATCTATTGTTAATAACTCACAAATTTTCCTTCCAAATCAGATGTCTCTCCTAAATTCCAGGCTCATTTATCCAACTGACCTTCTGAATCTCTCTGTTTAGATATCAAACAGAAATCTTAAACACAACCCGAGACTGAATATCTGATCTTACCTTTATATCTAGTTGCTCCTGCAGCCTTCCCCATTTCAGCTGATACAATTCTATCCTTCCAATTACTTAGGTAAAAATCCTTAGAATCATTCTTAAATCCTTTCTTTCGCTCACTTGAGACTTCAAAATAACAGCAAGCCTAGGTAATGACGGCCAAATAAATTGGAGTGTCGTAACACAATATCCTTAAAAAAATAAATTATACATACATACACAAAACCAAAAAGAACAAATAAAACTCATGCCCTCAACATAATTGGAAAATAAACTTCAAATTATCTGCAAATAGAAAAAAAGGCTGGGCATGGTGACTTACACCTATAATCCCAGCACTTTGGGAGGCCAAGGCAGATAGATCACTTGAGGTCAAGAGTTCAAGACCAGCCTGGCCAACATGGTGAAACCTCGTCTCTACTAAAAAATAAGCTGGATGTGGTGGTGTGCACCTGTAATCTCAGTTACTTGGGAGGCTGAGGCAGGAGAAATGCTTGAACCCGGGAGGAGGAAGTTGCAATGAGCCAAGATCACACCACTGCACTCTAGCCTGGGCAACACAGTGAGACCCTGTCTCAAAATAAATAAATAAATAAACAAATAAACAAACAAACAAACACAAATCTCAGTAAGCTATCCTACTGGCTCTTGTCACAATCATTCATGAAAAACAAGGACATTCCAAGAAAAACTGAGAAAATTCCCAGAAGAGAGAAGGAGCTAGCAGCAGGCTTAAGATTGATCTAAAATTACCATCAGGGCAGAGGGCAGTGGCTCATGCCTGTAATCCCAGCACTTTGGGATGCGAGGAGGGTGGATTACCTGAGCTCAGGAGTTTGAGAGCAGCCTGGCCAAAATGGTGAAACCCTGTGAATTTGTCAGGGTCCTCTAGAGGAACAGAACTAATAGGATGGAGGTATATATAAAAGAAAGTTTGTTAAAGAGTACTGACTCACACAATCACAGGGTAAAGTCCCACAATAAGCCAACTGTAAGCTGAGGAGCAAGGAAGCCAGTCGAGTCCCAAAACTTTAAAAGCAGAAAAACTGACAGTGTAGCCTTCAGTCTGTGGCAAAGGCCCAAAAGCCCCTGGCAAACCACTGGTGTAAGTCCAAGAATCCAAAAGCTTAAGAACTTGGAGTCTAATGTTTGAGGGCAGGAAGCGTCCGGCATAGGAGAAAGATGAAGCCTGGAAGACTCAGCAAGTCTGCTCATTCCACTTTCTTCTGCCTGCTTTAATCTAGCAGCACTGGCAGCTGATTAGATGGTGCCCACCTGGACTGAGAGTGGGTCTGTCCCTCCCAGTCCACTGACTCAAATGTTAATCTCCTTTGGCTTATGTCCTCACAGACATACTGAAGAACAATACCTTGCATCCTTCAATCAAGTCAACACTCAATATTAACCATCACACCCTGTCTCTACCCAAAATATCAAAAATTAGACAGGCAAAATGGCATGTGCCTGTAGTCACAGCTACTCAGGAGGCTGAGGTGGGAGAATCACTGAGCCTGGGAGGCAAAGGTTGCAGTGAGCCAGGATCATGCCACTCTACTCCAACTAGGGTGACAGAGTGAGACCTTGTCTCAATAAAATAACCTCCGGGAAGAAAAAGTTCATCCTTTTGTAAAAAGTATTAAAAAGGATCTTGAAAAACCAGAGGACTTAATAAAGAACTTAAGAATGCATGTGATTTAACACCTAGAAAGATCAACTCCAAGACATATTCTACTAAAATTATAAGACTCCAAAAACAAAAATACTCAAGGCCTCCAAACAAAACTACTGCATAACTTACGTTACTCCTTTTGCTAAAGTTTCCCCAGGCATCCCTTGGTTCGCAAAGCTCACTTTCTGGTAGATTCATCAAGAAGTGCTTCTGAGTATAGAATTTCCCTCAGTTCACGCATGTTTGTAGCCTTGAATCTTTGTGATTGAATATAACATCTTTGTGTTATATTTTTTTCCCTTTGTGAAAAGGAAAAAATTATGTTGGCAAATGTCTCAACAACAACATAGAAAGCAAGGCAACAGTAAGCTTCCTAAACAAACAAACAAGCAAGCAAACAAAAAACTCAAGAAAAAAAGTATGAGACAAGGATGTTACATCCAAGCATGAAGATTCAAGACTACAGACATGAATGAACTCAGGGAACTCTATACTCAGGAACACTTCTTGAGGAATCTACCAAAAAGTAAGCTGCATCCAACCAAGTGTTAACTGGGGCAACTTTAGCAAAAAGACTAATGGTGAGCATTCAATACCTTTAATTAGAGATCTAAGTCTAAAACAAAGGCAAGGATCAGAGTGCAAGACAACCTAATTATATGTTATATACTATGTATTAAATATATTTTAAAAGAAGTCAAAAATGCAACTAAACATTAGGAGACAAAGTTAAAAGGAGAAAGAAAAGGGGTATAAGCTCTTTGGTTATGGTAAAAAAAATGGGTGAGAATTAAAGGATATCATTAGAAACTAACAAATGAGATAGTAATAGAATAAGAAACCAAGAAATACGGGCATTAAAAAAGGTAGAAATACAGAGGTAAATACAAAACTACAAACCTTCCTATATACCATGAGAAATTTTAAAACATAGCAAAAAAAAAAAAGAAAACCAAAAAAAAAAAAAACAGAATACACATATCAGTAAATGAGAATGTGCTTAGTTTTTCTACTTTAAAAAAAGAGATTAAAAACTTGGCTGACAAATCAAGACTCTAATATAACCTGTACACAAGAAACACACCTAAAACAAGTGATTTAAAAATGCTGTATTAGTCTGTTCTCACACTGCTATGAAGGAATACCCAAGACTGGGTAATTTATAAAGAAAAGAGGTTGAATTGACTCACAGTTCCGCATACCTGGGAGGCCTCAGAAAAGATATAATCATGGCAGAAGGCACCTCTTCACAGGGTGGCAAGAGAGAGAATGAGTGGTGAGTGAAGAGGGGGAAGTCCCTTACAAAACTGTCAGATCTCATGAGAACTCACTCATCACCACAAGAGCAGGATTGGGGAAACCACCCCCGTGATTCAACTATCTCCACTTGATCCCGCCCTTGACAAGTGGGGATTTAGAGATTACAACTAAAGGTGAGATTTGAGTGGGGACACAGAGCCAAACCATATCAAATGCTAAGAATTAAAAAAAAAAAAAAATGGGCCAGGCACAGTGGCTCATGCCTGTAATCTCAGCACTTTGGGAGGCCGAGGCAGGCAGATCACGAGGTCAGGAGTTTGAAACCAGCCTGACCAACATGGTGAAACCCCATCTCTACTAAAAATACAAAAATTAGCCAGGCTCGGTGGCGTATGCCTGTAATCCTAGCTACTCAGGAGGCTGAGGCAGGAGAATTGCTTGAACTCGGGAGGTGGCAGTTGCAGTGAGCTTAGATCACACCACTGCACTCCAGCCTGGGTGACAGAGCACGACTCCGTCTCAGAAAAAAAAAAAAAAAAAAAGGGAGGGGGGCAAAAAGAATGGGCAAAGTTGTATCAGCCAAATATTAAGAAATAGAGGTTGTGCCAAATGTCCATCAATGATAGACTGGATTAAGAAAATGTGGCACATACACACCATGGAATACTATGCAGCCATAAAAAAGGATGAGTTCATGTCCTTTGTAGGGACATGGATGAAGCTGGAAACCATCATTGTCAGCAAACTAACACAAGGACAGAAAACCAAACACCGCATGTTCTCACTCATAGGTGGGAACTGAACAATGAGAACACTTGGACACAGGGTGGGGAACACCACACACCGGGGCCTGTCATGGGGTTGGGGGAGGGGGGAGGGATAGCATTAGGGGATATGCCGGGCGCGGTGGCTCACGCCTGTAATCCCAGCACTTTGGGAGGCCGAGGCGGGCGGATCACGAGGTCAGGAGATCGAGACCATCCTGGCTAACACGGTGAAACCCTGTTTCTACTAAAAATACAAAAAAATTAGCCGGGCACGGTGGCGGGTGCCTGCAGTCCCAGCTACTCGAGAGGCTGAGGCAGGAGAATGGCGTGAACCCGGGAGGCGGAGCTTGCAGTGAGCTGAGATCAGCCACTGCACTCCAGCCTGGGCGAAAGAGCCAGACTCTGTCTCAAAAAAGAAAAAAAAAAAAGAAAGAAAGAAAAAAGATATATCTAATGTAAATGACAAGTTAATGGGTGCAGCACACCAACATGGCACATGTATACATATGTAACAAACCTGCACATTGTGCACATGTACCCTAGAACTTAAAGTACAATTTAAAAAAAAAACGAAAAAAGAAATAGAGGTTGTGATTCAAATATTAAAATAGAATTAGAGAGCATTAAGCATGACCCAAAATTTTCAGCCACAGTTCACAATAAAGACAAATTATAAATAACTATTCAATAAATAACAGAACCACCACTCAATGAAGCAAACACAAATGATATTGGTAGAACACAGATAAAAATACAGTAAAAAAAGAAAACTTTAAAATAATCCTCCTTAATATGAGACAAATTATGTAGACAAAAATATATATATAAGGATATAAACAACCAAATAACATAATCAATGATGAAGAGTTTAACAGCCTACATATTGAACTTTACATCTCAATAATGGAGAGAATGGAGAAAAACTAAAAGCCTTTCCTCTAAGATCTGGAATACAACAAGGATGCCCACTGTCACCACTGTTATTTAACACGTACTGGAAGTCCTAGCTAAAGCAATCAGGCAAGAGAAAGAAAGGGCATCCAAATTGAAAAGGAAGACGTCAAATTATTCTTGTTTGCAGAGGATATGATCTTATATTTGGAATAACCTAAATACTCCACTAAAAAACTATTGAAATTGATAAATAAATTAAGTTGTGAGATACAGAATCAACATACAAAAATCAGTAGCAAACAATCTTCAAGAGAAATCAAGAAATCCCATTAATAAGTACAACTAAAATACCTAAAAATTACCTTAACCAAAAAAGTGAAAGATGTCTACAATGAAAACTATAAAACACTGATGAAACAAATTGAAGAGGACACACATGCAAAAAAATAGAATGATATTCCATGTTCATAGATGGGAAGAATCAATTCTGTTAAACTGTCCATACTATCCAAAGCAATCTACAGATTTAATGCAATCCCTATCAAAATACCAATGACATTCTTCACAGAAATCAGAAAAACAATCCTAAAATGTATATAGAACCATAAAATACCCTGAATAGCCAAAGCTATTCTAAGCAAGATGAACAAAACTGGAGGAATCATGTTACTTGATTTCAAATTATACTACAGAGATATAATAACCAAAATGGCATGGTACTGGCATAACAACAGATACATAGGTCAGTGGAACAGAATAGAGAACCCATAAATAAATCCATACACCTACAGTGAACTCATTTTCAACAAAAGTGCCAAGAACACACAGTGGGGAAATGACATTCTCTTCAATAAATGGTGCTGGAAAAACTGGATATCCATATGCAGAAAAATGAAATTAGACCCCTATCTCTCAATATATACAAAAATCAAATCAAAATGGACTAAAGACTTAAATCTACAACCTCAAGCTATGAAACTACTGAAAGAAAACAGTAGGGAAACTTTCCAGGACATTGGTCTTGGAAAGATTTCTTGAGTAATACCCTACAGGTGCAGGCAACCAAAGCAAAAATGGATAAATGGGATCACATTAAGTTAAAAAGCTTCTCCACAGCAAAGAAAACAATCAACAAAATGAAGAGACAATCCACAGAATGGGTGAAAAATATTTGCACACTACCCATCTGACAAGGGATTAATAACCAGAATATAGAAGGAGCTCTATATTGTTTTCAACTCTATGGTAAAAAAAAACCTGATAATCCAATATAAAAATGGGCAAAACATCTGAATACACATTTTCAAAAGAAGACATACAAATTGCAAACAGGTATATGAAAAGGTGCACAACATCGTTCATCATCAGAGAAATGCAAATCAAAACTATAATGAGATATCATCTCACTCTGGTTAAAATGGCTTATATACAAAAGGCAGGCAGTAACAAATGTTGGCAACGATGTGGAGAAAAAAGAACCCTTGTATACTCTTGGTAGAAATGTAAATTAGTACAATCACTGTGGATAACAGTTTGGAGTTTCCTCAGAAAGCTAAAAATTGAGCTAACATACCATCTGGCAATCCCCTACCAGGTACATACCCAAAAGACAGGAAAACAGTATATCAAAGAGATATCTCCACTCCCATGTTTACTGTAGTACTATTCACAATAATGAAGATTTGGAAGCAACCTAAATGTCCGTTAACAGACAAATGAATAAAGAAAATGTGGTACACATACACAGTGGAGTACCATTCAGCCACAAAAAAGAATGCAATCCTGTCATTTGCAACAATATGAATGGGCCCAGAGGTCATTATGCAAAGTGGAATAAGCCCAGCACAGAAAGACAAATTTCACATGTTCTCACTTATTTGTGGAAGCTAAAAATTAAAACAACTGAATTCATGAAGATAGAGAGCAGAAAAGGATGGTTACCAGAGGCTAGGGAGGGTAGTAGAGGGGTGGTGGGGAAGTGGAGATGGTTAAGTGGTACAAAAAAAATAGAAAGAATGAATAAGACTTGGTATTTGATAGCACAACAGGGTGACAATTGTCAAAAATAAATTAATTTTACATTTTAAAATAACTAGAAGAGTGTAATTGAATTGTTCACAGTACAGATGAATGCTTGAGGTGATGAATACCCCTGATTTGATTATTATTTATTGCACAGCTATATCAAAATATCTCATGTAACCTATACATATATACATTTACTATGTACCCACAAAAATTAAAAACTAAAAATATTTTTAAATAAAAAAATTTTTCAAAAAACAAAAATGGAAACATAACATACCAAAACTTATAGCGTGTAACAAAAGTAGTTCTATGACGAAAATTTAAGGCAATGAACACTTACATTAAAAAAATCTCAAATATACAATCTAACACTATGCCTCAGGAAGTAGAAAAGAACAAACTAAACTTAGCTCAAAGTTAATAGAAGAAAAGAAATAAAAAATATCAGAGCAGATAAAAAGGAAATGGAGACTAGAAACCCAATAGATATGATCAGTGAAACTAAGAAATTGGTTTTCTAAAAGATTTTTTAAAAATGGTCAAACCTTTAGATAGACTAAGAAAAAAGAGAGAATATACAAATAATATCAGAAATGAAAGGGGAAGCAACAACGGATACTACAGAAAGAAACACAAAGGATCATAAAAGACTACTATGAACACTTATTTCCCAACAAATTGTATAACCTAGAATAAATATATAAATTTCTAGAAACATACAATTAACAGAACTTAATCATGAAGAAATATAAAATCTGAACAGACCAGTAACAAGTAAGGAGACTGGATCAGTAATAAAGTCTCTCATTAAAGAAAAGCCCATAACCTGATGGCTTTACTGCTGAATTCTACCAAACATTTAAAGAAGACCTAATACCAATCCTTCTCAAACTCTTCCAAAACAACTGAAGAGAAGGGAAACATCCAAGCTCATTTCATAATGCCAGCATTACTAGATACCAAGGCCAGAAAGGGACATTACAAGAAAAGAAAATTATATGCCAATATTCCTGATAAGCATAGATATAAAATCTCTCAACAAAATATTGGCAAACCTAATTCAAGGGTACATTAAAAAGATCATTCACCATGATCAAGTGAGATTTATCCCTGGAAAGCAAGAATGGTTTGCCAATGTACACCAATAAATGTGATAAACTATAATAACAGAATGAAGGACAAAAACCATATGATCATCTCAATAGATGTAGAAAAGGAATTCAACAAAATTCAACACTCTTTCATGATAAAAAAAAAACTTCCAACAAATTAGGTATAAAAGGAATATATCTCAATGCAATAAAGGCCATATATGATAAACATATAGTTAACATACTCAACAGTAAAAAGTTGAAAGCTCTTCCTCTAAGATCCGAATCAAGACAAGGATGCTCACCTCTCACCACTTGTATTCAACATAGTACCAGAAATACTAGCAAGAGCAATTAAGCAAGAAAAATAAATAAAAGACATCTGAATCAGAAAGGAAGATGTTACACTGTATCTGTTAACAGACAACAAGATGTTATATTCTTAAAAAATTCTAAAAATGCCACTAAAAAACTGTTACTAATACATTTAGTGAAGTTGCAGGGTACAAAAATCAAGACACAAAAAATCAGTGTTTCTATACACTGATAAACTATCCAATAAAAGAATAAAAAAATCAATTCCATTTACTATAGCTACAAAATAATATTAATACAATATTTAGGAATAAATTTCGCCAAGGAGGTGAAAAATCCATACACTGAAGATTATAAAACACTGACAAAAGAAACTGCAGTGTACACAACTGAATGGAAACATACTCTGTTTCATGCATTGGAAGAATTAATATTGGCTAAATATTCATACTACCCTATGCAATCTACAGATTCACTGCAATCCCTATCAAAATTCCAATAACACTTTTTACAGAAATAGTGAAAAACAATCCTAAAATTTCAGTGAAGCCACCAAAGACTCTAAATAGCCAAAGCAATCTTGAGCAGAAGGAACAAGGCTGAGGCACCACACTACTTGATTTCAAAATCTACTATAAGGCTAAAGTAGCTAAACAACATGGTATTAGCGCAAAGACCACTGGGACAGAATAGGATGTCCAGAAATAAAGCCATGCATTTACCATCAATAGATTTTTTACAAAGATGCCAAGAACACAGATGGGAAGAGGAAAGTCTCTTCAATAAATAATGTTTGGAAAACTGGATATCCACATGCAAAAGAATGAAATTAGACCCTCATCTCACACTATATTCAAAAATCAACTTGAAATAGATTAAAGACTTAAAACACAGGACTTGTACTGTAAAACTAGAAGAAAACAGAGGGGAATGCTTTTTGGCCTTGGCAATAATTTCTTGGATATGACACCAAACACACAGGCAAGAAAAGCAAAAATAAACAAGTGGGATTACCTCTAATTAAAAAGCTTCTGCACAACAAAATAATCAACAGAGTAAAGACACAACCTTTGGAATGAAAGAAAGTATCTGCAAACTGTACACCTGATAAAGGGTTAATATCCAAAATATACAAGGAACTTAAACAATTCAACAGGAAAAAAAACTAATAACTGATTCATAATTGGGCAAAAGATCTAAGAAGACATTTCTCAAAAGAAGACATATAAATGGCCATCAGGCATGTGAAGAAAATATTCAACATCAATCATCATCAGGAAAACGCAAATTAAAACCACAACAAGACATACCTTCGCACCTATTCGAATGGCTAGTATCAAAAAGACAAAAGGTAACAAGTGTTGTCGACAATGTAGAGAAAAGGAAAACCTTGCACACTCTTGGTGGGAATGTAAATTAGTATAGCCATTATGGAAAAACAGTATGGAGATTTCTCAAAAAACTAAAAATAGAACTACCATATGATCTAGCAATCCCACTACTGGGTATATATCCACAGGAAATGAAATCAGTATGCCAAAGAGATATCTGCACTCCCATGTTCACTGTAATATTATTTAGAATAATCAAGATAGGGAATTAACTTAAGTGTCTATTGACAGATGAACAGATAAGGAAAATGTGGTATATATACACAATGGAACTCTATTAAACATTTAAAAAGAGGGAAATCTGCCATTTATGACAACATGAATGAACCTGGAAGATACTACGCTAAGTGAAATAAGACAGGCACAAAAAGACAAATATACCACATGATTTCACTTATATGTGGAATCTTTATAAAGCTGAACTCATAGAAACAAAGGGTAGAATGGTGGTTGCCAGGGGCTGGGGTGGGGAAATGGGGAGACGCTGGTCAAAGAGTACAAAGTTTGACTTAAACAGGATGAATAAGTTAAAGAGATCTATTGTACAGCATGGTGACTATATTTAATAGTAATGTATTATATACTTGAAAATTGCTAAGGTAGATCTTAAGTGTTCTCACCACAAAAAAATAAGCCTGTGAGGTGTAGATATGTTCATCAGCTTGATTTAATCATTTCACAATGTATACATATATGAAAACATCACATTGTACACTGTAAATATATACAATTTTTGTCAATTATACCTTAATAAAGTCGGAGGAAAATTATGTTCTCAGCTATGTCAAGTCAGATTTGAAATCATTTACTTTAGGTATGGGCTCAGGTCAGTACAATTTTTCTGTCTTCTGTATCTGTCATGTTAGTGGTTCCTAGACCTAGTTGAAAAATCGGAAAAACCTGGGGAGATTCTAATTATGTTAGTGTGTTTGGGGAAATTCTGACAATTGGCCAGGTTTGGGAACCTCTTCCTAGTACTGCATTAAACTATTCTCAGACATAGCAACAACCATAACATGAGGAACGGACAGAAAATACGTGACAAAGGATTTAGTTGATGAAGGTCATCTGAAAATGGTAAGGCACCTGGGTCAAAAAAGGGCAGGAACAGGAGGAGTTACCAGAGTCTGGTGGGTGGTAGGTATTGGGGAAATGTTGGTCAAAGGATATGAACATTCTTTGACAGGACGGAGTAAGTTCAAGAGTTCCATTGTACAACATGGTAATGGTAATCAACGTTATGTGGCCGGGCGCGGTAGTTCACACCTGTAATCCCAGCGCTTTGGTAGGCCAAGGCAGGCAGATCACTTGAGGTCAGGAGTTCAAGACCAGCCTGACCAACATGGTGAAACCCTGTCTCTACCAAAGAATATAAAAGTTAGCCAGGCATGGTGGTGCACGCCTGCAATCCCAGGTACTTAGGAGGCTGAAGCAGGAGAATCGCTTGAACCTGGGACGCAGAGGTTGCGGTGAGCCAAGATAGCACCACTGTATTCCAGCCGGGGCAACAGAGTGAGACTCGGTCTCCAAAAAAAAAAAAAAAGTGTTGTACACTTTGTAAGTGCTAAGAGAGATTTTAAGTGTTCTCACCACAAAAAAAAATTATGAGGTAATACATATGTTAATTAGCTTGAGTTAGCCATTCCACAATATATACATATATCAAAACATTATGCTATACATCATAAATATATACATCTTATTTGTTAATTTAAAAAATAAATCTTAAAAATTGGAAAGATGAACCAAATGTGGTATAACAGTAACATTTGGTTGATTTGGGGAAAGTATGTGAGAATTCTTTGTATTATTCTTGCAACTTTTCTGTAAGTCTAAAATTGTTGAAGAGTTAAAACAAAAACAACATCAAAAAAGCCTCTTAAATGATCTCCCTGCTTCAATCTCTGCCTGCTACAGTCTATTCTCAATTAAAAAAAAATTCAGCAATCCTTTTAAAATCATAAATTAGATTATGTAACTCCTTTGCTAAAAACCCTGGAATAATTCTCCATTTTATTCACAGTGAAAGCAAAATGTATACTGCTATTCCCTCTGATTGGTGTGCTCTTACTCCAGATATTCACTTAGCTAACTTCCTCACTCCCTTCAAGTCTTTGTTCAAATATCACCTTCTCAATGAATCTACCCTAACCATCACATTTAAGATTTCAACCCACTCTCTACAGCCAACACTTCTGATCTCAACTCTAACCTAGTTTTTCTTTTCTCTTGACACTTACCACACTGTAACAACTATGACAGTTTTTAAAACCATCTGATTCCTTCAGCTTCAATGTAAGCTCAGTAAAGCCACGGATTTTTCAGTATTCTGCTTATTAATATAGTATCTCAAATGCCTAGAACTGTGCCTGGCCTACAAGGTATACAATAAATATCAGTCAGATGGATGAACAAGTTTTGCTGAATACCTGCTACAATCTAGAAAATGTCCAGAAGAACACAGAGTCAGGGACCTAGCTATACAAGCAATCGCCTATAATCCAAATGGGAAATGCAGTACAATGTACAACACTTATGGAAAGATGAATTCTAGATGAGAGATGAAGTCAGTAGGTTGACTCCCTTTTCAAAAATCTTGCCAGTGAGGGGAAGGCAAGTTGCAGACTTATTTACATCCAAGAATTCCTCACTGACTGTGTACTCATTAACAGAGTAACTGAAGTTCCTAGTACGTGTAGGAAAACAATAGTTTCAAGGTAAATAAAAATCTTCACTATGTAACTTATATCAGGGGACATTTAGATATCTACTCAATATTAGAATCTCTACCTCATCTTTAAAAGGCAATCTTGGCTGGGTGCAGTGGCTCACACCTGTAATCTCAGCACTTTGGGAGGCCAGGGCAGGTGGATCACGAGGTCAGGAGTTTGAGCCCAGCTTCACCAACATGGTGAAACCCTGCCTCTACTAAAAATACAAAAATTAGCCAGGCATGGTGGCACGTGCCTGTAGTTCCAACTACTCGGGAAGCTGAGGCAGGAGAATGACTTGAACCTGGAAGGCGCAGGTTGCAGTGAGCCGAGATCGCGCCACTGCACTCCAGCCTGGGCTATAGAGCAGGACTCTGTCTCAAAAATAAATAAATAAATAAATAAATGACAATCTCTTTGTTTATAAGTCAGTCTCTCCATTTTTTTTTTTTTAAGATGCAGTCTCACTCTGTCACTTGGCTGGAGTGCAGCGGTGTGATCTTGGCTCACTGCAACCTCCGCCTCCCGGGTTCAAGCAATTCTCCTGCCTCAGACTCCAAAGTAGCTGGGACTACAGGCGCGTGCCACCAGGCCTGGCTAATTTTTTGTATTTTTTAGTAGAGATGGGGTTTCACCGTGTTAGCCAGGATGGTCTCGATCTCCTGACCTCGTGATCTGCCCACCTCGGCCTCCCAAAGTGTTGGGATTACAGGCGTGAGCCACCACGCAATTTTCTAATGTTTATGAATGTAGCACAAGGTGAATGCAAAGTAAAATTGCAAATCTCAAAAAGATAAAGTTTCATGAAGTCTATGAAAATAATATAGCTTCATGAGAAAATTATTACTTTCTAATTGAAAACGTGGCCAAGGTAGTTAGACCAATAAGAATTGGAACATGAAAGGTGTTTAAAGGACAGTGAATACAGTATTAATCACTGAGTAATAAAAATCTTTAGAAAACTTGATGATGCTTTCAACTTTTGCAAAAAAAGTCACTTTTGTTAATTCCATGGAGACAAATGTGAAAAGAAGAATGTCATATTGTGCTATCATAGTTTTGTCAGAAAACCTATGTTAAAAAAATCAGTACTTGTTCACTACAAAAAAAAAAAACCAAGATAACTATGTGAGGTGAAAGATATGTTGCCTAAGCTTGATTGTGGTAATCACGAAGTATATATCAATGTATACATATATTTATGGTGTTCAAGCATACTCAACAATATAAATATATACAATTTGTATTTATAAATTGAACTTCAATAAAGCTGGAGGAAAAAATAGTACTTAATTCATTCTTTTTTAAGATTTTTTTTTTTTTAGAGAAAGAGTCTTGCTGTGTCACTCAGGCTGGAGTGCAGTGATGCAATCATAGTTAACTGTAACCTCAAACTCCTGAGCTCAAGCGATCCTGCTACCAAAGCTTCCTAAGTAGGACCACAGATACTGATTCATTCTTAATTCTAATAATTAGCTAAGGTTGCAATTACATAGTAAATTTTTTTTTTTTTTTTTTTGAGACAGAGTCTCCTTCTGTTGCCCAGGCTAGAGTGTGGTGGCACAATCTCGGCTCACTGCAACCTCTGCCTCCTGGGTTCAAGCGATTCTCCTGTCTCAGCCTCCTGAGTAGCTGGAATTACAGGCATTTGCCACCATGTCTGGCTAATTTTTTTTTTTTTTTTTTTTTTGAGACAGAGTCTTGCTCTGTCGCCCAGGCTGGAGTGCAGTGGCACAATCTCGGCTCACTGCAAGTTCCGCCTCCCGTGTTCACGCCATTCTCCTGCCTCAGCCTCCGGAGTAGCTGGGACTACAGGCACCCGCCACCATGCCCGGCTAATTTTTTGTATTTTTAGTAGAGACAGGGTTTCACTGTGTTAGCCAGGATGGTCTCGATCTCCTGACCTCGTGACCCACCCGCCTTGGCCTCCCAAAGTGCTGGGATTACAGGCGTGAGCCACCGTGCCCGGCCTAATTTTTGTATTTTTAATAGAGATAGGGTTTCACCATGTTGGCCTGGCTGATCTTGAACTCCTGACCTCAGGTGATGCACCCGCCTTGGCCTCCCAAAGTGCTAGGATTACAGGCGTGAACCACCATGCCTGACCAAGTTATACAGTAAATTTTGCTGAAGACTTTAAGTTTCATTTTTCAACATAAAGAGCAAATCGAACTTCATCCTCTCTCTCATTCACCACCACCACCACCACTACCACCACCATCATCCATCACCACTACCATCAACAATAATAATTTATTTTACAAGACTTCATCCTTGAACAGGTTGCTTTAGGTGGTCCCTTTTGAGCACTTTCTGTCCTCTTTGAAGGTAATGTATGCTTAATCGGAGTTATATTTTTAATAAATAAAACAGAAAATAATTTTCTGTCATTTATTCAGCTGAGGGGAAAAAAAGTGTAAACACAATCTCTAGCAAAGGATGCAATTTGTGAGTTGGACCACAAGATGGAGGCACCAGTCACCTAAACGGAAATAAAGATAAAAGCAAAAAAACAGCCTTTTAAGTGTAAAAATAACAAACCTAATTTTAAAAAAAATCAGGTACATTTCCAATTCATTTTATAAGAATGGAAATTTATTCAAACAATCAAACAGTGAAGTCTGACATATAGTTCTGAAGATACTATCTCTACCAAACCCAATTCAATTGAAAAATCTCAAAAGCAACCTTGTCAACTCACTTTTACAACTCTTGCAGAGTAAGTCACACTTACAAAGTCTTCAAACAGCAGCAGAAAGGAACTGCTGAACTGAGTAGTACTTTGAAAAGTGAGGGAGTATGAAAAGTAATAGTTTCATGTGATTTACACTGATGCAGAGAAACTGGGTTTTACACAAAAAGAATGCAAATTGAGTTTCATAGCTACGTGATATTGACAAATCAACACTAGACATATTATTTTCCCTCATTTATTATATTCTTCAACAAATACAGCGAGTCACAACAAATGCTAGGCATAGTGCCTATACACAGTATTTAAGAAATACTAATTCTCATTATTGTTATTATTGACACTACTATTCTTAATATAAAGCAATTACAAAACCCTCAAAACAAAAGGAGACAAATAACTCTTTTTCTCTTACATGAAATATTTTCAACCTCACTTAGAAACATAACCCAGCTTAGTCACTCATCCATTATTAGTTCCATTTCTGTTAAAATGTTTCATATTTCTATGGCAGGGAAAACTAGAATTCAAGATTAAGGTTCCTTAACTTCATAAGCATAAAGCATAAAGAACTGACAGGTACGACTGTGAACACATTTCATCCTCCTGTTTTTCTGTTTGAAAGTGTGACACAGATGTGGTACTATTTGTATAAGTAAGGGAGAAGGGTTTTTGTTTCCCCTCAACAAAATACAATTAAATATTTAAGTACATGAACACATATACACACGAACTAAGGGAATTCAGTAAGTATTTGAAATAGTCTCAGAAGAAAACATAAGACATGAAATTTCAAAATGAAGATCAGAAAATTAAAAATCCAACCTTCAAACAACTCTGAGACAACCTGTATAAAAACTTTTAAATTACTATTTTATAGTCAACAAAGTATTTTAAAGTAAGTTCAACTTTTTATAGATATCACTAAACCGAAGGCATGTTTTAGCTAAAATCAAAATATTTTAGGATATTCTATCAATCTGATGATGCCCATGGTGATGATTACATCATGTGACCTCTGGATCTCTGATAACTAAAGAAAGAATGTTACTTACTATTGAAAAAACTAAATGTTTGATTTAAAATTTTTTTATCCATTCTTCAAAATATAATTGCCACTTCTATCATTGTGCATTACTGATTAGGAATGATCCATATTATCATTTAAAAATCTTTATCTTAAAAGTTAGTTTATAAAACAGTAGTGCAGGGCTTATTTGGAAGAAAAAATACATCCAGTTATTTTAGAGAAATGATTACTCCTTCAAATCAATTCAAAAAAAATTTAACAGTGAATCTAAAATGTTTAAAACAATTCTGCCATCTACTGGAAAAATCTGAAATGTCTTCATAATTTCCCAAATGTTAAAGAGAAAATATCACATTGAAAAGAGCTATATATCATGATCTTCCAATAGCTACTAAAAACAAGAGACTTGACTTATAATTCTGACCATTTCATTTGTTTTGATCCTTAATAACTACTTAACTGCATACTAATTCATTATAATTTTTAGTATATTTTAAATCCTAAATACAAATATGATGAGGTGAGATAATTTAAAACAATGCAGGATTACAATTACATATAATAGTGGATAACATAGGTTTTGATATATTCATCCTTATGACTGGGTATCTTAACAAGTTTGAGGCTGGCAATGAAACTATATTTAGGACACTGACTAAACCAAATCCAAACCTGAACCACACTAGAGGCGTCGTGACATTATGAAAAGATACTCCTATTTCTAATGAGAATATTTTAGTCCCTGAAGAATAATTTGGCCAATTTACCATAATAAAAAGAAAAGTATATCTTAAGCATCTGTCTCAAGATTTTGTAAAACTAGTTAACAGAAAAACCATTTTCTGTGGTTTTCTTATATTTTGTTTTGTTTTTGTCTTTATGCCTCTGGGTCCGTAAACATCTGAATTCACTGAATAGCTGCTTTTTCAGCATCTACTTTATATCCAGGCACATGCATATAAAGTACATTTAAGTATTCAGAAACATAACAATCACTTCATATTTAAAATGAGGATAATAATCCCTGGTTACATGGTTGTTATAAAAATGTTAAGTAATCAGAGTTAGCACCTAATAAATAATAGTTATCATTACTTTAAGTATCACTAAAAAGATTGGAAGATTATAAGTAGCTGAGAACAAAATGAATGAAAAAAATGTGTTTTCAATTTGTTACAAATTAAATATGAAAACTTCAGATTAAAATAGCCTATGATTCATGTTTACTTCCTTTATCTCCCAAAACCCAATTGAATTTATTAAAGAATATATGAGAGGAGATACAGCTATGCTAGAAAACAAAGGTACCATTAAAAGGTCAGACACTAAGGCCAAAAGTTCTGAAATACATAAAACAGATGTTTTGCTTAGAGCAGTAGTCAATAACTATCTGTCACATGAGAAAATTAACAAATGACACAGGATGAGATGAAAAGCAAACTTAGCAGTGCTGACTGGCCTGTGAATTAGCACAAGTGAACAGACTTGCTTAGAAAGAATCAATATAGTTTTCCAAAAATAGGTTCTGAGAAAACCCCAAAATTGGAGGAGCAAGGCTAAGAGCAAGTGGCAAATGTTAACAGTCAAGTCCAAAAAATTCAAAAATGCCACTAGTGCTACTACAGGGAGTCCTGGTTATCACTAATACAGGTTATACACAAAATACAGGTTTTTCAAAAAACAGCAAAAAGAAAACACCAAAAGAACAAACCCAAACAATAACACATGGTCAGTGTCCCAATGAGCCCCTTCCCTATTTCTCACAGGCAACTACAACTTTCACCTGATACTGACAGTCTTCAGATTCCCACTAGCAGGGGCTGAAAGTGAAGGAACTCTGTATTGAATACAGTTCTACCAAAGTAATTCTACCAGAGCACAATGAGGAGCTACTGGCCTGTAATATTCACTGGGGTCTGTCTGGGTGCAGACAGCTAATTTCAAGTAAATTGAGGGCTATGCTGCAAAAGACATCTAAGGAGGGTAATCAGGAATCAGAAGAACAGCTTTTAAAAAGATAAAGGGAGAATCTATAGAGACATAAACTGTTAAAAAAAAAAAAAGTAAACAGATCAGCCAATAAACAAGAACATTATAACATTATACGATAACCAAGAAAATGTGAATGGCTGGATATCTGATGATATTAAGGGATTTATTTCTATATATGATGATGGTGTTATTGTTACATTTAAAAACAGGAGTGCTTGTGTTTAAAAGATACATACTGAAATGTTTATAGGTAAATTGACAAGATGTTTGTTACCTGCTTCAAAATAAAATAGGAAAGATAACTGGGGGTTAGGAAGAAAATTATATTTAACCACAAGTATAACTGTAAAAAGTAAGCTTCAGGTATGTGGAGGTTTGCTTTCTCATTCTCTCTACTATATTTTAATTCAATAATTAAAAATAAATAAAACAGTGATTCTCAAGTTAGAACAAAAGGTAAAATCCAACTAATATTCTTAAAAAGGAAGCACAAAAGGTATAAAACACCCTTCAGTTATAAGCAAAATTCTATTTCTGATTAGCAAACCTCAATTTTAAATTATCAACTTTAAAATTGGTTAATACCTCTTTTGATCCGGTTTCTCAAAGTTTGGTTAATACCTCTTTTGATCTGGTTTCTCAAAAGTGTTTGAGAACTTCATATTCAAAAGGCAGTATTTTCTTTTTAACTAAAAAAAATAAAATATAAAATTCAGGAGATGATATTATAAATAATGTTTGGCACACTGATAATCCAAATATACGTGTGTCTAAATATACTCACACAGAAATACAGAAAGTATAGAAAATATAGTTTGGCAGTAAATGTTTTCATAAAAACCTCAGCACAAATTTTTCTTGGCTCACAACTTTTATAAACGTATAAGTAACACTTCAAAAAATTGAGATAACATATACAAATCAATGTGATATACCAAATCAACAAAATGAAGGACAAAAACTGTATGACCATCTCAATAGATGCAGGAAACGCATTTAACAAAATTCAGTCCTTTTTAAGATAAAAATTCTTAGTGTCAGGTATAGAAGGGATGCACCTCAACATAATGAAGGCCATATATGACAAATCCACAGTTAATATTATATTCAAGAGTGAAAAACAGACAGCTTTTCCTCTAAGGTTAGGAATGAGACAAGGATGCCTACTCTCACCACTCCTATTCAAAAACAGAAGTTCTAGCAAGAGCAACTAGGCAAGAAAAACAAATAAATGGCATCCAAATTAGAGCGGAAGAAGCCACAGATGATGACCTTACATATAGAAATCCCCAAAGATTCCACACACAAAAAAAGCTGTTCAGACTAATGAATGAATTCAGCAAAGTTGCAGGATACAAAGTCAACATAGAGGCCAGGCATGGTGGCTCATGCCTATAATCCCAACACTTTGGGAGGCCGAGGCAGGTGGATCACTTGAGCCCAGGAGTTTAAAACCAGCCTGGGCAACATGGTGAAATCTCATCTCTACAAAAAATACAAAAATTAGCTGGGCATGGTGGCACATATCTGTAGTCCCAGTACTTAGGAGGATCACTTAGGCCCCAGGGGCAGAGGTTGCAGTGAGCTGAGATCGCGCCAGTGCCCTCCAGCCTGAGTGACAGAGCGAGACTCTATCTCAAAAAAAAAAAAACAAAGTCAACATACAAAAATCTATTGCATGTCTAGGTACTATCAACAAATTATCTGAAAAGGAAATTAAGAAAACAACCTACTTACAATAACATCAATAAAGTAAAATATTTAGCAACAAACTAAGGAAGTGAAAGACTTATTCACTGAAAACTATAAAACATGGATGAAAGAAATGCTTTCAAGCAGACAGGAATAAATGCAATGACATCTGATATGTTCATGGACTGGAAGAATTAATATTGTTAAAGTGCTCATACTACCCAAAGCAATCTACAGATTCAACACAATCTCTAACAAAACTCCAATGACTTTTTTTTTCCAGAAATAGAAACAACAATCCTAAAATTCATATGGAATTACAAGAAGACACTGAGTAGCCAAAACAATTTTAAGCAGGAAGAACAAATCTGGACGCATCACACTGTCTGATTTCAAAATACGTTTAAAAGCTACAGTAATCAAAACAGTATGGTACCAGTATAAAACCAGACATATAAACTATTGGAACAGAAGACAGAACCTAGTAATAAACCCACACATGAGGACAAGTGAGTTTTGACAATTATGCCAAGAACACACAGTGAAGAAAAGATAATCTCTTCAAATAAATGGTATTGGGAAAACTAGATATCCACATGCAGAGGAATGAAATTGGACGCTTATCTCACACTGTATATAAAAATCAACTCAATATGAATTAAAGATTTCAATGTAAGTCCTTAAACTACAAAACTCTTAGAAGAAAACAGGGAAAAAGCTTCTTGACATTGGCTTTGGCAATGATTTCTTGGATATGACACCAAAAGCACAAAACAACAAAAGCAAAAATAGATAAGTCTGATTACGTCAAACCAAAATACTTCTGCAAAGCAAAGGATACAAAGGCAACCTATGGAATAGGACAAATATTTGCAAACCATATCTCATAAATGATTAAAAACCAAAATGTATCAGTGACTTCTATGACTTAATAGCAAAAAACCAAATAAATTGATTTTAAAATGGGCAAAGGAACTAACAGGCATTTCTCCAAAGAAAACATACAAAATAGCCAACAAGTATATGAAAAGGTTCTCAATATCACTAGCCAACAAGGAAATCAAGTTAAAACCACAATAAGCTATCACCTTATACTTGTTAGGATGGCTACTATTTAAAAAAAAAAAAAAGGACAGCAGAGCACGGTGGCTCATGCCTGTAATCCTAGCACTTTGGGAGGCTGAGGCGGGCAGATCACTTGAGGTCATGAGTTCCTTGATATTTAACAGGAAGAATTTCTAAGAGACAAAATTAACACATGAAAGGAAAAAGTTGTATTTTCAGATACCTAAAATTTTCTAAAATCTAGTACATAGTATATATGTTAGCTAGTCTCAGATTTCAAAGAACAGTTACGCTCAAGTTATCTCAGGTAACCAGGGAATACTGTAAAGATACAGGAAGAAAGACGAAAAACTCAACATTTGCAAAATAGAGACAACTGGAATGTGATTTAGGACACAACAATACCTATTGTGCTCTAATAGGAACCTTTCAACATGCTTGCCACCCTAACTTCTTAGAAATGGACATCTACTGATCCCTAATTATTCTCATATTTTCCTCTCTCTATATATCTATGAGTTCAAATTTCAACAGAAAAAAATTTGACCATGTTTGGTCTGTTACCAACCTATACAGAATGCCTATATGGGGCAGAATTCTCACACCTAGCCACATCATAGGTCTTTGGCTATCTTACAGCTAATGACTTGGGACCAGAGACATGGATATGGGTATCATGGTGACCTGTAAAGCTGGAACTAGTCCTAGTTACCAGCTACTTTGTCTAAAATACACAGCCAACACTCAAAAAGCACCACAATCTTCCAGTAAAACAATCCTAACTTATATCACTAGAAATAATGATTTAGAACATTTACATCTGTGTCTATGTGTTCCTCATTTGCATGGAAAGGAGAAATTCCTTTGGTTGTTGTCAATAGGGCACATACAAAGTATGTGTGACTATCTCAAATAATTTTATACCGACTAAATTTGAAAAAAAGCTTTACTATTAAAGCCAAAACACTGTTATTCAATGTAATCATGCATTTTAAAATATATATTCATAAATACAGTAAACCATAGCATTAGGTTACATTAAAAACATTTACCAAAGCCTACATTATGCATATACTCTTCCTCAATTCATAGGCTACTCCTTTTAAGCTCGTATAGAATTTACTGCTTGCTTTTCTCTAGACATTTACTCACTATGACTGCAGTAGAAACTACACCCAACAAATACATCAACCAAATGAGGACAGAATAAAAATCTTTTCAGACATTCAAAGACTCAAAAACTTTATCCGCCTTGAACCTCTTCTCAGGAGGCTACTGAAGCATATATGCTACAAAACTGTGGTGAAAGGCCCAGAATCCAGGGAATAAGATATCCAGTAGAGGGAAGAGGAAAGGGAATTATGGTCTCTGTGTAATGAATTCTTTCAGGTACAGTATGTCTGAAAAAACCTTCATTTGCCTTTGTTTTAACAAGGTATTTTTGTTGTGTACAAAATTATAGGTTGGCAGACTTTCTCTTTTGGTACTTTAAAGATATTGTTCCACTGTCTTCCAGCTTATATTGTTTGTTTTAAAAAAAACCCTGAACTCATTTTCGTCTTTCTTCCTCTGTAAGTAATGTATCTTTTTCTCTAGCTCTATAAAGATTTTCTCTTTATCAATGGCTTTGAGCAATTTGATAATAATATGCCTTGGTGTGGTTTTCTACACTTTTTGTTTTTGGAATTTGTTGATGATTTGGGGTCTGTGGGTTTATAGTTTTCATCAAATTTGGAATATTTTTGGCCATTATTTCTTCAAATATTTTTGACCTGCAAAATGACCTTTACCCCTCATGGTATCCAATTACATATATTAGGCCACTTGGGGGTATCCCACAGCTTGCTAATTGCTCTTTTTTTTCTGGTCTTTTTTCTCTCTGTGTTTTATTTTGGGTAATTTGTATTATTATCTTTCAATTATAAATGTGTAAGGACCTAACAATAGGTATTGAAAATACATGAAGCAAAAACTGATAGAACTGGAAAGAGTAAAAGACAAATGTAAACTTGTATTCAGAGACTGTAACATACTTTTTTCAATAATTGATAGAATAAGTACAAAAAAAATCAGTGTGAATATACAAAGCTTGAACAACTCTATCAACCAGCTTGGGCTAACTGACATTTACAGAACATTCAACCCCAAATAGCAAAATAGATAATACATTTTTCTCAAGCACAAACAGAAGATTTACCAAATTGCACCATACTCTAGGCCATAAAACAATTTACAATACATTTAAAATAACTGAAATCATATAAAATATGTTCTCTGAATATAATAGAATTAAACTAGAAGTCAATGAAAATCTCCATCTAGAAAATCTCCAAATATTTGTAAAGAACATACTTCTAAATAAATACATAGGTCATATAGGAAAAAATAAATAAGAAAATATATTCGTTACATGAAAATTTTAAGATAAAAATTTGTGAAATGTGGCCAAAACAGTGCCTACAAGAAATTTTAACATTAAAAATGTATATTAAAAAATAAACAGATCAAATTATGATCTCAGTGGCCACCTTAAGAAACTAGAAGAACATATAAAACCAATTGAAAGCAGAAGAAAACGATGACGATATAAGAGAAAGCGATAAGTTCTGAAACCAATGGAAAAAACTTACAGAGAAAAATCAGTGAAACTCAAAGCTAATTCTCTAAAATGATCAATAAAATTAACAAACCACTCATCAGATAGGCCAAGAAAACAATAGCCACAAATTATCAATTCAGGAAAGAGAGGATATCACTACAAATTGTACAAACATTAAAAAGATAATGAAGAGGTATTACAACTTTATGACTGTAAATTCAACATACTAGATAAAAAGGGCAAACTACTCAAAAGATAAAAACTACCAAAACTCACCTAAGACAAAATAGATAGCCTGAGTAGTCTTATACCTGCCAAAGATATTAAATTTGTAGGTTAAAAATTTATTATCTTTGAATTTTTAATTCCAGCCTTCCAACAAGGAAAACTCCAGGACCAGATGGCTTCACAGGCAATTTATATCCAACATGTAAGAAATAAGTAATACAAATTCTTCACAAACGCTTCCAGAAAATTCAAAAGAAGGAAACAAAATTTAACTCACTTTATAAGGCCAGCATTAACCTAAAAACAAACCTAGAAAACACATTAAAAGGAAGAAATTAAGATCCTGAAGAACAGAAAACAAAATTCTTCAATAAAATGAAAGCACATCAATCCAATAATATATAAAAAGGATAATGCATCATGACCAAGTGGAGTTTACCTGACAAATGCAATATTCAAGACATTCAACAATCAATCAATGCCAAATGAGTTAAAAGCTTATGTCCACTCAAAAAACTGCACAGGAATATTTATAGCAGCTTTATTCATAATCGCCAAAACTTGGAAGCAACCAAGATGTCCTTCAATATGCAAACGAATAAACAGTGGTTCTAACCATACAACAGAATATTATTTAGCAATAAAAAGAAAGTAGATGGCCAGGCATCTGGTTTACTCCTGTAATCCCAGCACTTTGGGACGCTGAGGCAGGCAGATCATCTGAGGTAAGGAGTTCAAAACCATCCTGGCCAATATGGCGAAACCCTGTCTCTTACTAAAATTACAAAAATTAGCTGGGCATGGTGGTGGGCACCTGTAATCCCAGCTACTCGAGAGGCTGAGGCAGGAGAATCACTTGAACCTGAGAGGCAGAGGTTGCACCGAGCCAATATCGCACTACTGCACTCCAGCCTGGGCGACAGAGTGAGACTCTGTCTCAAAAATAAATAAATAAATAAAAAGAAAGGAGCTATTATGCCACAAAAAAACATGGAGGAAACTTAAGTGCATATTACTAAGTGAAAGAAGCCAGTCTGAAAAGATCACATACTATATGACAGCAACTACATGACATTCTGGAAAAGGCAAAACTACAGAGACAGTAAAAAGATCAGTGGTTGCTAGGGGTTTGGTAGCAGGAAGGGAGGAAGTGAGGACACATTAATGCAAGATATTAACAATGGGAGAAACTGCATTGGGGGAGCAGGAATATCTGAGTAGTTTCCATTCAATTTTTCTGTAAACCTAAAATTGCTCTAAAAAATAAAGTCTATTAATTTTTAAAAGTCAATCAGTATAAATTCACCACATGATCATTCCAACAGAACCAAAAAAAAAAAAAAAACCCAGCAAGCAAGCATGTGACAAAATTGACAAAATTCAACATCGATTCATAAGAGAAAGCGCTCAGCAAACGAGGTACAGACAGGGAACTTTGTTAATTTAATAAAAGGTATCTAAAAAATTATAGCTAACACCACACTTAACAATGAAAGAGTAGTGGCCAGGCGTGGTGGCTCATGCCTGTAATCCCAGCACTTTAGGAGGCCAAGGTGGGCAGATCATCTGAGGTCAGGAGTTCGAGACCAGCCTGTCCAACATGGCGAACCCCATCTCTCCTAAAAATAAAAAATTAGCCAGGCATAGTGGCACATGCCTGTAATCCCAGATACTCAGGAGGCTGAGGCAGAAAAATCGCTTGAAACCAGGAGGTGGAGGTTGCAATGAGCCAAGATCACGCTATTGCACTCCAGCCTGGGCAACGAGAGCGAAATTCCACCTTTGGGGAAAAAAAAAATGAAAGATTAAATGTTTTTCTTCTAAGATATGGAACAAGAAAAAGATACCTATGCTCACCACTCTTATTCAACATTATACTGGAGGCTCATCTAGTGCAGCCAGGCAAGAGAAGGAAATAGAATGCAAATAAGTTAGAAAGGATAAAAACAAAACTGTCTCTATCCACAGTTGATATAATTACCTACAGAGAATGTCCAAAGGATCTGCAAAAGGCTTCATTCAAGAACTAGTAGGTGAGTAAAACAGGTTGCAAGATACATGCTCAACATGGAAAAATCTATTGTACTTCAATATAATAGTAACAAAGAATTAGAAATTACGTTTTTTAAAGCATCATTTATAATAACAATACAATATAATATACTTTATAATAAATTTAACAAAACATATCATGATCTCTATGCTGAAAACTACAAATCAGTGATAAATTTTTAAAAATGACCAAGTAAAAGGTCTCTGTGAATTAAGTCAAACTGATTTCGACATTAAATCCCATTCTCTTAAATGCTACGTTATCCAATTTGTCTCTCTTGAGTAGCAAAAATACTTTGTGAGGCTAAGTAGGTACTGTTATTTCCGTTTTACAGAGTAAGCTGGAGCTGCTATGGCCAAGCACTCACACTCTTAGGTATGTACTCATGGAAAATGAAAACTTATGTTCACACGAAACCCATATGTGAATGTTTCTTGCAGCTGTATTCATAATCACCAAAAACTGCAAGTAACTAAACTCAAATGCCCTTTAATGAGTAAATGAACAAACTGGTACATCCATTAACATGGAATACTAATCAGCAGTAAAAAGGAGCAAACTACTGATATACGTAATGAATCTCAAAGGCATTATGCTGAATAGAAGAAGCCAGGTTCAAAAGGTTACATATGGTATAAGTATACATGTGGGACAGTCTCAAATGGAAAAAAGTATAATGGCAGAGAACAAATCAGTGGTTGCTGAGGTTAGGGATGAGGAGAGATTGTAACTACAAAAAGGTAGCATGAGGGAGTTATTCAGGGTGACGGAACTGTTCTGTATCCTGATTTTGGTGTTGGTTACATGAATCACATGTGTTCAAATTTATAGAACTATACACCAATTTTAAAAGTTAATTTTACTGTATTTTAAAAATAGAATCTAAAAAAACCAACTAATAGCAAACAGAAAACTAAAGAAAAAAAATGAGATACCACAACACACCTACTAGAAGAGCTAAAATTAAAAAGACTGACCATACCAAGTGTTGATAAGGATATAGGACAACTGGAAATCTCATACACTCCTGGTGGGAAGGTAAAACGGTACCACCACTTAGGCAGTTTCTTAAGAAGTTAAACATACACCTAACAAGTTGACTCAGCCATTCCATTTCTAAATATTACATCAAGAGAAATAAAAACATAAGTCCATACAAAGACTTACACATGAATGTTCATAATTTATTTGTAATAACCCCTAACTAGAAACAACCCAAATATCTATGAACAGGTGAATGGATAAACAAATTATGGTATATACATACAATGGAATATTACTCAGCATTAAAAAGAAATAAACTACTGATAAACACAAAAACATGGATGAATCTCAAAATAATTATGCTGAGTGAAGAACCTAAAAAACAAAAAAAAAAAAAAGCAGAATATGTGCTGTATGCTTCCACTTAAATAAAATTCTAGCCAGGCGCACTGTCTCACATCTGTAATCCCAGCACTTTGGGAGGCCGAGGCAGGCAGATCACAAAGCCAGGAGTTCAAGACCAGCCTAACCAACATGGTGAAACCCCGTCTCTACTAAAGATACAAAAAGTTAACTGGGCAGGGTGGCACACATCTCAGTTACTTGGGAGGCTGACGCAGGAGAATCACTTGAACCTGGGAGGCAGAGGTTGCAGTAAGCCGAGATAGCGCCACTGCACTCCAGCCTGGGCGACAGGGCGAGACTCCATCTCAAAATAAACAAATAAAAATAACTAAATAAAAATTATAAAAAATACAAACTAATGTATAGTGTCAGAAATCAGATGAGTGCCTATCCATGGAAGCAGAAGCATAAGGCAAGACTAGAAAGGAGCACAACAAATTGTTGTGGATATTGAATATGTTAATTTTCTTGACTGTGTTGATGGTTTCACAGATATATACATATGTCAAAACTTACCAAATTATACATTTTAAGCATGGGCAATTTTTTTTGTCAATTATACTTCAATAAAACTCTCAAAATGCAATTACAATTATGTAAGAAAATATACAAATTAGTGAGAATATGTAAAAATAAAATATTCATGTTATTGTAGAATAGACATGACTGTTAATTTGAAACTTTAATGGTATTGTATCTCTATATAAATGAATGATACAAAAACTGGTATAAATATATTTGTTTGTTGTTTTTTGGGCTTGTTTTTTTTTTTTTTTTTTGAGGTGGAGTCTCACTCTGTCACCCAGGCTGGAGTGCAGTGGTGTGATCTCGGCTCACTGCAACATCCGCCTCCCAGGTTCAAGTGATTTTCCTGCCTTAGCCTCCCGACTAGCTGGGATTACAGGCGCGTGCCACCATGCCCAGCTAATTTTTGTATTTTTAGTAGAGATGGGGTTTCACCATGTTGGCCAGGCTGGTCTGGAACTCCTGATCTCAGGTGATCCACCCACCTCGGCCTCCCAAAGTGGTGGGATTACAGGCATGAGCCACCGGACCCAGCCATAAATGGATTTTTTAATGGGCAAAAGGTTTGAACAATACTTCACCGAAGATCTGTAGATAGTAAATAAGCACATGAAAAGACTGTCAACATCCTCAGGCATTAGGAAAATGAAACTTAAAATCACAATGAGATACCACTATATACCTATCAAAATGGCTAAAATAAAAATAAAAACACACCCAAAAATCAGATAATACTAAGTGCTGGTGAGGGTGTGGAAACAACTAGAATTTTAATGCATTGCTGGCAGGAATACAAAATGGTACAGCCACTTTGAAAAACAGTTTGGTAGTTTCTCATAAAGTTAAACACACATTGATCACACAACTTAGTAATCCCACTACTAGATATTTACCCAAGAGATATGAAAACTTACGTTCACACAAATCCTGTATGGGAATGTTTGTAGAGCTTTTGTCACAATCACAGAAACTGGAAACATCCTAATGTCCTTCAGCTTGTGAACAGATAAACTGGCAAACCCATACAATGGAATACTACTGAGCAATAAAAAGGAACAACTACTGACACATGGATGAATCTCAGCTACATTATGCTATGTGAAGCAAGCCAGACTCAAAAGTCTAAATCCTGTATAATTCCATTTATATGATATTCTAGAAAAGACAAAACTATAGGCCCATAAAACACATCAGTAGTTGCCAAAGGGTGTGGGAATGAACTACTAAGGAGTTGGAGGAAATTCTGATGGTGATGGAATTATTCTATTACTTGAATCCAGTGAGGTTACTCTACTCATTTGTCAAAAACAATAAAACTGTACACCATAAAGGGTGAATGTTACTGTATGTAAATTATATTTCAATTTAAAAAAACTCAGTCTGACAGTTTGCATATTTTTAATTTTACTGACAACTTATGGAAAAGAAACATCTCTCTGCTTGCAACCTGTCAAGAAATACTTAACACCATGCTATGTTCTTTGCAGGCTTTTTTCTTTTTTTGTGAGACATATTCCCTGCCTGACAGAGGAGCTCATTAGGGAAACAAGTCTAAATATTAAAATAAGTTACAGAAAAAGGCCAGGCAAAAATAAATTAATTGAGTGATAAATCACAGAATACATTTTATATGTGTGGGAAATGAATGGCACATAATCTTGGAAAGGTCTTAGTGCTTCTCAACATTGCTGATCTTATATTATCTCTAACTTTCAAGTGAGGATGTTGAGACTTGGAGAGGACAAGTACTTTTTCCGTGATTCCCGAGCTATCAGGTGTCAAAGCTGAGATTCTAACCCACGCCTCTTCGCCCAAAACCTGACATTTTCTGCATGCGGCGATGGAACAACACAGAAGAGGTTACGACGGCGGCTACACAGTGTGATTTCAATGGACAGCAACGCCTCCTTACTCCCCAAACAACCCGCTCAACTACTTGGCACGAATCCTACACAGTAACACCATGATTATTGCCACGTTTCTTAAATTGAGCTCAACGGGGTCTTGGAATGTCAACTCCCGAGAAAGGAATCAGCGAGCCTTGTGGGGATATGGACCTACTTCTGACAAGTCTTGGTAGTAAGGAAGGCGCATGGGGCCAGCGCCGGAGCCAGGGTGCCACCGAAAAGGGTAAACACCAAGAAAGAAGACAGCCGAGGCGCTGAAGATACTCCTCTTCAATTACACCACTCAGCTCTGGGTCACAAGGCGGGGAACAGCGTACGAAAAACCCCTCCCCTGGCCCTTCTAGCCCCTTTGGTGAAAGATTTCCGTGGACTTTTCCCTGCCTCCGTCGCCAGTCCAGGGCTAAAACTGAGGCTCCTCTACAGGCGTGGCTGGGAGGAAAGTGGTGGTGCGCCTTAACAGCGCAAGCAGCCCGGGGCACGCCGGGGGAAGGCGCTGGGTAGTAGGGACCGCGGACGCACGAGGCCGGGCCAAGGCGCCCAGAGCCGGGCCGGGTAGGGCTCCGATGCCAGAGTGAAGGGGTCGACAGGGGAGAACGAACTCGGGAAATTCTCTCCGGTGACACCCTAAGTGTCGCATGATGCGTTAGTTGACTAGGGGCTCTCACTTTTCCCTCCTTTACTGACCTCGCAATCACTGACCACGCAATCGCTGCCCACGCCGCCACCTCACCTCTCCAGTTCTTGTACTGCGGGATGTAGTAGTATTTGTTCCCGAATTGGTCCGTGCCCACGTGCTCCTTCACTTCCCTTGACAGCGATCTCCACAAGGCGCGGAACAAATCCTGAGACCAACCCATGCCGTCCACCCAGTTTCCAGCGCTGCCAGCAGCGGGACCCGCAGTAGGGGTAATGCTCCAGCCGCCGACCCAGCCCACCGAGGCGGAGAAGTCAGGTCGGCCTCCATCCTGGAGCCCTTCTAGTAACGGCGCTCACCATTGGCCGGATATATCACCGACTGACCAATGGGAGACTCTGCTGTTCCAGTCCCGCCCCTGAGCTCTGTCATGGCGACGTCCAGTGCTCCAGCCGGTGTGAGGACACGATATGCTGGGGTTTTTGTCCGCACGCCAAACGGGTTTGGAGGACCCTCTTCGCCTTCGGAGAGCAGAGTCAACACGGAGGTAAAGAAAACCTTACTTTTTGGCTAACAGGCCAGTTAGAATCTGGACCAATGACTGTAAGCTTTGCCCCACACTTTCCCGTCTCATCGCTCTCCTGCCACCAAACTATTATTTGCCCTCTAATGCTGTGTGGCTTGCTAAAATAGGATCCCTTTTATTTACTGGTAACAACTTGCAGGCGGGGGGCGGCGGGGGTGGGGGGGGTTCCCCGGGGGTGGGGGGGGGGTTCCCCCGCGGGCTCAGGTGAAGACACTATAAACCTAAATAAGAATACTTCGTTGTACTGTATTCCTTCTCTCTTAAGTTACTCCAAAGAATAACTGCCCTCCACGGACTCGTTCATTCATTCAGTCTGCATATTTAGTGAATTCCTACAGTGTGCCAGGCAGCCTATTAAAGGCAGAGGACACAGGCCAGGAATTGAACAAAGTTCAGAATGACTAGAGCGGAGAATTGGGGTAGGGACCATTGACAAGAGATGAAGTAGACAGAAACTAGATGAGGAAGAGCCTTGTGTACTTGAGTAGAGGTGTGAAGATGAGAATAAGGTAACAGCTATTGCATTTTGTTTTCTGCTTGGAGAATGGGTTGCAACTGAGAACAAGAGTGGGAGCCAAGTTAGGTAACTGTTGTGATTACACTTGTCCGGGAGAGAGTTGTTGGAAGCCTGGGCCACAGAGTTGCCAAGTAGAATAAAGATAGTGGAGAGATTTGAACAACGTCTGAGAAATAGAATCAACAGGCCATGGAAATTGAGTGGATACGTGAATGACAAAAAGAGAAGAATGAATAATGATTCCCAGATCTATGCCTTGTATAAGAAGTTGAATGTTGGTAATATACTCTGAGAGAGGGTTTTCCAAAGGGAAGAAGCAAGTTGTACTTTTAATTTTGCCCACATTAATTGAGGAACCTGTGAAGATATTTACTTGGAGAACACAGTTGCTTATGAGTTCTGCGTTCTGGAGAAATTTAAATATTAGTTTCCAACATTTTATCCATTACGTTTTCAATGTTGTGAAATATCTCTGAGAGTTCCTTTAATGTGTTTTTTTTGCCAGTGTCACTTCCTCTGACACATCATCAGCCTTTCATCACAATCACTTTTCCTCATTTATGTCTATAAGTTCACCTTCACTGATTTCCTCAGTCTGCATATCTAGAATGTCTCAAATGGCGGCAGTGTCATTGTTGCCACAATCAGCATGTTCCCACAGGCAGCTTTTTTTTCATTTGCTCCATTTATGTTTAATGCAAGTTTCACTTCTAGTATTATCACTCTTCTTTAGTGCACTTTCATTCTTTTGGCCAATTTCCTCTTTTAATCTGTAAAATTCCATGTGGGTTTATCTCAAGGGCACAGAAATATTAATAACAAACCTCCATGCTTTGCAGCCTGTGTGTGAACTGAATAACAGATGCACAGTGACCAATCACCCATAGACTTTGAAAGAAGTAAAATTGCAAATTGGTCAATTTTGATTCATATGTTATTTATGTAATGATTTGTGAACTGAAAAGCTAGTAGCAAACTTTTATGCTATTTCTCACGGTTAATAAACTGTGGTAACTGAAATTCATATCAGACTGTGCCAAGTGAGGATTGCTTATACGTTTAAGACAAATAAAGTATTTAAAAATTAAAAAAATATTTTTTTTTTGAGGCAGGGTCTTGCTCTGTCACCCAGGCTGGAATGCAGTGGTGCAGTTACAGCTCACTGCAGCCTCGACTTTCCAGGCTCAAATGATCCTCCCATCTCATCCTCCTAAGTAGCTGGGACCACAGACATGTGCCCACACACCTAGCTAATTTTTAAATTTTTCGTAGAGATGGGGTCTCCCTATGTTTCCCATTCTGGTCTTGAACTCCTGGGCTGAAGTGATCCTCCTGCCTTTGCCTCCTAAAGTGCCGGGATTATATGTGCGAGCTACCACACAGCCTAAAATTTTTTTAAAAATATTTCCATCATTAAGTGATGTTTTTGCTTAAACAATTATATAGTTCCATTTTATTCATAGGAGATGTCTACTGTTCTTCCTTGTCATCATGTAAGAGCAAAAGGATGAACACTGATATGCAGTGTTCACAGTTTACACCCTCTAAAAAAACATTTTACAACTTTATTGAGGTATAATTGACATGCAATACCCTGCACATTAAATGAGAATATACAATTTGATGAATTTTGACATATATTTACTTTTGAAACCATTACCATAATCAAGAGAACATCCATAACCCTAAAAAATTTTTGACGGTCATTTATAATCCCTGTCTCCCTTCTTTCTCTGCTTTACCCTCTTCCTTCTCTAGAAACTACTAATCTGCTTTAGGTCACTATAGATTAGTTTGCATATCTAGTATTTTATATAAATGGAATCTTTTTTGTCTGGCTTCTTTCACTCAGCATAATTACATTATTTTGAAATTTCTCCATGTTATTGCATGTATCAATTCCTTTTTTTTGCTGTGGAGTATCCCACTGTGCAGATATACCACAGTTTATCTAGTCACTTGTCGATGGACATCTGAGTTGTTTCCAGTTCAGGACTAATACATTTACAGCTGCTCTGAAAATTCATGTATGAGTCATTGTATGAACATATGCTTTTATTTCTCTGAAGTTAATGCATAACAGTGGAGCTACTAGATAAATCCTTTACTTTTTAAGAAACTGACAGTTTTCCAAAAGCATTTTCCAGTCCCACCACTAATAGGTGAGAGTGCTAGCTGCTCCATATTTATGTTTCCCCTTTCCTGCTTTCATTTGACTGTTTGAACATTATTTAGTATTCTATTTTATATACTATGGTTTTGACTATATCTTTTTGTATAATTCTTTAGTGGCTGCTCTAGGAATTATAAAATACTTACTTTTCGTTGTCTACTTCGGATCATTTCATTGTTTTACTGCTTCATTTGGCATATAGAAACCTTATCACCCTTTCCCCTGCACCATATATATATTGTTGTCTTATATTTTATATTTACATACATTATATACTCTATCAGACATTATAATTTTTTCCAACCATCAATCATATTTTAAGGAAAAAAGTAGCCATTATATTTAACCAGATAGTTATTTCTGTTGCTGTCTCTTTATTCCTGATGCCTCAAATTTCCTTCTTATATCTTTTTCTTGTCTCTGAAGAATATAGTTTATCAATTTTTTTAGAGTAGGTCTAATGGTTTCTGAAAAGGAATCTGCAGCCATTCAAATCATTGTTTTCCTATAGGTAATTTATCATTTTTCTCTGGTTGCTTTGAAGACTTCGTCTTTAGTTTTCAGCAGTTTAATTATGATGTGTCTGGTTGCAGATCTCTTTGGATTTATCCTAGTTAGGGTTCATTCTGCTTCTTGAACTTGTAGACTTATATCTTTCCATAAACTTGGGAACTTTCCAGCCATTTTTTCCAATGTTTTTTCAACACTACACTCTTTCTCTTCTCCTTCTAGACCTCCAATGACAAAAATGTTAGTCCTTTTATAATTGTTCCTCTGATCCCTAAGGCTTTGTTCTTTTTCCCTTCGATCTTTTTTCCTCTATATTGTTAGATTGTATAATTTTAATGGATCTATCTTCAAGTTCACAGATTTTTTCCTCTGCCATCTCCAATCTGTTAGTGAATACATTAAGTTAAAATAATTTTATATTGAAAACTAAAATTTCCATTTGGCTTTTATTTATGTCTTCTATTTCTTTGCTGAGACTTTCTGTTTTAACATCTGTTTCAAGTGTGTGCACAATGGCTTACTCAAGCTTTTTTTTTATTTTTAGAGATGAGGCCTCACTGTTTTGCCCAGGCTGGTCCTGAACTCCTAGGCTGAAGCAGTCCCCCTGCCTCAGCTTCACAAGAGTCACTGGGATTACAGGCTCGGGCCACCATGCCAGTGTTGCTCAAGTTCAAGCATTTTACAATGGTTGCCTTGAAGTCTTTATCAGATAATCTCAACACTTGTGTCATCTCAGCTTTGGCTTGTTTTGTTTGTCTTTTCCCATGCAAGTTGAAATTTTCACGGTTCTTTATATGCAGGGAAATTTTGGATTTGCATCCTGGACATTTTGAATACTCTGGGTCTTGTTTTGATCCTATGAAGAATGTTGATATTTTTGTTTTAACATTTAATTAGCAAGATTAGGTTCAGGCTACAAGAACCTACCTACTTATGGACTGTAGTTTTAATGTTAGCTCAGTTTTCAAAGTCTCTTCAGATCTTCCCCAGGTGTATGCCATTCAATGGTCAGACTGTGACCTGAGTGATTAGCTCAATTTTCAAAATCCTTTGTATACGACTCAGGGTTAGATCTATGCATGCCTCACTCAGGGATGAGTTCTGGAGTTTATAAACAACTTTATGGGATCACTTTCCTGAGCTCCTTCTTCTCTGTGATCTCCTGGATGCTTCCCAGTTCTCTGGGACTCCCTGTTTTGGCCATCTAGCCAGAAACTTTAGGGTTCAGTTACCCTGTTCTGCCATACGCTTCCAAGTTTAGGCCCAAGTCTGGGCTCAGAAGTGAGAAGAGAGGCAATAAACAACAGGGATTGTCCCTACCCTCTTGGGATCGGGACTCTGATGAACAGAGAAAACAATTTCCCTTCCTCAGAGTTCTGGCTTCTGCAGGCCACTATGCGTAGCCATAGCCATTTCTGTCATGGGATTGTCTGTGGCTGTTTACTTTTCAGAGTCCTCAAGTAGCTGTCTCTGCATTTTGTTTAGTTTTTATAGTAGTATTACCCAGAACTGAAGTATTGAATAATGAATGAAATTATCAAATTAAATATCACAACTCATAAAACAAGAATTAAAAGACCAGTAATGAAAATGATAAGAGATTAGGAGGGTAGATTCAAAAGATCTAGCAGACAATAATAGTTCCAGAGGGAGAACAAAACAAATAGTAATAAAGAAAAAGAATTGCAAAAGATCTGGATTCATAGACTCAAAGGGCTCACTGAAGTCCAGACAAGATTGATAAAAAAGACATAAAAGTATGTATACCTAGTAAATTTATCTAGCAATGAAGAAAATATTATTAAAAGCTTCTAATGGTAAAGAATTTACCATTCATAAAGGTAAAACATCTCATCAGTAGTTCTAGAGACTAGAAAACACTGGAATGATACCTACTAACAAGAAAGAAGTATTGCAGCCTGTAATCCCAGCACTTTGGGAGGCCAAGGCAGGTGGATCACTTGAGCTCAGGTGTTCGAGACCAGCCTGGGCAACATGGCAAAACCCCATCTCTACTAAAAATCCAAAAATCAGCCGGGCGTGCTCCGGGTGCGGTGGCAGGTGCCTGTAATCCCAGCTACTCACGTGGCTGAGGCACGAGGATCTCTTGGTGGAGGTTGCAGTGAACTGAGACTGTGCCACCCTCCAGCCTGGGTGACAGAGCGAGACTCTGTCTCAAAAAGCAACTAAAAGTTATCTAAAAATTAAAAAAAAGAAGTATTGCAACCGGGGAATCCAAACAAACCAGTCTATCAGAAGAAATATCTTTGTGCTAAGGTCCATAGAAATATTTTACCCAATTTCCCTTCAGGAAAAAAATTAGGAAAGAACGTTAATCAAAAACCAAATGTATTTGAATGAAATCCGAAGGAACATTAAAGATGAAGAGGAGAGGAAACCTATGAACCTTGCAGTATGTGTATGATTAAATGTAAATATATAATAATAAACAAGCTGGAAATATATAATATGGCTGCGAAATTTTTTTTAGACACTTCTCAATTGACAAGATGGAAATGAATAGCAACTTCATTAAACTAGCAAAAGTAAAGGTAAAAGAAGAAACCATGACATTAAGTAAAGAAGGAATAATACCAAGTATATCAGATGTCATAACAAAGGTGAACAGGCTGATTTCTTCCATTAAGAAGCATATATTATCAGATTAATTTTTAAAACAAATAAAGCTAAAAGCTGTTTCTCATAAATACATTAAGTTAAAATATTTTAAAATACTTTACAAAATTCTTGAATAGTTAAAAAGTTAAAGGATAAAGAGAGATCAGACAACTGTAAACAAAATGTGGACATCACTACGAATATTAGGTAAGGTAAGATTTAAGGTTAAAAGCACCAAACATTTTAAAGAAGGACATTATATAAAGCTACATATATATGGAGGAAATGAAGAAACAACAAACTAGATTTAGTAGATACATGACTTTACATCCCTTAAGTGGAGAACGTACATACTTTTTGTAAGTCAGTGGTACATTTACCAAAATTGTTCTTGGCCACTAAGCAAACTTTAACAAATTCAGCCGGGCGCTGTGGCTCACGCCTGTAATCCCAGCACTTTGGGAGGCCGAGACAGGTGGATCACCTGAGGTCAGGAGTTCGAGACCAGCGTGGCCAACATGGTGAAACCCCGTCTCTACTAAAAATACAAAAATTAGCCGGGTGTGGTGGCACACGCCTGTAATCCCAGCTACTCGGGGGGCTGAGGCAGGAGAATCGCTTGAACTCTGGAGACAGAGGTTGCAGTGAGCCGACATAGTGTCACTGCACTCCAGCCTGGCGACAGAGCGAGACTCCGTCTCAAAAAAAAAAAAAAAAAAAAAATTCAAAAAGGTAGCTATCTTACAGGCCACATTCTTTGATCATAAGGTATAGAAACTGGAAATAATTCATGGTAACATCACCACCACCTCATGTTTTGGAAATTCATAATTACATTTCAGAAAACTCCAGAATCAAAGATGAAATGAAAATTGAAGTTACAAGTTGGAAATCAAGGAAAAGGAGAATAACCACTTCTACAACTTAGGGGACCCAGAGAAACTTATATTCAATGAAACTTCGTAACCTAAAAAAAAAAAAAATAAAATATATATATATATATATATATATATATATATATATATGTATGTATGTATGTATGTATGTATACACACACACACACACGCATACATATTAACTCATTGAACAAAAAGAATATGTAGCCATCTTAAGACACTAAAACAGAGGAGAATGAGAGGAAATGGTGTATAGGAGGCAGGACTAACTTGGCAGCTCCCACTCAGATGGACAGAGCAGTGTATGGAGATGCATATCGTGAACTTTTGCTATAAGAACTACCACAGGAACGCTCCAGGAAAGCGGAGAGGATCCACAGACCCTTTGAAGGAAGTGGATTGCCGCTGCAGGCACTGTGGGACAGCCAAGGAACTGTGAGTTGGCTGGCTTTCTCAGCTGGGTGGCTTAAAGCCTGGGGCAAGTCCTCAGCCCTGCTGGAAATAAACTCAGAGCTGTTGTAGGGGCGCAGTGGGAGTGAAACCAGCCCTTTAGGCTGTAGGTTGCATGGGAGCTGGGTGAAGCCTTTGGCTGCCGGCCTTCCCCAACTTCCTTGGTGACCTGTGTGACACAGCAGAGGCAGCCATAATCCCCCTGGGAACATAACTCCATTGGCCTGGGAACCATGCCCCCATCTACCACAGCAGCAGCGGCAAGCCTCACCCAAGGAGATCTGAGCTCAGACATGCCTAACCCTGCTCCCACCTGATGGTTTTTCTCTACCTGCCCTGGTAGCTGAAGACAAAAGACATAATCTCCTGGGAGCTCTATCGGCCTGCCCACCACCTAACCCTAGGGCAAGCATGTATCCTTTCTATACTACTGCAGCTGATGCCCTCTTGAAAGTGCCACCTCCTGGCTGGAGGCCAACCAACACAAAACCAGTACATTTAACAAAAATACAACCAAGGGCCCTCATAGAGGCCACTTCACTCCCCTGCTGCCTCTACGGTTGCCGGTGCTGGTATCCACGGCTGAGAGACCTGAAGACAGATCACATCACAGGACTCTTTGCAGAAACTGCCCTGTACCAACCAGACCCCAGTAGCTCTGCTGGTTGGCTAGATCCAAAAGAGAAATAACAATCACTGCAGTTTGGCTCTCAGGAAGCCCCAACCTTAGGGGAAGGAGGAGAGCACCAAATCAAGGGAGCACCTCGTGGGACAAAAGAATCTGCAGAGCAGCCCTTGAGTCCCAGATCTTCCCTCTGACATAGTCTACCCAAATGAGAAGTAATCAGAAAAACAATTCTGGTAATATGATAAAACAAGGTTGTTTAACACCCCCAAAGGATCACACACCTTAGGGGAAAAGGATTCACATAAATACAAAAAATTGACATAGAATACCTGACATCAAGATGGAAATTAAAAAATTCTTTGAACTGAATGATAATAGTGACACAACCTGTCAAAACCTCTGGGATACAGCAAAAGTGGTGCTAAGATGAAAGTTCATATCATTAAATGCATACCTCAGGAAGTCTGAAACAGCACAGACAGACAATCTAAGGGCATACCTCAAGGAACTGGAGAAACAGCAAACCAAACCCAAACCCAACAGAAGAAAAAAAATAACCAAGATCAGAGCAGAAATAAATGAAATTGAAAGGACAACAACAACAAAACACAAAAGATAAATGCAACAAAAAGCTGGTTCTTTCAAAAGATAAATAAAATTGATAGACCATTAGCTAGATTAACCAACAAAAGAAGAGAGAAGATCTGGTAAATTCAATTAGAAACAAAATGGGAGATATTACAACCCTTACTACAGAAATACAAAAGATCATTCAAGGCTACTATCAACATCTTTATGCACATAAACTAGAAAACTTAGAGGAGATGAATAAATTCCTGGAAATACGCAACCCTCCTAGATTAAACCAGGAAAAAATAGAAACCCTGGACAGACCAGCAACAAGCAATGAGATTGAAATGGTAATAAAAAAGTTACCAAAAAAAGTTTAGGTACAGACTCACAGCTGAATTATATCAGACATTCAAAGAAGAATTTGTATCAATCCTATTGACACTGTTCCAAAAGATAAAGAGGGATTCCTCCCTAAATCCTCCTGTGAAGCCAATATCATGCTAATACCAAAACCAGGAAAGAACAAAGACAACCGCAGACCAACATCCCTGATGAACATAGATGCAAAAACCCCCAACAAAATACTTGCTAACCAAATCCAGCAGCATATAAAAAATATAATCCACCATGATCAAGTGGGTTTCATACCAGGAATGCAGGGATGGTTTAACATATGCAAGTCCATAAAGGTGATACACCACACAAACAGAATTAAAAACAAAAATCAGATGATTATCTCAATAGATGCAGAAAAAGCATCTGACAAAATCCAGCATCCCATTATGATTAAAACCCTCAGCAAAATCAGCATAGAAGTGACATACCTTAAGGTAATAAAAGCCATCTATAGCAAACCCACAGCCAACATTATACTGAAAGGGGAAAAGTTGGGAAGCATTCCCCCTGAGAACTGAAACAAGACAAGGATGCCCACTTTCACCACTTCTATTCAACATAGTGCTGGAAGTCCCAGCCAGAGCAATCAGACAAGAGAAAGAAATCAAGGACACCCAAATCAGTAAAGAGGAAGTAAAACTGTTGCTGTTTACTGATAACATGATTGTATACCTAGAAAACCCTAAAGACTCATCCAAAAAGCTCCTAGAACTGGTAAATGAATTCAGCGAAGTTTCAGGATACAAAATTAACATACACAAGTCAGTAGCTCTGCTATACACCAACAGTGACCAAGCTGAGGATCAAATCAAAAACTCAACCCCTTTTATAATAGCTTCAAAAAAGAAAAATAAAATACTTAGGAATATACCTAGCCAGGGAGGTAAAAGACCTCTACAAGACAAAACACTGCTGAAAGAAATCATGGATGACACAAACAAATGGAAACACAGCTAAATTCTACATTTGGATGGGTAGAATCAATATTGCGAAAATAACCATACTGCCAAAAACAATCTACAAATTCAATGCAACTTCCATCAAATACCACCATCATTCTTCACAGAACTAGGAAAAAAGAGCCTGCATAGCCAAAACAAGACTAAGCAAAAAGAACAAATCTGGAGGCATCACCTTACCCTTCTTCAAACTATACTATAAGGCCATAGTCACCAAAACAGCATGCTAGTGGTAATAAAAATAGGCATATAGACCAACGGAACAGAGTGGAGAACCCACAAGTAGAGCCAAATACTTACAGCTAGCTGATCTTCAGCAAAGCAAACAAAAACCTAAAGTGGGGAAAGGACACCCTATTCAACAAATAGTCCTGGGACAATTGGCAAGCCACATGGAGGAAAATGAAAATGGATCTTCATCTCTCACCTTCTACAAAAATCAACTCAAGATGGATCAGAGACTTAAATCTAAGACCTGAAGCCATAAAAATTCTAGAAGATAACATTGATAAAACCCTTCTAGACATTGGCCTAGGCAAAGACTTCATGACCAAGAACCGAAAAGCAAACACGACAAAAACAAAGATAAATAGATAGGTCTTAATTAAACTGCACAGCAAAAGAAATAATCAGCAGAGTAAACAGACAACCCACAGAGTGGAAGAAAATCTTCACAACCTATACATCCAACAGAGGACTAATATCCAGAATATTCAAGGAACTCAAATCAAGAAAAAGATAAACAATCCCAACAAAAAGTGGGCTGACATGGATAGACAGTTCTCAAAAGAAGATATACAAATGGCCAACAAATATGACAAAATGCTCAACATCACTAGTGATTAGAGATGTGCAAATCAAAACCACAATGTGATATTACCTTAGTCCTGCAAGAATGACCATAATCAAAAAATCAAAATATAGTAGATGTTGGCATGGATATGGTGAAAAGGGAACACTTTTCCACTGCCAGTGGGAATGTCAACTAGTACCACCACTATGGAAAACAGTGTGGAGATTCCTTAAAGAACTAAAAGTAGTACTACCATTTGATCCAGCATTCCCACTCCCGGGTATCCACCTAGTAGAAGAGAAGTCATTATACAAAAAAGATACTCACACATGCATGTTTATAACAGCACAATTCGCAAGTGCAAAAATATAGAACCAGCCCAAATGCATATCAATCAACAAGTGGATAAAGAAAATGTGGTTGTGTGTGTGTGTGTGTGTATCATGGAATACTACTCAGCCATAAAAAGGAATGAAATCATGGCTTTTACAGTGACCTGGGTGGAATTGGAGACCATATTGTAAGTGAAGAAACTCAGGAATGGAAAACCAAATATTGTATGTTCTCACTCATAAGTGGGAGCTGAGCTATGGAGGACACAAAGGCATAAGAATGATACAGTGGACTTTGGGGACTCGGGGGAAAGGGTGGAAGTGGGGTGAAGGTTAAAAGACTGCACATTGGGTACAGTATGTACTGCTTGGGTGATGGGTACCCCAAAATCTCAGAAATCACCACTGAAGAACTTATGTAACCAAACACCACCTGTTCCCCCCAAAACCTATTGATAAATAAAAAATTCTAAAAATTCAAAAAAGTAAAACAAAAACTAAGTAATATATAGTAGATAGAAAATACAGGGGCTGGGCATGGTGGCTCACACCTGTAATCCCAGCACTTTGGGAGGCCAAGGAGGTGAATCACCTGCAGTCAGGAGTTTGAGACCAGCCTGGCCAACATGGTGAAACCCCATCTCTACTAAAAATACAAAAATTAGCCAGGTGTGGTGGCAGATGCCTATAATCCCAGCTACTCAGGTGGCTGAGGCAGGAGAATCACTTGAACCTGGGAGTTGGAGGTTGCAGTGAGCCGAGATTGCACCACAGCACTCCAGCCTGGGTGACAGAGTGAGACTCCGTCTCAAAAAAAAAAAAAAAAAAAAGAAAAAAAAGGAAAAAATGCATACATAGATATACATACATATAATATACATCCTATAAAAGCCATTTAAAACATTAAAACAAAAATAAAAGGTAAAAACTGAAATTAAATAGGAAATTTGGGCAAGCATGTGCCATAGAAGAAGCAAGAGACTGATAAAATATTTAACAATCAGTTTGGCATGGAAACGAACTAAGCCAAGTGAATGCTAGCTATTAATAACCAGTAAGCAATGCTTTTATATAAAAAAGAGATTGGAAAGGTGATTTTAAAAGACACCAGGGCTTGCTTTTTGTCCTTACCCTTCTACCCCAGGCTCTTCTGCCTTCCCTCTTCTCTTTCCCTTTTTACCCTCCCTCCTTTATGTGTCTACTCTTTCCTCTCTCCTTGCCCATTTTCCCTTCTCTTTTCCCTCTACTCCTATGCCATTGTGTTGGGGGAAGTCCTCAAGACCATCCCCAGGTTTTATGATTTTCTAGAAGGGCTGAGAACTCAGCATTTAATTATGACTCAATTACTCATGACTGTGATTTATTACAGTGAAAAGATACAAGATAAACTCAGCAAAGGGAATAGGTGCATGGGCAAAGTGTGGAGGAAACCAGGCACAGGCTTCCAAGAATCCTTTCCTAGTGGAGTCACACAGGACACACTCTATTCCTTTAGCAACAAATTGTGACAACATATGTGAAATGTCTATCAGGGAAGCTCATTAGAGACTCAATGTTGAAGGTTTTTACTGGGTACCGTTCATAAAGGCACCCTCTATCTAGCATGTACCAAAATTCCAGACTCCCAAAAGTAGAGCAGGTATTCATCATAAAGCACATTATTTTCTCAAATAGTTTAGGCACAGTGAGCCATTCTTATCCAGTCATGGTGGGCACCCTCCTGAAATCCCAGACTGTAACCAAGAGCCAATCTTGCAAGCAGAACTTTTTAAGGGTAGCCGTCTCAGGCCTGCTATGTTAACCTATGTTTTGTACACCTTGTCTCCTGCCACTCCCCACCTCTCTTTCCCTTTATAGTATTATTGCCCTTTTCCCTTCATCTTAAACTCTCCTTCTAGTTCACAGACAATTCAGTCCTGAAGTCATTATGTTGGGCAGAGGTAAGCTTTCTCACTTAGTATGGGATTAGGTTTCCTAGAGTGGAATTTCAGAGCCTGAGCAGGTTGAGGAAGTAGTTTAATTGTGGGGACATACAAATTTAGGTGATAAGGATTTTAGAGGAGACAGAAATCAGAGCCCAAGCTGTTGGGGGAGGGGATGGTAGTGGAGATGGGAGATTGGTTACATACAGGGGATTGATAAATATATTGGTAGTAATGGGAGCCATGCTTCTTACTGGGAGCCATGCTTCTTACTGTTAGGAAGAGGGAGCTGAAGGAAAAGATGATTACCTTTATACATGTTTGAATGATACTGTTTTTACTTGTTACAAAGAGCATATATTCTGTTGTAATTTGAAAAATGATCATATGGAAAAATATTTTCAGAAAAATGGCAATTTCAATGGAAAAATATGAAAAAAAAAGTTTTGATGAAATATTGAAGTTCAGAAATGACAGAACAGCATAGTGGTCTGGGGAAAGAATGTCAAAGTTCAGGGCTGAATGTGGTGGCTCACACCTGTAATCCCAGTACTTTGGGAGGTGAAGGTGAGAGGATTGCTTGAGGCCAGGAGTTCCAAACCAGCCTGGGCAACATAGCAATACTTCATCTCTGCAAAAAAATACCAAAACTTAGCCAGGTGTGGTAACATGCAATTGTAGTCCTAGCTATTTGGGAGGCTGAGGCAAGAGGATCCCTTAAGCCCAGGAGTTTGAGGCTATAGTGAACTATGATTTTGCCATTGCACTCCAGCCTGGGTGACAGAGGAAGACCCTGTCTCTAAAAGTAAATTTAAAAAAAAATTTAATGTTAAAGTTCAAATGCGGCTCAGCCAAATATTAGCTGTGTGACCTTGGGCAAATTACTCTTCTATTAATCTTATAATCAGGAGATGCATTTAATAATAATCACCACTCCTGGGACTACCACTTATTACACTTCTTATTACTACCTATTACAATGAGTAGTAGGCTTTTTTTTTTTTTGAGACGGAGTCTTGCTTGCTTTGTCACCCAGGTTGGAGTATAGAGTGCAGTGGCATGATCTCAGCTCACTGCAACCTCCGTCCCCTGAGTTCAAGCAATTTTCTCACCTCAGCCTCCTGAGTAGCTGGGATTATAGGCATGCCCCACCACACCTGGCTAATTTTTTTGTATTTTTAGTAGAGACGGGGTTTCACCATGTTGGCCAGGCTGATCTTGAATCGCTGACCTCAAGTGATCCGGCCTCCTTGGCCTCCCAAAGTGCTGGGATTACAGGCATGAGCCACCATGCCCGGCCTGGCTTTTTATATTAGCTGTTATTGTTATTGATCAAAGTCAGATAACTCATTACTGTTTGTCTGGATATTTAAACCTAAGGCTAAATTGCAATGTATATAGATGTATTGCAATAAATGTCACCCAGGCTGGAGTGCAGTGGCGCGATCTCGGCTCACTGCAACCTCTGCCTCCTGGGTTCAAGCGATTCTCCTGCCTCAGCCTCTGGGATTACAGGCATACGCCACTAGGCCTGGCTCATTTTTTAGTTTGTTTTTGTTTTTGTTTTTAGACGGAGTCTTGCTCTTATCACCCAGGCTGGAGTGCAGTGGTGTGATCTCGGCTTACTGCAACCTCCGCCTCCCAGGTTGAAGTGATTCTCCTACCTCAGCCTCCCAAGTAGCTGGGATTACAGGCACAGGCCACCACGCCCAGCTAATTTTTGTATTTTTAGTAGAGACGGGGTTTCACCATGTTGGCCAGAATGGTCTCAATCTTGTAACCTTGTGATCCTCGGCCTCCCAAAGTCCTGGAATAACAGGCATGAGCCGCCGCACCTAGCCTAATTTTTGTATTTTTAGTAGAGACAGGGTTTAGCCATGTTGGCCAGGCTGGTCTCGAACTCCTCACCTTAGGTGATCCGCCCACCTCAGCCTCCCAGAGTGCTAGGATTACAGGCATGAGCCACTGCGCCTGGCCTGCTTGTCATTGTTGTACTATATGTAATGTCTAGAAGACAAAGGGCCATGTATATCTTCAAATCAGATACTTTATACTGCTAAAATGATTTCCAAAATGCTTATAATTACTTGTACTAATGTCAATGAATGAAAGTATCAGTTTATGCCTTTCCAGCATTGTGCATTGTTATCTTTTTAAAAAACTGATAATTTTATAGGCCAAAAATTTATAATTTGATATTTAAACTAGCATTATTTTAATCAATAATGAATTTAGAAATAATTCTGGTTAAATTAGTGTAGATGCTAATAACAGCCAACAGATTAAGAGAGATTCAAATAGTTAATATTCGCTAGATACTTACAATGTACTAGGCATTGTAATTAGCACCTTTTATATACAAACTCATTTAATCTTAATAATATGCTCACCAGGATAATGATGGTTTACAGTTATAAAATATCAGAAATGTCATTTGTCTTAGTTTGTGAGAGTACTTGTTAATTATTTGTATTGATATTTAAGTGGCTTTATTTAAATACACATAAATGTTAAGTTGAACATAGTCTCTTTTCTTTTAAGACAGGATCTCACTCTGTCACCCAGGCTGGAGTGCAATGAAGTGATTATGGCTCACTGCATCCTTGAACTCCTGGGCTCAAGCAATCCTCCTGCCTCAGTCTCCTGCATAGGAGCCCACCACCATGCCCAGCTTATTTTTATTTTATTTTTTGTAGAGATGGGGTCTCGCTATGTTGCCTGGGGTGCTTTCCAACTCCTGGTCTCAGGGAGTCTTCTCACCTCAGCCTCCCAAAGCGCTAGGATTACAGGCATGAGCCACTGCACCCAGCCCATACTCATTTTTTATTTCTGTCCGTCTTTAAGAAACATTTCAAGGAATTTTTTTAATCCTGTAATTTATGCTTTTGTCCATTAGATGTCCTCAGCTACATTTATCAGAATTTAACTTTTTTCGTACAAATTTCCGTCTTTAAATACCTTTAAAAGTTTGCATGTAATTGTTACTACTGCTGATATTTTAAACATTTATACAAGATGTCTAAAAATCTATAAATACGTTAGGATGTGTGGTAGAAGATTTAGACATTTCTTGTGATTTTTGTACCATAAGTAATCTTGGTTAAATAAGAAATTTTTAAATGTTAAATTACTTGTTAATTTCTTTCTCCCCCTTTTATTTTTAAGAGTTTTGGGACTGGAATTAAATAAAGACAGAGATGTTGAAAGAATCCACGGCGGTGGAATTAACACCCTTGACATTGAACCTGTTGAAGGGAGATAGTAAGTTTATTATACTTGTATAATCATTTTTCTTTCTAAGTGAAATGCAGTAAAACCTGCTTTTTCAAATTAATGATGTAGAAGTTTCATTAAAATTAATGAAAATCCTAAATTGTAGCATTTTTGAATCTGGCATTATTAATTTCAAGTAAATACAAAACATCGAACCTACCAAATGTTGTCAAATAAACATTTCCAAGCTACTTTAATATAAATATTTACTTATTGTTAAATTAACAAACATTGAACTTCTTTTGGATGCAGAGGGCTTTTAGGTGCTAGAATGTGTCTTTAGGTGCTATTTTAAAACATAGTTGCTACTCTCAAAAAAGTCTAATGGTAAAATAAATATAAAAAGTGAAAGACTCTTTTGAAGAATTAGATTAGAAACAAATAAGAATTATATTTGAGTTCTTCCTGGCTTTACCCTTACCTAACCTTTCGAATTATCAGTTGCCTTAGCTATACAATGGGAACAATAGTACCTACCTAACAAGCTTGTTTTGAAGATTGAGATAATATGCACAACATGATTAACGTAAGACCTGGCACGTCATAAACAGTTGCCACCACTGCTGCCACTATTAATCAAAAGCAGTATTACATATACTTTTACTCCTTTCAGCCCAGTCTCTACACAGCAGCCAAAATGCTTTGAAAAACTCAATTCTGAACATATTCTCCTACTTACAATTCGTCATAACACTGCATTACTCTTAAAAGACCGTACAAAACCTTTCATGTGGCCTACAATTAGGCCACATATAGCATTAACTAAAGGAAGCAGTTTGTGTTATGGTATGTTTCATGTGGCCTATAATTAGGCCACATATAGCATTAACTAAAGGAAACAGTTTTTGGTGTTATGGTATGTTTAGCATTTCCCCCAGAATTTTTATTTTATACTGAAATATTATTATTAATACATTAAGTCAAGTCAGAACAGATTTGATAAACTTCCACTTTTTACTTCCAGCTTCCACCATGGTCTCATCTACTAGTATATGAGAAACATCTTACTTTAGCATGTGGTTAAATCTAAAAGATGAGTAATAATTCTTTTCTTTTTCCTGACCTTTTCCAGGCTCAGTGTAACACCTTCTATTCAAGGACAGCTGGGGGGGCACTCACTTATGAAACATGCAGACATGAGCAGCAGGAGATAGCTGACTTTTGGGTTTGGATGCTGGTCAGGAAAGTAATCAATACTGTTACTCCAGCCAGCCACTTGGTGTAGTAATCAGTTGTGTGGCCTGTGATGTATGAGAAGCCAGTAGACTACCAGTTGGCAGAGTTGGTGAGAAATATGGGAAGTTACAGATTATATGTGCATGAAATATATTTGAGAAATGCAGATGAGGCATCTTTTAATACAGCACATAGAGAAAAGTCTGAAGACTCTTGCTACAGTGATTTTCCGCTTTATTGCACGGTAAAAGTCTACAACTATTTCATTGTTTGCTAAGACTTGTATTTTGCATTAACCCCTTTTGATAGCAACAAGAGATATTAAAAGGAAAGCGTACATTCTGTGGAAAACTAAAAAAATCGATGTGTATATAACTTGTTCAAAACACCTGTTAATATTTACCATCCACCATGAGAGCTGTAAAGGTGTCACTGAAAATCAGATTGGAAACCAGACAGAATACACAAATCTGGCAGAGATTTTCAAAGTAAGGTGTTATTTTACAAAAAGTATCTGAAAATTACAGTTTAACAGGTGCAACTGCAGAGGGTGCATTTGCGTATCACTCTGTGAAGCTTGAATTTTCTTTTATACCTTTTAAATTCTTCTAAGTTAATTTCATTCATCTTTAATACTAAGTTTTCTTGTCTATATAAAAACATGAAACCATATCTCTTCATACTCTATCAGCAAAAAGTATCTCATAGTTAATGTCAGTGCCATCAGATACTTCAAATAGAAAGTTAATGGAATCAGAGAAAAGCTTTTGGAAGCCATTTTAACAGAGTCAAAACATCTGACATTATTGTAAATACCATATCAATTAAGATTAAAATTTCAACTTTTAACATAATTTTGTTTTATATTGATAATACATCTGTATGGCAAGAAAAGCAACGTTTCATGAAGATTAATTACGAAGCAAAAGTGTTTTGGGAATTGGTTGTAGTATACATGTAACTCACAACTGTGTCCAAACATTTTATCAATCTAAATAAAAGTTGTAGTTGTTAAAATTTACAAATATTTCTCTATGTACACAATTAGAGTAACTGAACTACAAAATGTAATAAAGCTAATGTGGAATATTTTTTAAAATAACTAAGTAGGGCATTATTAGCAGTCTTTCTTTACTGCCCATCAATTGGATTTTTGAGCCTTCAAATAACTACTTTTAAATTAACCCTATTGTTTTATAAATTGGTATTGAATTTATCTTAAAAACAAGTCTATAAATCAATACATGCTACTAGTTCATGAACTATTTGTGACTGGGTCACAAGATAAGGATCTTGTGCTAAAACATAAATCTACTACATCATTACACACACCATTTAAAGGAGCTAAGACATGTTTGTAACAAGACATTCTCAGTGAAGAAAGACGTGTGTTTGTTTCTGGTACAAGCTCCTTATCTTGGAGAGTTAAATAGCACTGCCTCTACATTTAATTGTATTTTGTTCAAAATCAGATGAAAATCTTTCAATCAAAATACTCAGTGAATGTAGTGCCAAAAACTGTAGTTTGGGTGCCATTCTTGAAAGATGACAGGCCGGGTGCAGTGGCTCACACCTGTAATCCTAGCACTTTGGGAGGCCGAGGCGGGCGGATTACCTGAGGTCAGGAGTTCAAGACCAGCCTGGCCAACGTGGTGAAACCCCGTCTCTACTAAAAATAGAAAAAATTAGCCAGGTGCAGTGGCGCGTGCCCGTAATCCCAGCTACTCTGGAGGCTGAGGCAGGAGAATCACTTGAACCTGGGAGGCAGAGGTTGCAGTGAGCCGAGATCATGCCACTGTACTCCAGTCTGGGCTACAGAGCGAGACTTCTTCTCAGAAAAAAAGAAAGAAAGATGACAATGTCAATGCAGTTTTTAATGTTCCTCTAGTTCTCCATTAAAACACATAAAGAGACTAAAAATGGCAAATAGGAAAAACCAGATTAACACTTACAACCAAACTAGGTCATGAAGTATCCCTACAAACCCCAAACTGTGAATAAGTGGGAACAAACCACTGACAACTAAAAGATCTGTGCACTACCAGCATTTTTGCTAGAGGAGGCAGTAAAAAGCGATAAGGCATCTGATATACCTGGATAAGTCCAAAGTAACCAACAGGTTGGTTGAAAACTTAGCAAGCAAATTTGACTACAGCAGCTCAAACTGGGAGAAGATGGCATACTCTAATTGTAGATATGTTTGAGTGGCCCATGGTAAGACCAGAAGGAGCTATAGCAGTCTGGACTCTAATATCTTTCCAAAGAGCTAACCAGTCAAAGTGCGCCCCCAGTACAGAACTATATACTGAGGAAAACTGCTGGAAATAGAATCCAAATTGAGCAGTACAGAGACAATAGAAACAAAGGAAAAAGATGTCCCCGATAAAATTGGAAAGGTGAACAGAAACAGGAAATCTCTGAAAGTAAGCTTCCATATTTTGAAATCTTACCCCCCAAAAAAAATTTTTAAGGGAAGAAGAGGATGTTTTAATATATAAAATTTAAACATTATTGTAAGTCAAGCCTCCATTCTAAAAGGTTAAGAAAATTAATTTTACATAAAAATGAGCAAAGGAATAGGATTAAGGTCAAAGTTCCTACAAAATCATTATAAAAACAAAGAGAATAAGAAGTGGACTAAAGCTGCTACAGATAGTGAAGTCACACCGGAAAGAAGTATCTATAAAACAGATGAGAACTCTAACCTAATATTTCAAAACTAGGTAAAAGTTGTTTTATAAACATATAATAAATGAGAGAATAATGTTAAGTTATTAGAAAACCTCAGAAATGAGATGCTCAAACTCAGAAAATTAGAAATAAAAATATTTCAGAAATGAAGACTGACTAAAACTTAAAGAACACAAATAAATGGAAGAGGTAATGCCTTAGAAATAGAAACTAGAAAGGAGGAAAATTTTAAAAGCCAAAAAGAAATGAACAGAGGAAAATAATTCAAGAGGTGTATATATAGAACATAGGCAAAGAAGATCCAGCATAACATATGATAGAAGTTCCCAAAAAAGAAACCAAGGCAAAAGAGCAGAATAAATATTAAAACAATAATTCAAGAAAGCTTTTCTAGGATAAATAAGATCTGGAACTTTATATAAGAGGGGGGGATTTATATTGTCACTAGACTTTGACTTTGGGCTTTCTGGCAGAAGAAATGAAGCTTCTTATCCAAGATGCTCAAGGAAATAAAATGTGAGTCAAGGATTTTATATCCAGCCAAACTGATTTCAGATACAAAAAGGACGGATAAATTGTCAACAACACAAGAATTCAGAGACTGTTGTTCTCATTAGCCATTCCTTAGGAATCAACCAGAGAATGAAATCATTCAACCAGAATGACAAGAGAGACAGCAACTTAAGGATTGACGGTGAGCAATAATATTAGCAGATAGCAACACTTTATATAAATGTATAAATTGATGGATCTAGATATTGGTTTGTCTGCTAATATCACATCACAACAAAGAGCAATGGGAAATAGAAATTATTTTAAATTATAGCACATGAATGCAGTCACCAAAGTCCAGGCTGGAAATTACAGGACAAATGATCTGGTTTTTGCAACAAATAAATTACAAGAGAGGGGAAAAGTACAGGAGGGAGGAAGAAAGGTAGAGGAGACCTATAGCTTAAAGTTAAAAGACATTAAAATTTTTTTAAAAAGCAAAGCTAATATTCATGTGTACACTCTAAGGTGATGAACTATGAACTATACAGAAGAGAAAGACAGTGACTACGATAAAAATCATGATAATGAGTTACTTTGAGGTGAAAAGGAAAGAGTGATGATGTAGAGAGATTGCATTGTTTGGATCTCTGTGAAGAATTTTTGATGGTTCCCCTATTTTTGATTGGGATAAATGTATATTTGTAATTGGGATAAATGTATATTTTGTAATGGAATAACATTCACAATGTCTAAGATTTTATAATATTTAAATTTGGTGTAACTTCCAAAAGAGACATAAAGAATTTGTTCAAGGAGAATTTTGTCTTGTAAAAAAATAAGTATACTAAAGAAAGGTACTTTGAATTAAGGTAAAAACAGTGAAAATAACCTGAAATATTTGCACATTTCAAGAATATCCTCCATTTTGCAGAATTTTCTCTGAACTTATCATATACCTCATCAACTATTGTTATTTCCTAAATTAAACATTATGGCTTTTAGGGAAGTCAGTTAAAGGTGTCAACAACTCCAGATTTAAAGATGATTTTTAGACAATTTTATGCCAAAAAAACTAATAAGATCATATTGAAAAATCCCATTTAAAAAAACACAGTAACAGTATTAGAGACAAATATGGTTAAGAAACTGATTAAAGTATATGAAGTACCAAGAATGATTTTACAAATTATTAAGTTCAATCAATGTATATAGCTTTAGTATATATGCTTGTTACTTTTACTTTTTAGAAATATTTTTGCAAAGTTTTTGAATAGAATAATTTTGTAGGTTCTACCAATATAATAGACCAGCTTGAGAGTGAGTCAATAATTGTTTCCAAAAAAAGATACTGCTAATTTTTTAGCACCCTCTTTTACTCCCAAAAGTAAGGCTTCAGTGGTTTGGCTCCTGCCTCTCATCTCTCACCACTCTTTCCCTTCCACACTGCTCCAGCAACAAATCCCTTCTTTTGGTTCCTAGAATGGGCTTGGATTGTTACTTTCACACCTTTCTGGCTAACTTTGAATCATCCTTCACATACCAGCTTAAATATTGCAATCAGGGAAACTGCTCCTGAATTTCCAAACTAGAATAAAAATAAGTTATTGTCACAGTGATCCCAATCATAACTAATAATTTGTGTGATTATGCATACTACTTGTTTTCCCTATTGGATTGTAAACTCTGCGAAGACAGGAACCATGCCTGCCTTGTTGACAGTTGTTTTAGCAGAGTGTCTAACATTGTAGGAACTTAAAGTTGAATGAATTGAGTGAATGCATTCATAAGAGAAGGAAGGAATCTAACATTTATTGAGCCCCTATTTTTTGCCAGGTACTATAAAAAGAATTTTGCACTTTTATTATCAACACTGTGATTCAGGTAAAAATGTCCCCCTCCTTTACAAATGTTGAGTCTTAGACAGGTGGTATAACTTGCCCAGAGCCAAATAGCAAGTGTCAGTAATAGTTGGTTTGTCTAATTCCTTTTTTATTTAGCATAGTCATAATTAGGACATTTAAAATAACTTTGTAATATTTTACTTTCTTAAGAAATCTCTTTTGCCGTCTTGTTTCTGTCACCCTTTCTTTTTGAAGTTATGGAAGTAAACTTGAAATGATCACAGAATGAATTTTTTTATATTCATTCTTGTATTAAATATTAAGAAATTTTAGTTTATGAAGTCTGTGTTATTGAGGATTAACTTATTATAAATTAATGTATCCTTAATACATTTGAGTGTTTGCAAATCAGTTTTTAGAAATTTGCAATCATAAATAAATGGACTAAATAATAAATAAAATGATAAATTAATGTGAACTTTTTTATTATCAGCATGTTATCAGGTGGTTCAGATGGTGTGATTGTACTTTATGACCTTGAGAACTCCAGCAGACAATCTTATTACACATGTAAAGCAGTGTGTTCCATTGGCAGGTATGTATTTAAAATGTAAAAATTTATGAATTTGTAAATAGTTGAGTATTTTTTGCATCGAATGCAAAACATGAAAATTGCAGTCAAGTGAATGGGTCAAGCGAATGGTTCACATAACACATTTGCATGGCTGTTCCTTGACACTTTCTTGAAAATAGTAACTGACATTCAGGTATAGTTTTTTAACATGTGTCTTCCCCAAAGCAACTTCAGTATCAATTTTCATTAGTATTTTATTTTTAAAAAACTTGTGATTATGTCCTTCTTTTTCTTTACCTACATAGCACATCTCAGTAACTAATTAGAGTTTTTAGTACCACTTAGTGTAAGATTCATTTATAGTCCTTCAGCTAATTATAAACACAAATTAGATTTTCACCTGATACTAATGGAAGAAAAAGGTTTAGATATACTAAACATATTGGTATTCCCTCACCAAACACACACATACACATATACCCACTCACCCCTGTCTTGTCTCTCTACTTACTCAAAGATGTCTAACTTAAAAACATACATCTGTAATACTTGTCTTCTCTGACTGTTCTCTACTGGCTTACCAATCTTGTGATAATTTTTTTTAAGTCTCTAATAAAATGTTTTGTGACATTGTAATTTTTCCATTGTGGTCATTTAATCCTTTCTCTTCACCTACATTCAATCTGATAATGAGCAGACCTTTGAATTAACAGGGAGAATGGGCACTGAGAAAATGCTTTCAAGAGGGAAAACTTTGTAAACATTAACATCAACTATCTATTACAGCTCTTCCCAAAGCATTAGAATATATGCTATGGAATATTTCGGAGGAGATTTGCTATTGTTTGTTGGCTCTGGTGTTTCGCATTAGAAATACAAATTTGGGAAAATCAGTTAATCTCAGCTTCACATTATTTTATTTTAGAAATCAGTATACATGCCCTGTGGTTCTTATACGTTTCTATGAGAATTAAATGAAATACTATCTTTTTAAAAGCGTGTTGAAAACCGAAACCACTGCATAAGTGAAAAGCAATGTACTTACAGGAATACTTAGTACAAAACAAGATATCGCCTCAAATACTCTAGAACTTAGAGACTTAGGCCATATATACTCTCTTCCCACCCTCAATAACAAAAAAAGTCATGTTAATTAATTAAATTCATTTTTATCTTATTTTTATCCTAGCTAACATTTTAACATTAAATTTATTTTGTTACATAGCAAAATAGTATTTTCACCTATTCTACGTGCTACATAATATTCCGTGAGGAACTGTGATTTGCTTTGTTTTGGTTTGTGACATAAGTAAATGCGTAATGTGTCAGTCTTGTTTTACTGTGATTTTATTCTTGGATTCAGATTCTATATTTAAAAGTGTGACTTTGAATTTGAAAATGGACATATAGTATGCATCTTTACAAAATGAGTTATAATAACATTTTATACATCTGAAGGATTTACAATCCAATTTAAAAATAATTTCAATAAAGACTATTATTAAGTTAATGTGACTTAGACTATTTTCTGATGCTTACTATTAGTATACTTAATGTGTTTGTCCTTGAGCACTAAAAAGATTCCTTTCCTCTACCAAAATTCTTATTAAATATAAATGAAAATAACAGAACATATATAGTAACATAATAAAATATCCTATTTTAAAATTTAAACTTAAAATATAAGTGAGCTTTTATTTGTTATCACTACATTAAAAATTTGTTTCATTTAAAAGTAGTATCACTGGAAAAATCTCTGTAGAAGTCAATATTCTTAGGAGCAAAAGGAAATCAATCTGCTTATCTTAAGCGAAATTTATTGGAAGAATATTTAGTATCTCACATAACTGTCAGGAAGATGGGAGAATCAGACTTAGAAAATGAGCAGAAAACAAAAGAAGTCAGGATAGAGAACACAGTCAGGGTCACACCACAGGAACATTAGTTTGGGTTTTGCTATATGTCACCAACGCAGACTCTCAACTCCTCAGCTTTGAATAATGGCTAACTCTCCTAGGAAAAGAGAATGTCTAGAGTCCCTTGCTTTCTGTAAGAAGAGGTAGAGCTCTTATTTTCAGTAAAACAAAGGGCATTTCCTCTAAATAGGAGTTTGAATGCTCATCAGCCAAGAAAAAAAGGCACATGTTCCCTACAATCCACCCATTTGGCTGTCCAGCATGCGTATACACCTTTCTTCCCATAATTACTGTTTTTTAAAAAAATGTTCCAGCCTAACCTAATGCAAATCTTCACTATACAGCCAAAAAGGTGATCATCCTCTTCCCCAAAGGGTGATGATCCTAAGTTGATTTAGTTACCACACCTGGCTCCATTTCAAGGTCATGTTCATTTTTCCACTAGTTTAATTTATCCTATATCAGTATTATACAATTTGTGGACTCAATGATATAGTTAACCTATAAAAATAATAAAGGTAAGAGAGGAAAGAGAAAATTAGTTAAAATATATGAATATTTACAGAGAAAAAAAGGAAATATGAGTAGGCACTATAGTTCTTGTATTTTTGCAGCTGTTTTAATGCCAGAGCTGGCACTTAAGACTTTCCTTCTTTGTGTTCTCATTCCTTCAGATAGCACCACAAATGTTTTAAGGTCCCAAACCTTCATCTTAAGGAATCCAAAAGCATCACGGTTGTATCTGCATAGGGTTGCAGAAGTCTTCTGTTAACTTTTGTTTTCTATGGGAAATTTCAAACATATACAAGATTGGAGAGTTGTATAATGACCTGTGTATCAATCACCCAGCTTCACCAACCATCATAACCAATCTTGTTTCATCTCTACCTCCCACCCATCCACCCTCATAATTATGTTGAAGCAAATCTCGAACAACCTATCGTTTATTCATAATTATTTATATCTCTAAAAGATAAAGACTTTATGAGCATAACTACAGTACCACTATCTTAAATACACAAAAATTATCTATATTAAATATCCAGTCTGTGTTCAAATTTCCCTCTTCGTCTCATAAATCTCTCTTAAAAGCCAGTTTGTTTGAATCAAGATCCAGTTAGGTAACACACTATGTTGGTCACTGGTTCAGAGCATATACTGCATCCTTCAGGACAGCATACCACCCTCACAAGGTGGTGTATTGTAGCTGACGTCATAGAGTCTTCAACATGTTATGTTTTTATGGATGGTGGGTTACATAAGATGTGAATCTCATGGGCCTACACCAGTTGCATTCTTTGGTCATAGAATAAGTTCCTTGATAAGAAGCAATATTGTATAGAATACCATGGAGGTGTGTGAGGCATTCAATAATTCTAAGAATAGTAGTGCTAATAGAATGAGACTTTGGAAAAGCAAATCCAAAACCAAAACAGCTGTCTCTTCCAGTAAGACCAAATCACTCTTTCAAGATGAAAGAAGACCAGTGTAGTTGGCTGATGCCTCCAGGCTGTATATAGTACAAAAACAGAGAATCTTTCACATTGTGACCCTTAGTAGGAGGTATGTCTCTACATCACACAGTGGGAGCCTGAATCTAGAGATGCCTGGACATTCTTTCTCGCCTTCTACACAGCTTGGACACAGGCATGTGATCTCGGTTTGGCCATTCATATCATCCTACCTGAGACTACTACTTGTTCTTAATATAGTACCAGTTTTGAAACTCACATAAGTCAGTTAATGTAAATTTTGATTGCTGTTTTGTAGAGATCATCCTGATGTTCACAGATACAGTGTGGAGACTGTACAGTGGTATCCTCATGACACTGGCATGTTCACATCAAGCTCATTTGATAAAACTCTGAAAGTATGGGATACAAATACATTACAAGTAAGTACATTAAAACATTTGCAGATTGCTTTGTAGGATAAAGGAGAATTTAATCCTAAACCATTTTAGTATGATTATTTGCTGAGATGTCATATATGTTAGATGTGAAAGCAGTACAGTGGTTAAGAAGAGCTAGACTACTTGAGTTCATATCCTGGCTGTGCTGCTGACAGCTGTATGACATTGGGCAAATGTCCAAACCTCTGTGTGTCTTTCTCATCTGTAAATGGGAATAATGATTATAGTATGGTTGTGAGGATTAAATGAGCCAAAATATGTAAAGTACCTAGTACAGTACATAGCATATAGTAAATGCTCAAAAACTGTTAGCTAATATTATTATCCCTTTGTGAAAAATACTATGATCTAGTAATCTAAAGTAGAAAATTGGATTTATCTTTGATTGATCTAAAAACTTGAAGGAGAAAGCTGTTAATACTGTAGCTTAGTAAAGACAAGCAATGGATAATAGTTTGTATGACATTTGGTCAAATTTACATTCCGAGTGCTAATCTTTTCTCTGAGCTCTACTCTGATATGTCTCTACTTTTCTACAGTACCTCTATACTTAAATGTAGTGTCATCCCTTCAAACTTAACATGGTCCCAACTGAACATGATCACATCTCATTAAATTTAGTCATAAAATCTTAGCAATCCTTTCTTCAAACTCTCTCATACCTCTCTTTTCTATTTACCTTGCCTTTACTGCACATCTGGACTACTAAAATCACTGCCTTACCTTCTACATTTTCTACACTAAGTTCTACCCCAGAATTAATCTTATTATAAAGCAGTTTCATCATGTCACTACCCAAACCCTCTAGGGATTCCCATTGTCTAAACTCAGCCTGGCATTCCAAGTTCTCCATGACATCAACCCTTGTTCCTTCAATCCTATGTTCTACCAGTTTTCAACACAAATGCTTTGCTGCAACTAAACTGATCGTGTTTTGAATCTGTTGTATTCCCTACCTCAAGTCCCTTTCCCTTGCAACTCTTCCCTTCTCCTAAGGTCACATCTTTTTTTACAATTACATTGAGCCAAGACTGTAGATGCCAGAGTTCTAGTTCCATTCTGCCACTTATGAGATTTGTTGCTTTAGATAAGTCATTTAATTTGTTAGCAAAGGTCTCTTCAGCTATAAAATTAAAGTGTCAGACTAGATGGTGTCTAAGGTCCCTTTTAGTTCTATCATGCAGTTTAGTGATTTCAGCTTCTGGAGTAAATATTAACCATTATTTTACTTTATAGCACTATTTTCTGTATTCCTATTTCAATACATTCTCATACTACTTTATAATATCATTTTCATACTTGTTTGTCTTATTTGTTGTTCTAGATTGTTACTTCCCCAAAGAAAGTACTATGTCTTATACATTACTAAATTCAGTGCTATGTACAGTAACTGCTGAGTAAATGCTTTAGGGATGACTAACAATGTATGTAACTGGCCACATACTAAAAAGTAATAAAATCATGAAGTATATTATGATTCTAGTGAGCAAAACAAAACAGTGTTGTGTATATAAATGTAAATTTAATATACTTCTAATAATTCAAACTAAATAGATGTGTTTTTTTGACCTTGCTACATTAGAATAGTCCTATTATTTCAGATTTATTTTTATAATAAAGTATATTTATTTAAAATACATGTCATTGAAAATGAGAGTATATTTTAACAATTAAATGAATGTCATGACCTTTCACTTCTGACTATAATGGAATATCTTGTAGCCAAACCAGCACCTCCATTGAGAAAAGCTAGATAAAGCATAAACAGGCATCTAGTTGAGGGTTTTATAAAGCTGCCAAGAAATCTAGGAATTGAGAATCAGATCCTAGAGAGGGGAACACTTACAGAAATGCATTCAACTTTCCACACACTCTTTTTCTCTTTGGACATTTGTCATTAAAGTAAGGCAAGAGACTGAGAAGACAGGCATTGGATAGCTTCTAAGAGGCAGATAAATGAGTGGGACTTTAGTCAATTTCATAAAGCTAGAGAGACAGAAATTGGAATGTGGGCTGCCAAGACAGCCAGAAATTAAAGGGTCAAGATCACAGAAAGAAGAGAGATGCAGAGAAATCAGCCTAACATCTTGCACTGGTTTTTTCTTTGAGATATTTGCTGACCAAGCTATGCGAGACCATAGACTTAAGAAATGAAGCAGAAGACATTTGAAGAACAGCAATTTTCCCCAGTCACATGGTACTGGAGAGAAGAATTGCAGTGCAGTACTTGCTAAGTAGAAGGGGGCCTAGGAAAACACCCAGGCTCTTAGGGCACCTAGAGGGGAATACTCTAATAATGGGTACAAATAGGAGGTAGATGGAGCCTGTGGTAGGCAGCATCATGTCCCGCTCCCAGATGTCTATGTACTAATCTCTAGAACATACGAAGGGGAATTAAGGTTGCCAATCACCTGACCTCAAGACAGGGAGATAATACTGAATTATCCTAGTGGGCCCAATGTAATCATAAGAATCTTAAAAAATGGAAGTGGGAGGCAGAAGGAGACGGGGTAAATTTGACTGGGAGAATGGCCAGAGAAATGTAAAATTGCTAGCTTTGAAGATGGATTAAGGGGATCACAAGCCAAGAAATGTGGGTGGTCTCTGGAAGATGGAGAAAGTATTCTCTCCTAGAGCCTCCAAAAAGGAATGCAGCCTGTCAACACCTTGATTATAATCCATTGAGACCTATGTGAGAATTTTAACTTGTAGAACAGATTTATTACAGATAATAAATTTGTGTTATAAATTACTAAGTATGTGGTACTTACTAAGTACAGTAAGTACTTTCCTTACTGCATCAGTAGAAAATTATTACAGAACTCTACAATAGCAGACAAGCTTTATGTTTGAATTGATATGATCTTCCCTCTCCTACCTGCAAAAGAGAGATTGGATCTTCTCTAGAGGAGGATAACATAACGCAGAATCTCTCCCAATTTTTTCTATATAATTTCTAGCACTCAAAACAGAAACTTCCAAGCTTACCAACAAATGAGCTTAGGAGTAAAAACAGACAATAGAAGAAGACTGACATCTCCAGGCCTAGGTGCCTTTACGAGTAAGTTATTCTAAACACTTAAAAAAGAGATAATACCAATCTTATACAAATGCTTCAAGAGGAAAAAAAGGAACTTTTGTAAACTTTTTTTATGGGGCCAGCATATCCATGATTTCAAAATTTACAAGGACATTATATGGAAAATTACAAGCCAGTGTCTCTTACAAATATAAATAACAAAAATCCTAAATCAACTATTAATATGTAGAATCTAGCAACATACAAAAAGAATAATATATCATGAGTGGACAAAAAAGGTTGTTTTAACATCTATAAATCAACTAATGTAATTCATCATGTTAATAGAATGAAGGGGGAAAACTACATATTAGTCATCTCAATAGATACGAACATTTTGAAATAAAAGTCAATATCCTTTTTTTTTTTTTTTTTTTTAAGAGACAAGAGTCTTGCCCTGTTCCCCAAGCTAGAGTGCAGTGGCGCAATTATAACTCACTATAACCTCAAACTCCGGGCTCAAGGGATTCTCAGCTCAGGCTCCAAAGTAGTGAAGGCTACAGGTGTGCACCACCATCTCCGGCTAATTTTTTAACTTTTTGTAGAGGCAGTGTCTCTCTGTCTTGCCCAGGCTGGTGTCAAAATCTGGCCTCAAATGATCCTCCCACCTTGGCCTCTGAAAGTGTTGGGATTACAAGCATGAGCCACTGTGCCCATCCTCATTTTTAAAAATTCTCTGCATACTGACACACATAGGCTCAAAATAAAAGTATGGAGGAAGATCTACCAAGCAAATGGAAAGCAAAAAAAAAGCAGGGGTTGCAATCCTGGTCTCTGATAAAACAGACTTTAAACCAACAAAGATCAAAAGAGACAAAGAAGGCCATTACATAATGGTAAAGGGATCACAACAAGAAGAGCTACCTATCCTAAATATATATGCACCCAATAGAGGAGCACCCAGATTCATAAGCAAGTCCATACAGACCTACAAGGAGACTTAGACTCCCACACAATAATAATGGGAGACTTTAACACCCCACTCTCAACATTAGACAGATCAATGAGACTGAAGGTTAACAAGGATATCCAGGACTTGAAGTCAGCTCTGAACTAAGCAGACCTAATAGACATCTACAGAACTCTCCACCCCAAATCAACAGAATATACATTCTTCCCAGCACCACATTGCACTTATTCCAGAATTGACCACATAGTTGGAAGTAAAGCACTCCTCAGCAAATGTAAAAGAACACAAATCACAACAAACTCTCTCAGACCACAGTGAAATCAAATTAGAACTCAGGATTAAGAAACTAACTCAAAACCACACAACTGCGTGGGAACTGAACAACCTGCTCCTGAATAACTACTGGGTACATAACGAAATGAAGGCAGAAATAAAGATGTTCTTTGAAACCAATGAGAACAATGACACAATGTACCAGAATCTCTGGGACACATTTAAAGCAGTATATAGAGGGAAATTTATAGCACTAAATGCCCAGAAGAGAAAGCAGGAAAGATCTAAAATCGACACCCTAACATCCCAATTAAAAGAACTAGAGAAGCAAGAGCAAACAAATTCAAAAGTTAGCAGAAGCCAAGAAATAACTAAGATCAGAGTAGAACTGAAGGAAGTAGAGTCACCAAAAACCCTTCAAAAAATCAATGAATCCAGGAGCAGGTTTTTTGAAAAGGTCCACAAAACTGATAGACTGCTAGCAAGACTAATGAAGAAGAAAAGAGAGGAGAATCAAATAGACGCAATAAAAAATGATAAAGGGAATATCACCACCAATCCCACAGAAATACAAACTACCATCAGAGAATACAATAAACACCTCTATGCAAATCAGCTAGAAAATCTAGAAGAAATGGATAAATTCCTCGACACACACACCCTCCCAAGACTAAACCAGGAAGAAGTTGAATCTCTGAATAGACCAATAACAGGTTCTGAAATAGAGGCAATAATTAATAGCCTACCAACCAAAAAAAGTCCAGGACCAGACGGATTCACAACCGAATTCTACCAGAGGTACAAAGAGGAGCTGGTACCATTCTTTCTGAAACTATTCCAATCAATAGAAAAAGAAGGAATCCTCCCTAACTCATTTTATGAGGCCAGCATCATCCTGATAACAAAGCCTGGCAGAGACACAACAAAAAAAGAGAAATTTACACCAATATCCCAAATGAACATCGATCCGAAAATCCTCAATAAAATACTGGCAGACTGAATCCAACAGCACATCAAAAAGCTTATCCACCATGATCAAGTGGGCTTCATCCCTGGGATGCAAGGCTGGTTCAATATAGGCAAATCAATACACGTAATCCATCACATAAACAGAACCAATGACAAAAACCGCATGATTATCTCAATAGATGCAGAAAAGGCCTTTGACAAAATGCAACAGCCCTTCATGCCAAAAACTCTCAATAAACTAGGTATTGATAGAATGTATCTCAAAATAATAAGGGCTATTTATGACAAACCCACAGCCAATATCATACTGAATGGGCAAAAACTGGAAGCATTCCCTTTGAAAACTGGCACAAGACAGGGATGCCCTCTCTCACCACTCCTATTTAACATAGCGTTGGAAGTTCTGGCCAGGGCAATCAGGCAAGAGAAAGAGATAAAGGGTATTCAATTAGGAAAAGAGGAAGTCAAGTTCTCCCTGTTTGCAGATGACATGATTCTATATCTAGAAAACCCCATCGTCTGAGCCCAAAATCTCTTTAAGCTGATAAGCAACTTCAGCAAAGTCTCAGGATACAAAATCAACATGCAAAAATCACAAGCATTCCTATATACCAATAACAGACAAACAGAGACCCAAATCATGAGTAAACTACATTCTCAATTGCTACAAAGAGAATGAAATACCTAGAAGTCCAACTTACAAGGGATGTGAAGGACCTCTTCAAGGAGATCTACAAACCACTGCTCAATGAAATAAAAGAGGACACAAACAAATGGAAGAACATTCCATGCTTATGGATAGGAAGAATCAATATCGTGAAAATGGCCATACTGCCCAAGGTAATTTATAGATTGAATACCATCCCCATTAAGCTACCAATGACTTTCTTCACAGAATTGGAAAAAACTACTTTAAAGTTCATATGAAACCAAAAAAGAGCCCGCATTACCAAGACAATCCTAAGCCAAAAGAACAAAGCTGGAGGCATCACGCTACCTGACTTCAAACTGTACTACCAGGCTACAGTAAACAAAACAGCATGGTACTGGTACCAAAACAGAGATATAGACCTATGGAACAGAACAGAGGCCTCAGAAATAACACCACACATCTACAACCATCCAATCTTTGACAAACCTGACAAAAACAAGAAATGGGGAAAGGATTCCCTATTTAATAAATGGTGCTGGGAAAACTGGCTAGCCATATGTAGAAAGCTGAAACTGGATCCCTTCCTTAACACCTTATACAAAAATTAATTCAAGATGGATTAAAGACTTAAATGTTAGACCTAAAACCATAAAAACCCCAGAAGAAAACCTAGGCAGTACCATTCAGGACATAGGTATGGGCAAGGACTTCATGTCTAAAACACCAAAAGCAATGGCAACAAAAGTCAAAATTGACAAGTGGGATCTAATTAAACTAAAGAGCTTCTGCACAGCAAAAGAAACTACCATTAAGTGAACATGCAACCTACAGAATGGGAGAAAATTTTTGCAATCTACCCATCTGACAAAGGGCTAATATCCAGAGTCTACAAAGAACTTAAACAAATTTACAAGAAAAAAAAAAACCCATCAAAAAGTAGGCAAAGCATATGAAGAGACACTTCTCAAAGAAGACATTTATGCAGCCAACAGACACATGAAAAAATCTCGTCATCACTCGTCATCAGAGAAATGCAAATCAAAACCACAGTGTGATACCATCTCACACCAGTTAGGATGGCGATTATTAAAAAGTCAGGACACAACAGATGCTGGAGAGTATGTGGAGAAATAGGGGGAGAATGTGGAGAAGTAGGGGGAGGGATAGCATTAGGAGAAATACCTAATGTAAATGATGAGTTAATGGGTGCAGCAAACCAACATGGCACATATATACCTATGTAACAAACCTGCACGTTGTCACATGTACCCTAGAACTTAAAAGTATAATTAAAAAATATATAAAAATAAAAATAAAATTCTCTGCATACTAGGAATAGAAGAGAAATTCCTTAATTTGATACAAAGTATCTATTTTTTTAAAAAACTAAAGCAACCATTTTATTTGGTGGTAAAATGTTGAAAGCTTTCCCTTTGCATTATCCTCATTATTTCCTCTGTTCAACATTGTACTGAATGTCCTAGTCAGTGCAATAAAGCAAAGGAAATAAAAGGGATAGGAACTGGACAGGAAGCATTTAAACTGTCATTCACAGAAGACATGATTATGAACGTAGAAAATTCAAAAGAATCTATAGCCAAATTATTAGAATTAATATAAGTAAATTTAGCAAATTTGCTGGATACAAGGTAAATTATATTTCTGAATTCCAAACACAAGCGATTATAAAATGAAATTTCAAAACCAACATTGTTTACCATAGCATCAAAAATCATCATATACCTAGTAATATATTTAATGAAAAATATACAAGACTATTCCGAATACACAGAGAACTTTAGAACATTATTGAGAGAAATTAAGACCTAAATAAATGTGGGGTATTCCATGTTCAAGAATTAAAAGGTTCAGTGTGATAAAAATATCAGTTCTACCCAAACTGATCTATAGAATCAATGCATTTTCTATCAGACTCTTAGAAGATTTCTTTTTTTGAAAATTGACTAGCTAATTCTAATGTTCATATGGAAATGCAAAACAGCAGGGCACTCTTGAAACAAAAGAGTGAAGTTGGAAGACTTCACTATCAGATATCAAGACTTGCTATAAAGTTATACTAGTGAAGGCAATGTGATATTGGTAAGTAAAAAAGAAAAACACCATACAGTGGAACTGGATAATCAAGAAATGTACCCGTTGATGACATTAATTTGATTTATGATAATACAGGTAACCCTTGAATAGTGTGGAGGTTAGGGAAGCTGACCCCCATCACAGTTGAAAATCTATGTATAATTTTTGATTACCCCAAAAGCTTAACTACTAATAGCCTAGTGTTAATTGGTAGCCTTCTGGATTACATAAACAGTCAATTAACACAACTTTGTATGTTATATGTAATACATACTGTATTCTTTTATTATTATTATTTTTTTTTTTTTCTAGACGGAGTCTCGCTCTGTCACCCATGCTGGAGTGCAGTGGCCAGTGGCGCAATCTCAGCTCACTGCAACCTCCCCGTCCTGAGTTCAAGTGATTCTCCTGCCTCAGCCTCCCGAGTATCTGGGACTACAGGCGTGTGTCACCATGCCTGGCTAATTTTTGTATTTTTAGTAGAGACAGGGTTTCGCCATGTTGGCCAGGCTGGTCTGGAACTCCTGACCTCCGTTGATCCACCCACCTCGGCCTCTCAAAGTGTTGGGATTACAGGCGTGAGCCACCATGCCCGGCCTATATACTGCGTTGTTACAATAAAGTAAGCTAGAGAAAAGAAAATGTTATTAAGAAAATCATGAGGAAGAGAAATATATTTACTACTAAGTCAGTGGAAGTGGATCATCATAAAGGTCTTTATCCTCATCATCTTCACATTGAGTAGGCTGAGGAGAAGGAGCAGGAGGAGGAGGAGTTGACCTTGCTGTCTCTAGGGTAGCAAAAGGTGTAAGATTTGGAAGGAGAGGCAGCCACACTTGGTATAACTATGGAAATACATCGTAATTTTTGTGTGTTCTGCTGTATTTCTCTAAAAATGTTTCTATTACAGTACTGAACCTTCTTCCACTATTTGCTTTAGTTTCAGAGCCCATATCATTGAAGGGTCCATGTCATAAGAGTCCTTTGTGGCTTTTTTTTTTTTTTTTTTTTTTTTTTTTTTTTTTTCAGAATAGGGCATTTTTGTCTGCATTTAAAACTTGTTCAGGCAGATATCCTTTGTCCTCGATGATTTTCTTAATGGTATCTGGAAACTCATCTGCTGCCTTTTGGTGGGCAGAAGCTTCTCATCCTATTATCTTGACTTTTTTAAAGCCAAAACTTTCCAAAAATTATCAAACCATCTTTATCTGGCATTCAATTCTCCAGCTTTAGATCCTTCACCTTCCTTTGGCTTCACATTGTCATATAATGACTATACTGACTTTGCTTTTTAAAAGTCATATTAGAGTCTACATATAGATACGCCTTTCTGTTAACAATCCTGCACCCACATAAAAGATGGATTTTCAATAAGAGGTCAAAGGTATTTCACAAAACATACAAGGTTTTCACACCTGCTGGCGTAGCTGCAGTGACAGCATCACAAATTTTCTTTTTTCATAATGGTTCTTATGCTGGACTCATTTATCTTGAAATGGTGGGCAACCACAGCTGCACACTTCAGTCTATGGTACATGTCAAGCAATTCAGCCTTTTTTTATAATGTCATGACTTTTCTCTGCTTCTTGGTACCACTTGCAGCATCACTAGTGACACTTCGTATGGGTTCCAAGGTGTATGATAATGTGAATTGTATCTTGACAAAGCCATTATTTAAAAAAAAAATATATATATATATATATATGTATTTATATGAATGACCCCCAGGTTCTCTGGCTTGACAATTGGGTGGATTATATTGTTATTTTGTTATTTAGTAAGATGGGGAAGGGTTGGAATGATGAGTTCAATTTTCGATTTGTTGAGTTTGAGGGATTTACAGGAAATCCAAATGAAGATAATCCAGGAATCGATCTATACATACCCAGAATTCAGGAGTGAGGTCTACACTGAATATACAGATTTGTGCCTCACTATGTACTGAGTGTCCCTAATCCAGAAGTTCAAAATTTGAAATTTTTTGAGTTCTAGATTTGTAATGCTCAACCTTGTAAGTATAATGCAAACCTTCCAAACCAAAAAAAAAAAAATCTGAACTCTGAAACATTTCTGGTCCCAGTTACTTTGGATAAGGGATACTTAACCCATAACATACAAGTGGCATTTGAAAGGAGTACATAGAACAAGACCATGAAGACAAAGATAAATAGGACAGAAAAATGAAAGCAAAGTCTGCTAAAGGTGATGAAAAGATGTAGCCAAGGAGAGAAAGAGGAAAATCAGGAATATATGATACAATGGAAGCCTGTAAAAGATTGCTTTAAAGAGGATGGGAGTAATCAATTGTGTTGAATGCTACTGACAGATTAAATCAGATGAGGAACATATTGGTAATATTGGAAGAATAGTGTGATTTACAGTAGTGCGATAAAAATAAGATTGCAATTAGTTGAGAAATACGTGGGAGATAAGGAATTAGAGATAGCCAAAGTTTGGATTTGAAGAGGAGGAAAGATTAGGGAGAATGTAGGGCGAAAATGCTCTTTGTTTTTTTTGTCTTAGGGAAGCGGTGTTAAGATGAAAAAGACTTTCACTTGTAGTGCTGTTGGGAATGAGCCAGTGGGGACAGAGGTTATAGATACCCAGAAGATAATCTATAGGGTGAGATTTCTGACAGTGCTGAAGGGAATCTGAACACAAGTAGGGGGATTGACATTAAAAATGGGGAGGAATCTCAAGACCAGCCTGGCCAATATGGTGAAACCTCATCTCTACTAAAAATACAAAAATTAGCCGGGCATGGTGGCGGGCACCTGTAGTCCCAGCTACTCGGGAGGCTGACACAGGAGAATCGCTTGAACCCGGGAGGCGGAGGTTGCAGTGAGCCAAGATCGTGCCACTGCACACCAGCCTGGGCAACAGAGCGACTCCATCTCAAAAAAAAAAAAAAAAAGAATCATGTTTCTATGATAACAGGAGTGAAGAAGGAAAAAGGATAAGTGGAAGCAAATGTGTTTGTAGGTTTGTTGGTAAGACATTAAGGAAATTCTGATTGACTGCCTCCTATTTTCTCCTTGAAATAAAAGATCAAATTACCTGTTGTGACTGAGTTGGTATATTTGTGGAGAAGATTTGAAATAGCTGAGGAATACTGCAGAGAAGAATACAAGTGAAATATAGTGGGACTGGCAGTCATTACTGAAATCCAGAGGAAATGAATAATCTTTTATGGTGATGTCACACTGCCCTAATTATAAGATTTTTTACCTGAGGAGAGCAAGGGATTGGCTAAGTCTGGGCTCATGGGCAAGTCTGGCTCATGGCCTTTTTTTGTAAATAAAGTAGGTTTTGGACACAAATATTGAAACTGCCTTTGCAAAACTTATATCAGTGAGAAAACTGTGGCAGTAGGGGAGATCTGATCTAGCCACCACCCCCTCTTGCCTTTAGCCTTCAAGCTGCCTTAATTATTGCTGGGCTTTGGCCAAGCTAACTTTGGAAGACATTTAGTTAATACTCTATTTTTTTTATTTTATGTATGTATTTGTTTATTTATTTATTTATTTATTTATTTATTTTTGAGACAGAGTTTTGCTCCGTTGCCCAGGCTGTAGTGTAGTGGCGTGATCTTAGCTCACTGCAACCTCTGCCTCCCGGGTTCAAGCGATTCTCCTGCCTCAGCCTCTCATATAGCTGGGATTACAGGCGCCTGCCACCACGCCCAGCTAATTTTTATATTTTAAGTAGAGACGGAGTTTCACCATGTTGGCCAGGCTTGTCTCAAACTCCTGACCTCAAGTGATCCGCCTGCCTCGGCCTCCCAAAGTACTGGGATTACAGGGGTGAGCCACTGCCCCCAGCCATTTATAGTTTAAATGATAATAGCCCTTCTCCAAAACTCAACCACCTTTGTAAAGCTAATGAGAGACCACCAGACTAGGAGGAGGAGACAAGCCTGAATTCTGCTAAAACATAGGCCCAGCAGTGGCTCACACCTGTAATCCCAACACTTTGGGAAGCCAAGGAGGGTGGATTGCTTGAGCTCAGGAGTTCGAGACCAGCCTGGGCAACATGGCAAAACCCCATCTCTACCAAAAATACAAAAATTAGCCAGTCTCATAACCTGGTCTCATAAATAAATAAATAAAGAGACATAAATGATTGCCAGCCATTATTCCGGAGGCACAAGATATATAACTTCCCCAATTACTCCTGCATATAACATCACAACTGTAGAACCTGAGATTGGCCTTTTGAGATATCTTTTCAGGATTTTTTCATGTCTGACACCAGGGGCTCCACCTGGACCTGCCAACTGCCCCTGTGGCCCCACCCAGAAGTGGCTTAGTGCACAAGAGGACCATTCCCCACACCCTTATGATTGCACCCCCAACCAATCAATAGCAAGCATCTATTCATCATCTAACCACTCCCACCCCTTCCCCCAAACTACCTTTGAAAAACCCCAAACCTACAAGACTTCAAGGAGGTTGATTAGAGTAATATTAATAAATCCCATCTCGCACTTGGCCTGGCCAGCCTTGCATCAGTTAAACTCTTTACTACAATGCCATGGTTTTTGTGAATTGATTTTGTTTGTGCAGCAGGCAGGAAGAACCTGGTGAGCAGTTACAATATGTTCATTTGTTGTCTATGACTGCTTTAACACTGCAGTGACAGAGATGAGTAGTTGGTCCTGAAAGCCTAAAATATTTACCATCTGACTTTTAAAGAAAGTTTGCCAACACCTGGTGTAGATCAATTTGGATATAAGTACAGAGAAGGCAGACATTTGGGGTCACCCAGGGTGAAGTCTTGACAAGTGGAAGGATGTTAGCAAAGGAATTGCAGATATTGGCAGTTGACCTTGGTATTGGTATTGGACCTTGAAATCCAAGCTGGAGAGGAAGAGAAGTAGATGAAAGGAACTGTTAGGGGTTCCAGAGTTTATTCAGATTTCTTGAGAGTATTTGGAGGGGGAAAAGCTGAAAATGGTAGAAGATTGTGGTCATAGATAACTGAAATGTATGATTTCAAAGAAGGGGCAATTCTAGGTAGTGACAGCGTCCTGGGTGTGGTAGCTCAGGTTATACGGAACTGAGAGGCAGTGCTGGCTACATCATCCATGTAGATGCTGAGCCCCCTCCCCACCAGGGTGGGTGGAGAGGAATATGGTGAGCCACAGGCTTATATTTTCTTAATTTCTGGGATTTATTGGGAAAACATATTTTTTTTCATAGAAGGGAAAAGAATGTTGTAAATGACAGGATTTCAAATTATCAAGGTTTTTTGGGGTATTACATTCCTATGTTTAAGTTGAATTGCTAACAGTCAATTTAAAAATAGCTAAAAATTTAGGAAAAAGTAAATAGAAAATTTATTGCTTTGTTTTTATACTTAAACCTTATACTTTTTAAATGTCTTTTGATTACCAGACTGCAGATGTATTTAATTTTGAGGAAACAGTTTATAGTCATCATATGTCTCCAGTCTCCACCAAGCACTGTTTGGTAGCAGGTTTGTAAGTGTATTCTTTTGTCTTTTGACATACTGAAAACTTTCTCCCTTTTTATATGTAGTTAGTTTTGATGTAGACATTTTAACCCAGAGGAATATCACAATTTTATATATATATATATATATATATATATATATATATATATATATATATATACACACACACACACTATATATATTCAACAGATATTGTACTATTTATATTCAACAGATATTTTGCAAGGCAAGCACTATGCTGTGGCCAGGATTCAGAGAATAAGAGCGTATTTCTGTCTAAAGAGTTCCTTTTAAACCACCAAAGTTTCAGAGATTTTACATGAATAAAATTTGGCAACTTTCCCAATTTGACACAATAAAACAAGGAAATTCTTTCTTTCTCTAAGATTGTGATTCAAATTAAGCATCAATTTATATAAAAGCACCTGCAACAAACATCTTCATATATAAGGAAGAAAAAATGATTTTCTGGTATCAGGTATCTGGGCCCTGTGATTCATTATTTCTTTGGCACCATGTGAGTCTCTACCTCTTTTATCTGTGAAGAAGAGCTAGGAACTAAGTTGTCTTGAGGTCCTTTCAGTCTGTGTCCAGTTTCTGTGAATCTGTTACTAGTGATTGGAAGTATATCATTAACTTGGAAAAACTAAGCTATTAAAATACAATGATTTGATGTGATAAAATGGAATAGAACTGTACATACATACATACACATTTACCAATACAAATTTCCTGGGTTTGATACTGTGTTTTAGTTACCTCACACATAATCGTTGGGGAAACTTAGTGAAGGGTACACGGTTCTCTTTATACTAGCTTTGCAACTGCTTGCAAATCTATAATTATTTCAGAATAAAAAATAAATGTAATAATAGAGGTCTCTTACTACTAAAATATAACTGTAGTTAAAATAACTTTTCTAAATGTAAACATTAAAAATGACAATGTAATTTTGGCATATATCTTCATATTTCTGCATGGATACAGTGAAAATGTCATGATTACTAATGATAATGTCTTGTTTCCTTTTGATGATGACTTATGATAAAATTATCTTAAACCGGTTCTGTTTTTACAGTTGGTACTAGAGGACCCAAAGTACAACTTTGTGACTTGAAGTCTGGATCCTGTTCTCACATTCTACAGGGTATTTTTATTTTATTTCAAACGGCAACTACTTTGAGTAAACGATTCAATAAAAAGAAACGTTACTAACAGTGTATTCTTTGTAAGTGACATGACTAATGTACTTTGTGCTGGTTGTTGAGACTCAGCAGGGAAATAAAGATCCTTCTGTGCATTATTCTTATAAAACTGAACCATTGAAAACACATTTATATGAACAATGATCATTGGGGAAGCTCAAACAATATGAAAAATAGTTCTAACTCAAAACCTTGTGTTATTTCTACATTAAAAAGACTAATGCAACTCACATCAGTGTACTTGTCTCATATGTATTATTTAATATTCTGGCTAATGAGTAAACATTGTTCTTAATATTTAGGTACATTTTTTCTCAGTAAAAATATTTTAGAAAAATATATTGAAGTAATTCTTTGGTAAAGGTGTATTTAAATTATTCTTGCTACTTTTATCAGTATTAGATTGTCTAATTCTAAACAATGAAAAGATAGAATATAATTTATATATTTTGACTGATCTCAAAGAAACACATAACAAATATGTTAAGAAAAGTTGATGAGATAGATAGCATTTTTTGACATTATTATGAATTTTTATTAATATAAGCTGGGCAGGTGGAAATGTCTGATGTGAATAGTTCAGTTAGCTAAAAGTGAATTAAAATATTGAAATCACCCTTTGAACTTATCACCTGTGCTTTCTAGAAAAAAACATTTTATATAAATGCTTTTCTACAAGCATGAGTTAAAGTAGGTTTCTCTTATAACTTTATGAGAAATTGGAAAACATTTTTATCCTTTAAAATGTTTATCTTATATGTTTTATTACAGTAATTGAGCTTGAGTTATATGGATTTACTGACATAAGCTAACAACTGTATTTAAAAAGAAAGACTTACTTAACTCTGTTTTTTCCAAAGCAAAACCAGTTCTTTTACAATAAAATACCATATGTTTGAAATACCCCTGTAAACTTCACATTAGCATTGAAACATCGATTATTATAAATCTGAAAAATGGTCATATCTATTCACATTGAATATTTGGCCTCACTTTCTTCAGAATCAGGCAAAATTATTGGCACTTTATCTTCTGATTTTTCAGATATCTTGCAAGACTTTTCATATAGTTGTATTTGCAGGTCACAGACAAGAAATATTAGCAGTTTCCTGGTCTCCACGTTATGACTATATCTTGGCAACAGCAAGGTAAAATTTAACTTATTTGCTTTTGAAGTTAGTAATTAATAATAAGCATTTTGAAAAGTCTACATTTATGTAATGTATATATTTTAGCATATTTAATTATTAATTCACTCCTTTAAAATGAAGTATTGACTTAGAAATTTTAATTCATGTCACCAAAAGAAATCTTCCTTTGTATTCTAATTCTAATCCTATCCACCTTCAAGGTGTTTCACCTTAGAACACAGAGGAACTGTGTTGTGTCATTCTTACACACAAATGTATAACACAGTGCTAATTTTTAAATAGAGCATTTTTATTCATTATCTTTAACCTGGAGTTATTTTGAATTTGATGTAACATATCCACACATTCATTGATTCAATTTTCTAATATTTAATGACTTCCTCCCACGTGCCAAGCATTGTGCTAGGGACACAGAGGTAACCAAGGCTTTGAAAAACCAACAATCTAATGATCTAATGAGGCATATAGTCAAAAATCAGTGATTACAGGGCATCCAGAAAAATGCTTTAATAGAGGTACATCTCTGGTAGGTGTAATATAGGAAAAGAAAGCAGGATCACTTAACTCTGAGAGGATCAAAAGATGTGGGGAGGTTTATTTTTTGCTGGAGAAAAAGAGTATTGCATATTTATCTGCTGGGGAAAGAGTACCAGTAGAGAGAAACAGGTGAAGATAAGAAATGGAGGGAATAATTGGTGCATTAGGTCCTTGAATACACAGAAGTGGGTAGTATCAAGGATCCAGATGAGGGTGGAGGGTACACCTAGTTTGGCACATGAAGAGCACTGTGAGACTAAATGGAAAGAGGAAAAGGTGGACATGAATACAGTTAACTTTGTAGCTTTGGCAGAGAAGCTCAAGAAACTCAGACTTAACGGCTTCTCTTGGTTTTTAGTGGAGTAGAACTTGATGTCATCTCTTGAAAATATAGGAATGAGGATGCAATTTTGAGGAAAGATAGTATGGATCTGGAATAATAGATTGAAAGAGTGAGGGAGCTGATTAAGGGCCCATAGGATTACTGGGCACTTGCTCCCTGTTGAATATGTAGAGCACAGCTGTACTAAGCCACAGAAATTAAAACATTAAATGAAAGAGACTTAACAATTTTCGGTGTCTACAGGAAAGTACCTAGGTGCCTGAAAATTGTAGAAGTCATGGGTAAAAGGAAAAAAATCACAAAAAGGCTTGTAGGAGGGATCAAGGATCTAATGAAGTAGAAGTATGAGAGTTAGACTAAGAAAATTTAAAAACTGAAGGGATAGGAAGTAGTAATCAAATATTTTTATATATTTTCATAAAACTTTAAGTAGAAGAAGAATTATTACGAAAGCTATTCATATTAATTTTATAAAGATCTGTGTCTGGATTTTTTTTTAAGTTGCCAGCCCTGTCTCCCTGTCACAGTTCAGGCCCCAAAGAAGCTTCTGTTAATAACTGGCAGAATGTGATGTTGAAATTTATGATTTCTGAAGTGCAGCAAGGTCTAGAATGTAGCCATAAGAAGGCTAGCTGAAGAGGTATGAAGGTTAGGAGCTAGGTGCTGGTTATGCTTGGGTGGATTTTACATTTTTCATGCTTAACTTGGTTTTCATCAGATAAGAGGAGAGCTAAGAAGCTTTCAATTATAAGAATACTCCAGGAATTTGAATCAGTACCACAATGGACCTAGTAATCAGTGTTAAAAGTTGGATATGTTCAAATCTAATCTGTTTCAGAAGAGACTTAAATCCTCATACTGATTTCATTTCCTTCACCTGGAAAGAAAGAAAACCAACTTAAGAATGGGTAATGCTAGTTTTTTGCTAACTATTCCAGTTGGCTAGGTTTGATGGTCATCTGTGAAAAGAATCGAGGTTATAGAAACCAGTAAACCTTGTGTGTATATTTTTTTAAAAAAATTAAATAAAAAATAGGCTTATAAAAATGTAATGCTCTCTCTTATTAAAATGGCATTGATAAGCCCCCTGGGTTACAATATTGTTGAGGTCCTTGTGAGGACATGATAGCATCAGTTGAACTGATTAGGAGCACGTCGGATTGCCAGGCATTTTTCTTTAGAAATAATCTAGAAGCTGAAATAGATGTCTGATCATAGATTTGCCTTTCTTCTTTTTGCTTACTTGAAAGAAAATGAAAGTAAGTGTCTAATTTCTAGGAGACATTAAATATAGTTCTCATATATCTGGCAAAGATTGATTTGAGTATAGGAAACCAAATGGAAATGCATTGTCCTCATTATTCACCTTACACTTACCGTTTTTTATATAAAAAGGAAAAAAACACCAAATCATACCAAATGGATTCTTGAGCAAAGTGAAATTAGTTAATTGCTTGTCTTGACAGCATTTGGATAACAAGCAGTAGAAAAGGTATGGTAAGGAACTTACTTGGAACAAGCTACAAGCCTTTCTGGTCCTTGGGAGAAAAGATGCTCATGTAATTTAAAACAATATAAAAAGCAGCAAAATTTTGTTCTTGTTATCTGGAAAAGAAAGGTTACTTTTTTTTTTTGCTATTTACTCACTTATTTGAGCTACTGTTGACTATTGAATATTTGCTGAAAAGGCAAAAGTTCAACAACCCTAATGTATGAATACATATGTACCTATATAACGAGACCTCTGTGTGCCATAAAATTAGAAAGGTGGGTGAGGGGTACAGTCATTGTCCTAGCTACATATGTCAATGTAACATTTATTTCTTCTCAGTGCTGACAGTAGAGTAAAATTATGGGATGTGAGAAGAGCATCAGGATGTTTGATTACTCTTGATCAACATAATGGGAAAAAGTCACAAGCTGTTGAATCAGGTAAGGAAGAACGCATTAATAAATATGACAATGATAGTATTTTTTTACATTGAAAATTTTTAATTGAAGCCACATAATAAACGCATATTGACAAATTGCAAACTTTATGATTTTTCAAAAGGCATTCATCGTATATCACTTTCTTAATTTACATAAACTAAATTATGATTCTCTTTCTTTAAGATACAAATAAAAATGGCAGTTTCATTTGCCCCCAAATTTTCAAAAGTAGAAATTTTTGTGAATTAACTTGCTTTACTTGTTTTGTTTTTGCTCCATTGAGGCCAACTATACATATTCAATGCCATTTAAAAAGTCACAATAAATTACAGAAATAGTAACATTTTGTGGCCATTGTATCAACATAAAATTGTGTTAAATGTGAGTCAGCTGCAATCCATGTGACAAAGTACCTAAACTGCATTTTTACAGTAGAATTTAATTCCTGTGTAGAAATTTTGATAGAGAATTAATTCTGGACCAGAAATATATTAGAATGAACTATATAAAACCTATAATTGTTTTATGTAATTTCTTAACAACTATAGTTTTATGTAGTTTCTACATAAAACTATATAAAACAATCACAAAGTTTAAAAACTATATAAAACAATCATAGGTTTTATATAGTTCATTCTAATATATTTCATATATTAGAATTTATATAGTTTTTTAAAAAACCTTATGAAACATGTAAACTATATAAAACATGTTTTATATGTTTTTAAATTAATTAGGCTATTTTAGAATTATGCTTTCTCAAACTTGTTAATTTTGTAAGTGATATAAATTTTGAGACTACAACAGTCATCCTTTCCCTGTTTTTTTTTTCAATGGAAAACACTAGAATTATTGATTTTAATAGTCCATAGAATGATTTTTAGGTTAGCAATAAAAATATATGAGAGATGAAAGGCATTTAATTTTAAATTTTAGTGTTAAGCTACACATTTAATTGAATTTCATGGCACAATTTCCTTGCTGGAAAAGAAAAGTATGTTAGGCAGAAATTTTTTCCCTTTTTTTTTTGTTTTCCTCTATTTTTATGGTTCTGATTTATATAGCTTATCCTATTCAAATAATCTGAAGGGTTGGTTAAGTATAATCTACTTACATTTTTTAAGTAACTCAAGTAGTTGTCCTTTAATATGTTTAATTATATCATCAAACATTAAATATGTCCTGAATACAAGAACAGATAAACTGAACTATGTTTTTCATTGCAGCAAACACTGCTCATAATGGGAAAGTTAATGGCTTATGTTTTACAAGTGATGGACTTCACCTCCTCACTGTTGGTACAGATAATCGAATGAGGCTCTGGAATAGTTCCAATGGAGAAAACACACTTGTAAGAGATTTTTAAGTATATATTTGGGTATAAATTAAGAAATGGATCTGTGACATACACTTGATTTTTTTATATATTTAACTCATTTATTCCCTTTTAATCACAGCTGTTTTTAAAAATGTGTTTCTACTATGTGGACTAGTAATTCTCAACTCAGGACAACCCACCCTTACCCACTACCTACCACATTCTCCCTACTTAGCAGAGAATCACTGTTCTACTGAGCCACTGTTCTCAATGGGAGTGCAAAGCGTAGTAGAGAAAAATAAAAGACTGAGGACTACTGATATAAATTAAAGATATGAAGCTAAGTAATCAAATTTTATATAGGTTGAGTATCCCTAATCTGAAAATCTGAAATCTGAAATGTTCCAAAATCTGAAACTTTTTGAGTGCTAGCATGACACACAAAGGAAGTGCTCATTGGAACATTTCAGATTTTGAATATTCAGATTAGGGATGTTCAGGCAGTAAAGCAAATATTCTAAAATCCAAAATACTTCTAGTCCAAATCATTTTGGATGGGGATACTTAACCTGTACTATATATGACTTATAAACAAAATTTACAGTGAATTTTATAGTACCAGAATATGTAGTACTTTATTTAATACTACTGCAATAAATATATTTCGAAGGTGCTATATTCTTATGTGGCTATTAATTTCTAGTACTTGTTTTTATGTAGGTTATAGTCTTATCAGATATGCCTATGGTTTAATAATTTTCAGAACAAACTACTAAAAGCTTATAATTTGGTGATAATAATAATAGCTAATATTTATTGAGAGCTTGTATGTCAGATACTGTGCTAATAATAATTAGCATTTAATTTGCCAGGCAGTATTAGACAGCAGTTGGCAAAACATGGAAAAGTCCTATCCTCATGGAGCTTACATTTCAGCAAGAGTATGAAAGGCATCAATCAATTAATAGATGGACAGATGGATAAATTATATATTAGATTAGGTAAGGACTATGAAGAAAAGCAAAGCAAAGAAAGGATCACAGGAAATACTGGGACGTTGGAGTTGCTGTTTCACATAGGGAAGTCAGGGTAGGCTTCACTAAGGTGACATTTGGCCTGAAGGAAATGGGGAAGTGGCTCATCAGTTGTTTGCTGGGGGATATCATTCTAGTCAGGGAAAGAAAAAAGGTACAAAGACCCTGAGGCGAGAACTTCCTTGGGATACGCAAGGAAGAGCTAAGAGGTTCTTGCGTTGGAATATGAAGGGAATAACAGATGAGGAACAGAAGGAACTAGGGTGCCAGATCATATGGGCCCTGCAAGCCTTTGTAAGGGGTCAGGCTTTTCTCTGGGTGAGATGGAAAGCCACTAAAGGCTTGTGAGTGGAGAAGTGACAGGATCACTCTGGAAGAGTAGCTGGGCATGTGTGTCAAAGTTTAATGTGATAAATATAAATGGTACTGAATGTATATATAAATTGTTCATGTGGTTCTATTCCATTTTTCTTTCCTTCTTGAAGGTGAGTCTCATGCCCTTTGGATTTTTTTCTATTAAGTCCGTATCTAAAATAATGTATTGAAAATGGATAATACATTTTACAGTGGACTTGATCAAAGTAAAAGTAATTCATGCATAGGTAACTAAGGTATCCCAGAAACTGACCTACATAGAATACTTACGGTTGATACCAGAAAAGATTACTTTAAGGGGAAACACACTGTCTTCAGATTTTTAAAGGGCTATCAGATAGAACCAGTCCTGCCGTTTAGTAACTTCTTTTTTTTATTTTAAAGTTGACAGGCCAGGCACGGTCGCTCACACCTGTAATCCCAGCACTTTGGGAGGCGGAGGTGGGTGGATCACGAGGTCAGGAGATCAAGACCATCCTGGCTAACACGATGAAACCCCGTCTCTACTAAAAATACAAAAAATTAGCCAGTGGTGGGCACCTGTAGTCCCAGCTACTCGGGAGGCTGACACAGGAGAATCGCTTGAACCCGGGAGGTGGAGGTTGCGGTGAGCCGAGATCGCGCCATTGCACTCCAGCCTGGGCAACAAGAGCAAAACTCCGTCTCAAACAAAAAAGAAATATTAATATGAGTTCGAGACCAGCCTGACCAACATGGAGAAACCCCATCTCTACTAAAAGTACAAAATTAGCCGGGCATGGTGGCGCATGCCTGTAATTCCAGCTATTTGGGGGCTGAGGCAGGAGAATCACTTGAACCTGGGAGGCAGAGGTTGCGGTGAGCCGAGAGCATGCCATTGCACTGCAGCCTGGGCAATAAGAGCGAAAACTCCGTCTCAAAAAAGAAAAGAAAAGAAAAGAAATATTAATATGACATTAAGTTGTAGGATGGATTGGAGGAAGAAACCCTAAGGACAAGACAAAAGTTAATGCCCTGGTTCAATATTCATACCTCATTCAACACTTTCCAGTTCATATTTGGGAAGGAATGTGGTATACTGGAAAGACCATAAGTTTTATAACTAGGTGTCCTGAGAAACAAATGTGAATAAGGCCATCACAGTCTAGCAGTTTATAATTTTTCCAGGGGGAACAGTGAAATACTAGTTGAAAACTGTTTTGTATTTTTTCTTCGTCACCCCACCCCCATATCATTGTGCAAATTGTTGCACATGTAGGATCAGAAGACACAAATGAGGGAATGTTATATTTTTAAACATGTATAGGAATTAATCTAGGAACTTACTGAATACCTTTGTGTTCCAGGTGCTTTCATATGGATTATTTCATTTGCTTTTTCACGATACATAACTCTATAAGTAAATGATGTTATTTCCGTTTAACAGATAAGAAGAATGAAACGAAGTGGTTAAATCATTATTCATAAGGGGCAAAAAAAAGATGAGTGTTTAAAACCCAAGTCCACCAAAATGAGTTTAATATTTAACCCACTATACTGCTACTGCCATGAGGTAGCTAAATGCATGTACCCATTTCTGGCACAAGTTAGCCTAAAGGGAAAGTAAGCCAAGTATAGTATCCATAGATTATTAGCATGTATCCATTTTGACCTCAGTGTTTTTATTTATGTATATATATACATACACATACACACACACTTATCTAACCTATAGAAAAAAAAGTGAATCCCTTTTTTTTTTTTTTTTTTTTGAGGTAGAGTCTCGCTTTGTTGCCCAGGCTGGAGGGCAGTGGCGCCATCTTGGCTCACTGCAGCCTCCACCTCCCAGGTTCAAGCAATTCTCTCTCTCAGCCTCCTGAGTAGCTGGGATTACAGGTACCCGCCACCAGGCCTGGCTAATATTTTTGTGTTTTTTGCAGAGATGGGATTTCACCATCTTGGCCAGGCTGGTGTTGAACTCCTGATCTTGTGATCCGCCTGCCTCGGCCTCCCAAACTGCTGGGATTACGGGAGTGAGACCACGCCCAGCCGACAAATCACTATTTAAACTTCAATATTAGCCCTGACGACAGTGGATTTTGTTGATATGCATGATCATGATTCCCAAATGATTAGTTACTGGTTTTACACTCACCCCAAGCTTATCAAAATTATTATCAGGAAGTAAACCCATCAACTTATTTAGCCCAAAGCTTCTCAAATTTGCATTAGTGTTTACCTAGGGATTACCTAGGGATCTTGTTAAAATGAAGATTATTTTCGGTAGGATTGGGGTGGGGCCTGGAAGTCTGCATGTCTGACTGCTTCAGGTGATGCTCACACTGCTGAGCCTGCACACTACACCTTTGGAGTACAAGCAAAGAATTTTAATTTTTGTCCCAAATACATAATTATTTATATAAAGGTAAAACTACAGTGTACACACTATTTATGGTCTGTGCTTTTTTACACTTAGCCTTTATCCCTGTTTTCTGCATAATTTTCATAATTATGATTTATATAAATCATAAAGTTAATGTAACATTATTAGGAATATATACCTATTCTCAGTTATTACCCCATTCTAAATAATACTGGATAGAATTCCTCTGGGCATATAGCTTTTGCTATTTAATTATTTCCTTAAGATAAATTCCCAGCCGGGCGCAGTGGCTCACGCCTGTAATCCCAGCACTTTGGGAGATCAAGGCAGGCAGATCACGAGGTCAGGAGATCGAGACCATCGTGGCTCACACAGTGAAACCCCGTGTCTACTAAAAATACAAAAAATTAGCCGGGCGTGGTGGCGGTCGCCTGTAGTCCCAGCTACTCGGGAGGCTGAGGCAGGAGAATGGCGTGAACCCGGGAGGCGGAGCTTGCAGTGAGCCTAGATCGCGCCACTGCACTCCAGCCTGGGCGACAGAGCAAGACTCTGTCTCAAAAAAAAAAAAAAAAAAGATAAATTCCCAGGAGCAATTACCAGGTCAAGGGGTAAGAATATCTTTGCTGTTTAATGGGTAAAATTTTGCAAGATGAAGAGTTCTAGAGATGGATAGTGATGAGAGTTGCACAACAACATGAATGCACTTAATGCCATTGAGTACCATTAAAAATGGTTATGATGGTAAATTTTATATTATGTGTATGAAAAAATGTTTAACTATAAAGGGAAGGGAGAAGCCCCGCCCCCTCGTGGAGACTGCCCAGTGGGCGGAGTCGGGCGCCGCCAGGCTGGCATCCGGAAGCCAGAAGTCCGGAGCCTAGCAGCACAAGAGCGTCTGTTACTCTCTCTTCTCAGATCCCCGCCGGAAGTATAGGAAGAGAGCAAGCGGATTCGAACCTATCTGCTTTCAAGCTGATCATGATGATGAAACTTAGAAACAAAAATGAAAAGCCAGGTAAAGTTTCCAAGGGCTGTAAGAAGCCTGCAAAACAAAATGGGAAGAAAGCAACCTCCAAAGTGCCCTCTGCTCCTCAGTTTGTTCACTCCAATGATCATGCCAATCGAGAGGCTGAAATAAAGAAGAGGGTTGAGGAGATGAGGGAGAAGCAGCAAGCTGCCCAGGAGCAAGAAAGACAAAAACGCAGGTCTATCAAGAGCTACTGTGAGGATATCCTAAGACGCCAGGAGGAGTTTCAGTGTAAGGAAGAAGTTTTGCAGGAATTAAATATGTTTCCTCAGCTGGATGACGAGGCCACTATGAAGGCTTATTACAAGGAGTCCGTGAGGTGGTAGAATACTCTGATGTGATTCTGGAAGTCCTGGATGCCAGAGACCCATTAGGCTGCTGCTGCTGCTTCCAAATGGGGGAGGCTATCCTATGGGCAGAAGGCAACAAGAAGCTGGTCCTGGTCTTGAAAAAGATTGACCTGGACCCCAAGGAGGTTGTGAAGTGGCTGGATTACCTTCGGAATGAGTTGCCAACTGTGGCTTTCAAGGCCAGGACCCAGCATCAGGTCAGCTTTGGAGCTGAAAACCTCATGAGGGTTCTGGGGAACTATTGCTGCCTTGGTGAAATGCGCACCCACATCCATATGGACATTGTAGGCCTTCCCAATATTGGGAAAAGCAGCCTGATTAAAAGCCTGAAGCACAGCCATGCATGCAGTGTGGGAGCCATTCCTGGGGTCACGAAATTCATGCAGGAGGTCTACCTGGACAAGTTCATCCGGCTGCTGGATGCTCCAGCCATTGTTCCAGGGCCCAGCTCAGAGGTGGGCACCATCCTGCATAACTGCATCCACATCTAGAGACTGGCAGACCCCATGACCCCAGTGGAGACCATCTTGCAGTGCTGCAACCTGGAGGAGATTTCCAACTATTACCTTCTCTCTGGGTACCAGACTACTGAGCACTTTCTGACAGCAGTGGCCCACCATTTGGGGAAGAAGAGAGACTTACACAGTCAGGAGCAGGCAGCCAAAACTGTCCTAGCTGACTGGGTGAGCGGGAAGATCAGCTTCTATAGACCACCACCACCCACTCACACTCTGCCTGCCCATCTCAGTGCTGAGAATTAAGGAAATGACCAAGTTCTTTGACATCGAGGATACCGAGCAAGTCAATGAAGACACCATGGAATGCTTGGCCACTGGAGAATCTGATGAGCTATTGGGTGACACAGACCCACTCAAAATGGAGATCAAGTTGCTCCATTCTCCGATGATGGAAATAGCAGATGCCATTGAAGATAAAGCTACTGTATATAAGATTGGAGATCTCACTGGTTATTGCACCAATCCGAATCGTCATCAGATGGGGTGGGCTAAACTCAATGTAGACCACCACCCTAAAAAAAAACAGTAAGGTGGATGTGTGCCCAGTGGACTGCTGCCCAGTACTGCAGAGGATCATGGAGATGGACCCCCTACAACAGGGCCAGGCTCTAGCATCCTCCCTGAAGAGTAAGAATTTACAGAAATGTGCAGATAAAATCCCCAGGGAGCTGTCTGATTCCATGATGTCTGCCCTCCACCTCTCTGGCAATGCTGATGGCAGTGTTGGTAACTAATTGACTGATCTCACTTCCCTTCCGATCCAAGCACCAGTTCCAGTGGGACGGGAGATTACCAGTGAAATAGTTTGGTTCTCCCTGAAGCATCTGCATATTAAAAGAACCCTTCCCCAACTATGTGTCTTTGCCTCCCACTGTTCTCTCCACTCTCTCCAGGAAAAAGAGTCCCAAGAGGCTGGAGCTGACAAACCCAATACCCTTTATTTAACCCCTACTCTGTTTTACAACAGAAATAAAAGAAGTATCAGCAGGAAAAAAAAAAAAGAATATGCCCCCCCAAAAAATATCATTACCCCCTCCCCAAAAAATACCATTCTTTTGAAAGGAATGGTTTTTGGGGGGTATTAGCCCCAAAAAAAATTCTTGGTGGGGTAGTCTTTTGAAAATAATGTTTTTTGGGAGTATATAATATACACCCCCCAAAAAATATTATTCTTTTGAAAAGAATGGTTGCATTAATAAACCATTTGCCCTTTTAGAAAGAATAGCCAAATTACACTGCCACCAACATGTTTACCTCACTTGTATCACTAATGTCTTACGTTTTTTTAATTTTTTGCTAAATGGTCTAAAATGATTCTTCAAGGTTGAAGTCTGTATTTTACTTCTATTAAGATTGAAAAGTAAACATTTACCCCTGTGGTTTTTTACTATTTGTATTTCCTCTTTTGTTAAATGTACATTCATGTCATTGGCCCTTGTTCTGTCAACGTTGAATATTTTCCTTAAATTTAAAAGAGCCCTTTTTATAGCATAATATTTTAAGTATTTCTCCTAGGCTTTGTTGTGTTTTAAATTCAGATTTCAGAGATGAGTAACCTTATTATTTTAATCCTACAGGTGAACTATGGAAAAGTTTGTAATAACAGTAAAAAAGGATTGAAATTCACTGTCTCCTGTGGCTGCAGTTCAGAATTTGTTTTTGTACCATATGGTAGCACCATTGCTGTTTATACAGTTTACTCAGGAGAACAGATAACTATGCTTAAGGGACATTATAAAACTGTTGACTGCTGTGTATTTCAGTCAAATTTCCAGGTAAGAGTGATACAGGAATTTAAAATGTTCAGCTAGCTAGCTTGCCAGACCAGTTATATGTAAAAGAATAAATTATGATTTTATTCTGAGGAGTTATGCTTTTAATCCACATTTGTAGTAGGATTTATTTAATAGAGAATAGCACAGCCTAGATTGTTAGACAGCATACAATGTATGAATGAATCAATATAATACTGTGCAACTTGATTGGTATAAATTCTGTTTCTTTTGCATATGACCTTCATTTATTTAACAACTGAAAATCTGTGGTGAATTAAAATAATTTCTTGAAACAATCTTTTGGGTAAGAAATAAAATATAGGCATTTAATCATAAAATATAATTTGTATATGTTGGTTTATGTATGTGTGGATGATCTATTCTTCCTTATTTTCTACCAATGGCTAGTAAAGGGAGGTTTTGAAGTTAATACAACCTATATAATTTCTTAAATACTCTGGCTTTTGTTTGTTTGTTTTACATCCAGATCTTTTCATATCACCAATGGAGCAGATGGTTTTTCATTTTTTCAGAGAACATTTGCACAAATTACCTCATGCACTTCTTTAAATGAGTATAACATTGCAAGATAGTTGGTATTTTCCCTGTTTTGTAGGTAAGGAAAATGAAACTCACGTAAGTTAAATACTGATAGAATGAACATTACAGATTATTAGAGCTCAAGGAGACTATCACTTTGAATCTCCTATTCATTCATTCATTAATACTGATTGCCTAATTTGTGCCTGACACTGTGCTGTAAGATATATAGACCTGATTTTTCAGCCAGTACATACCATTATGGCAGTATTCATTATTAAAATATATAAATATTTATATATCCTACTGGCTGGTAAACAGCTGCTGCACCAAGCCCCCAAGCGACCTCCAGCCTCAGCCCCTTCCCTGGGACCTCTTAGACGTCACCTTAACGCAGCAACTAAAAGGGGACCTACAAGACCCTACTCCAACCCTATAGCCAGTATCTCTTTTTATTAGTCAATAAGAAGGTATATCCCATTTGTTAAACATTTTTAGTGTTCTGAGAGAAGAAAACGAAAGCACCAGAGAGGTGACGTGACTTGCCCCTAACCTGCAAGTAGTTACTGATAAAGCATGTGTTTGTATTCAAAGAAATTCTTAAAACATTGTCCCTCCTTTCTTTGCAAAGTTACTTAGAGACACAGCCGAAATTTCATCCCAGGTACTCTAACCACAAATTATTTCTTTCTACCAAATTGGAGCTTCTCTAATAGGTGTGCCTAGAATGGATTAAAATCGTGACAATGGCTGCGCACAGTGGCTCATGCCTGTAATCCCAGCACTTTAGGAGGCCGAAAGCATCACTTGAGCCCAGGAGTTCCAGGCCAGCCTAGGTGACAGAATGAGGCCCTGTATTTACAAAAAATCAAAAAATCAGCCAGGTGTGGTGGTATATGCCTGTAGTCCCAGCTGTGCAGGAGGCTGAAGCAAGAGAATTGCTTGAGTCCAGGAGATTGAGTGAGCCGTGTTCACACCACTGCACTCCAACATGGGCAACAGAATATAAATTCATGAATCTAGGCTGGGATAAGTAAGTAAATTAATAAATTGAAAATTTGATGAGGAATGAGATATTTATATAATCTCAACATATCACCCTACAAAATATGAAGTACAAACTAAAAAGATTAATTTTACCCTGAAGGAGCCTGGCACATATCACCTTCATCGAATAATCTAAGTTAGCATCCCAGTTATGGGACATCACTTCTGTGATATTCCTGACCAAATTGTATCACTCAAATTTAATCATGAGGAAACATAAGACAAGCCAAATGTGAAGGGCAGTCTACAAAGTAACTGCTGTATATCCAAAATTATCAAAGTCAGAAAAGCCAAAGAGACTGAAGAACTGTTCCAGCTTGAAAACTAAAGAGACTTGACGACTAAGTGCAGCATGTGATTTTTAACTGGTCCCTTTTGCTATAAAGGACAGTATTGGAACAAATAATGAAACATGAATGTGGTCTTTAGATGGTGGTAATAATATGATTTTGTTGGTTACTTTGTAACTATAAGGGGAAGTACCCTTGTTCACAGGAAAAATACACTGAATTATTCAAGAGTAGTAAGGCCTAATGTTGGCAACTTACTCTCATATGATTCAAGGGGGAAAAGAAGTCTTTTGGACTGCACTTGTAACTTACATTTTGAGATTATTTTTTAAGAAAATCTAATTGCCCAAATGAACTCCTCCATCTATCACAGATACTTCAAGGCTTAATGTAAATCATTCTATCTAAGTGTTCTTTGTTAGTCATTCTAATTTAAATGTTGCTGCTTTCAATATCTCTTTCTTGAACATCTACAGAATTTCCTTTATGTCTTCACTGGGTGTGTTAGTACTTATTGTGAATTGCTCTATAAGCTTATCTGACCAAGTTATCTTGCGCATTACCTGGCCTTCTCAGGGGAGTAAAATTACTCAAGGGCACTGAACATATATATCTTTGCATCAGCCACAGTTAGTGTAACTTTATAGTCTAGATTTTGTAATACAGTCAACAAAATTTTGTTTTATTTAGGAAATTTGATAATGTATATCTAATAATTATTTAAATCTACATTTTCTATAAATTACTATATAATCTTATTTTCCCTTTTCCCACATCCTTACTTAGATAAAAAACACAATTATACCATGCCTCACATTGTTTTTGAGATGTACAATAATAAAAATAAATTGTATTAAACAGCAGAGGAAAAAAGCCAATATAACATATTTCTTCGGTTTTGTTGGGGAGGGGCATGAGCATTGTTCAGCCATAAGCAAACAGCATATCTGTAGACATTGACATAGGCTGTGCATCACCCCAAGCTTCCCCTTATGAAGTAAACTTCTCAACAGGCATGGGATATACATCTTCAAGCTCTTCTGTTGAATTGCAGCCAGTTAGGCAGCTGTAAGTTAAATAAAACTTTTTGAGAACTTGGCCTATTTTAGTAGACGCTCATATGGTTTCTTCACTGAAGTCTTTATTGAAGCTCAGTTATTTGGACACAGAAAGACAAACTATTTTTTTCTTTCTCTGACATTAGAAATATATGGATACTATAATTGATAAAACTGCTAGGATTTGGGGTGTGTTTGTAAAATTTTCACACCATTAGTAAGCTCTGACAAATCCTAATACTATTTTTAAATACAAAACAAAGCTTTACTAACAAAGAAACAAAGGAAAAACAGCATTGGCCTAGTTTCTTTAGGGAGTAGAAATAGCATTAATCTAATTATTATGACCTAATTATTTCAAAAATGATATAATTCATTTCAGTTTGATATCAGCTCTTGATCCACAGTATCATCTTTGCCTTCTATGTTATAGGAACTTTATAGTGGTAGCAGAGACTGCAACATTCTGGCTTGGGTTCCATCCTTATATGAACCAGTTCCTGATGATGATGAGGTAAATATTATTTTCACAAATGGTACAGTGACTTCTAAAGCTTAAGAAATAATGTTTTGTTACTTTATGTGAGAGAGACTTTTAAAGCATTTCTTGCCAGTGGCATGCACCTATAGTCCCAGGTACCTGGGAGACTGAGGCAAGATGATCACTTGAGCCCAGAAATCAAGACCAGCCTGGGCAATGTAGTGAGACCCCATCTCAGAACAACAACAACAAAAAAGCATTTCTTGGTAATTTCCGTAAAAATAATTTGACTATTTTAATACATTTGGAAAATTCAGAAAAATATCAAAAGAAGAACATAAAATTCCTCAAGTCAAATTAATCAATATTAACATTTTGATTTGTTTCATAACTGTTTTTTCCTATGCATATGTTTTTTAACATAGTTCATATCATGGTTGGACATTCAACTTGGTATCTCACTTTTCTCATTAACATTGTACAATAAGCCTTTTTTCATGTCATTAATAACTATGTGTAAACATTTCTAATGATATTCTGTCATTGATAAAAGCAATTCAAATATTTACCTACTTGGAGGCATTTCTGTTGATTATTGTAAACATCAAGGTAAATATCTGTTCAAAAATTGTTAATATTTCTGACTATGTCTTTAGATAGATTCCTAAAAGTGGAATTATCTCTTAAATTATTATATATCACTTTTTTTCTTTTCTTTTCTTTTTCTATTTTTATTTTTATTTTTATTTTTATTTTTATTTTTATTTTTTTGAGATGGAGTCTCAATCTGTCGCCCAGGCTGGAGTGCAGTGGCGTGATCTTGGCTCACTGCAACTTTTGCCTCCTGGGTTCAAGCAATTATCCTGCCTCAGCCTCCCAAGTAGTTGGGATTACAGGTACCCGCCACCACGCCTGGCTAATTTTTGTATTTTTAGTAGAGACGTGGTCTCACCATGTTTGTCAGGCTGGTCTTCAACTCCTGACCTCAAGTGATCCACCTGCCTTGGCCTCCCAAAGTGCTGGGATTACACGCATGAGCCACTACCCCTAGCCGACATTTTTAAGACTTTGTTCTCACGTCAAATTTTACCAGTTTACACTCCTACCAGCAGTCTGACAGTGCCTTTCGTAGAACATAAATCAGTATAAGCATGACAGTGTAAATAAAGACCTTAAAAACACAGTAGGTAAACAAAGATGAACAAGACCATTGTCCCTGACCTAAAGTAATAGCCTCTGTATTTTTTTTTAACTTTCACATCAAGCAGTAGGAAGATAGAGGCTGTTTAAAGGTGGTTTCTCTCCCACCAAGGTTTATTCTCCTAATAATCATCCTCATTTATCTTAATTTCTACAATATAAAAAGTCTAAAAGCAATGTCTAAAAACAATGTTTGTATATATATACATATATATATACATATAGTTCTTTAAGTTGGAAATATAAATAATGTAGTTGGAAACACCTTAAGGTAATCTTAACCAAGTCATAGTAAAAGCATCTTAAATGGAGGTGGAGGAAAAGTTATTGATAGAGCACGTTTGACATTCAAAAAACATTTTTCATATACTGTGTTTAGTTCCTTTATGAAAAAAGGACTATGTCAAAAACCACATGAAAATATAATTTGTATAGAGGTGGTTGATAGCATCTCACAGCTATTGACAATATATATTTCATACCTAAATTTTCAACTGCTAAGGTTTACTGCTGTGTAAACCTGTGAATTATTTTCTTTTGTCCTTAATCCAAATAAAGAGAAAAAAATACCTTTTGATAAATCTTTAAGTAGCTACCCAATGCCATATGCATACTTCCAGATTTTATCACGTCTAATTTGGTTTATTGTGGCTTGATTAACTTTAGCATACAGCTGCTTTTGGTGTCAGAATATTCTTCTGTATAAAGCTTAATATGGTCAAATAATTAGGTTTAGCCATTTATTTTACATTTCTTTATGTAATTATTGTGTCCTGCTCTTTGGGAATTGCTGTATACATTAAACCCAAGTTAACACTGTAAGCCATGTTAGGAAATATAACATTTTATTTACCAAATGAAAACAGTAAAAATAAATGAAAAGTAAATCTATAGTGACTTATGTATAGAAAAGGATGTTAGAAGAATACTAAATTGTTTAATTCTTAAAGATAATATGTGGCCAGGTGTGGTGGCTCACATCTGTAATCCCAGCACTTTGAGAGGCTGAGGTGGGAGAATCTCTTGAGTCCAGGAGTTCAAGACCAGCCTACGCAACATAGAAAGACCCCATCTCTACAAAAAATAGACAAAATTAGCCAGGTTTGGTGGCTTTACACTTATAGTTCCAGCTACTTAAGAGGGTGAGGTGGGAGGATCACTGAGCCCAAGAGTTCAAGGCTACAGTGAGCCACAATTGCACCACTATACTCCAGCCTGGGTGACAGAGTGAGATCTTGACTCAAAGGAAAAAAAAAAAGATAATATGTGACTGATGGTTTATTTCCTTGTTATGTCGTTATAGTGATAGTTTGAACTCTTCGTGTAAACAAACTTTTGTATATGAGAAATTAAGCAAAACAAGTTAGAAAATCACATAGAGATATACAAATATCAAGTTGAGTTTTGTATTTGTTTTAGAGCTATAAAACCTTACCTTTTAAAATGTCATGTTCATATATTTTAAGATAGCAGTCATTCTCATATTAATATAAAATGGTATGTGCTAAAGTAATTTCCATAAAATTTTAGTTTGAAGCATTCCTGTGAATATAGGCAGAACATGAATGTGATCATGATGCAGATCCCAGTAGAATAGTCTGTCCAGAAGATCCTATTCCTTACATGTATGTTTATAATTTAAGCCATGTTTAAAAGTGCTTTTATCCCAACTACAAAATAAGTATATTTATTTGATATTTATTTCCCAAGGAGGCAGTATACCACACTAGAAAACAAAAAAAAAAAAAACACATACACACATATACATACACATAGTCTTTTTTTTTTTTTTTTTTTGAGAAGGAGTCTGGCTCTGTCACCCAGGCTGGAGTGCAGTGGCACAATCTCGGTTCACTGCAAGCTCCGCCTCCTGGGTTCACGCCATTCTCCTGCCTCAGCCTCCCGAGTAGCTGGGACTACAGGCGCCCACCACCACGCCCAGCTAATTTTTTGTATTTTTAGTAGAGATGGGGTTTCACAATTCACAGGATGGTCTCGATCTCCTGACCTCATGATCCACCCGCCTCGGCCTCCCAAAGTCCTGGGATTACAGGCTTGAGCCACCACCCTCAGCCCACATACTTAGTCTTTAGCTTCAGGAAACTGGGTTTGAATCCCAGTTCTGCCATTTATTCTACTTATGATCTGGGACAAGCTTATAATATTTCCAAATATCAGAATTGTCTAATCAAAGTTATTCTTAGGTTTCCTTTCAAATGCATTCTTCAGATGAGAGTTACCTCCCCATCAATCAAGATGTAATCCCTTAGGGGTGTTTCTCCTGATATCCAAAGTAGAAGATGAATTTAATTCTATCTAAAGAAAGGAAGAACACTGGATGATAGGGACAGGATTTATGGTCTTTAACTATAAATCCTTTTATTTAGTTGGCAGACTGTTTTATTATATTTTGAGGAATCTGGCTTCCTTTTGACCCTCCTTTCTAAAAGCTGGTCTGGTCAAGACAAGCCTATCTATAACTCCTAATTACTTTTTCCTGCCTGAGATCTATAGGGCAGGTTTATTCCAGTTTAAACCTGACCTCTCACTAAGAATCTTACTTTGTTTTGACATTCACACAATACATAACTGTTTTACATATCACTTGTGTCAATGTATAATCACTTGCTGACAACCTGAGAGTTGCCACTAATTACCAGTCAGAAATTTGAAAGTTATCAAGAAATATCCTTGTAGATGTTAAGTTTGGTTCTATTCCTTCTCTAAACTCATAACTAGGTCCCCTCTAAACTCATGCTTCATTATTTCTATAACATTGACACTATCTGTCAGTAGAATTGACAACCTGGTGAGATATAGATGAATATGTTCAAGCACAGACTGCATGTCCACTAGGAGGAGATGTTGCAGAGAAAACTGAAATAATAGTAGTGACACTTGATCAGTGGGTCTCAAATGGTAATGTGTACCACATCCATCTACAACATTTTTACTGCTGCTTTATCATACTACCAGTATAATATTTATTTGTGATTGTTTTGGCAATAAAATGTATTTCTAAAATACTGTAATGCATTCATATATCATTATTTCACTGAAAAGTGAAATAATTTGTATGCAACTGATTATGATTTTCATTTATTTTTGTTTCTTTGCTTACCATACAAAAATAATTTATGATGAAGTATAATTTTGCTTTTCTGTTGAGTTTTCAACTGAAATTAAAATTTTTAATAGGTTACACACTGGGCTTCCATAGTAGGATTAGGAAGCATGGCCCTCATGTGGCTTATCCACCTACAGACATGTGTGTGTGTGTGTGTGTGTGTGTGTGTGTGTGTTTTCCCAGGGCTATTTTTGGTAGTTATCAAAGGCAAGTTAAAGGCTTCTAGAGACAGAGTAGGGAAGAGGAGTCAGCTAACCCCCAATGACAAGATGTCTTTTAATAAACTCTCACTAAATAACCTAATTTAATAGTCAAATTGACAACCCAAAAAGACAGGAAATTCAGTAAACATTTGGATGAAAGACAAAATGAACAGACTTCAGTATACAACTGTTGCAAATAAGTGTACCGTGGCTAGAAATCAGTGAGTAGTTACCTGAGGTTTAATAATAGTTTCGTGCCCAGGAGTGGTGGCTCACGCCTGTAATCCCAGCACTTTGGGAGGCCAAGGCTGGCAGATCACAAGATCTGGAGTTCAAGACCAGCCTAGCCAATATGGTGAAACCCCATCTCTACTAAAAATACAAAAATTCGCCGGTGGCATGCGCCTGTAGTCACAGCTACTTAGGAAGCTGAGGCAGAAGACTCACTTGAACCTGGGGGGCAGAGGTTGCAGAGAGCCAAGATCATGCCACTGCACTCCAGCCTGGGTGACAGAGCAAGACTCCATCTCAAATAATAATAATAATAGTTTCGCTTCTGGACATTTGGAGTATAGCTGACATTAAGTTTAATAATGTAATCTGTTTAACAATAAAGAATGCCTAAATTAATATATTGTTTTCCAGCTCTTCTAGCTGATACTTGGAAAATGTACTAGGAACACGTAACTTTTTCTACTGTTTTCATTGATTGAATTCTAAGATTCAAAGTTATCATATTCATCAAAAGGAAAATGAACATTCTCAGACATGCAGTAGGGGTTACCATTAAAAAATGTTTCTAAGCCGGGCGCAGTGGCTCACGCCTGTAATCCCAGCACTCTGGGAGGCTGAGGTAGGCAGATCACGAGATCAGGAGATCGAGATCATCCTGGCTAACACGGTGAAACCCCGTCTCTACTAAAAATACAAAAAACTAGGTGGAGCCAAGATGGCCGAATAGGAACAGCTCCAGTCTGCAGCTCCCAGCGTGAGCAATGCAGAAGACAGGTGATTTATGCATTTCCAACTGAGGTACCAGGTTCATCTCACTGGGGAGTGTCGGACAGTGGGTGCAGGACAGTGGGTGCAGCGCACTGAGCATGAGCCAAAGCAGGGTGAGGCATCGCCTCACCTGGGAAGCACAAGGGGTCAGGGAATTCCCTTTCTTAGTCACAGAAAGGGGTGACAGACGGCACCTGGAAAATCGGGTCACTCCCACCCTAATACTGCACTTTTCCAATGGTCTTAGCAAACAGCACACCAGGAGATTATATCCTGCGCCTGGCTCGGAGGGTCCGACGCCCACAGAGCCTCGCCCATTGCTAGCACAGCAGTCTGAGATCAAACTGCAAGGCGGCAGCCAGGCTGGGGGAGGGGCGCCCGCCATTGCTGAGGCTTGAGTAGGTAAACAAAGCGGCTGGGAAGATCAAACTGGGTGGAGCCCACCACAGCTCAAGGAGGCCTGCCGGCCTCTGTAGACTTCACCTCTGGGGGCACGGCATAGCCAAACAAAAGGCAGCAGAAACCTCTGCAGACTTAAATGTCCCTGTCTGACAGCTTTGAAGAGAATAGTGGTTCTCCCAGCACGCAGCTGGAGATCTGAGAACAGACAGACTGCCTCCTCAAGTGGGTCCCTGATGCCGAGTAGCCTAACTGTGAGGCACCCCCCAGTAGGGGCAGACTGACACCTCACAGAGCCAGGTGCACCTCTGAGACAAAACTCCCAGAGGAACGATCAGCTAGCAACATTTGCTATTCACCAATATCCACTGTTCTGCAGTCTCTGAGCTGATAGCCAGGCAAACGGTCTGGAGGGGACCTCCAGCAAACTTCAACAGACCTGTTGCTGAGGGTCCTGACTGTTAGAAGGAAAACTAACAAGCAGAAAGGACATCCACACCAAAACCCCATCTGTACGTCACCATCATCAAAGACCAAAGGTAGATAAAACCACAAAGATGGGGAAAAAACAGAGCAGAAAAACTGGAAACTCTAAAAGTCAGAGCACCTCTCCTCCTCCAAAGGAACGCAGCTCCTCACCAGCAACAGAACAAACTGGATGGAGAATGACATTGACGAGTTGAGAAAAAAGGGCTTCAGACGATCAAACTACTCCGGGCTAAAGGAGGAAGTTTGAACCCATGGCAAAGAAGTTAAAAACCTTGAAAAAAAATTAGACAAATGGCTAACTAGAATAACCAATGCAGACAAGTCCTTTAACGACCTGATGGAGCTGAAAACCATGGCACGAGAACTACGTGATGAATGTTCAAGCCTCAGTAGCTGATTTGATCAACTGGAAGAAAGGGTATCAGTGATGGAAGATCAAATGAATGAAATGAAGTGAGAAGAGAAGTTTAGAGAAAAAAGAATAAAAAGAAATGAACAAAGCCTCCAAGAAATATGGGACTATGTGAAAAGACCAAATCTACATCTGATTGGTGTACCTGAAAGTGACGGGGAGAATGGAACCAAGTTGGAAAACACTCTGCAGGATATTATCCAGGAGAACTTCCCCAATCTAGCAAGTCAGGCCAACATTCAAATTCAGAAAAACAGAGAATGCCACAAAGATACTCCTCGAGAAGAGCAACTCCAAGACACATAATTGTCAGATTCACTAAAGCTGAAATGAAGGAAAAAATGTTAAGGGCAGCCAGAGAGAAAGGTCGGGTTACCCACAAACGGAACCCCATCAGACTAACAGCAGATCTCTTGGCAGAAACTCTACAAGCCAGAAGAGAGTGGGGGCCAATATTCAACATTCTTAAAGAGAAGAATTTTCAACCCAGAATTTCATATCCAGCCAAACTAAGCTTCGTAAGTGAAGGAGAAATAAAATCCTTCACAGACAAGCAAATGCTGAGAGATTTTGTCACCACCAGGCCTGCCCTAAAAGAGCTCCTGAAGGAAGCACTAAACATGGAAAGGAACAACCGGTACCAGCCACTGCAAAAACATGCCAAATTGTAAAGACCATCAAGGCTAGGAAGAAACTGCATCAACTAACGAGCAAAATAACCAGCTAATGTCATCATGACAGGATCAAATTCACACATAACAATATTAACCTTAAATGTAAATGGGCTAACTGCTCCAATTAAAAGACACAGACTGGCAAATTGGATAAAGAGTCAAGACCCATCAGTGTGCTGTATTCAGGAAACCCATCTCACGTGGAGAGACACACATAGGCTGAAAATAAAGGGATGGAGGAAGATCTACCAAGCAAATGGAAAACAAAAAAAGGCAGAGGTTGTAATCCTAGTCTCTGATAAAACAGACTTTAAACCAACAAAGATCAAAAGAGACAAGGCCATTACATAATGGTAAAGGGATCAATTCAACAAGAAGAGCTAACTATCCTAAATATATATGCACCCAATACAGGAGCACCCAGATTCATAAAACAAGTCCTTAGAGACCTAAAAAGAGACTTAGACTCCCACACAATAATAATGGGAGACTTTAACACCCCACTGTCAACATTAGACAGATCAACAAGACAGAAAGTTAACAAGGATATCCAGGAATTGAACTCAGCTCTGCACCAAGCAGACCTAATAGACATCTACAGAACTCTCCACCCCAAATCAACAGAGTATACATTCTTTTCAGCACCACACCACACCTATTCCAAAATTGACCACATAGTTGGAAGTAAAGCTCTCCTCAGCAAATGTAAAAGAACAGAAATTATAGCAAACGGTCTTTCAGACCCCAGTGCAATCAAACTAGAACTCAGGATTAAGAAACTCACTCAAAACCGCTCAACTACATGGAAACTGAACAACCTCCTCCTGAATGACTACTGGGTACATAACGAAATGAAGGCAGAAATAAAGATGTTCTTTGAAACCAACGAGACCAAAGACACAACATACCAGAATCTCTGAGACACATTCAAAGCAGTGTGTAGAGGGCAATTTATAGCACTAAATGCCCACAAGAGAAAGCAGGAAAGATCTAAAATGGACACCCTAACATCACAATTAAAAGAACTAGAGAAGCAAGAGCAAACACATTCAAAAGCTAGCAGAAGGTAAGAAATAACTAAGGTCAGAGCAGAACTGAAGGAAATAGAGACACAAAAAACCCTTCAAAAAATCAGTGAATCCAGGAGCTGGTTTTTGTAAAAGATCAACAAAATTGATAGACCACTAGCAAGAGTAATAAAGAAGAAAAGAGAGCAGAATCAAATAGACGCAAAAAAAATGATAAAGGGGATATCACCACCAATCCCACAGAAATACAAACTACCATCAGAATACTATAAACACCTCTATGCAAATAAACTAGAAAATCTAGAAGAAATGGATAAATTCCTGGACACATACACCCTCCCAAGACTAAACGAGGAAGAAGTTGAATCTCTGAATAGACCAATAACAGGCTCTGAAATTGAGGCAATCATTGATAGCTTACCAACCAAAAAAAGTCCAGGACCAGATGGATTGACAGCCGAATTCTACCAGAGGTACAAGGAGGAGCTGGTACCATTCCTTCTGAAACTATTCCAATCAATAGAAAAAGAGGGAATCCTCCCTAACTCATTTGATGAGGTCAGCATCATCCTGATACCAAAGCCTGGCAGAGACACAACAAAAAAAGAGAATTTTACACCAATATCTCTGATGAGCATCAATGCAAAAATCCTTAATAAAATACTGGCAAACTGAATCCAGCAGCACATCAAAAAGCTTATCCACCATGAACAAGTGGGCTTCATCCCTGGGATGCAAGGCTAGTTCAACATACACAAATCAATAAACGTAATCGAGCATATAAACAGAACCAATGACAAAAACCAAATGATTATCTCAATAGATGCAGAAAAGGCGTTTGACAAAATTCAACAACCTTCATGCTAAAAACTCTCAATAAATTAGGTATTGATGGGACGTATCTCAAAATAACAAGAGCTATCTATGACAAACCCACAGCCAATATCATACTGAATGGGCAAAAACTGGAAGCATTCCCTTTGAAAACAGGCACAAGACAGGGATGCCCTCTCTCACCACTCCTATTCAACATAGTGTTGGAAGTTCTGTCCAGGGCAATCAGGCAGGAAAAGGAAATAAAGGGTATTCAGTTAGGAAAAGAGGAAGTCAAATTGTCCCTGTTTGCAGATGACATGACTGTATATCTAGAAAACCCCATTGTCTCAGCCCAAAATCTCCTTAAGCTGATAAGCAACTTCAGCAAAGTCTCAGGATACAAAATCAATGTGCAAAAATCACAAGCATTCTTATACACCAATAACAGACAAACAGCCAAATCACGAGTGAACTTCCATTCACAATTGCTTCAAAGAGATTAAAATACCTAGGAATCCAACTTACAAGGGATGTGAAGGACCTCTTCAAGGAGATCTACAAACCACTGCTCAAGGAAATAAAAGAGGATACAAACAAATGGAAGAACATTCCATGCTCATGGGTAGGAAGAATCAATATTGTGAAAATGGCCATGCTGCCCAAGGTAATTTATAGATTCAATGCCATCCCCATCAAGCTACCAATGACTTTCTTCACAGAATTGGAAAAAACTAAAGTTCATGTGGAACCAAAAAAGAGCCCGCATTGCCAAGTCAATCCTAAGCCAAAAGAACAAAGCTGGAGGCATCACACTACCTGACTTCAAACTATACTACAAGGCTACAGTAACCAAAACAGCACGGTACTGGTACCAAAACAGAGATATAGACCAATGGAACAGAGCAGAGCCCTCAGAAGTAATGCTGCATATCTACAACCATCTGATCTTTGACAAACTTGACAAAAACAAGAAATGGAGAAAGGATTCCCTATTTAGTAAATGGTGCTGGGATAACTGGCTAGCCATACTTAGAAAGCTGAAACTGGATCCCTTCCTTACACCTTATACAAAAATCAATTCAAGATGGATTAAGACTTAAATGTTAGACCTAAAACCATAAAAACCCCAGAAGAAAACCTAGGCATTACCATTCAGGACATAGGCATGGGCAAGGACTTCATGTCTAAAACACCAAAAGCAATGGCAACAAAAGCCAAAATTGACAAATGGGATCTAATTAAACTAAAGAGCTTCTGCACAGCAAAAGAAACTACCATCAGAGTGAACAAGCAACCTACAGAATGGGAGAAAATTTTTGCAATCTACTCATCTAACAAAGGGCTAATATCCAGAACCTACAATGGACTCAAACAAATTTACAAGAAAAAAACAAACAACCCCATCAAAAAGTGGACGAAGGATATGAACAAACACTTCTCAAAAGAAGACATTTATGCAGCCAAAAGACACATGAAAAAATGCTCATCATCACTGGCCATCAGAGAAATGCAAATCAAAACCACAATGAGATACCATCTCACACCAGTTAGAATGGTGATCATTAAAAAGTCAGGGAACAACAGGTGCTGGAGAGGATGTGGAGAAATAGGAACAGTTTTACACTGTTGGTGGGACTGTCAACTAGTTCAACCATTGTGGAAGTCCATGTAGGAATTCCCCAGGTATCTAGAACTAGAAATACCATTTGACCCAGCCATCCCATTACTGGGTATATACCCAAAGGATTATAAAACATGCTGCTATAAAGACACATGCACACGTATGTTTATTGCGGCACTATTCACAACAGGAAAGACTTGGAACCAACCCAAATGTCCATCAGTGATAGACTGGATTAAGAAAATGTGGCACATATATACCATGGAATACTATGCAGCCATAAAAAATGATGAGTTCATGTCCTCTGCAGGGACATGGATGAAGCTGGAAACCATCATTCTCAACAAACTATTGCAAGGACAAAAACCCAAACACCGCCAAGTTCTCACTCATAGGTGGGAATTGAACAGTAAGAACACTTCGACACAGGAAGGGGAACATCACACACCGGGACCTGTTGTGGGGTGGGGGTAGGGGGGAGGGATAGCATTAGGAGATATACCTAATGTTAAATGGGTGCAGCACACCAACATGGCACATGTATACATATGTGACAAACCTGCACGTTGTGCACATGTACCCTAAAACTTACAGTATAATAAAAAAAAGAAAAAATAAATAAATTAAAATATAAAAAATTATCCAGGCGTGGTGGCAGGCGTCTGTAGTCCCAGCTTCTTGGGAGGCTGAGGCAGGACAATGGCGTGAACCCGGGAGGCGGAGCTTGCAGTGAGCGGAGATCGCGCCACTGCACTCCAGCCCGGGCGACAGTGTGAGATTCTGTCTCAAAAGGAAAAAAAAAATTTCTCTAAGTTATAAAAGGCAATAAATCTAAAATAATTTAAGAGTAGTCTTGATGCTAATACAGCATTGGAATTGGAATCTGAATAAAATTGTAGTAGTTGTAAAAGTTGCACAAAAAGAAGCAAACCTGGCTCATAATACCCAATTACTTTAACAATGAGACCATCTTAAAGCCCTTTTAGTTATTTGCATGAGTATCAGAAGTAGCTATTCAGAAGTTTTCCCCAAAATGAACTGATTTGAAATACCACAGATGATTAAAATTTCTGTAGTTGCTAATCACCTTGTTGTTTTAAATAAACATCATCTAGATGCATGTTATCCTTCAGACAAATCCCTGAGGGAAACCTATGTGCTGACTATAAACGTGTTACCATTTCTGACGTATTTTGCATGTTTTACTGAACTGCCCTACCAACCTATAAAAATAAGTAATTAAATATCACTGCTTACAAATAAGTACATAAATATCACTACTTAATAACCCACATTATTTTTGGACTAAAAATGGTATTATTCAGCTTGAATACCTTATTCTCCATATTTGGTATTTGTTTATTTATAAAAGTTATTTTCATCCAAACAATAAAGAGTTGCCACCATTGATATTTTGGGCTGTCAGGTCAGACTGTACACCTGGAGTCCAGTCTTAGCCTATGGATATCAGAGTGCCACTTTCTCCAGGTAATTCCAAAGAGTTGTTGAGAAATACCTTGAGCAATGGCAGCATCATAGTATATGTATGTATGTGTGTATGTATGTATTTGTGAAGTGATTAAAGGAAACAGGGTGTTTGGATAAAGTCTGGTGTTGTCTGTTTCAAATGAAGTTACATTATCTTATATTGTATATGGGTTGTTTCTTATTTTTGTTCTGAAATTAACAGTTATACATTTTCTTCCAAAATAATGTAATTGCTATTTATCTGATATATTTCATAACTTTATTGTGAGCCTAAAATTATGAAGTAGAAAAAACAGAATCTTCCTTTTTCTTTATCTTTTTTTTTTTTAGACTACAACAAAATCACAATTAAATCCGGCCTTTGAAGATGCCTGGAGCAGCAGTGATGAAGAAGGATGAATATCATCTTTAGTACCTTTTTGTCTCTGCTGAAACTTTTTAAATGAGACTGTGTTTTTTTCAACTGTATGGTCTATTCCTGACAGCTAAATTAGCCCTAAATGTGGGTAATATTTTTCCTCATGTTTTAAAATGAGGTTAATATTTGCATAAAATCCTAAAACAGACTTCTGTATAGTTTATTTAGTCAAAATGTGTTCCTTGATCCCAGATGTTGTGGCCTGGGAAAGCCCTCATTGCTACAGTACAAGTAACACAAGTCGTTGTACCTCAGTTGTGACCTTCAGCAGATTTTATGAACTATAAGATGCAGTCTCAGAGGATCAGCAAGTGGAGGCCATCAGTATTGACTTTCTCTTACTTGCTGTACTATCAGCCTGCTCGTTTCCACCTTTAAGAATGATTTTGCCAAGAATGATTATATCAAAAATAGTAGTTGAAATGGTAACATCAAAATTATTTTATTCTTTCTTCTTCATGTATTCACATTTTTCAGTGGTTTCATTTAATTAACCATGCTTTATGTTAAACATTTTGGGGCTCAATGTCTCCTACTATCCAAAATGTGCATCACAGGAGGCTTTTAACTTTGTGAAAATCCCATGTTTGCTTTATTTTATTTTAATGTCAGAAGGCAGTTTGCGCTAATGCTTGAACTCTTTTTCTGTGAAACTCATTAAGGTATGACCAAATCCTGCCTCATTAATTCAAGCAGAAAATATCCTGGCAGGGAATCTGGCTTAAACATGAAATGCTGTAATAAAATTTCTATGTTATTGTCTCCGTCTGTGTCAACCCACACGTGATTATCATGAAGGTAATCTTAATTTTCCCTTCCTGATCCTTACCAGCAGTAGACTAGTAAATGAGGCTTTTATGAGCTTGAATACCAAAAGTAAACAGTTGTTGAGGGTTTTTTGTTTTTTTGTTTTTTTCCTGAGATGGAGTTTCACTCTGTCGCTCAGGCCGGAGTGCAGTGTTTTGATCTCAGCTCACTGCAACCTTCACCTCCCAGGTTCAAGCAATTCTCCTGCCTAAGCCTCCTGAGTAGCTGGGATTACAGGCTCCCGCCACTGCGCCCGGTTAATTTTTTTGTATTTTCAGTAGAGATGGGGTTTCACCATGTTGGCCAGGCTGGTTGCGAACTGCTGACCTCAAATGATCCACCCGCCTCGGCCTCTCAAAGTGCTGGAATTATAAGCTTGAGCCACTGCACCCAGCCAGTTGTTGAGTTTTTAAGTGTATAAGGGTTAGACCTCCTATCAGACCTTTCCAGCTAAATGTTTTCCAAACACTTGCTTTTACAATTGATTTTTTTTTCCAATTGGCAGATAAAATTGTATGTATTTACCATGTACAACATACTGTTTTGAAGCATATATACATTATAGAATGACTAAATCTAGCTAACTGACATATGCCTCACATGGTTACCATTTTGTGGTAAGAACACTTTACATCCATTCTCTTATTTTTCAAAATTAATAGTAATCTTGTAATTGTAACTATAGTTACTATGTTGTGCAATAGGTCTCTTGCACTAATTCCCCCTTTTTAACTGAAATTTTGTATCCTTTGACCAATGTTTCTCCAACAACCCTAGCTCCTGGTAACCACCATTCTACTCTCTACTTCTATGAGATCAGCTGTTTGTGTATATGTACTACATTTTCTTTATCCATTCAACCATTGACAGATGCTTAGGTTGATACCATATCCTGGCTATTGTGAATAATGCTGCAGTGAACCTGGTAGTGCAGATATCTCTTTGACATACTGATTTCATATCCTTTGGATATAAGCCCAGTATTAGGATTGCTGGATCATATGTAGTTCTATTTTTAACTTTTTGCAGAAACTCCATACTGTCTTCCATAATGGCTGTACTAATTTACATTCCTACCAAGAATATGCAAGAATTCCTTTTTCTTCACAATAATGCAAGAAATCCTTTTTCTTCACATCCTTGCCAACACTTGTTATCTTTTGTGTTATTGATAGTAGCCATTCTAACAGGTGTTAGGTGGTATCTCGTTGTTTTAATTTGCATTTCCCTGGTGACTGCTGATGTTGATAATTTTTTCATATATCTGCTGGCCATTTGCATGTCTTCTTTTGAGAACTGTCTTTTCAGGTTCTTTGCCCATTTTTAAATGGGTTGTTTTCCTGCTATTGAGTTCCTTATGTATTTTGGATATTAACCCCCTATCAGATCTATAGTTAATATTTTTTCTCCATTCTGTAGGTTGTCTCTTCACCCTATTAATTGTTTCCTTTGCTGTGCAGAAGCTTTTTAGTTTCATGTAATTTCATTTCTGTACTTGTGCTTTTGTTACTGTGCTTTTGAGATCGTATCCAAAAAAATCATTGCCCAGACCAATGTCATGGAGCATTTTCTCCATGTTTTCTTCTGATAGTTTCAAATCATTGATTTATTAAGCCCAGGCCATTCTACTTTCAATCTTGTCCCCTTGGTGAGGATGCATTTGACCTTTGAAAAAGCTAGTTTGAAAAAGCTATTGGCCGGGCACGGTGGTTGTAATCCTAACACTTTGTGAGCTGAGACAGGCAGATCACTTGAGCTCAGGAGTTCAAGACCAGCCTGGGCAACATGGCAAAACCTCGTCTCTAAATAAAAAATACAAAAATTAACCAAGTGTGTTGTGCACACCTGTAGTCCCAGCTACTTGGGAGACTCAGGCTGGGGAATCACTTGAACCTGTAAAGTCACGGCTGCATTGAGCCAAGATCGTGTCACTACACTCCAGCCTGGGTGACATGGCGAGACCTTGTGTCTCCCAAAAGAAAAAGAAAAGAAAAGCTATTAAAATTGGAAATTTATTTTTAAGAAAAAGGAAGTCTGCTTCCAAACTGCAAGTAACTGTTTTACTTACTTCTAGTTATATAGATATATAGGCTCATTATAAATAATTCAAACAACATAAAAATCTAAAAAGGAAGGTAGTGGTCACCTGGAATTATAATACCATAAGGTAACCACCACTAACATTTTCATGGTCATTCTTCATGAATCTCTTATGATACATATAATTTTACATAATGGGATGTTCAACAAGCTGTTGTTATAAACACCCCTCTCTTTCCACATTAGTACCACATTCCCCAGTCCTTACCCCTGCTGCCACAAACCAAGTTATTAACCTAGACTGTGTTCTTTCATATTGCAATCCTATATATATCTATGCAGACATATAGGGGATGTATTTTTATTTTGCAGAACTGGGATATACAAAGTTTTTAAATTATATTTTGCAGTTACAGCTTATATAAATCCCTCTCTGTCATTTGTTATAACAAAGTTATTCTTTTTGTTAACTGCATCATACTGCATTTTGTGAATGTCCCCCAGTTGTTTTCAGCTGGTCCCCTGTTCAAGGCTACATGTTTATTAGTGAAGACTTGGAACTGTACTATATTTTTCTTGGTATATTTTGGTGTACAATTTGTACAATTTAGTTGTTGAATATCATCTTTTTTTTCCCCTCTGAAATGATAGTTTAGCTGGGTATACGATTTTTGGGTTGTAGTCCTTTTGTTTTGTTGGTCTATAGATATTGTGCCCACTTTTTTCTAGCTTCTGGTATTGCAGTTGAGAATTCCAAAGCCACTTTGGTTTTTTTTCCCTTTGTAGGGAATTCATTCGTTACAGCTGGAAGCTTGTAAACTGAGGTTTAAAAGAAAAAAGTAAAAACTTACAGTTTCTTAATCTCGTCAAGAAATCTGATGTCTTTTTTTATTCTCTTCCGTCACTTCTTAGACTTCTTGGGAGCTCTTTCAATGAAGGTCCAAACCTTTTCTCAGCTCAGGTATATTTTCTTCTAATATTTGTCTAATTGTTGCTTCTCCTTTTTCCTTCTTCTTTTTTGGATTATCTAAAAATTGCATGTAACTGACCTCTCTATGTTTCTTCCTTTCTTCCCTTTTTTTTTTTTGAGACAAAATCTCATTCTGTCACCCAGACTAGAGGGCAGTGGCGCCATCTCAGCTCACTGCAACCTCCGCTTCCCAGGTTCAAGCAATTTTCCTGCCTCAGCCTCCCAAGCAGCTGGGATTACAGGTGCCCACCACCACGCCTGGCTAATTTTTTTTTTTTTTTTTTTTTTTTTTTTTTAGCAGAGGTGGGGTTTCACCATGTTGGCCAGGCTGGTCTTGAACTCCTGGGCTCTAGTGATCCACCAGCCTCGGCCTCCCAAAGTGCTGGGATTTACAGGCGTGAGCCACCGTGCCGGGCCTGACTTCGACTTCTCTTTCATTGTCTTATCTTTTCGTTTCTCCTTGCCCTTTTTGTTTTGTTTTGTTTCAATTCTTAGAACTGTAGTTGGCATGTAGTAGGTGCTTAATAATTACTTGTTTTGTTGTTTCTGTCCTATACTTTGAGAGTTTGTGTTTGATATTCAAGGTTACTAATTCAGGCCTGACTGTGATAATTAGGGGAGACTTTTGATTATTGTTTTATTCCCCTCCCCACCCTAAACCCTTGTTTTGTTTTGTTTTGTTTTGTTAAGCACTTGCAAAAATATAGTGGAGAAATATGGGAGGCTTCCACTTGAAACTTTTTAATAATTGTTTATTCAACTGGTATTTGTCAACCCTTATTCACATTGTATATCAATGAATCTATTATGAAGGCAGCGATCATGTATAACTTCTCTCCAGTGCCTTGTACATTTTATATGTTTTCCTTTCACGCTGTCTTGGCTGTCCTTTCGTCACCTAAGGTACTTATATTCTGCCATATTTCAAAGAATACTTAGGCCATTTGTTCACTTCACTTTGATTCCATTTTTAACTAGTCATTATGGTACACCTATGAAATGCCTAGTTTTAAAAAAATATGTAGAAATAATAAATGCACATTTTATTAACATAGCCATAAATCTATTTTTAACCAGAAGCCTAAAAAATCACATCGTAGATCAGCTTGACCTCTCTTTTAAACTTGCTACCATGCCTTTACTTTAGAATTAAGGGAACACCTTAATAGAGAAAAAAAGTTATCCCATGAACTGAAGTGTTCCTTGTGTCCAGTTTATACTAAAAAGCCCCATTTAAAATAGATTTTAAAACCTTTAAAAAATTCTCTAAAGACAAAACCTTAAACTGTACCAATTATAATAATAGATAAAGTAATTTCAAAACGAAGCTCTTCAGTAAGAGACACATAGGTTTGTAGAGCTCAGTATTGGTGAGAGACACACCATTAGCTTTATTATTTAAAATCGAAATGAGACAGTGGTAGAAAAATATTGCATCAGCAAACTAATCTCAATTATTTTTCAAAGCAAAATCACTATTTCACAATGGAAAGGAAAACCTCAAATTAGGTACTTAAATAAGGGCTACACAGTTTTCATTCAGAAATATTTCATTACTGTTGAGTAATATACTAATACTTTGTTATTTCTATAAAAATGATATAACTACTGAAGACTAGAGAAGCTAAAGACGTTTCTGTGAATTCTATAATTTTTATAAACAAATACTTTGGTAAATTTCCATTTTTTTAATTTAATGTTTTCCATGTTCAGGTGCTAATTATTGAGCCCGAACTAAAAAACTTATCACTAAAGCAGTAAACTTAAAATCACTCTAACTATGCCAGAAATGGAATGGCAAGCCTAGCACAATTAGAATATTGCCTGTCGAAAAATATAGCAGGGAAAGCTAATTACAGAAAGGAAAACAATCACTTTGCTTTCTATTGTAATGAATTTCTGGACATCGGAAGGTTAAATCTAGGGCTCAGGATAGTGCTAGTTCTTCTGTTTTAATTCTGGAAAAGTATTAAATTCAGGGAAGAAAACTAACGAAGTTTAATCATAAACATTTTTTCTTCTTTGCAAAGAATATGTGTGTAGTTCTTAATGTGCTACCTAGAATCACTGTTGTAAACCTCCTGGGTGCTTAGAATTATTACAAATCATTTATTATAATACAAATTTTTCTATCTTGCTAGCTCTATCAGCAACATCCTCAGATACAGAAGGCATACTTCTTTTGCTGCCATGTGGCTTCTTGTTTTTTGTTTTTATTAAAAGTAATCACAAAAACTGCAATTACTTTTGCACCAACCTAATAATTAGACAATTAAAATTTCAAAGGAAGGGGGTAAAATTAAAGAACTATGTTGCGACCTCTCTTAGTTCTCTGTGTGTAGGACTTTTCAGGTGCCCAATGTCCTCTTGACTGACCACTCCTCATGAAGATACTGGTAAACTTTGTGCTAGTGGATTGATAACCGCTCTCCGAGTTCATGCTCTTCTGAGGTCTAGAAAGAAATGGGTGTCTCTGTCCCAACCTGGTTAGTTATTCTGTCTCTAAAAACACAATTAAGTCAATGTTAAGACTAAGTTCATTAAGCTGCTCGTGTTTTTATGCCTTGACAGTTTGTTAATGGTGGTTGCATAAGTTTTACAGAACTAGTTTCGTCTTGTTGCCCAGGCTGGAGGGCAATGGTGTGACCTCAGCTCACCGCAACCTCCGCCTCCTGGGTTCAAGCGATTCTCCTGCCTCAGCCTCCCAAGTAGCTGGGATTACAGGCATGCGCCACCATGCCTGGCTTATTTTGTATTTTTAGTAGAGACAGGGTTTCTCCATGTTGGTCTGGCTGGTCTCGAACTCCTGACCTCAGGTGATCTGCCCGCCTTGACCTCCCAAAGTGCAGGGATTACAGGCATGAGCCACCGCGGCCAGCCTGTAGTCAGCTCTTTAAGGCAACAATTTATTGGCTCAGGTGACTGGCACAAGCCAGTTTTCTTTTGTTCATTTCATCCATTGTGGCAAGGATTAGCAACAGTACTAAATGAGAGCTTGTCAACACCTTCTGTAAAAACACCACCAGGAGCAGGAGAGCTGCTTCTCCCATGTGGCTCAAACACTTAATTCCAGCTTCTCTACACCCTGCATGATGGTATCATCCACTATTGTGTAAATCTGTATATTTTCTAAATAAATACACTGTTCAAACTTATGCTAAAACAAAGAACATTCCTAATAAGTCTTTGAGAACTGAGTTATTAACTTTTATTGTAATATTCTAATGGTTTCTTACATATATATGCAAAATTCAGAGTATTATGGAAAAAGTTATTAGAATAACTCAGTGATGATCACTATGGACATTAAAGAATGGTAAGATTATTTTTTTCATTGTAATGGCTTTATAAAGAAATAAGGCCAGGCGCAGTGGCTCACACCTGTAAACCCAGCACTTTGGGCATCAGAGGCAGGAGAATGGCCTGAACCCTGAAGGCGGAGGTTGCAGTGAGCCGAGATCGCCCCACTGCACTCCACCCTGAGTGACAGAGCAAGACTCTGTCTCAAAAAAATGAAAAGAAAAAGAAATAACAGTGGACTGGAAATCAAAAGTCCTGAGTCTGTCTTAGGTCACTACCAAGGAAACATATACATTTGGATATTTTTTTTCCTTCTTTTTTCATTGGTTAAAAATGAAGGAAGGGCTGGGCATGGTGGCTCACGCCTATAATCCCAGCACTTTGGGAGGCTGAGGTGGATGGATCACGAGGTCAGGAGATCGAGACCATCCTGGCTAACATGGTGAAACCCCGTCTTTACTAAAAATACAAAAAAAAAATTAGGCGGGCACTTGTAGTCCCAGCTATTTGGGAGGCTGAGGCAGGAGAATGGCGTGAACCCCGGAGGCAGCGCTTGCAGTAAGCCGAGATTGCGCCACTGCACTCCGGCCTGGACAAGAGAGCGAGACTCCATCTCAAAAAAAAAAGGAAGGGGACAGAAAACTGGAATAGAAAATTATTAAGGTTCATTCCTGCTCTAAAATCACAAATCATCATATTTTCTAAAGCATTTAAAAATGGTATGCATAAATAATTAGAGGCTTAGGTTCTAAACTAATTATAATTAAAGTTCATTGAAGGCAGAGGTAGAGTGTCATTATAAAAGTTTTATGAATTGTCTTAATACTGAGTGAACACTCAAATTCTAATGGAATGAATTTTGCCTGAATTACACTTTTAAAGCAAAGTTTCCATGTGAATTATTATGGAGCCATCATTGATTACCTATTTGATTTTGCAAGTTTATTCATTTGTAGAACGGGAATAAAATACACCTTACAAAGTTGTAAGAATAAATGAAATAAAGTTCTGAAATATAAGAATCACTCAGCCAATAGAACTTTTTTTTTTTAATACTTTAAGTTTCAGGGTACATGTGCACAATGTGCAGGTTAATTACATATGTATACATGTGCCATGCTGGTGCGCTGCACCCACTAACTCGTCATCTAGCATTAGGTATCTCTCCCAATGCTATCCCTCCCCCCTCCCCCCACCCCACAACAGTTTCCAGAGTGTGATGCTCCCCTTCCTATGTCCATGTGTTCTCATTGTTCAATTCCCACCTATGAGTGAGAAGATGCGGTGTTTGGTTTTTTGTTCTTGCGATAGTTTACTGAGAATGATGATTTCCAATTTCATCCATGTCCCTACAAAGGACATGAACTCATCATTTTTTATGGCTGCATAGTATTCCATGGTGTATATGTGCCACATTTTCTTAATCCAGTCTATCATTGATGGATATTTGGGTTGGTTCCAAGTCTTTCCTGTTGTGAATAATGCCGCAGTAAACATACGTGTGCATGTGTCTTTATAGCAGCCTGATTTATAGTCCTTTGGGTATATACCCAGTAATGGGATGGCTGGGTCAAATGGTATTCTAGTTCTAGATCCCTGAGGAATCGCCACACTGACTTCCACAATGGTTGAACTAGTTGACAGTCCCACCAACAGTGTAAAACTGTTCCTATTTCTCCACATCCTCTCCAGCACCTGTTGTTTCCTGACTTTTCAATGATTGCCATTGTAACTGGTGTAAGATGGTATCTCATTGTGGTTTTGATTTGCATTTCTCTGATGGCCAGTGATGATGAGCATTTTTTCATGTGTCTTTTGGCTGCATAAATGTCTTCTTTTGAGAAGTGTCTGTTCATATCCTTCGTCCACTTTTTGATGGGGTTGTTTGTTTTTTTCTTGTAAATTTGTTTGAGTTCATTGTAGATTCTGGATATTAGCCCTTTCTTAGATGAGTAGGTTGCGAAAATTTTCTACCATTTTGTAGGTTGCCTGTTCACTCTGATGGTAGTTTCTTTTGCTGTGCAGAAGCTCTTTAGTTTAGTTAGATCCCATTTGTCAATTTTGGCTTTGGTTGCCATTGCTTTTGGTGTTTTAGACATGAAGTCCTTGCCCATGCCTATGTCCTGAATGGTAATGCCTAGGTTTTCTTCTGGGGTTTTTATGGTTTTAGGTCTAACATTTAAGTCTTAATCCATCTTGAATTGATTTTTGTATAAGGTGTAAGGAAGGGATCCAGTTTCAGCTTTCTAAGTATGGCTTTCCAGTTTTCCCAGCACCATTTATTAAATAAGGAATCCTTTCCCCATTGCTTGTTTTTCTCAGGTTTGTCAACGATCAGATACTTGTAGATATGCGGCATTATTTCTGAGGGCTCTGTTCTGTACCATTGATCTATATCTCTGTTTTGGTACTGGTACCATACTGTTTTGGTTACTGTAGCCTTGTAGTATAGTTTGAAGTCAGGTAGTGTGATGCCTCCAGCTTTGTTCTTTTGGCTTAGGATTGACTTGGTGATGCGGGCTCTTTTTTGGTTCCATATGAACTTTAAAGTAGTTTTTTCCAATTCTGTGAAGAAAGTCATTGGTAGCTTGACGGGGATGGCATTGAATCTGTAAATTACCTTGGGCAGTATGGCCATTTTCACGATATTGATTCTTCCTACCTATGAGCATGGAATACTCTTCCATTTGTTTGTATCCTCTTTTATTTCCTTGAGCAGTGGTTTGTAGTTCTCCTTGAAGAGGTCCTTCACATCCCTTGTAAGTTGGATTCCTAGGTATTTTATTCTCTTTGAAGCAATTGTGAATGGGAGTTCACTCATGATATGGCTCTCTGTTTGTCTGTTGTTGGTGTATAGGAATGCTTGTGATTTTTGCACATTGATTTTGTATCCTGAGACTTTGCTGAAGTTGCTTATCAGCTTAAGGAGATTTTGGGCTGAGACAATGGGGTTTTCTAGATATACAATCATGTCATCTGCAAACAGGGACAATTTGACTTCCTGTTTTCCTAATTGAATACCCTTTATTTCCTTCTCCTGCCTAATTGCCCTGGCCAGAACTTCCAACACTATGTTGACTAGGAGTGGTGAGAGAAGGCATCCCTGTCTTGTGCCAGTTTTCAAAGGGAATGCTTCCAGTTTTTGCCCATTCAGTATGATATTGGCTGTGGGTTTGTCATAGATAGCTCTTGTTATTTTGAGATACGTCCCATCAATACCAAATTTACTGAGAGTTTTTAGCATGAAGGTTGTTGAATTTTGTCAAACGCCTTTTCTGCATCTATTGAGATAATCATGTGGTTTTTGTCTTTGGTTCTGTTTATGTGCTGGATTACATTTATTGATTTGCCTATATTGATGGATTACATGTATTGATTTGCCTATATTGAACCAGCCTTGCATCCCAGGGATGAAGCCCACTTGATCATGGTGGATAAGCTTTTTGATGTGCTGCTGGATTTGGTTTGCCAGTATTTTATTGAGGATTTTTGCATCAATGTTCATCAAGGATATTGGTCTAAAATTCTCTTTTTTGGTTGTGTCTCTGCCCGGCTTTGGTATCAGGATGATGCTGGCCTCATAAAATGAATTAGGGAGGATTCCCTCTTTTTCTATTGATTGGAATAGTTTCAGAAGGAATGGTACCAGTTCCTCCTTGTACCTCTGGTAGAATTCGGCTGTGAATCCATCTGGTCCTGGACTCTTTTTGATTGGTAAGCTATTGATTGTTGCCACAATTTCAGATCCTGTTTTTGGTCTATTCAGAGATTCAACTGCTTCCCGGTTTAGTCTTGGGAGAGTGTGTGTGTCGAGGAATTTATCCATTTCTTCTAGATTTTCTAGTTTATTTGCGTAGAGATGTTTGTAGTATTCTCTGATGGTAGTTTGTATTTCTGTGGGATCGGTGGTGATATCCCCTTTAACATTTTTTATTGCGTCTATTTGATTCTTCTTTTTTTCTTTATTAGTCTTGCTAGCGGTCTATCAATTTTGTTGATCCTTTCAAAAAACCAGCTCCTGGATTCATTAATTTTTTGAAGGGTTTTTTTGTGTCTCTATTTCCTTCAGTTCTGCTCTGATTTTAGTTATTTCTTGCCTTCTTCTAGCTTTTGAATGTGTTTGCTCTTGCTTTTCTAGTTCTTTTAATTGTGATGTTAGGGTGTCGATTTTGGATATTTCCTGCTTTCTCTTCTGGGCATTTAGTGCTATAAATTTCCCTCTACACACTGCTTTGAATGCGTCCCAGAGATTCTGGTATGTTGTGTCTTTGTTCTCATTGGTTTCAAAGAACATCTTTATTTCTGCCTTCATTTCGTTATGTACCCAGTAGTCATTCAGGAGCAGGTTGTTCAGTTTCCATGTAGTTGAGTGGTTTTGAGTGAGATTCTTAATCCTGAGTTCTAATTTGATTGCACTGTGGTCTGAGAGATAGTTTGTTATAATTTCTGTTCTTTTACATTTGCTGAGGACAGCTTTACTTCCAACTATGTGGTCAATTTTGGAATAGGTGTGGTGTGGTGCTGAAAAAAAGTATATTCTGTTGATTTGGGGTGGAGAGTTCTGTAGATGTCTATTAGGTCCACTTGGTGCAGAGCTGAGTTCAATTCCTGGGTATCCTTGTTGACTTTCTGTCTCGATCTGTCTAATGTTGACAGTGGGGTGTTAAATTCTCCCATTATTAATGTGTGGGAGTCTAAGTCTCTTTGTAGGTCACTCAGGACTTGCTTTATGAATCTGGGTGCTTCTGTATTGGGTGCATGTATATTTAGGATAGTTAGCTCTTCTTGTTGAATTGATCCCTTTACCATTATGTAATGGCCTTCTTTGTCTCTTTTGATCTTTGTTGGTTTAAAGTCTGTTTTATCAGAGACTAGGATTGCAACCCCTGCCTTTTTTTGTTTTTCATTTGCTTGGTAGATCTTCCTCCATCCTTTTATTTTGAGCCTATGTGTGTCTCTGCATGTGAGATGGGTTTCCTGAATACAGCACACTGATGGGTCTTCACTCTTTATCCAATTTGCCAGTCTGTGTCTTTTAATTGGTGCATTTAATCCATTTACATTTAAAGTTAATATTGTTATGTGTGAATTTGATCCTGTCATTATGATGTTAGCTGGTTATTTTGCTCATTAGTTGATGCAGTTTCTTCCTAGTCTCAATGGTCTTTACATTTTGGCATGATTTTGCAGTGGCTGGTACTGTTTGTTCCTTTCCATGTTTAGTGCTTCCTTCAGGAGCTCTTTTAGGGCAGGCCTGGTGGTGACAAAATCTCTCAGCATTTGCTTGTCTGTAAAGTATTTTATTTCTCCTTCACTTATGAAGCTTAGTTTGGCTGGATATGAAATTCTGGGTTGAAAATTCTTTTCTTTAAGAATGTTGAATATTGGCCCCCACTCTCTTCTGGCTTGTAGGGTTTCTGCCAAGAGATCCGCTGTTAGTCTGATGAGCTTCCCTTTGAGGGTAACCCGACCTTTCTCTCTGGCTGCCCTTAATATTTTTTCCTTCATTTCAACTTTGGTGAATCTGACAATTATGTGTCTTGGAGTTGCTCTTCTCGAGGAGTATCTTTGTGGCGTTCTCTGTTTTTCCTGAATCTGAATGTTGGCCTGCCTTGCTAGATTGGGGAAGTTCTCCTGGATAATATCCTGTAGAGTGTTTTCCAACTTGGTTCCATTCTCCCCGTCACTTTAAGGTACACCAATCAGACGCAGATTTGGTCTTTTCACATAGTCCCATATTTCTCAGAGGCTTTGTTCATTTCTTTTTATTATTTTTTCTCTAAACTTCCCTTCTCGCTTCATTTCACTCATTTCATCTTCCATCGCTGATACCCTTTCTTCCAGTTGATTGCATTGGCTCCTGAGGCTTCTGCATTCTTCACATAGTTCTTGAGCCTTGGTTCTCAGCTCCATCAGCTCCTTTAAGCACTTCTCTATATTCGTTATTCTAGTTATACATTCTTCTAAATTTTTTTCAAAGTTTTCAACTTCTTTGCCTTTGGTTTGAATGTCCTCCCATTGCTCAGAGTAATTTGATCGTCTGAAGCCTTCTTCTCTCAGCTCGTCAAAGTCATTCTCCGTCCAGCTTTGTTCCGTTGCTGGTGAGGAACTGTGTTCCTTTGGAGGAGGAGAGGCACTCTGCTTTTTAGAGTTTCCAGTTTTTCTGCTCTGTTTTTTCCCCATCTTTGTGGTTTTATCTACTTTTGGTCTTTGATGATGGTGATGTACAGATGGGTTTTTGGTGTGGATGTCCTTTCTGGTTGTTAGTTTTCCTTCTAACAGACAGGACCCTCAGCTGCAGGTCTGTCGGAGTACCCAGCCATGTGAGGTGTCAGTGTGCCCCTGCTGGGGGGTGCCTCCCAGTTAGGCTGCTCGGGGGTCAGGGGTCAGGGACCCACTTGAAGAGGCAGTCTGCCCGTTCTCAGATCTCCCGCTGGGTGCTGGGAGAACCACTGCTCTCTTCAAAGTTGTCAGACAGGGACATTTAAGTCTGCAGAGGTTACTGCTGTCTTTTTGTTTGTCTGTGCCCTGCCCCATAGGTGGAGCCTACAGAGGCAGGCAGGCCTCCTTGAGCTGTGGTGGGCTCCACCCAGTTCGAGCTTCCCAGCTGCTTTGTTTACCTAAGCAAGCCTGGGCAATGGCGGGCGCCCCTCCCCCAGCCTCACTGCCGCCTTGGAGTTTGATCTCAGACTGTTGTGCTAGCCATCAGCGAGACTCCACGGGCGTAGGACCCTCCGAGCCAGGTGCAGGATATAATCTCCTGGTGTGCCGTTTTTTAAGCCCGTCGGAAAAGCGCAGTATTCGGGTGGGAGTGACCCAATTTTCCAGGTGCCGTCTGTCACCCCTTTCTTTGACTAGGAAAGGGAACTTCCTGACCCCGTGTACTTCCCGAGTGAGGCAATGCCTCGCCCTGCTTCGGCTCGTGCACGGTGTGCACACCCACTGACCTGCGCCCACTGTCTGGCACTCCCTAGTGAGATGAACCCGGTACCTCAGATGGAAATGCAGAAATCACCCATCTTCTGTGTCGCTCACGCTGGGAGCTGTAGACCGGAGCTGTTCCTATTCGGCCATCTTGGCTCCTCTCTCCTTTTTTTTTTTTTTTTGAGACGGAGTCTTGCTCTGTCGCCCAGGCTGGAGTGCAGTGGCACGATCTCGGCTCACTGCAAGCTCCACCTCCCAGGTTCACGCCATTCTCCTGCCTCAGCCTCCCAAGTAGCTGGGACCACAGGTGCCTGCCAGCATGCCAGGCTAATTTTTTGTATTTTTAGTACAGATGGGGTTTCACCATGTTAGCCAGGATGGTCTCGATCTCCTGACCTTGTGTTCCGCCCATCTCGGCCTCCCAAAGTGCTGGGATTACAGGCATAAGCCACCACACCCAGCCAATAGAACTCTTTTTACTTAAAAATCTCAGGATTTTTGGGATCTGAGCTCTTGTCAAAATTCACTCAAATTTCACCTTTTCCAGGACATGATCTGCTTATTTAGTCTTTTCTCTCCCTTCTAAAATGTATACCCCATAAGGGCAGAGATTTTTGTTCTCACTGCTCTCCAGCATCTGGAACACTGCTTGGCAGATACTTGATGCCAAAAAATATATATATTTTTTAATTAATTAGTGAACAACACAATTACCAAGCACTTAACTACGAACCAACAGTTCTACTTCACAATTCACAAATGATTCAGTTCTTAATTATTATTTCTGTAATTTATGATGTATGAATTTTTTAAGTGTTATTAAATACTAGTTGATAAGCTGGATATCACATTAATCTTGTAGTTTTTCTTCTCACAGTATGGCAGAGGGTCCTATTCTCAAAGGTGCTATTGGCCTGTACTCCCAGCATAGATCCTCCCTGCATCTTTCTAGTGGGCTCTGTGGGGCTTAGTAATTTTCTCCCGTAGACAGGCTATATTGAGACTTGCCTTGTGACTCTCAACAGCTAAACAAAAGTAAAAGAACTTTAGGAAATCTTGAGTTCAGATTTTTTATAAGATCTTCACTTCTAGTCTGTTCCCATTTGGTAATATTATGGTTGAACTGAATTTCTCCATTGCCCTTGACTCTAAAGTTCTGGACTTTCTGCTCTTGTTTTCCTCCATTATGGAAAAATGACAAATCATTCTGAAAAGTCTATATGTTTCAGGTCACTGCTTTGTACCCAGAAAAAAATACAGGATAGGTAAGATGAAGGCTCACAGTCTCAAATCCTCACAAAGGGCATGGTAAATTAATGAAGGAGTCGGCGTAGCAAATGTAAGAATTATATTTTTTATTTGTATTGTACTGTGGTATAAGCATGTAACATAACTATATTGGAGATTTAATTTTCTGATGTAAAATTCAAATATCCAATTAAAAATAGGTATTTTGATTATATTTTTCTTCTATAAATATTTTTGCCTTGAACCAGAGAAATGTGACAGTTTCTCCTGCCCTATTTGGGATCAATATTTTATTCAAATAAATAAAAAAGTTTTTCACAGATACAGTTTTTCTAAAATAGATTTCCTTGCTCAGTTTTGTTTTTTGTGGTTTTTTTTTTTATATATACATTTAAAATATCCACCTGGGCCGGGCATGGTGGTTTCACGCCTGTAATCCCAGCACTTTGGGAGGCCGAGGCAGGTGGATCACCTGAGCTCAGGAGTTCGAGACCAGTCTGGCCAACATGGTGAAACTCCATCTCTACTAAAAATAAAAAAATGTTTTAAAAATTAGCTGGGCATGGTGGCACACACCTTTAGTCCCAGCTACTCAGAGGCTGAGGCAGGAGAATCACTTGAACCCAGAATGCGGAGGTTGTAATGAGCTGAGATTGCACCACTGACTCCAGCCAGGGCAACAGAGCAAGACTCCATCTAAAAAAAAAAAAAAAAGAAAAAGAAAAAGAAAAAAGGCAAACCGATCCAAGTTTCTTCATTTTTATAAATTTTAAAACCAAATAACTATTTTGGAATTCAGTTATTAGCTCCCCAAGGGGTAAACATCACTTAAATTTCTGGAAAATAACTTCTGCATATGAAAGGCCAGATTTTTCCTGGCTGAACTTCCCAAAGACACAGTTTGGCTAGAAATTAGATCAATAAAATGGTTATGAACATAGTTGCAGAAAAATAGTGTATGTAACTGGTTATGAACATACGCTCATTTGTGTAACTCGTTATAAACATACTTGCAGAGAAATAGAGTGTATATAATCTCAACCAAAGGCACAATCTTTGACTAAATCTTTAACATTTGCTTTAGACAACATAAACCAATTTCTCACAACCATCCAAGAAAATATCTCTTCAGTTTCGTACCTCTTCTGTTGTGCACAATTTATCAAGTAAAGCATGGATATGCCTCCTGTGGTTCAAACCATGGTAGCACATCCATTTCATACGATGAGCTACTGCATTCATGACATGTTTTCTTTTTCAGTTAAACTTTACTCCTATTGAATTATGATACAAACGTCATATGACTTGTGCAAACTGCCTCTGTGGGTTTACATTTTGTAAACCAAGTTCAGTGTTAACATTGATTTGCTGGAGTACCTCCTGCAGTCCTGTTTATAAGCACTTCACTCAACACACAAAAATGATTTCCTGATGTACCCACTGCTGTCACAATGTTCAAAAGTTATTCAAGGCCAGTCACAGTGGCTCACACCTGTAATCCCAACACCGAGAGGCCAAGGTGGGAGGATTGCTTGAGGCCAAGAATTTGAGACAAGCCTGGCCAACACAGCAAGACCCTGTTTTTTTTTTTTTTTTTTTTTTTGAGACGGAGTCTCGCTCTGTCGCCCAGGCTGGAGTGCAGTGGCGGGATCTCGGCTCACTGCAAGCTCCGCCTCCCGGGTTCATGCCATTCTCCTGCCTCAGCCTCCCAAGTAGCTGGGACTACAGGCGCCCGCCACTACGCCCGGCTAATTTTTTGTATTTTTAGTAGAGACGGGGTTTCACCCTTTTAGCCGGGATGGTCTCGATTTCCTGACCTCGTGATCCGCCCGCCTCGGCCTCCCAAAGTGCTGGGATTACAGGCGTGAGCCACCGCGCCCGGCCAAGACCCTGTTTTAAAGAAAGTTTTTAGGCTGGGCGCAGTGGCTCACGCCTGTAATCCCAACACTTTGGGAGGCCGAGGTGGGCGGATCACAAAGTCAGGAGATGGAGACCATCCTGGCCAACACGGTGAAACCCAGTCTCTACTAAAAATACAAAAAAATTAGCTGGGCGTGGTGGTGGGTGCCTGTAGTCCGAGCTACTCGGGAGGCTGAGGCAGAAGAATGGCATGAACCCAGGAGGCGGAGCTTGCAGTGAGCCAAGATCGCACCACTGCACTACAGCCTAGGCGACAGAGCGAGACTCCATCTCAAAAAAAAAAAAAAGTTTTTAAAAAGTTATTCAGGCCGGGCGTGGTGGCTCATGCCTGTTATCCTAGCACTTTGGGAGGCTGAGGCGGGTGGATCACCTGAGGTCAGGAGTTCGCGACCAGCCTGACCAACATGGCGAAACTCCATCTCTACTAAAAATACAAAAATTAGCCGGGCGTGGTGGTGCACACCTGTAGTCCCAGTTACTCAAAAGGCTGAGGCAGGAGAATCACTTGAACCTGGGAGGTGGAGGTTGCAGTGAGCCGAGATCGTACCATTGCATTCCATTTTGGGCGACAAGAGCAAAACTCCATCTCAAAAAAAAAAAAAAGAGTTATTCAAACACTTAAAACCTTTCTGATACCACAAATGACTATAGCTACCTGGGTGGTATTTATATATTTTATATCTCTACTCTTATTAGCTTAAAAAAAGCTACAAATAATTTAACCTTTTCATGAAACTTTGTATAAGTCCCTTCACCCCAGCGTCACCATACTAAGAAATATTATACCTGGTTAAACTTCTATTTGCAAATATTAGTTTCTGTTCAGGACACAATTTTTGCTACAGTCAACCTTTTTATAAATCCATCATTGGCACAAGGTTTTCATGCCAAGAAAATTTTTTCATTAAATATATTTTGCACCATTACCACTTACTGTATTTTTATGAAAAAAAAATGTGCTGTAATTCTAGTCCCTGCTTTCAGTTCATTGAGTTTTTCATTAAGCTAAGTTTCTCATTACATGTCTTTACTATTCTGGTCATATTTCTTACTGTATTTTGTTTCCAAATAACTTCCTAAATTGTGCAATTAGTCCATTAATAGTTGGTGTGCAGTATTAGTCATGTAGTAACAATCTCTACTTCCACAAGGACATGTGCTCTTCTTTTGAAACACATGGCTATGCAGTCTTTCACTGTCCCATTTATAATAAAGAGAAAAACAGTATGGTGATGTGATGATAAATGGCAGCTCCCCATCAATGTTAGGGAGACATTAGGTAGTGGTGGGAATTACGACAAACTTAAGAACACTTGCCCAATGGCAATGGCTCTCATGAATTAGAAGTAGGTTTATCTGAAAACCCAAAATAACATAGGTACAATAGAATATAAGTTTATTTTGATAAAATCCAGGAAAGTAGTCCTCAGTTGGTATGCTGGTTCCAAGATCATCAGGAACCTAGGCTCTTTCTATCAGATGACTCTTGCACCCTCTCTCAACAGCTTCCTCCTTGTGGTACAAGGTGATTGCTTTAATCATTATATCCACATTCCAACCCCACAAGAAAGAGAAGAAGGAAGAAGACATGCTCCCTCGCTTTGGGAACACTTCCCAGAGGTTTCACACACCATTTTCACTGACATCCTATTGGCCAGAACTCCTGGTCACAGCTAACTGAAAAGGAAGCTATCTTTATTCCAGGTGGCCATGTCCTCAGTGAAAACCTGGGAGTTCCATTACTATTCCCAAAAAAGAAAACAGAGACTGGGGAGTAATCAACAGTCTATGGTATTTGACTACTCAGCTCCAGCTAACTTACACCATGTGGGAATGTGGGCCTGTTGTAGCTAGAAATGCTCATTATTCAAAGAGAAATGAAAAATTCATATTTTTATATGAAACTGTGAAATTTTCAGATGTTGACAAGCAATTCAAAAAATTTTCATAGCCTAAACAACTCATAAATCCAATAAATCTTAGGGGTGGAAAGACCCTTACTCACTAAGGAAACAGTTTTACCAGCTCAAATTCATCTATTGAATCATTCATTCACAAGTTGAGCTCCAACTAAGTGCCAGTGAATAAAACAGACCAAATCCTTACCTATGCTCAAACATTCCCCTCGAGAGTGGATGTTTATTAGCATGAATTTAAAGTTGTGACTGCAGAAATAGGCATAATATAAGAAAGACGCAGGCTTGAAAAACTGAGCACATATGGCCTTATTATACTGAAGTGGAGGAAAAAGACAATGTAAATGTGTAAAATAAGGTATATTATTGAAACTACAAAGGAGGAAAAAAAGGCAGAGAAAAGGAATGGGAAGTGGGAGGAGGGAATAGCATTAAAATTTTAGATGGGGTATCCAGGAAAAGCTTCATTGAGAAAGGTGAATTTTGAGTAATGACCTCAAGGAAGTGAGGGACTTACCCATGTAGATATCTCAGAAAAGAACATTCCAGACAAAGGGAGTATCAAGTATAAAGGCCCTTTGAGATAAGAGCACAATGGCATGTCCAAGGATCAGCAAGAAAGCTGAATGGAGAAGGATAATTAGGGGGATAGTGGTTACAGATTATCTCAGGTCAAGAAGGGCCTTGTAGGTACCTATAGGGCTGATAGGAAGCCATTGGAAGGTTTTGAGCAAAGGAGAGACATAATCTGACTTTGGTGTTAACAGGGGAACTCTGGTGTCAGAGTGGGGATTGGCTGAAGGGAAGTGCTATGGTCTGATTGTTTGTGTCTCCCCTAAATCCATATGTTGAAACCTAATCACCAAGGTATTAGGAGGTAGGGACTTTAGGAGGTGATAATGTCATGAGAACGGAGTGCTGCCTTTTCCCCTTCCACCACATGAAGACACAGCAAGAAGGCACCACTATGAACCATACAGCTAACTAGTCCTGACCAGGCACCAAATCTGCTAGTGTCTTGATCTTGGACTTCTCAGCCTCCAGAACTGTAAGAAATCAATTTCTGTTGTTTAGAAGCCACCCAGCTTAGTATATTTTGTTATAGCAGCCCAAAGAGACTAAGGGAACAATAAGCAGAATCAAAGAAATCAGTTAAGAGGCTATTGAAATATTCCAAGCAAGAGATGACGGTGGCGGTACCAACATGATGGCAGTGGAGATGGTGGGAAGTGGTTTTAGATATATTTTGAAGAGTTGGCAGAGAGGAAGAGAAGAGTCAAAGATGACTCCAAGGATTTTGGCCTGAGCAACCAAAAGAATAGAGTTGCCATTGAATGAGGTAGAGAAGACTACAAAAAGGGGAAATATCAGTGGCTCTGTTTTGGACATTTAAGTTTGAGATACAAATTATTAATCAAATGGTGAGGCCCAGTGGGCACTCAGATATACAAATCTGGAATTCAAGAAAAAGATACAGTCTAGAAAACACATTTGGGAATCATGACTATAGAGATGGCATTTAAGCCTTTTCTTACTCAGATCACGTGAAGTATGAGTGCAGATAGATGAGAGAAGACAGCTAAGAACAGAACCTTGGAGCACTCCAAAATTTAGGGGTGGAAGATGAGGGAAAAATTGGTGAAGAACCTGAAAAAGAATTTCCAGAAAAAGGAGAAGAGCCAGGCAAGTGTGGTATCCCTGATGTCAAGTGAAGGCAGCATTTCAAGAAAACCGTAATCAACTGTGTCAAATGATGATGATAGGTCAGCTAAGATGAGGACTAAGACGTGACCACTGTCTCATGCTCGCAACAACTACATCACCCCTTAGTCCTGGCAGAGGAGCAAATTTCTCCAGAAAGTTCTTCCCTGCCAGAACCAGTTTGAATTAGGAGTTTCTCTTTAGTGTTCCTTTGGCATACTTTGCTTATCTATATAATAGCATTTAATTATTTTTTAAAAAATGTATTATTGTTTGCCAAGTGCTACTCTAGATGGGCAACTGTTTTTAAAAAAAAGGTCAAAAATTCTCATGAAGCTTTCATTTTAATTGGGGTGTGGAGAGGGGCAGACAATAAACAATATTTCAGAGGAAATGTGTATAGTATGTTAGGTGATAAGTGCTACGTAGAAAAATAATGTAGAAGAGAGGAATAGAGAATGTGAGGAGTTTTAGTTTTAAATAGCATGCTCAGAAAATGCCTCTCTGAGCAAACATCGGGAGGATTTAAAAGAGCAAGTCATGTGGGTATCTGGGAGAAGAGCATTCTAGGCAGAGGGAACAAGCACAGAAGCCCTGAGGCTAAAGCATGCCTGCCGGGTCCAAGAGATAGCAAGGAAATCTGTGTGGGTGTATCTGTCTGAGCAGAAAGGGAGAGTAAAGGAGATAAGGATAAAAGGTAATAGGGAGAGGTGGCAGATCACAAAGGCTCTTGTAGGTCATTGAAAAGACTTTGGCTTATTTTTCAAACAAATGGAAAGCTTGGAGGATTTAGCAGAACGTCCTGAGGTCAGTCTGGTCATTGTTTTGATAATAAACTCTAAGGGCAGAGGACAACAACAGAAGCAGGGAGCTAGTTAAGAGGCTACTGTAATAAGGTAAAGTTAGGAAAACTAGTCCATTAAGGAAGAATATCAAGAGGTTGTCCGCCCTTACCTAGCAAAATATCAAGGAAAGGCCAAAGGAAGAGCTAACCATTTCCTGCTTTCTGCAGGGTGAAACTGTAAATCCTTCTCTGAGTACTATCTTCTCTGAGTATTTTATCACTTGAGGCAGGCTAACAGTTGTAACAGATTAACTACAAAGTTTCAGAGGCTTAATGCACTATAAATTTGTTTATAATTCCTAGAAGATCCTTCCCCTCCACAGGGTAATTTGAGAACACAGAATCCCTTCCATCTTGTGGCTCCACCACATTCAGCATATAAGGCTTCCTTCAGGGTGATGCAGGAGAAAGAACACACAGGATTTCACCTGTTAAATGTGAATGAGCCAGGCCTGGAAGGGACAAGCAACACTTTGCTCGAATTCCATTGGCCAGAATTCACTTTCATGGCCACTGCTAAACTGTAAGGAAGACTGGGAGATATAATCCAGCTGCGTGCCCAGGAGAAAGAGGAAACAAATCTAGTGAATAGCTAGCCATCATCTGCTATAGCTGTGAGTGGGCATGCTTTTCATTTCTACTCAGGAGGCAGAGGTTGCAACGAGCTAAGATCATACCACTGCACTGCAGCTTGGGTGTCAGAGCAAGACCCTATCTAAAAGCAACAAAAACAACAACAACAACAAGTTGGTGTGGTGGCTCATACCCTCATACCTGTAGTCTCAGCTACTCGCCTGAGGATCACCTGAGCCCAGGAGTTTGAGGTTGCAGTGAGCTATGACTACTGCACTGCCCTCTAGACTGGACGACAGAGCAAGACCCTGTCTCTTAAAAATAGGATAGAATATAGAAAAGAATCTGGCCATTTCTATGCCCATCACTGTTTTCCCTTACAATAACTATTTTCTTAAGCTTTCTGAACAAGTCTAATTTTTCCTCATGCTAATCTAGAAAAAAACAGCTGAAACAAATGAGCTGTAACTAAATGACTCACAAACTTTGCTTTGGGGGATATGTCACAGCTCCTTCACTCTCATTTCTTAGAATGCTTTATCTGCACAATTGCTTAAAAATAGATAGGGAACTCATTTTAAATGCATTAAATGGATATATAAAACCAAGAACAACAGAGATAAAAGATACCATTTTTTAAATCACATCCATTTGCAGGGTCAGGTCTTGATGATCTATGCCAAAGAAAAAGAAACATGAGTAATATAAAGCAATTCACAATTTCTTTTCTTCACTTAGGAAGTCAGTCATGGCCAGGCACAGTGGCTCACGCCTGTAATCCCAGCACTTTGGGAGGCCAAGGCAGGCGGATCACGGGTCAGGAGTTTGAGACCAGCCTGACCAACATGGTGAAACCTTGTCTCTACTAAAAATACAGAAAAATTAGCCGGGCGTGGTGGCACGCGCCTGTAATCCCAGCTACTCAGGAGCCTGACGCAGGAGAATCGCTTGAACTCGGGAGGTGGAGGTTGCAGTGAGCTGAGACCATGCCATTGCACTCCAGCCTGGGCAACAAGAGCGAAACTCTGTCTCAAAATAAAAAAAGGAAATCAGTCACTAACACATATATGCTCATCTCTACTCAGTCTGATTTTAAAAGCTGGCCTCCACTGTCATTTATGCCAAAAGTAAACATTGATTGACTGACTACAGTAAACACTGATTAACTGACTACAGATTATACCATGATAAATCATTTTGAAAACATACCTTAAACTGTAAAATAAAAACATTCTAATAACAGTTTAAAATGTACATTTCAATCAAAGACTATGTTCCTTGGACAAGTAAAAATAATTTGACTAATTTGATATTTTTGTATGCACCCAAGGTTCACAAATATTGTCTAATAAATATAATCCCCTAGGTCAGGCTCGGTGGCTCATGCCTGTAATCCCAGCACTTTGGGAGGCCAAGGCAGGTAGGTCATCTGATGTCAGGAGTTCAAGACCAGCATGGCCAACATGGCAAAACCCCGTCTCTACTAAAAATACAAAAATTAGCCGAGCATGGTGGTGGGCGCCTGTAATCCCAGCTACTCGGAGGCTGAGGTGGGATAATTGCCTGAACCTGGGAGGTGGAGGTTGAGGTTGCAATGAGCCAAGATTGCGCCACTCCACTACAGCCTGGGTGATGGGGCAAGACTCCCATCTTAAAAAAAATAAATTATATATATGTGTGTGTGTGTGTGTAATCCCCAGTGCCTCGTTTTGCTTACCACAATTTTATTAGGATAGCATTGCTATGGTCTGAATGTTTCTGTCCTCCTAAATTCATATGTTCAAACCTAATCACCAATGTGATGATATTAGGAGGGAGGGCCTTTTGGAGATGATTAGATCATGAGGATAGGAGCCCTCACACATGGTATTAGTGCCTTTATAAAAGAGGCCCCAGGTTCTCCTTTCATAGAGCCATCAGGGCTGGGTTCAGTGGCTTATTCCTATAATCCCAGCACTTTGGGAGGCCAGGGTGGGAGGATGGTTTAAGCCCAGGAGTTCGAGGCCAGCCTGGGCAAAATGGCAAAACCCCATCCCTACAAAAAAATACAGAAATTAGCTGGGTGTGGTGGTGCATGCTGTGGTCCCAGCTACTTGGGAAGCTCAGGTGGGAGGGTTGCTTAAGCCCAGGAAGTTGAGGCTGCAGTGAACTGTGATTGTGCCACTGCACTCCAGCCTAGGTGACAGAGTAAGACCCTGACAAGAAAGGAAGAAAGAAAGGGAGGAAGGGAGAGAAGGAGGGAGGGAGGGAGGGAGAAAAAGAAAAGAAAGAGCCATTGATAAATCAAGAAGGACTGCACCAAACACTGAATGTGCTAGCTGCTTGATCTTGGGCTTCCTAGCCTCCAGAACTGTGAGAAATCCATTTCTGCTGTTTATAAGCTACTCAGTTGTGGTAGCAGCTTGATCAGACTAAGACAAGAAGTCTTTTGGAAATATTCAAAACCTATAAAAAATTTAAGAGCTGGGCATGACGGCACATGCCTCTAGTCCCAGATACTCAGGAGGCTGAGGCAGGAGGATTGTTTGAGCCCAGGAATTTGAGGTTGTGGTGCACTATGATTGCATCTGTGAATAGCTGCTACACTCCAGCCTGGGCAACATAGTGAGACTCCATCCCTAAAAAAAATTTTTTTTAACAGAGTATCATAGAATATGTAAAATCTAATATGTAAATCCTAATGTTTTTATAAAATCTTCTAAAATGTGATAGCCTATTAATAAAAGTATTCTTTGTTTTTTTCTTACCCCAAATTGATAAGCCTTTCAATCACTACACTAAAAATGTAATGATTATCCAAGAAAGTAATCATCCAGGATTGATAATAAAGTATACAGGCTATCTCTCCAAAAGCAGGCATATCCAGGGAATAAAAATAAAATATACAATGTTAAAAGACACAGATAAAACTCATTGAAATTCTTTTCATTGGTTATTTCATTGCCATCCAAAGTATGGCTGGCCTTGTACTGGAGGGGCCTCAAAATTTGTGTTTTTTAGCATTTATCCTCAGTGATTATTAAAATCAGGCTAATTTGGGAAACACCACCCTAGCATAAATGAAACTCCTCCAGGAAAACAGAGCCTCCATTTGATAAATTGTTATGTAAACCTATGAGGTACATTAGACATCAGTTAACTATTATTACATAAAACTTAGAGTAACACATAGCACAAAAAAGTTATGAGTAACATGCAGTATAAATAACATATAGTGTCTAGTACAAAGTCCCAAAACTCATGAGAGTTAAATGGAGTTTTAAAGTGTAAATATTTTTTATGTTTTCTTGTTTATTGTTTCCATTAAATTTCTAAAATAGTTTTTCCTGATGGTATATTATTTACCCATGCAATAAAATGTAAATTATGATAGTAGTTTTATCTCTTTGAAGAGCAGTTTATTATTATGAAATGTAGGACATGAGAATTTTAACTAGATACTATTATGTTAGATTTGGCCTTCACAAAACTGTGATATCAAGATAAACTGATTGAATAAACATTCAGATAATATAGTTGGCACAGAAAGCATTTTTATAATATTTGAAGTCAGATCAAAGTTAATTTCATGATCATAATAAGTGGCAATTCTTCACAGTCAAAAATCATGAGTATTTTCAAATAACTGAGGTTTACAGGAAAATAATTATATTGATTGTTATAATAACTTGAGGGATGTTCTCATTCTGTATCTCACATTGTCTTGGAGATATTAATTTTACATATATCTTAGATATGTGAACAGGATTACCAGAAAGAAAATGATTTTTCTGAAACTCATAGTTTGCATTTCAATGCCAAAAAAAATTAAAAGGATGAAGCCTTTAAGTCTGGCAGGCTACAGATACCTTGTGGTAAAGAAACAAGATGTGGGAATGGTTGATAGTCATTTACTCAATGAACCTATCATATTGCAATTATGTTCTTCCTCTGATGATATCAGAGTTATCATTATCTCTCAGAGTTATCATTATGAAATCTATATAAAAAAATAGGAAAACATTTTAAAGCATTTAAATATGAAACTCACAAAAGTACATTCCACAACTTTTCTAAATTTCTTTTTGCCATCTACATATTTATTTAGCACCCACTGTTTGTAGGCTAATATCCTAGGCACCACAGATATAAAGAGAGAGTAGATAAAATATCTTCCCTTTAGGGCTTATAGCACAGCTGGGGAGGCAATGATAAGTATCAGAAAAGATAGGTCACATGTAAGGTGTCTCAGCAACTCTTAACAGAATCAGTTAAGAGCGTGTGTTAAGATGCACATTCCTTGGCCCACTCTCCAGACTCACTAAATCAGCATCTCAAAATAATTTTCAGGAACTTGCATAACATCCCAAGCATTGTGACTCTCAGTAAAGTATAAGAATCACTGGTAAAAGTTAAATCCATATGATACTGACATAGAGTAAGAAGTTGACAGGGTTCAATTTTCTCTTAAAGAATAAAATATAGTGAAAAAAATTGTAATTATTCACAAGGGTTATCGTTGCCTCAAGAGAATACCAGAGGCACTCTACAAATTACTAATAATTTAGTAAAGACAAAGGATTTACAACCATTAAACAAAAATTAGCGTTCTTATATTTACATTTAGAAAATGTAATTTAAAAATACATATACCAGGCCAGGCACGGTGGTTTACACCTGTAATCCCAGCACTTTGGGAGGCTGAAGAAGGAGGTTCTTGAGACCAGGAGTTTGAGACCAGTCTGGGAAACATAGCAAGATCCCGTCTCTACAAAAAATTAAAAAATTAGCCCCCCATGGTGGTGCATGCCTGTAGTCCTAGCTTCTCTGATGCTGAGGCTGGAAGATCGCTTGAGCCCAGAAGTTCAAGGCTGCAGTGAGCTATGATTGTGTCACTGCACTGTAGCCTGGGCAACAGAGTGAGACCCTGTCTTAAAAAAAAAAAACGTTGATAGTAGTGGCAATAATTATAAGGTTCCTAAGAATAAGCATAATAAAATATGTGAAAGACCAACTATGGAGATATATGTTCATGGATGGGTCACCTCAATATCATAAAGATGACAGGTTATCCCTAAATAACTTTAAGACAATTAAAATAAAAATCCTGCCATAGCTTTTCATTGAAAACAAGAAAGAAAGCTTCTTTTCACATTTACATAAAATAGTAAAAGTAAAAGAAAATATAAGGCAGGACACATAGACAGTGGAATGGAATCAAGAGCCTAAACACAGAACCCCGTGTGTGAGAATTTAGCAAATGGGGAAAGGAGGGATAATCTCTTCTCTATTCTCACTCTTGGTGCTCTTAGCCATTCTCATGCCTTTCAGTGTCATCTGGAAACTGACTACATCCAGATTTATATTGCTAGCCCAGACCTCTCTTTCTTGACCTCCAGACTAGTGTAATCAACTACCTACTTGACATTCATTCCCATTTAGATAGGTAACAGGTATCTCAAATTAAAGCAATGCCAAACAACTCCTGACCTGCCCTTCTCCCTACATTTTTCTTTCACAGTTTTTTTTTCTTTCAGTAAATGGCATTTTTTTTCTTCGAGTTACCCAAGGCAAACACCCTGGAGTCATCCTTGACCTCTTTTTTCTCTCTCTCATAGCCCATATCAAATTCTCAGGAAATCCTGTTAATATTACCTTCAGAATGTATTTTTTTAAATCTTCTTTCACTACTACCAACTTGGTCAAAGCCACCTTTATCTCTCATCTGGATTTCCCAAGAGCCTCCTGATCATCGTCTTACTTCTGTCCTTCTTCTCTGCCTCCATACCCCATGCCCTATTCTCAAAAAAGTTGCCAAAATACTCTTGAAAATGTCAAAGTATGACAGTTTTTTACTCAAAATGCTTCCTTAACTCTTTGACCTCATTTCTTACTGTCCTCACTCACTGAAATTCATCTGACATCTCCCCTTTGCTGGTCTATGAATGGAATATCCCACACCACACCCCCAGAGCTTTTAGCCTTGCCATTCCCTTTGAGTGGAATGCTGTTACTGGATAGGCACACAGGTGTGTCACCTTACCTGTTCAAAATCTGGGCTGAAATGCCTGCTTCCACTGGGGCCTTCCCTAACCACTTTAACATTTAACACAACTCCCCACCTCCAAAAGTCTCCATCCCCTTCCCTTCTTTATTTTTCTTCATAGCACTTATCAAACCCTGAACATCACATTTTTTTTCTTTTTTTTCCTCTTTTTTTTTTTTGAGACAGAGTCTAGCTCTGTCGCCCAGGCTGGAGGAGTGCAGTGGCGAGATCTCTGCTCACTGCAACCTCTGTCTCCCAGGTTCAAGCGACTCTCCTGCCTCAGCCTCCCAAGTCGTTGGGACTACAGGCACGCACCACCACACTCGGCTAATTTTTGTATTTTTAGTAGAGACGGCGTTTCACTGTATTGCACAGTCTGGTCTCGAACTCCTGACCTCACGATCTGCCCGCCTCGGCCTCCCAAAGTGCTGGGATTACAAGCGTGAGCCACTGCGCCTGGCTGAACACTACATTTTTTTTACTTCTTTATTCATGTATTGTCTGTCATCTCCAACTAGAATGAACGTATAGTCCCTGAGAACGGGGAATTTGTTATCTATTGAAACTTCAGGGCCTGGAACATAGCAGCACTCCAGTATTTGTTAAATAAATGAATCCATTTGAGCTTCTGCATATTTGAAATTTCATAAGTATATATAAATGGTAAATTGTGATAGACTCAAAGGCTAGTATCATTAGGCAATTGTCTCCCGTTCCCAAAAGACTTCCTAAGTCTACTAAATGATCTGTTTTTAATATGAAAGCAAAGTTATCTAAAAGAAAGGAGAAATCTTTAGTTTTTTTGACTTCGAGATTCTTTGCAATTTAAGCTTTTTTTTTTTTTTTTTTTTTTTTTTTTGCTTTTCTTTCAATGGACACTTTCGAAGTTTTACATAAAAACATTAAAACCTCTTGTTTAATGTAGTGGGATTAAGCTGCCGAAGGCAATCCCTACATGTGAGGAAAATATGCTTCCGACACCCCAATTTTTTTTTTCTCCCTACCCATCCTCTCTGGTGGTCCTGACGCTCCCAGCCCCTTTTTGTGTTTCTTGATTCCATGCTGAGAACTCGCAATACAAACTCAAAGCCCACATTTGTGAGGTGGTTGGGTCAGGACTGCAACTAAAAATGATTATTGTTTTTTAGGTTTCTGGACAGTTCAACACCAGCCTTTGGTTTTGCCTCAGAAGCAGGGAACTTCTCTAGGCCCCTATTTTGCCTTTCAGCTATTGATGATCCAAATCATACCAGCGATTAGGAGGATCATTACCAGACACAAGGCCAGGTACGTTTAAAAAATAAATAAACCAAGCGCAGGTGCACACTCCGAACGCTCATCCCCACCCCCACTTTCCAATCCAACAGTAGGTAACGAGAAATGAATTTTCTAGACTTTTTTTCCTGCAGCAGTTGCTGTTACCAGAAACAAAGTTAGATGATATACAATCTAATCTTCATTGCTCTAAAAGTCCTCTCCCCATGCCCCCCAGGCTGCCTCAATTCTCTAGTTTCTTATTCCTTATAAGCAGGGGATGGAGCTGAACCAAGTCGGCCTTCCCCTCCCAGGGCCTTCTCCTCTTGGTCTGGCTTCCATTTCAGATGCGAATTAACCCTCCCAATACCCTTTCAGAAGCAAGGAGTCCCCTTTTTCTCCGCCTCCAGCCTCAGCTAGGTTTTCCTCATTTCGGATTTTTCTACTGCTCATTCCCAAATGAGTCACGCATGACGACAATTTCCACTCTGCTATGTCAGCCTGGAGATGTCCCCCAAGTGATGGCATCTGCTCTCGGAAAGAAAGGTCATCGGTGCCACGACCAGCCCCGCTAACCCAGAGCGGCCGGTGGGCCCCAGTCCCGAGAGTCAGGGCGCGCGGCGGAGGCGAGGCCGGGGCGGCCTCCGCCCTCCCGGCCGCTCCCCCTCGCGCCGCCCCGGCTCCTCCCTCCGGCCCTCGGCGGGCACCTGGCGGCGGCGGGCAGGGGGCGGCGCTGCGCGCGTCACGCGGCTGGGTGGGATAGCGGGCAGGTGACACCCGGCGGCCTCCTCCCCTTTCCAACCCAGTCGGCGGCCGGGACAGCGGGGGCCGCTGTGAGGAGCTCCGCGCTCGCGCTGCCAGTCGCCGCCCTCTCTCCCGCGCGCGCCCGGCGCTTCGGCTCCGCTCCCTGTGCGGTGAGTGCGGGGTTCCAGGCCGGCGGGCAGGGGCCAAACTTTCCCGGCGCGCGGAGGAGAAGAGACTGGGGAGGGAGGCAGAGCCGAGGGGAACGGCGTCGGGAGTGGCCGGATGGAGGAACTTGGGCGCGGCGCGCGAGAAGTGGGACCCGGGTGCGGGGGCCCCGGGAGCGGGGCCAGGCCCTCCCTGGGCTCGGGAGGCGCTTGGGAAGTTCTGTCCCCGCTGCCTGCGCGTGGGGAGGACCGAGGCCCTTTTCGCCGGAGCGCGGGGCCGCGGCGCTCACCTGCGCCTTCTCGGGAGCCCCCACCCGGCAGCATCCCGAAGGGAAGGTCGGGCCCGGTGGGCGCGCTGCGGAGCGGAGCCTGGACTGGGGTCCCGCGCGGCGCTGGCCCTGCGGAGCGGAGCGGGAGGGGCAGAGGTGCTCGCCGGCGGGACTGGGAGGGAGAAGGACCTGCTCGACCTTGGACGCGGAGGTCATTTTCCCAGCTCCGGGGTCTGGCCTCGCTAGCCACCCCCCCAAATTCCGGAGCCCCTTTCTTTCTGTTTCCTTCCTTCCCCTTTGGGCGCTTTTTTTGCTCCCGCGGCCAGATGAACTTGGGGCGCTGTCCCTTCGGCTCCCCGAGCCGCATCCTGTCTTGGTGGCTGCTGCTGGCCGGGAGGAGGCTGATGAATACAGAGCCGTGGAACAGGTCGTGCCGGAGATGGAAACAGGAAAGCCTGTTGTTTTGTCGTCCCAGGTATCGTTGGTTCTTTGGGAAATGGGCTTTCCCAGGTTCGTTGGGAAATGGGCTTTCCCAGGTTCGTTGGGAAATGGGCTTTCCCCCTTCAAGTCAGAGCTGTTTCAAACTTCACCCGGTGCGGACAGAGCGCTCTTTGGAGCTCCCTGGGGAACTCGGGACGGGAAGGAGCGGGTCTTTACACCTGTCCTGCTCCCAGTGTAGTTAGTCCCGCGTCGACTGAAGAACAGTTTTAGCGACCCGAGTTCCTCGCCAGTGGTCTTTTCCCTCTTGCTACGATCTCCCCTCGGAAAGCATGTTCACTTAACCCTGTGCTCTCGGATTACCCTTTATTTCATTCCTCACTTTTATTGCTTACGTGCTCCGAAAGGGTCATCGATACCTGGTGGCTGCCTCTGCGTTCTTACCACGCACCCGCTTATTCATTCCCTTTCTTTGTAGTTTCTCTTCGTACTACTGATCAGAAATTGGTCTCCCCAAGGTCACCGAGAACTAAATAAAATCCACCCCTCACCCCGTGGCAGACATTTATCAGTGCTTAGGTGCCAGGCACTGATGTCAGTTCTTGTGTAAAAGCTTTTAATCTTCACAACGATCCTGGGAAGTAGATATTAATATTATTCTCATTTTAATGATGAGGTAACTGAGGCACGGAGAGGTTAAGTAACTTGCCCAAGGCCACACCCATCTCAGCGGTAGGAGATTCCAGCTCTGGGGTTCTGTCTCCAGCACTGGAGCTGTTAACCACTGTCCTACACTGCCTCACCTAGAGTTCGTTTGCTCGTCCTTATTTTCTGAAGTCCCGTGCTGTTTCAGGCATCGTTGACCAGGCTGTCAATCTCAGGTCCCTCTTTTCCTTCTTATGTGTCTTTATACTAGTTTAGGATCCCCACACCCTCCCCCTGCCCCCGCTTTTTTTTTTTTTAAGAAAAATAGATTTTTGGGACTTTGTTACTTCATCTATCACCTGTATTTATCTGGCTTAAGATTCTGTGCTTTCCATGTCTTCTTCAGTTTTAGTGTAACGTCTGTCAGTGCACATTATAATATTCCGCTTGGACTTGCCCGGCTTTTCCCCAAAACAGCTCCAGATGCTCATTTCCATTAAGGGTCCTGCCATTATCCTGGTCTCCAAGGTGCCGTGCCATTCCTCTCCCATTCGTTAAATATCTTCTATCCAATTTTTACATGGTGTCTTCTAGCCTTTATCAGTCTCGCCCACTCCCATCCTCTCTTCACCACTCTCCCTCTTCCCCACTTTGAACACATATGCCCTTCTCTGCTATTTGTTATCATCTTTTATGTTTGCTTTGCACAAAAAGATTGCAAACAGCTTAGGACATTAAATCTTCAGGCCTTACAGCTAGTAGTTGCTTGATAAATGTAGAAGATGATACAGTATAAATTTTGGTAGCACACATCAGGCAGGTTTGATGATGGAAATTTTTAAGCCAGGTTTTACAGGAAGTTACGGAGTTTGCATTGGTAAACGTGTAGGAGCTGGTAGACATTGTACATGAAGGGGAGAAAAGCCTGTGTTCACTCCATTGTCACAAACAGGTACCCAGCTGTTCTGATGAAACATTACATTTAGAGGTATAATGAAGCAAATCAGCAGAAAACCATTTATCCTTATCTTGACAAAACAAAATATGAAAACACATAAAGTTAAAAAAAAACCTTTTTATTGAAAAACGTAGCACATACATAAAAGTGCATAAAACATAAATGGACAGATTAACACAGTAGATGTATTCAGCAATAGAACGACAGTGTTATTCTGGCCATAGATAGGCTACAGTCAGGCCAAATAGGAATCTTTTCACAAAAACCTGTATAAGGTGAAGTGGGCCTGGACTGCTCCCAAGAGGCATTGCCAAGAAAGAATTGGCTGTGCATGGAGAGGCTTGAGGAGAGAGAAAATAAGACTGGAAATTGGTACCAAAAGGATAAGATCAGGGAGCCAAGAAGAGAGTTCAGACCCACTGAACATAATTCTACCACAATGAATATTTAACCAGGTTGCCTTTGTCTCTCTCTTTTTTTCTATGCATATTTTCCTTCATCATACTCCATATAGTATTTTAGTATTCTCAGGCTGGGCACAGTGGTTCGCCCCTGTAATCCCAGCACTTTGGGAGGCTGAGGCAGGTGGATCACCTTAGGTCAGGAGTTTGAGACCAGCCTGGCCAAAATGGTGAAACCCCATCTCTACTAAAAATACAAAAGTTAGCTGGGTGTGTTGGCACATGCCTGTAGTCCCAGCTACTTGGGAGGCTGAGGCAGGAGAATCGCTTGAACCCAGGAGGCAGAGGTTGCAGTGAGCTGAGATCATGCCACTGCACTCCAGCCTGGGCAACAAAGGAGACTCTGTCTTAAAAAAAAAAAAAAAAAAAAAGGAAAGTAATTTTTTTTAGTATTCTGTGTTTTCCATATAATACCTAGTAAGCATTTTTCATCTTATGTAATTTTCAGAACTCATATTGTTTGTATTCTAGTAATTATAATGTGATTTACTTAACTAAAACTCTATTGTTGGACAAGTATATTAGCAACAAATTATAAACAACCTAAGTTATAGTAATACTTATCTTTGCAGTTGTATCATTTTACAAGTTGGGACTCATTTCCTAATGATACTGTTCCAGAAGTAGAATTACTTCGTCAGCAAGTATGGTCATTTTTATGGTTCTCAATACATGCTGTCAGATTTCTAAAAGCGATTTTAAAAAGAGGATCAATGCATTTTACCTAACTTCTCTCTCTAGGAAGTAACAGCAATTCAATTAAACATGAACAGTATTATTAAATGTTGTATTAGTTTCCTCAGGCTGCCATAACAAAGTACCACCAACTGGGTAGCTTGAAAAAACAGCAATTTATTGTCTCACAGTTCTGGAGGCTACAAGTCTAAAATTAGGGTGTCAGCAGTGTTGAACCCTTCTGAAAGCTCTGAGGGAGAATTTGTTCCATGCTTCTCCTAGGTTCTGGTGACAGCAGCAATCTCTGATATTCCTTGTGCTGGCATCACTCTAATCTCTGCTTCTGTCTTCATATGCATTTTCCCTTTGTGTCTGTGTCTTCACATAACCATCTTATAAACACACCAGTCATATTGGATTTAGGGCCCATCCCACTCCAGTATGACCTCATTTTAACATCTGCAAAAATTCAATGTCCAAATAATAGCACACTGTGAGGTATTGGGGGTTAGGATTTCAACATATCCTCTTTGGGGCACACAATTCAACCTGCCATAGGGTTTTCAAATGTGCATAAAAGAAAGCGCCTATCTGCAAATAATTTCTAGGCAAATTGAGAAAGTAGGATTTTTTCTAATTTTTGAGATTTGTTTATTCTCCATGATGTGCCACTTGTGCTTATCAGTTTTAAGATACAGAAGGATGCTCTTTTCTCCCCCCGAGACAGGGTCTCTCTCTGTCACCCAGGCGGGAGTGCAGTGGCACAGTCATGGCTTTCCGCAGCCTCAATCCCCAGACTCAAGCAATCCTCCCACTTCAGAGTCCCCAGTAGCTGAGACTACAGACACATGTCACCATGCCTGGCTAATTTTTTGTATCTTTTATAGAGACAGAGTCTCACTATGTTGCCCACATTGGTCTTGAACTCCTGGGCTGAAATGATTCTCCTGCCTCAGCCTTCCAAAGTGCTAGGATTACAGATGTGAGCCATTGCACATGGCCTGGAAGGTTGCTATTTACCAAACACGGAATTCCGGAGCCATGGTAAATGGTAGCATGTTAAACTGAGAATAGCCAGAATTTCAAGAAGATACATCACGTAGCATGGAAAGAAGCATGCCATAAACACACTTTTAGAAATATGTCTTACATGTGTTTCAGTGACTCATCCAGTTTTGACCATGCACAGTTGCAAAAAGTTGAAAACTAATACCAGTTGGGCATTTTATATCACTGGTCTTTGAAAAAATTTGAAATTTCCATTATTCCTAATTGATTTCTAAAAGTACATATTATTACATTGGCAAGTGAAATCACTCTTTTTGTAAATGATAGAAGTTGGCATACCATCATAATTTCTTTTCCTTTCTTTTTTTTTCTGAGACGGAATCTTGCTCTGTCGACCAATAAAGTTGTGCGATCTTGCCTCACTGCAACCTCTGCCTCCCAGGTTCGGTGATTCTCCTGCCTCAGCTTCCTGAGTAGCTGGGACTACAGGCTCATGCCACCATGCCCAGCTAATTATTTATTTATTTATTTTTGGTAGAGATGGGGTTTCACCATGTTGGCCAGTCTGTTCTCGAACACCTGAACTCAGGTGATGATCTGCTCACCTCAGCCTCCCAAAGTGCTGGGCTTACAGGCGTGAGCCATCATGCCTGGCCCATCATAAATATATATATATATATATTTTTTTTTGACACTGTTTTGTTCTTGTCGCCTGGGCTGGAGTGCAATGGCGCTATCTCTGCTCACTGCAACCTCTGCCTCCTGGGTTCAAGTGATTCTCCAGCCTCAGCCTCCTGAGTAGCTGGGATTACAGACACTCACCACCAAGATGGCTAATTTTTATATTTTTAGTAGAGACGGGGTTTCACTATGTTGGCCAGGCTGCTCTTGAATTCCTGACCTCAGGTGATCTGCCCTCCTCAGCCTCCCAAAGTGCTGGGATTACAGGCAGGAGCCACCACACCTGACTCATAAATATTTTTAAACAGACTATTATTCAAATGAGATAAGTTTCCACATAGCTTACAAATTCCCCATGTTAAAGACAAATCTTAATCAATCTGGATAAGCAGCTACTTAAGCCATGAACACCAGCAGCCCTGCTTCTTGGACTTTCTAATGTAGGGTAAAAGAGCCAAACCTAGATAAAACTGGGGAGTTTCAGAAGCTGCACACTCAACAAACATTTGAGTGTTAGCTTTGTGTCAGGCAAAGGGGCTGGCAGATTGCTAAAGCCAGTCCAGGTCCATGTGAGTTATAGACAAGTAAATGTAAGTTACAAAATTACAGTTCAGTATGATAAACTGTGCTGTGATATACACAGACCAGGTCCTGGGGAGGCAAGGCAGAGGCGGGCAGACAGGAAGTCCTTCTGAGAGGAAAGAAGGAAGAGTGCGAGTTAGGGCAGCTGAGAAATGGGACGAGGAGTGGGAAATAGAATCTAGGGAGAGAGTGCAGGTGCGATCAGGGAGATGCAGATACTTTAAAGTAACTAGGAAGAGGGTGTGAGTTGAAGTTGCCTAGGCATGCAGAGGCCAGGCTTACTGAGAGCATTTTTTGACCCCATAAAGGTTTTGGATTTTATCATAATGTCAGTGGGGAATCCTGGGAAGCCTGTAAGAAGGAAAAGGATGTGTTAAGATTTGAATCTCTCTGGCGCTTGCCATTTCACCTTTATGAAACCTCTCCTCCTCCCATCAGGCCTTTATCTCATTTCCCTATCTGATCTGGAAAGGACAGCTACCTTCCTTGTTTACATTAGATATCTTTTTTTTGAGACAGAGTTTTGCTCTTGTTGCCCAGGCTGGAGTGCAATGGCATGCTCTTGGCTTACTGCAACCTCCCGTGTTCAAGCAATTCTCCTGCCTCAGCCTCCCGAGTAGCTGGGATTACAGGCATGCACCATCATGCCTGGCTAATTTTGTATTTTTAGTAGAGACGGGGTTTGTCCATGTTAGGTCAGGCTGGTCTCAAACTCCCGACCTCAGGTGATGCACCTGCCTTGGCCTCCTAAAGTGCTGGGATTACAGGCATGAGCCACTGCGCCCAGCCTACATTAGATATCTTGATTATGCTTAGCTTGCATGTGAATTTTGAAACAGAAAATCAACTTCATGGGCATCATCTGTACCTCTGTCCTTACAGGATACTCAAGGCTGCATTTACATTTAAAACATCTTATTGAAAATTATGGGGTGAAAGGTTTGTCATCTTTTAGGCATAAGTAATAGTTGCAATGAATCTCTCTTTTTTTTGAGGTGGAGTCTCACTGTGTCACCCAGTTTGAAGTGCAATGTTGTGATCTTGGCTCACTGCAACCTCTGCCTCCCAGGTTCAAGCAATTCTCCTGGTTCAGCCTCCTGACAAGCGCCACCCCCACCCCCCACTCCCCCCCCACCCCCCCGCCCTACCACGCCTGCCCGGCTAATTTTTGTATTTTTAGTAGAGACGGGGTTTCACCGTGGTGGCCAGGCTGGTCTCGACTCCCGACCTCAGGTGATCTGCCCGCCTCAGCCTCCCAAAGTGCTGGGATTACAGGCGTGAGACACTGCACCCAGCCTGCAGTGAGTCTCTTTACTTGTATTTTCTAATGAATCCTTTGAAGCCAGCAAAGTCTGGCTCATCATATGCACAGGTACAGAAAGGTGAAAAAAGCAGAAAGGGTGCTCAGGCTACACTGGTAGAAGTATGCAGCCAGGATTTAAACCTAGGTGTAATTACAAGGTTTAGGCTCTCCCCACTCTGAATACTAACTCTCTGGGTTGATATTTTTGAGAATATAGGAGGCCCTAGGACTCTGATATCTTACAATAGTTTTGTGAGGGCGTAAGGGCAACCATAAAAATAAACCCAATTTAGATTTTTTAGTGTCAATGGTAGAAACGTGAGATCTAGACAAAGAGAGTTTCACTAGCAGCCCTTAATCTAAATACAGCCCCATCCCCCAACTCTTCTCCTTCTTTCTGTCCCAAATTTTTGGGTTTTGTCCTAATAGCACGCTTGTGATTTGTTTGTGTGTTTATTTTAATTAAATGCTCTAACAAGGGCAGAACAAAAGTAAAGGGCACTTATTACTTAAGGGTGACTTATTTTAAGTCTGTTCAGGGGCTTCTCTGCCCCTCAGAGTCTTACCTGTCTTTTTGTACCTTCTTCAGGCAGACAGTGCTGTGTTGCATCCTGTAGGACAGAAAGATTTATGTCTCAGAAATAAACCAGCCAACGAACAATGTTGACCCACATTTTAATCCCTTTGCTGCTTATCATTCAGTTAGCTAGAAAGCACAGCTGATAGCTTCATCCTTCATCCTCTTCTTCGTGTGTGACTAACAGGTGTGACTTTAACTTGAAGAAAGAAAGAAGATAGAAATGGCATTCCTAGGAATCCAGAGTCCAATGACGAATTATTCAGTAGCTTAGGGTGAGTTCCTGAGCCAATGTGGAATGGAATTTTTTAAATCAAGCTGTGAGAACCACTATTCATTCTTCTAAAGGAAAAAAATGGTAGTGGATGTGATATTTAACATAAAATATAGTCAGTGTTTTTAAATAAAATGTGTATATATATATATGGTTGAACATATGCAATTGCCCTTTCTGTAGGTGAATAAACAGTTGGATGTTGGCAGTTTGCATATGGTTCATCCTGATTCAAATACAATACCGTTGACATCTAACAGTTGACCAATGAGCCTATGCTCTTCATTTCCCTATAAGCACATGGGGTGGTGCCCAGGCATGATGAACAGTGGCTTCTAGTAGTCTTCTTCCTTCTCCAACTGCTGGGTTATTGGCTTAACAACAATTTATTGTATTTATTGCAAACATGTTAGTGCCAGTTATATTTGTTATTGTGATAGATAATTTAGATATGCGTGAACTTATGAAACGTAAGTGCAAAAAAAGAATATTGTTATTGTGAAAGGAATGTTGAATTCTTTGGAAAGGTTCCATAAAAGTGAGTCACTAAGGGGTCAGGAAAACTAAAAAAATCAGAAAGATGGCTGGGTGCAGTGGCTCACGCCTGTAATCCCACCACTTTGAGAAGCCTAAGTGGGAGGATCACTTGAGGACAGGAGTTGAAGACGAGCCTGGGCAACATAGTGAGACATCCATCTCTACAAAAAATTTAAAAAATAACTGGGTGTGGTGGCATGCGTCTGTAGTCCTAGCTACTCCAGAGGCTGAAGTGGGAAGATCCCTTAAGTCCAGGAGGTCGAGGCTGTAGTGAGCTGTGATTGCACCACTGTACTTCAGCCTCGATGACAGAGTGAGACCCTGTCTAAAAAAAAAATTCAAAAATAAAAACAGAAATTGTAAAAACTTGAAAAATATCCTGAGCTTGCCTTAAAAGTGTGTGTAGTTGTTTTATTTTGTTTTGCTTTGTTTTTAATTCACTTAGAAAGTTAAAACTGGAAATTGTAGATTAAGTTCTAGGTATGGTTTATAGCAGAAAAATATTGGTGAGGAGCTCTTCCTCAAGTACAGTCTTGGGACTACTCTGTCTTTTTTTTTTTTTTTTTTCAAGATGGGATCTCACTGTGTCACCCAGGCTGGAGTGCAGTGGCTTGCTCTCAGCTCGCTGCAACCTCCACCTCCCGGGCTCAATTGATCCTCCCACTTCAGTCTCCCGTGTAACTGGGACTACGGGTGTGTGCCACCACGCCCGGCTAATTTTTGTATTTTGGTAGAGACAGGGTTTTTCTGTGTTGCCCAAGCTCGTCTTGAACTCCTGAGCTCAAGTGATCTGCCCGCCTTGGCCTCCCAAAGTGCTGGAATTACAGGTGTGAGCCACTGTGCCCAGCCCTTGGGACTACTTTGGAAAATTGGAGAATTAATGCCTATTTATATATTTTTTTAAAAAGTAAGTGTTTATAGTATCTAAATAAATTTTTCATTCTTTGCTATAAATAAATTTTTAAAAATCAACTAACCAAAACTAGTCAGAATTCCTGCTCCTGTTAGTCTGACTGTAATAGTTTACGCTATAGTGTAGTAAGTAGTCAGAACCTTCACTTAGCATTCCATACTAATGGTATATAATCAACTCATACTTCTTATTTTATATCATTTTTTGAGAGACAGGATCTCACCATGTTGCCCAAGCTGATCTCAAATTTCTGGCATCAAACATTCCTCCCATCTCAGCCTCCCAAGTAGCTGGGATTACAGGTGTAAGCTACTCTGCCTGGCTCATGCTTCTTATTTTAAATTGGGCTTTCATTAATAACATCTATATAACATTTAAGTTTATTTTAATAATGTGAACCGGTCGGGCGCAGTGGCTCACGCCTGTAATCCCAGCACTTTGGGAGGCCGAGGCGGGCGGATCACAAGGTCAGGAGATGGAGACCATCCTGGCTAACACGGTGAAACCCCGTCTCTACTAAAAATACGAAAACAAAATTAGCCAGGTGTGGTGGCGGGCACCTGTAATCCCAGCTACTTGGGAGGCTGAGGCAGGAGAATGGTGTGAACCTGGGAGGCAGAGCTTGCAGTTAGCCGAGATCATGCCACTGCACTCCAGCCTGGGCGACAGAGCGAGACTCCGTCTCAAAAAAAAAAAATAATGTGAACCAATATGTAGAACTTAGAGCTGCTTCCTACCTGCATTTAATGGCTTACATAAAAACTGAAAGCAAAAATATATCATTAGCTAGAGTTTATTAAACTTGAAAAATTTATTAGTGTTATTAAGCTGACAAGTTGAATTGGTCAAGGTGTAACTTATTTTAGATTCAAATAGTAATTATAAAAGTATAGTTATTCTTTTCTGAAGTATTAGTAGGTTGATGAAAAAAGGCCAAACTTATAAAATGAGAAAAATAAAATTATATTTTATAATAATAGCAATTATTAAGCACTGGCTATATTCCAGCCACTGTGCTAAAGTCTATTTATGCCTTATCTCATTTAGTCCTCACAGAAGCCCTAGAAGGTGGTATTCTTCCCATGTTATAAGCAAGGAAACTGGTGCAAATAGAAGTGAAGAACCTTGCCCAAGGTCACATGATTAGTGATAGCACTGGGAATCACTAATCTAGTTTAGTCTGAACTCCAGTGCTCATGTGCTTACTACTTCATAACTTAGTACTTTAAAACTGAATTTAATTTCTAATGTAGGTTTAATTTTTTTTTCTTTTTTTAGTGTAAATAACTTATTTGGGAGATAATCCTAGATAGTACCAGAAGTTGGGGAGTGGGGAAGTGAGACAAGAAAAGGAGGCGGCCAACACAGGGAGTGTTAATGAAGAGTCTACTACCTCTGTGGGCACCTGGCGCTCAGTCCCACAGGACATCTCTCAGCATTGTCCCACCCAAGGATCTGAGAATTGAAGCCTTTGCTGGGTCATGGGCATGTTGGTCATTTTTCAGAGAAACATTAGTGTTTTGAGCTGCAAAGGACCTGAGAGGTCATTCAGGCTGACCTCTTATACTGTTGAGGACACGAGGCCATTTCGTTTGGCCAAGACCACAGTCCTGTTTAGTATTTTGGGACCAGAAACAAGTTCTCCCAACTAGAGCCCAATTGCTTTTCTAGCTGATAATCATATTTTCATCATTAGCCTTATTTCTGAATATGACTTGACACTGAATTTTTGAAGCTCTTGGATTGCCCCCCTCCATCTTTGTCTACAAGTAACATTAATTACTCCTACAGAGGTTACTGTAGAATACGGCAGGGCGAGGATTATGCTTCCCCCATGTTACAAGTACAGAAACTGAAGCTCAAGTCAATGCAATGCTGTGCCTAGTCCTGAGGCCCATGTATTATAAAACCTAACCCTGAACTATGAGTAAAGGTGTCAAAGAAAAAACTGTATTATTTTAGCAGAGGTGACTAAATTACCTAGCCCAAGCCATGGACTTTATCTAACAGCCCTCTTCCTTTTCTTATTCTCTGCCCTTAGCACTTGAGTTTATCCCCATTAGGTGACTGCCTGAGTATCTCACTCATGGAAGTGGCATTTTTGGAATTGGGAAGGGGGAAGGTTAATGGAGAGTTAGTGCACATTGCTTTGATCTGCACTCTCAAAAAAAAAAAAATTCCGGCTGGGCGCGATGGCGCACGCCTGTAATCCCAGCACTTTGGGAGGCTGAGGTGGGCAGATCACAAGGTCAAGAGGTCAAGACCATCCTGGCCAGCATGGTGAAACTCCATCTCTACTAAAAATACAAAAATTAGCTAGGTGTGGTGGTGGGTGCCTGTAGTCCCAGCAACTTGGGAGGCTAATGCAAGAGAATTGCTTGAACCCAGGAGGCAGAGGTTGCTGTGAGCCAAGATGGTGCCACTGCACTCCAGCCTGGGCAACAGAGCGAGACTCCGTCTCAAAAAAAAAAAAAATCTATCAATCCCCAATCCTTAGGTTTTACTATTTCATCAGTAGACAGAGCACAGAGCAAGTAGGAGTTGCCATCTACTTATTAACAGGCAAATATATGTTGCTGCTTAATTCTGATTGCAACACTGCCTGTTGTGTGTGCTCTAAATTCACTTTTAGAGACCAAAAATTCTGAGGCTCCAAGAAATTTAAGTGATTTTCCCCAAGGTCACCTGAGTGGTGGCTGGCAGACCTGGGTTCCTGGAATACAAAGATTCTGACTATACATCCTGCTGCTTACTACACGTTGCCTTAGAGTTTATTTTCTTATCTTCAGAAAAAAAGTGCTGGTTTGGGAGAGGCAGCTGATATGCTTATGAAATAGTAATATTGCAGATTTTAAATATGATCATATATAATTCACATTCTACTTTTTTCCCAGAAAGACTTGAAATGCTTACAATAAATATATTAAGATCCAAGCATAGAAGGGGAAAATCTAGGTAATGCAGTTGTGATAAATGGAACACTAGATTTTAACAGTTAGCCCGGAGCTTATATTGAAAGAGTAACCACAACTCTAATGGTTTGTTTTTTGCTTCTTTAAAAGCATAAATATATAAGGTACTTTTTGTCCTAGAAGTAAAGTGCAAAAGGAATTTATCAAATTGGCCCTAATAAAGAGGATCTTGAATCGCTTTATGGATAATACTTTAACAGTTTTGCTAAAGATGCAAAGATATTTTAAAAATTAATATTGGTTCTTGATAACTCACGAATTGTGGATGTTAATGAAGGTAAACTCTTTGAAAGCATTTCTCTAAAACCTCCAGGGCTACGCTAATAAGATTCTCCTGATGATGTATACAATAAATACTCTAGCACTAGACAGAGAAGAACCTTTTAAAACTTGAGGCTGGTCTATGGATGGACTTCAGAAGGTCCATAAACTCCCAAAACATCACATTTGTGTATACATGTAATCTCTGGGGAGGTGGCCTATAGCACCATAGTCTCAAATTTTAAAAGCTATTAATTTAGAAAGGGATGAAATAATATATGTAAAATGCTTAGTAAAATTTAACTTACTGTATACATTATAAAGGATTGGCCTTTAATGATAATATTGAAATTAGGCAGATTAGGTTAACATGAACCAACTGTACAGACTTTATCCATGTTATAAGGACATGATTATTATAGACAGACACTAGAAAGAAGGTAATCTCCTGTGTCCATAGTAGTTTCATTTCTGTTGTCCTAGTTGTCTAGGAAGAAAGGTTTTTACTTTTTAAATGTTAAATCAGTATTCATTCATTTATGTAATAAACATTAGCTATTTGCAATGTGTTAGACACTGGACATATGAAATATAGAAGTCATTTCTCCTCATTTTTTCTCTTTCTCTTGCCCATATGTGAATTAGCAGCAATCATGTCAGCTGTGTCAACAAAATCCATCCTGAACCATCTACTTCAGTAAACTTCTACTCCTGCTGTATTCCCATAATCAATTCTCTACCAAGCAAAAATTATTTTTTAAAACATAAGACAGATCATGTACTGCTTTGCTTAAAAGCCTCTGATGAGAGTTTCAGTTTCACAAGATGAAGAGTTCTAGAATTGAATGGTAGTGATGGTTGCACAACAGTCTGAATGTATTTCATTAATACTGAAATATACTTTTAAAAATGGTTAAGATGGTAAATTTTAAGTTATTTGTATTTTACTATAAATTTTAAAATTGAAAAATGAATAGTCATACTACCAAAAAAAAAAAAAAAGAAAGAAAGAAAAAAAAAGCCTCTGATGGTTTCCTCTTGTACCTAGAATAAAACCCAGGTACCTTACCTGAGGTTAGAAGACCATCAATGCCCAGCTGTCTGTGCCATCCAGCATCACTGTCTTTGTGCTCTGGTTTCTGTTCCTCTGCTGTTATCCTTCAGGACCACTCAGCTGCCACATCCTCCCCAGTATCCTAGCTCTTTCTCACTACCCTTCTACTGTTGCAGCCCTCTGCCCCAGTTACTATTACTTTACTTTGTTGTGCTTTATTTTCTTCATCACTTTTGCCACTATTTGTCTTATTTATGTTTGTCTGTTTGTTTACTTGTATGTCTTCCCACAAGAATGTAAACTCCATGAAAGCAGGGATCTCACTGTATCCCTAGTGTCAAGAAGGCTGCTTGGCACATAGCAGGTGCCAAATATTTGTTGAATAAATGAATAGAGACATGGTCCCCAACCCCAAGGACCTGACAGTTTCTGATACTGTTTGAGTCTCAGGAGCCCTGAGCTGTGGTTGTGAGCAAGGATTTTAAGAACCTGTCAGCCAGGCCTCACGTAGAGAATGGACAATGATTTCTCAAAATGAAATGATCAGGGGGAGGAGAAAGAGGAGCAGATGATGTAGGAGGCAAAGAGCCAAAATTACAGTAAATGTTTCCTCTATTCAAGGGTAGAATAAACTTTTTCTCTCTTCTATCTCCCTACCCATCTAAAATAAAAACAAGAGAAAACAAAAGTATAACTATATATCAGTAGCCACTCATGAACCTTGCCTAAGCCAAATGTAAAATGAAAGTGATGTAAGATATTGTATGTCACATTTCCAGAAATACCTGACTCCTGTTTATCATCTGCCCTTAGAGAGCCCATTATGAGCACTCAGTTGTATGAGTCAATATGTCTGCCTTGCCAGAATGAGACCAAAATCTTACCAGCCTTTTCATCATTCCAGAATTATCTTCTTCTCTAGTATGTCTTTCTCCTGTGACAATCGAAACTCACTCTTTCCATCCTGCTGTCACAAACAGGTAGATTTATAGACAACTGGGTTCATGTGTTCATTAATATTTTTCATGGTAAATATAAAAGATAGAGGGATTTATGATATAGACAGATTTTCTGTACTTGACATGCAAAAATCTTCCATGTAATGAGAAAATTCACTCATTTTTTGACTATATTAATAATATATGCTGACTTTAGAAATATAGAGAACTTCTAACAGAAAATAACAAATAAAAAAACTTATAACATCAAAGAAAACAGATATCCCTTATAATCTTACCAACCAGAAATAACAATTGCTAACATTTTGATAAACTGCTTTGCGGCTTCTTGTAGCCTTTTAAAAAAGGTTGTTAAAGTTTTTCTCTAGGAAAAGAATTGGGAAATATTTAGATGAGGAACAAGAACCATCTCCTAGTATGCTTTTTTTTTGAAAGCTCTAAACATAAAATATAAACCTTTCCAACATGAACATTTTATTTCTTTCTTAAAAAACTCTTATTATAGAAATTTCTAAACATTTATAAAAGTAGAATGATGTAATGAACTGATATACTCATCACTCAGAATTATGGCTAATCTTATTTCATCTGTAAATATTCCAGTATACCTCTAAAAATAAGGACTTTAAAAAATTACAGCCATACCATTATCATGCCTAAGAAGTTAAAAATAATAACTTAATGTCATCAAATAGCCAATCAATCTGAACATTTTTAAAAACCACCACTTTGTTATGACTAAAAGTAGTGAGAGATTCTTGGGTAATAGGATGATACGGAGTCTAAGTAGCAAATTATATAAATATCACAAGAAAAGTTTTAAAACAATACGAGTAACTTATTTAGCTGTGCTTATTGCTTATAGATAACTATTAATACATTAGTAAACAATCTGTCATTTTATATTTTAATAACTTTGCTATTTCTTTATTCTCATGGTTTAAATTCAAAATGCAGTGTTCACCTATGCCTAATGATTTTTTTAAAACTCTCCTATGCATTTTTGGGCTTAGCGCAGGGAAAAAGTATGATCTGGATACATAAAAGTCAGCAGTGTGACATGTTTCCATAAGGTTCTATACTATGATACAGTTAATATATTTTTCTAAAGCTATAAATACTTTACCTGAAGTAAAGTAAAAATGAGCTGTTAGGTATATGTTTTGTTAAATTAATAAAGCAGAGAAAATCCATTTATTCTTAGAATTTCAGTAGTAGAAATAATTTTTGTGCTCTTAAAGATATATGTTAATTTTTAATGAAAAGTGCTAAATCCTCCATGTCTCTGCATAATTTATTCCTATTATAATTTTTACCATATGAGGATGTAACAGAGAGAATGCAGGGAGCAGCAAAAAAGTGTACTTGGCTGAAAGATTATCAGGAATCAGAGTGCGAGGTGAGGGTGAGGGGTCAAAGGGGTCCTGTTAATGAAGCCCACAAGCAGGAATTCCAGCTTGGTTCCAGACTCCACTAACAAATTGCTAGAGGGTTCTGAAAAGACAAAGGTCCTGGTGAGAGGTGCTTTGAGCTGGGGATTCACATTGCTGCCTCGACACACTGTTAGGGGAGAGGGAACTAGGGGTGTAAAATGTGGGAAATTGAGGACTTGGTCCAGCACAGAGCCTAGATGGGGGTGTGCCTCTGTGGATGGAAAGGAGTGAGAAGGGCAGAAAGAGTGAAAGAAAGATGAAGAAGGAGAGATTCTGGGTGTGCAGGAAGGATGGGAGGCCAAGGTTGGGGCCTGTACCACAGGTGGGTTGTGGTACCAAAACTGGTCACCTGGGGAAACTAGGGCAAGGGCATGTGTTGGTTGTGATCATGGAAATTCCTTTATTTCTATTCCCTATTAATCATTGCAGGTTAAGTTAATAAATTACATGCTCATTTGTAGAATTTGAGACTTTTCACTCTTCTGGGCAATTCTTTCATGATGGGGCATTTAAAGGTCTAGAAATTATTAGGCTTTTTCAAACATCAAATGTATGAAATCTCATTATAGTAGCTAAAGCCAGCCAGAATAACCAGGATTTCTTTCCTACTCCCAACTAACTAGGAAGAAAATCCATGGTATTTGAGTATCTTGTATAAAATTGTCTAGAAGAAAATGTTTTTCTATGTTTACCTAGAAAGATATTTGTAAATATTTGACATGACAGCTTTTATAGGGTAGTCATTGTTTTAGTTTCACATTGTCTACAATTTTTGTTTGTTGATGTTCAGCTGTTGTTTGAAAGGGCCATAGTTGGAGGAACCTACATTGAGGAAATATTGAATTAAACTATATATTATCCAGATAAATAGTGGAAGGAAATATTAGTCTAAGTTTTTTCTGGCATCTTTTCCTTCATATCAAAATTACGTAACCTAAAAATTAAGTAATGATATTTTTAGCAATATTGTATTGCAAATGTATACACAGATTATGCATTAAATCAATTTGTCTACTAGCTTAGGTGTGTAACTACACTTTCCCTGGGAAAATGTTTTCTTCAGTTAAAATAACTAAATTATACATTTCGTTCTCAATTAGAGATGTTTTTTGCAGACATGGAATAAATGAAGATCCTCTGTTGTTCTGAATCTGTGTTCATGTTTAATTTGTTAAAGAGAATTGAGACACCTTAATAACAATCATTTTAGTCTAACTGTACTGAAGAAAGTAGTATGGATACAAATACAGTCTGCTAACCCAGAGGCCATTTATCATGAAGTTTCAGTACCTAAAATGTTTCTGGAAATGAGTAAGCAGAGAAATTATCCCCAAGCAGAGAAAACAATGTCCCAAAGTCTTTTGAGTACATCTGTGCTCCACCCAGAAGGAAACCCCCTGGTTTTTAATCTCCACCCACTTAGCACTATTTTAAACATTCCAATGTTGTTGTTTTTCTCATTTCCCATCCCATAGCATATTAGGGAAAACAAATTAGAATGAGTGAGATTTTGTAGAAACAGGAATGCTAGTAACAAACAGTAAGAAGAGCAGTAGCTAACAAACTGATAGGGAGGAGACAGGAAATTTGTTAAAAAACAGGCACTGGCATTAGAAATGCCTTGCAATTTGGAACTTTTAGTGCAGGGCAAAGATCCATAGCCATAAATAGGGGTAGTCCCAGAGGACACTGCTATGATACTGTTATCTTAATAGTATCCCTGAATCATCCAGAAAAGTTCAGTTATAAGATGATTGAAATCTTTAAAAAAATGTTTTACAGTAAAAAAAAAATCAGAATCACAGATACAGGTGTATCTGGGCAGGTGTATCTTTGATTACACCTAGAGATAAGCATTTCAGTTATCTAAAATACTTTTATGAAACACTGCATTAGAAGATGAGGCTGGATAAATGAACTGTACTCATAAATACAAAACAGGATGAATTAATTTGATCTTACTGTTGGTTACTTTTCTTAACCACCCCTCTCCTTGAGTACCATTTATTTTTCCTCCCTTTCTGGCTTACCTGTACATTTTATAGATACGTACTATTTGGTGTATATGTACCGTAATACCTCCCCTGTATTCAGATTTGTAATAGGAAAGACCATTATGCTTTTTGCTCTCTATAGGATTCATCAGTCCATGTGCCCTGCCTGTCCACCGCTGGGCATTCCTTCCCCAGATGGGGCTCCATGCCCTATTCCTGTCCCTACTTGGACTGAACCTATGACTGCCAATTCTTGCTTGTCTCAAGGCAGGGTATTTAAGGCTATGGATTCCCACCCTTCCTCTCATTCTTGTAATTTTTGGTTACTGACCAAAAGAGAAACCCTTTACTGGGTATTATAGCCTTTCTATTGGCTCCTGTTACTATTAACCATACTTTCAGCTCTGTCCTTTATTCTTTGAGACTGGTGTTCCATTGTGTTCCAGTTCTCTTGTATCCCCAGTCTCATCATTTTCCAAATATAACTGAATCACAGCTCTTTCCCTCAACCTCAGGCCCATACACTGCTTATGAGAAGGTTCATCCATCCATTCATTCAACAAATATTTCAGTGTCTGTTACACGTCAAGCACTGTTTCAGGTGCCAGAGAGGTAAGAGTGCACAAAACAGAAGAACATCCCTGCCCCTAAGCAGCTTATAATATAGCGCATTCTTGGGGGCAGAGAGGGCCAGACGGTAAACAAGTAAATTTAGAATATTGGTGAAATACATATAAATATATATAACACTGAAAAGTACGATGCAGAAAAATAAAGCAAGGTAAGGGAAGTGCGTGTTGTTGGAGTGGTGACATTTTAGCAGGGATCTGAGGAAAGTGAAGGAGTAAGCTGTGGCAGATATCTGGAGGAAAAGAACTATAGGTTGTGGGGACAGTGATTTTCAATGCCTTGAGGCAGGGCATTCTTGGTGTGTTCAGGGAAGGACAAGGGGATCAATGCAGTTGAAGCTAAGTATGAGAAGTGAGGCTGGGCATGGTGGCGCACACCTGTAATCCCAGCACTTTGGGTGGATCACTTGAGGTCAGGAGTTTGAGACCAGCCTGGGTGTGTGCCTTTAGTCCCAGGTACTTGGGAAGCTGAGGCAGGAGAATCACTTGAACCCAGGATGTGGAGGTTGCAATGAGCCGAGATCGCACCACTGCACTCCAGCCTGGGTGACAGAGTGAGACTCTGTCTCAAAAAAAAAAAAAGAAGTGAGAAGAAGGAAAGGTCAGAGGTCAGAGAGGTAGTCAGGGCCCAGATCATGTAAGGCCGTGGAGCCCATTATAAGAACTTTGACTTTTATTGTGAGTGAGGTGGGAAAATATTGGTGCATTTTAAACAGAGAAGGGACATGACTTGAGTTTTTGTTTTGTTGTTTTTAACTTGAGGAAGACATTAAAGAGGGACAAAGATGAAGTCAGGGAGACCAGCTTAGAGGCTACTGCAGCAATCCGGATAAGACAGGACAGTGGCTTGGGCCACCGTTAAAGTAAAGTAGTTGGATTCTAGAATATATTTAGAAGATAGGATTTGTTCATGAATTTTATGTAGAAAGAAATGGAGGCTTTCTTCCATATTTAAAGATCTGGGTGGACTGGCCAGGATTCCCCTATCTATCCATTGCCACATTTGAATCTAACTGTTACTTTTTCACTTCCATAGGAAAATGAAACAAAACTCTCCTTTTTTGAACATCTCACTGTTGGGCTTTGTTGCCTCTGCCTTTCTTAGTCTTCTTTGTCTCTTGTTCTTCGCTTCAATCCCACATGCCTTAGAGACTTTGACGTTTCTCCATCGTTACTCCTGCTGTTGCTCTGGGAGACTTCCACGTCCCTTCAAATGCCGACTTGTGAGCGGCCTTAAAGTTCCTTGTGTGACTCAACTGTGATAACCTTTACAGCACTGTAAAGGTCTCTGGCTGTTCAGCTCTCTTATACCTCCTTCTCTTCACTCTCTCAGAGACTATAATTTTGCCTTGGTGTCTGAATTTTTTATTTATCCTACTTCCATATTTACCTGGCAAAGCCCTAATTCCAAATTAATCCTACAGTAATCCTCTGCACGGATACCCAGGTAGTGTCTGAATTTTTTATTTATCCTACTTCCATATTTACCTGGTAAAGCCCTAATTCCAAATTAATCCTACAGTAATCCTCTGCAGGGATACCCAGGTAGCTGAACAGTGTGGTGGAAAACTGGGTAAAATGGTAAATGGATCAGTTCATGGTTTCCAGTCTTGTCTCAATCCTGACCAGCATTACTTAAGTCTTTCACTCAGTGACTCTCAATCTTGGCTGCATATTAGAATCATCTGGGAACTTAAAAAAATCCTGGAGCCCAGGCTACAGAGACCAGTTAAATCTGAAATTTGGAGGCAGGACCCAAGCATCAGTAGTTACTCATGTTCTTTAGGTGATTCTAATGTGCAACTAAGATTGAGAACCACTACTTTAAACTTGTTCTTGAAGGATTTTCAGTTTCCATTTCCCTGAAAAGCTATTCTATTCTTTCACTAATCTCTAAAAAACCCTCTACCTAACTCCGTTTTATAAACCCTTGGCAATTGATCCCACTTCCTACTTGCTAGAAAAATTGAAGCATCTATTGGTGAATCCTCTTTAATTTTTAGTCCCCATTTAGTCAACTATACATTTAATTAGGGCTTAGATAAGCCAGGCACTGTGGTAGGCATGGGACATAGAGTGGTAAATGGGACAGTTATAGTCCGTGCCTTCCTGGTGCTTATGGTCTATCCCTGCATCCAGGCAGGTCAATTAGGCAATTACTGGACATGGTACATGCTATGGGCGCATGTAGGAAGGGCCCTAATCCAGACTTAGGCTCTGGAGAAGGCTTCCTCCCCTTTACTAACTCATCTATTTCACGCCCTTCTTTCCCGTTTTCCTTCTCGGAGGAGGTATCACCCTTGCTCCAGTGGAGGGAGAATGCTGCCTTGCAGGGCTTCTGACCATCCCCCTCATTTTCTCCTCTAGACCTTCATGGGTTGTTCCTTCTTGTTTCTCTCTATTACTTCATCCCCTCACTGTAAAAATACTCCAACAGTTATCACCTTAAGACTAATAAAGCTTGATTTTGCCTCTCCTTCTTCTCTTCTAGACTTCACCACCAGGCTTCGTGAACAAGACCTGTTCAATGCCTGCTATTAATCACCTGCCTTTGCATTTTGGCTTCAGCCTTATCATTGCTTAATTTCTTCTTCCTTCCAGTCACAGAGGCTTCCAGGTTGGCTGAATTTGCTGAAGACCATTCCACTCTATGCACTGAACCTCTCTGATGCATTTGACCCTATTCATCCCTGCCTCCCTCTTCAGAATTTTTCCCACTTTTGTTTTCATGATCCTGCACGTACTGAGTTCTCCTCATGTCTTTTTGACTCTTTCTTTTTTTGTCTCCTTTGTGAGATTCCATCTTTTGGCCTTCCCCTTAAGTGATGGTATTCTCCAGGCGTTTGTCTTTAGACCACTATTGTTCTCATGCATCTATTACTGTGGTTTTCATCACCAACTAGATGTGAAGTTCCAAAAGCTGTATCCTTAGCCTTGACCTTCCTCCCAAGTGCCTGCTAAACATCTCCACCTGAATGTCCCCTGGGCTTGTCACATTGGGATTTACTTTACCAAACTATCTCTGCCCTTGTTCAGGCCTATAATGATTTCTCATTGGGATGATGGAATTAAACCCCACTCGGTCTTCTTGCTCTTAGGCTCACCCATCACATTCATCCTTTGCATAGCTGATTTGCCTATAGCTAAAGCTTGCACTAAGGGGATTCTTCTGGTACAGGCTTGGGGTTTTCAGTGGGTAGCACTCTGGTGACCTGTGTGGTTGAGCTCTTTTACATATCGAGCTTATGAATAATATTTCACCTTTTCAGCGCTTCCTATTGCCTATGCAGTGTCTTTCACACTCTTCCTCATTTGCACTCCTTTCTCAGTGCATTTGACTATCCTACAACCCCAAAGTACCCAATTCCTACTGTTCACCAAGAAATAGCTCAGTCTCACATCTTTCACAAAGCCTTCTTATCATTCACACCTTCATTTATTTATTCACTGATATTTATTAGACATTTGCATTGTTGCATTGTCCCAGGCAGCAAACAACATTCCCAAAAGGAGGAAGGTAAGAACACACCTGAAGGCATTAGAGAAGTGCTTCTCAAACTATCTGTGGTAATAGACCAACTGGGTTTTTAATTTGTTTTTTTCTTTTTTTCCCTATCGTGGATCAGTAAATGGTCCTATTGCACATAGTGAATATGCAGGTTGCACCACATGTGACTCACCTCACAAATTCAGCAACACTTGAACTGGTCTATGCCTTGTTCAACAAGCATCACATACTTGGATGTCACAGCAATGTCAAATTGCTATAAACATTTCTAAATGCTTACACTTGATTTCTGGAGTTAGCTGGTACCAATCTAGTAAGAAACCATTTGTGCGTCAGCACCAGTCACAGGCCACTGTCCTAGAGTGTTTGCTATAGATGCCATGGTAGAAGAGGGGACAGCTTATGTCAGGGGCTCAGAAGAGACTGGACAGTTTGCCTGGGTGGTTTAGCTGTAAGGGGAACAGAAAGCATGTTAGAGGAAGGCAGAATTATGAAAAGTGAGCTAGGCTTCCCAGCCAGCCGAACAAGGATTTTTAGTCATGAAGAGAAACTGGAGCATAGATAGAGGGGGAAGGAGGAGCACTTGGGCTTGCTGAGTTGGAGGATAGAGGGGACATAGTGGAAAAGGTTGCTGTTAGGCAAGAGATGAAGCTAGAGAGTCACGTGGGGTTGAGATCATTCGTTCAGCGAATACTGTTTGGAAGTCAACCATGTGCCAGACCCTGCCTAGGAATTGGGGTTAGAAGTCCAGCAGGGACAGTTTTGCTCTGCTAGAGATTAGAAGGGTGCTAAGCGTCACCACAGAGTTAGACTTTTTAGTAACTGTAGGCAGACTTTGAAGGATTTTGAAGTAGAGCATGGTGTGACTGCTTTAATCCTTGGGAAGATGACTCTGGTGGCCTTGTGTACAGTGGATGGCTGTTCATTTAGGAAAGTTAGTTGAAAGGTGATTTCAGTAATCTTGGCCACACAAAGACGGAAGTGAACTAGGCAGTAATTATAATTATTACTCAAATTTACCGAGAACTTTGTATAGGGCTTAAAGCTACAGCATACTAAAAACAGATAATTCACTAGGCAGACAAGAGAACATCAACACAAGACAGACTTATCAGTAGACAAACTTATTAGTTCACTTCCTTCTGTGTGTGGCCAAGAGATGATAAAGCTCAGGAAGTAGCAGTCAGGGGTTGAGGGGAGGAAGTGGAGTTGAAGGAAAGGGGAAGGGACTTTTAGGAGAAATATCATAAAGATGGCATACACCACAGGTCTTAAGGGGTCAGTGGAGTTTAAGGATGGCTCACAGTTTCTGATTTGTGATCAGGTTCGTGGTCCAACTCATTGGGAGAACGAATAATAGAAGGGGAGGGTGTTGGAGAAGTGAGAAGTCAAGAGTCTAAAGATGTCGTACCAGTTAGGTGCCTTTCTGTGTTCCTGTAGTGCTTTGTGCTAACTTCTTGCATAGAATTGTCCATTGGGCTGAAGTACTTATGAGCTCCTTGAGAATGTGTACCCATTTTTCTATCCCAGACACTGGTCACAGGGCCTGGCATGTGGAACAGGCTTGACAAATGGTTCTTAAACTAAACCGAAAGATAGTGTATTAGTTTTCTATTGCTGCCATAACAAACCACCACAGACTTTTTAAGTTCATTGAAATAACACAAATGTATTATCTCACAGTTCTGTAGGTCAGAATTCCAGGTTGGCACAGCTGGTTTTTCTGCTCTGTGTTTCACAAGGCCCAATTAAGGTGTTGGTCAATTGGGCTCTTATTAGGAGGCTCCATTTGGAGCTCCAATGGGAGCTTGGAATCCATTTCTAAGCTCATTCAGGTTGTTGGCAGGATTTACTTTTTTTGTGGCTGTAGGACAGAGGTTCCTGTTTCCAGGCTGTCTGTCAGAGGCCACCCTTACCTTCTAGGAACCTCTCCCCAGTCCTTGAATGTGGGCCAGTCCATCCCAGAGCCAGCAAAGTTGCACTGAATATTCATGCTTCAAATCCTCCTTCTTCCAGCCAGAGACAGTTCTCTACTTTTAAGGATGCATTTGATTACATCGGGCCCAACATGATATTCCAGGGTAAATCCCTATTTTAAGGTCTATACATTTAATTACATCTGTGGAAACCCTTTTGGACATATTAGGCGCGGAGGGGAGAGCATCATTTTGTCTACTACAATAGTAATTATCCACCAAGTCAGGTAGGCATTATGATCGTGGTTTTTTTTGTTTTGTTTTGTTTTTCTCTCGAGACAGAGTCTCACTGTCACCCAAGCTGGAGTGCGGTGGCTCGATCTTGGCTCACTGCAACCTCCACCTCCCAGGTTCAAATGATTCTCGTGCCTCAGCCTCCTGAGTAGGCAGGATTACAGGCGCCCGCCTGCCACCACGCCGAGCTAATTTTTGTATATTTAGTAGGGACGGGGTTTCACCATGTTGGCCAGGCTGGTCTCAAACTCCTGACCTCAGGTGATCCACCCACCTCGGCCTCCCTAAGTGCTGGGATTACAGGCATGAGCCACCGTTCCCAGCCTATGATCGTGGTTCTTAAACACTTATGCATTCTAGCACCTCTCATTTGTACAGGGAAGCAAAAGGAGACTGAATTTGCCCAGTGTCAGATGGGAATGGGAACCGAGATAGATCACGACCCTTCAACTTCACTCTTTCTTCTAACCGTCAGTACATTGTCCATCTCATCCATCTGTCTATCCACCTATCCCATCTATTCAACTAGTAGTAATTCATTCATTAATTCATAAACATTTGAGTAGCTGCTTTTTTAAAAGAGTCTATGCTAGGTTGGGAAATGAGGAAGAAAGTGAGATACAAAGATAACACCTGATTTCTGTCAGTTCATTTTTAGTATATTGAGGTCTATATCAAGCTCTGCTCTCCTCTCCTCTCCTCTCCTCTCCTCTCCTCTCCTCTCCCCTCCCCTCCCCTCCCCTCCCCTCCCCTCCCCTCCCCTCCCCTCCCCTCCCCTCCCCTCCCCTCCCCTCCCCTCCCCTCTCCTCTTCTCTTCTTTTTCTTTCTCCCTGTTGCCCAGGCTGGAGTGCAGTGGCACAATATCTCATCCCACTGCAACCTCCACCTCTCAGGTTCAAAATGATTCTCCTGTCTCAGCCTCCCGAGTAGCTGGGATTACAGGTGCCCACCACCATGCCCAGCTAATTTTTTTGTATTTTTAGTAGAGACGGGGTTTCACCATGTTGGCCAGGCTGGTCTCGAATTCCTGACCTCGTGATCCACCCGCCTCAGCCTCCCAAAGTGCTGGGATTACAGGCGTGAGCCACCATGCCCAGCCTCAAGTTTTCTTAAATCCATGCTGTCTACTGATAGGTTTGTCTTGTGTTGATGTTTTCTTCTCTGTGTAGCGAATTATCTGTTTTTAGTAAGCTATAGCTTCAAGCCCCGTACCAAGTTCTCAGTAAATGTGAGTAATTATTATAATTACTGTTTAGTTTACTTCCTTCTATGTATGGCCATAAAATTTAGGAACCATTACTACATGTATCTTATCATTGCTTTCATTTTTAACTTTATTCAAGTAACCAGTGTTACAGTTGCTTATTACTCTTTCCAGAGATTTGCGCACATACAAGGAAGTATTTGTCTTGTGTGATTTTTAGTGATTATTCCATAGCAGCATAGGTAAAGCTATTTCATTCCTTTATTCTTTTAATAACTTTTTTTTTTTTTTTTTTTTTTTTCTGAGATGGAACCTCACTCTGTTGCCCAGTCTGGAGCACAGTGGTGCAATCTTGACTCACTTCCACTTCCGCCTCCCGGGTTCAAGCAATTCTACTGCCTCAGCCTCCAGAATAGCTGGGATTATAGGCGCCCGCCACCACACCCAGCTAATTTCTATATTTTTAGTACAGACAGGGTTTCATCATGTTGGCCAGGCTGGTCTCGAACTCCTGACCTCAAGTGATCCACCTGCCTCGGCCTCCCAAAGTGCCAGGATTCCAGATGTGAGCCATCACACCTGGCCCTTTTTATAACTTTATTCTTTTTTTAAGGCATAGCATTCCATTGTTCAAATATACCAGTTTTTTTAAACAAGTCTCATATTGGTGGACATTTGGATTGTTTCCACTTCTTTTGCTATTAAAAGATTGCTACAATAAAAAAATCTCCTGTGTGTATCTTTCATGCAAGTATATATATATATATATATACACACACACACACACACATATATATACACACACACATATATATGGTGTGTATATATATGGTATATATATGGTGTGTGTGTTTATATATGGTATATATATGGTGTGTGTGTATATATATGGTATATACATATGTGTATATATATGGTGTGTGTATATATATGGTGTGTGTGTATATATGTGTATATATGTATATATATACTTAATATATATACTAATATACATATATACAAATATAAACTAATATATATACTAATATATATACATATATATATACACATATATATACACACACACACCATTTGTTTTATAGTTGATATTGCCAAATCACTCCCATAGAGGTTGTACCAGTTCACATTCCCATCAGCAATGTCTGAGAGTGCCTGTTTCTCCAGACTTTGACTAACAAAGTGTGTTATCAGACTTTATGGTCTTGGCCAATCTGATAAGTAAAATGATATTTCACTCTAATTTAAATTTGTACTTGTCACATTGTTGAGTAACATTGGACATCTTTTTGAATACATTTTAGAGCTATTTGTATTTCCTTTTCTGTAAACCCTCTGTTTTTTGTATCTTTTTTTCATTTCTCTGCTGAGAAATTTTTTTTTTTTAATTTGTTGAAAGCCTTTATATATTAGAGAAAGTAACCTTTTGGGATATGAGATACTTATGTTTTCCTTTCAGTTTCATTTCTCTTTTGATTTTGTGTGCTTAAGCTTTTCACTGTATAAATATTTAAAGTGGTCATATTTAATCTTTACATCTGTGACTTCTATGTTTTGTGTCATTGTTGGAAAATCCTGCCTCATTCCAGTATTATAAAATAATTAGCTCAGGTTTACCAATTATTTAACTTTTAATTTTGAAATAATTATAGATTCGCAAAAAGTTGCAACATTACTACAGAGAGATCTGTGTAATTTTCATTCAGTTTTCCCCAAACACCGGGTATTTTTATAATTTCATTTTTACATTTGAATTTTGTATTTATCTGAAATTTGTTTTAATATGAGATATGGATTTCAATTAATTTTTTTTCCAGTTGGCTACCCATTGATCCTCACATAATTTGTTGAATAATCTGTATTTTCCCCAATAATTTAAAATGCATGTGTATCTACTATGAACTAATTCCTGCATCTACTGGTTAATTTCTTAAATATTTAAAGTATCAACTGGAAGAGAAGCTGCCATGGCATTATCATTGTACATTTTTCCAAGGGCCACATGTTGAAATAACCAGTGCTGACTTTGTGTCAAAAATCCATTTATAGTGTAATTTGGCCTATTTGGCTAGAACTGTGTGGTATTGTGGGTTGTGGTGGGGTATAGGTAAATAACATTTATTCTTTGCCCTCCAGGAGTTCACCTTGTCTTATTGATCCCAATCTATTCAGGTAAAGTCTTTAGACTATGTAGTGCTTATGGGTAACCAATTAATCCTCCCTATACTCTTTTTTTTTTTTTTGAGATGGAGTCTCGCTCTGTTGCTCAGGCTGGAGTGCAGTGATGCAATCTCGGCTCACTGCAACTTCCGCCTCCTCTGAATCCTGGTAGCAATTCTCCTATCTCAACCTGAGTAGCTGGGACTACAGGGGCCGCCACCATGCCCGGCTAATTTTTGTACTTTTAGTAGAGATGGGGATTCATCATGTTGGCCAGGCTGGTCTCAAACTCTTGACCTCAAGTGATCCAGCTGCCTTGGCCTCCCAAAGTGCTGGGATTATAGGCATGAGCCACCACACCTGGCCCTTCCCAAAACTCTTCTAAATGACATATATTATCTCCATTTTGTAGGTAATAGAGACTCAAGGATTAAAGTTGTTCCGATATCCAGTCACAGCAAGTTGGCAGAGCTCAAGCCCAGGTTCTGGTCTTTTGATTACTAGCGTTATTCCACACCATTCCAGGACATGCCTCAGATCTGCCTGAGACGTCTTTTCACTCCATTGACCTCAGATAAAAACTGCCATAACTTGTGAGCTACATCATAACTCTACTATTCCATCTTGGCTTTAGCAAACCTAAAGACTTTCACCATTTTTATTTTATTTTTAAAATAAATATTAAACACCATGGTGAAACCCCATCTCTACTAAAAAGAAATAGAAAAATTAGCCAGGCATGGTGGCGCAAACCTGCAATCCCAGCTATTTTTGAAGCTGAGGCAGGAGAATTGCTTGAGTCCGGGAGGCAGAGGTTGCAGTGAGCTGAGATCGTGCCATTGCATTCCAGCCTGGGTAACAGAACGAGACTCTGTCTCAAAAAAAAATAAATAAATTTTATTTATTTATAAAATAAATAAATTTTATTGCGTGTATTTGAGATTTACAATGTGATGTTCATGTTTACTTCCTACTTTTTAATGAAAGGGTTAAGCAAAGGTAGATAACTTCTGCAAGGTTTTTCTGATTTCACTCTGAGTGATGCTAAAGGAAAATGAAATACTCATCTGCTTATTTCATTACCTGAGTGTAAGTAGTAGATTTAGTGTATATTTAGGTTATTTAGATTTAGGTAATCCTAAAATTCTTTCCAAGCTGTGATTCTTGCTAGTATTTTCCATAGTTTTATGTTCCCATATAGGAGGAAGTGAACAAAAACATTTAAAGAATGATAAGTATTTTCATGTGGGTTATTTAGAGGGAAAACATGCTACAAATTCCTTAATCCAATTAAAATCACACTTGTTACAGAAAGTAATGTGGACCGATTATTGTATAATAGTAGTATTGATTTCAGTTCATTATGCATTAGCTTGGTAGCATATGTTTAAAGGCTACCACTTAAAATTCTGTATATGCTTTGAATTTAAGACTATCAGCTCATATGCTTTGTTAGGGTCCTCTTATAGTTTCCTGGCAATTAGCTGCAATGTAGTTCATGTGATGTTTTTCATGGGATAGGGATTTTAGGAGCAGTAAATGGGGATGGGGTGGAGGTGAGTCTCCAGCCCTGTATTTTCTGCTTACCATTCACAATTAAGCCCAGCATAGGGCTTAGTGTGGTGTTAATAAATGTTGGTTGATTGATGAAATTCATTTCACCATCTTGTTCTTCTTACTGCCCTTCACACTGGGAAGCTGTGTGCTATCATGACGAGCATAGACTGGAACCCTGAACTTTGAACACTTCCTCTACAGCTTAGTAACTGTGTGATCTGGGGCAAGTTCCTTAACTTCTCTGAGCTTCAGTTTCCTTATCTGTAGAATAAAGATAATGGTATTTCTCTGATAAGAGCTGCTAGGAAGATTGAATGTGATAATGTCAGTGGAATACCTAGCACAGTACATGACCCAGAACCTTCAGTTAGTGGGCGTTATTGTTATTCTCTTGGATAACTTGGGTAGCAACTCACTATACTCCCTTGCCTCAAGAAGTAGAGACAATAGTTGGTTTCAGGGGATGTGCCTAGTTGTACTGCTTGTGGTATGCTGGGTCAGATCCCTTTGTTTCAAGAAAACTCTGCAATCTCCTCACAGAATCTGTTAACACCTCTTTGACTTTTGAGCAATACTCCAAGATGACTACTGAGGCTGGATGAGAAGGCTGATTGTCATCTGTGGTTCTGCTTCTTCCTTATGCATTTTTGACCCATTTCACAGATTTCATAATAACTCATTATGAAAATTTTATTCTTTTCAGAACCACCGATTTTTAAAACTTTAATCAAGACAGCTTTCTTTTTGCAAAAGATTTCAATAATGAGGATTCCAGGTTGGCACAGGCTGATTTGGGCAACTGAGAAAAGTCTTTCCGACCTTTGTCAGAGAAGTAGCTTAGCTGAGTTCGTTCTTGTTGCCACCTTGCTTTTGAATCTCTTGGTTAATGTATGAAAGCAGAGGAACTGCTTTCATCTGAGGCACACAGTGGCAAAGTTCCCATGGCAGGAAATGTTTGTTCTTACAAATCTCATACATGGTGGTCACAAGGGAGACCTTCGTATTTTGTTTTGCTTGTCTGGGCTTTATCATAATTTGATGATTGTTTCAGTGTGTTTGCCTGACAGCTAACTATCTAAGAGAAAAGACTGTGATGCACTTGCCCTTAGGGACCTTCTTAGTCAGCCCCAATCTACCTGTCGAGTTTATCTCCTGCTTCCCCTCTTTGCAAATCCTTTTTGTACTACAACCAGGCTAGTGGTCTTTTAACAAGTGTTCTCTGAAGTAACAATCCCTGTTTCTGTTAACTGAAAAAAAAAAATTGATATAAACAAAAACAAAGAGTTGATGACTTCTGAGATTGGGAGGGAGGAATGGGGGCAGGTGAGAAATAACTTACTAAAGGGAAATAGAGATTTTTACATTGGAGGGCAGTAGGGAGTGTTGAATGAGAAGAGTGGAGTCAGATAGTGGAGCTGAGAACTTGGGACTTGATGTAATTTAGAATAGGGAAAGGGGAAAAGGTGATGAAAGTGGTATTTTAGGACTATATTTTTCTCTTAATAAGATTAACCCTAAGCGTAGATTTAAGGGATATATGAGTAGAGGCAAGAGTTATCCAGGCCCAGTTATAGTAATACACGTGTCAACCGAAGTTCTGGTTGTTAGCAGTGAGAATTGTGGGGAACATTTTCATTTGAGAAAAGTCAGGTTGTAACAGCTCACAGGTTGGAGGTAAAAGAGCACAGTCAAAGATGATTCTAATGGCTTGGAGTAAAAGAAAAGTCAAGCCATTAACGCCTGTGAAGGTGACGGATCAATAAACCTGTTGGTTGAAGATAGAAGCTGGGCAAGATGAGTTCCTTTTGGGATTAGTTAGGCTTCCTGTGATGGTGGAATATCCAAATTATAATGTTTATTGGCAGTTGGAGAAAATGGACTCTGGCATGGATGAAAGGTTAGGGTTCAGAGTGTAGACTTAGGAGTCATTACCATTGTTTTAGGAACAAGTAGATAGAAAGCAAAGAGAGCACCAAGGATTGAAGGGAGAAATCCTTCAGTGCAGGGGTATGAAGAAAATAACCAGCTAAACAAAACAAGCAAGAGCTGAATGATGGAAAGGCTTGAGGCCAGTGAGATGAATGCTATACTGTGGAAGCCAAGGTCAGGGCTGTGAGAAGGAAGGAGAGGTCAACAATGAGGGACTGCAGGCAGATCAGAGTAGACAAAAACTTAGGATAAGCCTTTAGGTTTAGCAAGAGGGAGGTTCTCAACCTTTGTGTACAATTCCAGTGAGAGAGGAAACCTTTAACCAAGCAAGATGATTATCTGAGAAGAGTCACACCTTCCATGAGGAATACCTTTAGAGATGCTGTGATCCAGAATCCCTGCCATGCTAAATCACAGTCTGTCATATCTACTCAAGAACAATTCCTTTCCCTTATTCCATTATCATATGCCTATTCTTTTTTTTTCCAATTAAATTTTGCAGCTTGTCCTCTCCAGCCTAGAGAGGGCTTGTCACTATTGTTATTGAACAACATAGGTCACAACCAGTTAAATTTTTTTCTATTCCAACACATTTTCTGATGAAAATTAAATATATACCAAGCAATAAATTTGGTTCTCTATTGTCAAACTTAACAGCAAGAAACTCTTTGTTACATTGTACTATTTCATTTTCTCTCAAGATAACATTTTATTCTTTATATTTCCTTTTCTTTATTTAATTAATTTATTTATTTTGAGAGATAGGATCTTGTTATGTTGCCTAGGCTGCAGTGCAGTGGCACAATCATTGCTCACTGTAACCTCAAACTACTGGGCTTCAGTGGTCCTCTTGCCTCAGTCTCCTGAGTAGCTGGGACAACAGGTGTGTGCCATCATGCCCAGTTAATTTTTTAAAAACAATTTTGTAGAGATGAGGTCTCCCTGTGTTGTCCAGGCTGGTTTCAAACTCCTGGCCTCAAGCAATCCTCCTGCCTTGGCCTCCTAAATTGCTGAGGTTAAAGGTCTGAGTGACTGTACCTGGAATTATATTTCTCATTTATGTTTTTTTCTATAATTTATCTTAGATTAAGATTGAGATTAGGTGTCTTACCCTTTATGTTGCTATAAGAGAATACTAAAGAATGGGTCATGTATAAGAAAAAAATTATTTCTTACAGTTCTGGAGGCTGGAAGTCCAAGGCCAAGGGGCTACATCTGGTGAGGGCCTTCTTGCTGGTGGTGCTCTCTACAAAGTCCTGAGGTGGTACAGGGCATCACATGGTGAGGGGGCTCATGAGAGTTGGCTAGACTGGCTTTTATAACAGACTCACTCTCCTGGTAAATAACTCACTCCCTCAATAACCCGTTAATCCATACATCCATGAAGACAAAGGTTGATGGCCTTTGTGTGAGTTATACAGGCCCCAGTTTTTCAGCTTCTAATCTTTTATTCTTGGTATGTCATTATTTATTTATTTTTATTTTTACCTTTTCCATTTCCCCTTTCAGGAATATGTCATTATTTATTAGTCTAACAAAATGTAGTGGGAAAGAGGAAGACACCTTCTACTTATCAGAAAATAAGTCAGATGGACTACTTGCAAAAGACACTGAAGCCAATAAAGAGAAACACTTAGAATGCCCAGTATGCTAATGACTATACTATCTTCTATGCTATATATAGTAGTATATATATAGTATGTGCATAAACACACACATACTATATACTGGTTTTTTCCTTCTAGGTATGAATGTTCATAGTTCAAATGAATAAAATGCAGCTAATTTGCAAAGTTTTTTTTAAAAAAAGTACAACTGACCTTAATGAAAACACATTCCTCAAGTTTTTGAGAATCAAATCTCAGTAAAGAAGATCTTTTGAGAAGATAAATACAGCCTCTCAGTAAAGGGCAGAAGCACAAATAGAATACAGTTAGACAACAGAAAGTTGAGAGGTTGACCTGGTCATGTGAATTATTTACAGATAAATATACCTTATTTACTTACTCTTCTAAGTTAAAATTGAAACTGAGAAAATTGGGCCTTCTTACTGCCCAGTACAGCTATGAGAATTTCTTTACTGATTGACGAATGCCATGGATATTTAGTCCTTGACTCACCTCCCCTGGGTCGGTACTGTGCACAATACAAATTTGCTTAAGAAGCCCTTCCACCCTACCCTACAAGAACTTACAAAATTCTAGGTGAGGTAAAACATATCCACAAATGAAATGCAGTATAATGACTCCCAAATATAGAGGTATGTGCAGGAGTTAGAACCAAAATATTAATAACTAGTGTGGCATGGATGTCCAATGAATCAGATCAGATGCCAGCCCTGAAAAACTGACCTGCCTGTCCTAAAGCACAAGAGTGGAATATCAGTACTGGTTACATATAATGTGCTGTAGGATTGCATATTTGTATAATTTAGTAATTGATTCCACAGAATAATCATGTATAGGTAATGGGCAAATCTATCATCAGTTTTGAATAAAATAATGTTTCTAACATGAATTCTCTGTAGAAGCTTTTTAAGCAGAAATTTAGATAAGCAGTGGGCTTAGAAAAATCCACATGAAAAGCCTTTAATAAATGAATGAATTCATCATCTCCCTTTCCCTTCAGTATGTGATTCCAGTGTCCATGTCCTCACCCATGAATGGGAAATGAAGGTGTGTGTTAAGTATTGAAATATAGCAGGAGGAGGATCCTAGGGGTACTGCCTTAAACTGGGCCAACCTGCTTTTTTAGTTCTTCTGCCCACAAATGTTTTCCTTCATACTATAAGAAATGCTCCATTTTCTTAAGTACCTAAAACATTCAAAGATTCATTTGTGTTAACAAGCCTCAAGTGAAGTTCCACTGGCCACAAATGCAAAGCAGGCAGGCAAGATAAAGTTTGTTTTTTCTCACTGAGCGATAGTTTGAGGGCTGATAATTTGTTTATAGTCATTTTTTCCTGTAGCCCAAGGACATGGAAAGTGAAAAAAAGAAGAATTCAGGAACCTGAGTTGTAGAGTTCAATATTCATACCAAGATTCATTCCACCTCATAGGTTGCATCCCATTCCCTTTAAGGCATTTTTATCTGTTCACCAGTGTATGGAGTTTCCATAATCAGAATCAACCCTGTTGTTCCATTCACCACCTGGAGAAAAAAAAATTAGGATTGTTAGTCTGTTTGCTTCTCCTCCAATGTGAGGCTATGGTTTCTCTATTTTCCTACTTTTTTTCTGATTTCCTGTGAAATCAAAGCTTTTGCCTTAGGCATATACATAAACACTCATGCAATTTCAGCTTCTCCTCTTCCACCAACTTTTCTTGGCCTTACAAATGTATTCAAGATGTTTTTGTCCTTGAAATAAATCTGTCCTTCACTCTACTATCTTCTTTCTTCCTCCTATAAATAAGTATCTTGAGTAACTGGGTCATAGAAAGGGAGTGATCCCAGAAGTCAGTTGAGCTGAGTGTTGGGTCCAACTCTTTATTGGAAAATCCTTCAGAACCTCAGTCGTCACAGCTAGACAAGCTCTAGAAGTCCTTCCATTCAAACCTTCCTCTGGGATAAATTTATATTTATCAAGACTAGCTACTTTCAATGCCTCCTCACTCCTTGGGGCCTGGGTTTGATTTCTGCCACCCAACTGTGTATTATACTGTAGAAGTTTATAAATTTAGCTAGTTTCAAAATTCAGTAGGTTTTTTCTTCATCCATATTCACTCAACACTGGAGAACTAGTTTTCTTCCTTAGATTCTTCGACATACCAATACCAGTTGTCATCTTAACATTCTTTTTCTTTCTTTCATTTTTAAACATTTTAAAATAGAGTTGTCAGACATACACAGAGGTAGATATTAACACCCATGTACTATCATCAACCATTCTCAAAAATTGTCAACATTTTACCAGTCTCTTAATATTATTTTTTAAAGAAAAAACCATTTTGTTCTCATAACATTTCCATCACCCTCCAGAATTGTCTTGTGCTGCACTTTGTAATGAACTCCCCTCCATCCTCCAACCCCAGCAACTTCTGACATGTTCTCCAACTTTATAGTTTAGCTTTCTCCAGAATTTCATAGATGAATTTTATAGTATGTATTCTTTGGAGTCTGGCTTATTTCACTTAACAGAAATACAGTTCAGATTCATCCATGTTGTATCAGCAGCCTTTTTCTTTTTATTGCTGAGTAGTAATTCATTGAATGGATATACCACTGTTTGTTTATCCATTTATTAGTCAAAGAAAATTTCAGTTGTTTATTATTTTGGGTGACTATGAATAAAGTCACTATAAACATTCATGTACAAGTTTTGGAATGAATATAAGTATTTCTTTGTCTTGGGTTAATATTAAGAGTAAAATTGCTGGGTCATATGCTAAGTATATGGGATTTTAATAGGAATTGTGTTGACCAATTTAAGAGAATTGATATCTTAACAATATTAAGTTTTCCAAACCATGAACATGGTATCACTTACCATTTATTTAGGTTTTCTTTGATTTCTTTAATTTGATTTTTCTGCATAGATGCATAAGAATTTTTTCTTATTCTTTGAGTTCATCAATTTAACCAGGATTTGTCTTGCTATTGATTGTTATGCATCAGATTATCTTACAACCTTGTTTTCTCAGTCTGTCTATAAAGTCAGTAGGAAATTATTTTTTGTCATGTATTTGAATATGTTACTTTTTCTTTTGTTGAATCGTGTACTTTAGAAAGACCAATTACCCTTTTATGGGATCATCTTTGCCCTTCTTTTTTTTTTCTATTAGTTTAACCTTTATCATTTTCATTTGAACACTTCAGGTTTTCTTCTATACCTAGAAATCACTGTTTGGTTGTGAATACTCTGTTTCTGGCTGTTTCTGATTTATCTTTTAGTGTGCTAATGAGCTTTGGTCCTCAATTTGTTTCATTGGTCCTACAGTCTCCCATTCCATTTTATTCTTTTTTTTTTTTTTTTTTTTTTTTTTTTTGAGACGGAGTCTCACGCCCAGGCTGGAGTGCAGTGGCATGATCTCGGCTCACTGCAGCCTCTGCCTCCCGGGTTCACACCATGCTCCTGCCACAGCCTCCCAAGTAGCTGGGACTACAGGTGCCCACCACCATGCCCGGCTAACTTTTTGTATTTTTAGTAGAGACGGGGTTTCACCATGTTAGCCAGGGTGGTCTCGATCTCCTGACCTTGTGATCCACCTGCCTCGGCCTCCCAAAGTGCTGGGATTACAGGCGTGAACCACCGCGCCCGGCCCCATTTTATTCTTTTATCATTTTATGAATACATGTTTTTAACTCAAAACCCTTCTGGAGAATTTCCTTTTGTTCCTTTAGTTACCTTTTGTTGTTCTGGGTTCTTTTTTGTCTGCTGTGTCCTTTTTGCTTTGGTTTCTTTCCCCCCACAGTTTATTTGTAAAGTTTTCTAGTGATTTTTTTTTTTTCATCAAATGAATATTAGGGCACTTCTGGTCAGACCACATACTTGGTCTGATACAGTTTGGGTGCTTTGCTGTCTCTTTCCCTCAGTGTTTTTGAGCCAGTTTGTTTTTTCTCACTGAGCAATAGTTTGAGGGCTGATAATTTCAGTTTATAGTCATTTTTTCCTGTAGCCCAAGGACATGGAAAGTGAAAAAAAGAAGAATTCAGGAACCTGAGTTGTAGTGTTCAATATTCATAGCAAGATTCATTCCACCTCATAGGTTGCATCCCATTCCCTTTAAGGCATTTTTATCTGTTCACCAGTGTATGGAGTTTCCATAATCAGAATCAATCCTGTTGTACCATTCACCACCTGGAGAAAAAAAAAACAAAATTAGGATTGTTAGTCTGTTTGCTTCTCCTCCGATGTGAGGTTACTTGTGAGGCTTCTCAGGCTCTTTTGCATCCCCAGTGCAGCTGGGGGAAGAGGCCATGTTGGGTTAGGAACCCTGCCGTGTTGTAGATGCCACTCTGCTCCCGACCCTTTCCTGGGCCACAGCGTTTTGCAATTTAGAACATTTGTATGTAGCCCTTCCTTATTTGGTTGCCTCTGTGAAATTCTGTGGGCAGTTTTTCTTTTGACCATTTATTTTTCTTTTTTCTGTATTTGCAGCTGCTACCAATACCAAAGTAGAAGCTCCCTTCTGCAGCTCTCTGACTTGCTTCTTTATGTTTGTCCCTGGATTCTCTTTCTATTTCCCCAGCATGGGTGTTCCCTGAGGGGCTGCCTCCCTGTGAACATAAAGATGGCAGTTCACAAGCCAAGGAGAGAGACCGCAAACAGTTCCTTCAGCCCTCAGAAAGAACCAACCCTACCAACACTTGATTTTAGACTTCTAGCATCCAGAACTGTGAGACAATAAATTTCTGTTACTCTTTTTTTTTCATCATTTCTTTTTCTTTTTTTGCAGTATTTGAAGCTCCTACCAGGCAGCTTCCTTCTGCACCTTTCTGGCTGTTGCTTCTTTAAATTTGTCTCAGCTGCTCTTCCTGATTCCTAAACATGGGTGTCCCCTGAGTGCTGCCCTTTGCCATGTCTCCTTCTATATTATTTCTCACAGAGATTTAGTCTGCTCCCATGACAATGATTGCCTCTTTTTATAGGTAACCCTGGCTTTAATCCTGGGCTCCAATTCTGGATTTTTCTTCAAGTTGAGTGAACATCTTCACTTTGGTGTATTAGTTTGCTACAGCTGCTGTAATAAAGTGCCATAAACTAGGTAGTTTAAGCAACAGATATTTATTACCTCATGGTTCTGAAGATGAGAAATCTGAAATCCAAGTGTTGTTAGGGTTGGTTCTCTCTGAGGGCTTTGAGGAAAGGATCTGTTCAGGCCTCTCCCTTGGCTTATAGGTGGGTGCTCTTCCTGTGTGCATGTCTGTGTCTAAATTTCCCCTTTTTATAAAGACCCCAGTCATAGTGGATTAGGGACCACCTAATGACCTCATTATAATTTGATGACTTCTGGAAAGACTCTTTCTCCAAATAAGGTCACATCCTGAAGAACTGGAGGTTAGGACTTTAACATACAATGTTGGGAAGACACAGTTCAATCCATAACACTTGGATATTTACTCATATCACACATGTTTCCTGCTACATGCCAGGCGTTGGTCTAGGCCCTGGGAATATGGACATAATGAGGCTCAGTCTCTTTCCTCTTCATGAGTAGAAAAGATAAGAATAGATTTGCAATACTATATACAGGAAGTGATCCCATAGATGAGAGATTCTTTTGAGGATACCTTAGTGGCACACCTAGCCCTGACTGGCTGAATCAAGAATGACATTTCAGAGGAAGTGATGCTTATGCTGGATCCTTCCCAGTAGGATGCAATACTGGCTTATGCTGGATCCTTCCCAATAGATGCAATAGTGTGTAATTGCTCTCCCTGCTTTTAAACCACACCCTTAGTTACCCAGCCCTGGATTCCACCACCCAGACAATCTTTTCAAAGCACCACATTGATTAAGACATTTCTCAGTTGAGAAACCTGTAATGACTCCTCATGGTCAACAGAACTAACTCTAAAAAAATTATTTAGCCTGGCTGGCCTTTGGTTCCTCCAGAATCAGGTGCCACCACTGTAATCTACCTTTCCTGTCTTGATCTTCCTATTGTTTCCATCCTTAGCCCTGTATGTTACCAAGTTGTAGTAACAAACATTTTGGAGACACATCTGCAACTTTTCATAATCTCATGAAGCCAGGATTTTTGTTTTGTTTCCTACTGTATCATTGTCACCTAAAAAAGTGTTTGGCCTATAACATATACTTCAGAATATTGGTTGAATAAGCGAATGAATTTTCTCTACTTGCAGTGCAGGCCTCTCCTTTCTCTCAGCTGTGCACATTTTTGCCCTGTTGAAATTTTATTCCCAGGGCTCAGCTCATGTACACTTTCCTCCATTATGCCTTTCTTCTAGGTCACATGTGGATACAGATGTGACTCTTCATTCCTAAAGACTTTTGCAGTCTGTGTGAACTGTTTGCATGCCCCTGCATTCTGCTTCGCATTGTAGAAATCTGAGTAGGTGCCTTTTACCTGCCAGATTCAGTTGTTTGAATTTAGGAACCATATTTTAAAAATAATATTGTGTCTTGCTTAGCACTTTCTTGCACAATAATAGATGCCTAAAAGTTAATTTGTGTTTGAGGAGAAAATGAATGAGAGGAGTATTTTGTATTTGTTTCAAAAAAGTGGGGAAGAAGGCCTAAGAAATGGAGCATTTGGTCTGTCCCTCTTGCTTTCCCTTATTTTTCTGAGTTTACAACATCTTTAAATTCATTCAGCAGATATTTCTTAAGCACTTGTTCTATTCGAGACTAGGACTATTGAAGTCCTAGCACTTAAATTACAAACAAGAATTAAACTGCCTTTGGGGTACTTATCACTTCTTCTGATAGAGAGACTTCCCAGTTGGTCCCAGTGGTCACTATCATCTGTACAGTTTTTAAGATGCTTTTCTTAATACTCACATTTATTCATCCCAGAGTCTAGACTCTTTGCACATGTTGAGGCTGCCTGAGAGTAGGGCCCTTGTCTTTATCCTCCCATTCCGCACTGCCTAGCACTGAGCTTATACGTGATGGCAACTTCAGTGGGTCCTTTATTTCCCCTAAAGATTCTCTGACTCTTTTCTAAGTTTGCCCTGTCTCTCCAATTATAGAATGATGAGTTAGGACCAGAGACTCCAGAAGGATACTGATTGCTCTGCTTAGATTCAGAGGCCCTCTATTATCAATAAGAGTAAAAATAAGCGCAATTAAGTAGCACAATGTTTAGCACTCGTGCTAAGGTTTTTACGTGAATTGTATTTTCTACTGGGGCCTGTTGCTATATCATTGGCTTCTAGGACTCCTTCATTTCTTACAAGTTGTCACGTTAACATGTTGAGGTTGGTGAGTGAACATCTAGTTTGTTTGCCTCTGCTCAAACTCAAGAGTCATGATTATACTGAAGAGCTTGTGCCAAACAGAAATGGAATCTGAATTACTTTGGTGGGTCATGCACATATATTATCTTTTCTAGAGGCATTTAAGTCTTAATCCCTTTATGAAGGGAAAATGAGGAAGTGAAAATTGAGATGAAATAATGGAGTAGTAGGGAGTGGAAAGGATGGTAAAAATACTTGTTTTGAGGTTCTGTTTGACGTGGAAATGACTACTCTTAAACTTGATTGAAAGACAGACCTGAGTTAATTCATATAGAAAATGTGGTAATATGTTCTATTATGTCATTGTTATTGGGGGATGGGAAACATCTATTTTATTTAAATATGTTGTATACCCATCAGAACAACATGAGTTCATGGAAGTGATATAACAACAATTACAAGTAGTAGCCCAACCCTATGCTGTCTGTGTTTAGGTTTATAGTGTGTTATGGGTATCAGAGAGACAATGGCACAAGATACTTCTAAATAGCAGGTATGTAATTCACTAACAAGTCTTATATGGTGTTGCAAAGTATGTTTATCAGGCATACTTAACATATTCACTTATTAATCATGCTTTGTTTAAACGAAAATCAAGATTAGTTTATCCTGAGCACCTATCAGCAGGAAAGGTAGAGATCACTTGGATAGGCTCAGGCTGTCAGCTTCAGTTTATACTTGAAATGACACTGCAGAGTAATCTCTGTGTCATGGCTACAGCCAACATTGTCTCTCAACCTTCCTTCTTCCATGTGAGCTACCCACTCTTCTTCCTTATTCTGGGATTCTCCTTTCTCCCTGAGGTCATGTGCTTCCCCTTGTGACTTGTGGGATGGGATGGAATGGTAAATATAATGTAGATTAACCAAGGAATCACTGCAGTCCCAGTGTTGTTGTTGTTGCTGTTTTCAGTGCGTGGTTTAAATGTTGGCATGTGATGCAATTCTGGGAAGGGACATTTAAGGGCCTCTGGAGGAGGATTGAGAAGGATTTTGAAGCTCCCAAAAAGAGACACAAAGAAGTTCCCTTTCACTGCTCTAAATAAAGGTGTATGAGAATGTGCTATTTGGAAGGGTTGCTACTGTCTTTTTCCGTAAAAATGACAAAAGAGAATTTTGCCAACTCAGGAGAACTGCCATATCTTTGGACTTCTTATACTATGAGAAAACACATCCCCTTACTGGTTAAGCCATTATGAGTTTTCTGTTACTTGCAAATGAAAGCATCTTCCCTGATTCTGTAACATTGCCATTTGAAAAATAGAAAGTTAGGTGTTTAGTATCTTTGACATTTCTTCATCAATTTTGTTTGCCTAAATGACAAGGCTTATGGTCTAATTTTCTGTAATTTACTAAGATATAAGATATAGTAGTGATTTTCTCTTTCACAGATACTTAGGAACTTCAAGCAGTCGTCCCAGATATAAAAGGTTAGTTTACATCCTGGATATATGTGCTGATTCAAAGATCTGTCCCCATATTTCACATCTCTTGTGAGTTCTTTTGAAATCCTAGATTAATCTTTTCCAGCATTGATTGCACCTCCTATTCCTGCCCTTCTTGACCCAGATGCCTTATCGTTCCTGAGTGACCTTCTTTAACTGAATCCTTTGTCATGTATTTTATGCCTGTTGCTCATGTTGTCATGGGTGTCGTCATGTCTGAGAATGATTTATGAAGCATTAAGAAAAGATTCTCAAACCTGGCCCATCAGAATTTTCCCAAACATTAACTGAATCCAAATCTCTCCCTGGGTGATTCTGATTTTCAACCAGGTTTAAGAACCACTGACATAAGGGATATAAAAGAAAAATTGTACTGACCCAATCCCATACCTAAAGTAAATGGTTTCAAATCTCACTTGACAAACTCACAAGTCTGTATTAGAGTCCTCCAGAGGGACAGAACCAATAGGATATATGTGTGTGTGTGTGTGTGTATATATATATATATATATATATATATATATATATATATATATATATATATATATATGAGAGTTTATTAGGGAGAATTGGCTCACAGGGCAAAGTCTCAACAATAGGCCATCTGCAAGCTGGAGAAAGAGAGAGAAGCTAGTAGTGTCACTCAGTCCAAGTTCAAAAGCCTCAAAACTAGGGAAGCCAACAGTGCAGCCCTCAGTCTGAGGCCAAAGGCCTGAGAGCCCCTGAGAGGCCACTGGTGCAAGTTCCCAGAGTCCAAAGGCCAAAGAGCCTGGAATCTGACATTCAAGGGCAGGAGGAGATGGAGTAAGCGTCCTGCAAGGGAAGAAAGACTGAACAGACTCAGCAAGCTGCTTATCCTTCCTTCTGCTCGCTTTGTTCTAGTTTCTTCATTTTTTTTTCTTTTTTTTTGAGACAGGATCTTGTTCTGTCACCCAGGCTGGAGTGCAGTGACACGATCATGACTCACTGCAGCCTTGACCTCCCGGGCTCAAGCCATCGTCCTGCCTTAGCCTCCTGTATAGCTGAATCCACAGGTGTGCGCCACCATGCCTGGCTAATTTTTTAATTTTTTTGTAGAGATGGAGGCTCACTTTGTTGCCCATGCTGGTCTTCAACTCCTGGGCTCAAGTGATCCCCTTGCCTTGGCCTCCCAAAGTGCTGGGATTACGGATGTGAGCCACCACACCTGGTACTCTTTAGGGTTTTCTAGTTGTAAGACCCTATTGGCTGCAAGGAGACACATTAACTTCTTCCTTTCTGATTTGGATGCCTTTTTATTTCTTTTTTGCATAATTGCTGTGGCTAGATCCTCCAGTCAGCCCTTCACATCTGTGGGGGATTGGTTACAGGACCCTGTACCAAAATCCGAGATTCCTCTAGTCCAGGCCAGGCATAGTGGCTCATGCCTATAATCTGAGCACTTCGGGAGGACAAGGTGGGAGGATCACCTGAGCTCAGGAGTTTGAGACCAGCCCGGGCAACATAGTAAGACACCCATCTCTACAAAAAATAAAAAATTAGCCAGGCATTGTGGCATATGCCTGTAGTCCCAGCTACTCGGGAGGCTATAGTGGGAGAATTTCCTTAGCCCAGGAGATCAAGGCTGCAGTGAGTCATGACCATGCCACTGCACTCTAGCCTTGGTGACAAAATGAGACCCTGTCTCCAAATAAATACATAAATCGGTAAAACATTTTTAAAAATTAGAATGCTTAATGGTGTAATACAGTTGACCTTCCATAACTGAGGATTCCACATCCACCAACAGTGGATTGAAAATATGTACAATTGGCCCTCTGATTCCATGGATGCAGAACCCATGAATATGGAGGGAAGACTACTATGTTGAATAGAAGTGGTGAGGGCACAACAAAGAGGTCATTCAAACACGCAGTGAGATGGTTGCTACCTGCAAGCCAAGAGAAGAGACTTCAGAATGAGACCTTATCTTGCTGGCACCTTGATCGTGAACTTCCAGCCTCTAGAACTGTGAGAAATAAATTTCTATTTTTTAAAACAAACAACAAAAAAAGTGGTGAGAGTGGGCATCCTTGTCTTGATCTTAGAGGAAAAGCTTTCAACTCTTTACTGCTGAGTATTATGTTAGCTTTTTATATATGGCCTTCATTGTTTTGAGGTTTCTTCTAAACTGAATTCATTGAGTTTTTATTATAAAAGGATGCTGAATTTTGTCAAATGCTCTTTTTGCATCGATTGGAATGATTATGTGGTTTTGGTCTTCCATTTTATTAATGTGGTATATCACATTTATTGATTTGCATTTGTTGAACCATCCTTGTATCCTAGGGATAAATCCCACTTGATCATAGTGAATGATCCTTTTTATGTGCTACTGAATTTGATTTGCTTGTATTATCTTGAGGATTTTTGCCAGTATGTTCATCAAGGGTATTGACCTGAAGTTTTCTTTTTTTGTAGTGTCCTTGTCTGGTTTTGGTATCTGAGTAATGCTGACCTTATGAAATGAGTTCAGGAAGTATTCCCTCCTCTTCATTTTTTTTTCGAAGAGTTTGAGAAGAATCACTATTAGTTATACTTTTTTTTTTTTTTTTTTTTTTTTGAGATGGAGTTTTGAGCCCAGGCTGGTGTGCAATAGCGTGATCTCAGCTCACTGCAACCTCCGCCTCCCAGGTTCAAGTGATTCTCCTGCCTCAGCCTCCCGAGTAGCTGGGATTACAGGCATGCGCCACCATGCCCGGCTAATTTTGTATTTTTAGTAGAGACGGGGTTTCTCCATGTTGGTCAGGCTAGTCTCGAACTCCTGACCTCAGGTGATCCGCCCGCCTCAGCCTCCCAAAGTGCTGGGATTACAGGCATGAGCCACCACACCCGGTCTATTAGTTATTTTTTAAATGTTTGGTAGAATTTAACAGTGAAGTTATCAGGTCCTGGACTTTTATTTTATGGGAGGTTTTTGATTACTGACTTGATCTCCTTACCCTTGTTGGTCTGTTTAGATTTTCTCCCGCTTCATGATTTAATCCTGGAAGGTTATATGTTCTAGGAGTGTATCCATTTATTCTGGGATATGTCGGTGTATCATTTTTCACAGTAGTTCTTATGATCCTTTGCATTTCTGTGGTCTCAGTTGCAATGTCTCTTCTTTCATTTCCAATTTTATTTATGAATACTCTTTTTTTTCCTTCGTGCAGCTAAAGGTTTGTCAGTTTTGTTGAACTTTTTAGATAACCAGCTCTTAGTTTTGGTGATCTTTTTATTGTTTTTCTAGTCTTTATTTCCTTTATTTCTACTCTAATCTATATTGTTTTCTTGCTTCTGCTGACTTTGTTTTTCTTTTTCTAGTTTCTTGAAGTGTAATGTTAATTATTTATTTGAAGTTTTTTTTCTTTTCTATTATAGGCATTTAAACTTCCCTCTTAGAACTGCTTTTGTGGCATCCCATAAGTTTTGGTAAGTTGTATTTTCATTTTCATTTGTCTCAATATTTTTAAATTTCCCTTTTGATTTCTTTTTTGACCATGAGTTGTTCAGGTGCATGTTGCTTACTTTCCATGTATTTGTGAATTTTCCAGTTTTCTTCCTGTTATTGATTTGTAGTTTCACACCATTGTGACAAGAAAAGATGCTTGATATGATTTTAGTCATCTTAAATTTGGTAAAACTTGTTTTGTGGCTCAATATATCATCTGTCATGGAGAATGTTCTGTGTACACTTAAGAAGAATGTGTATTTTGCTGTTGTTGGATAGAACGTTCAGCACATGTCTGTTAAGTTCATTTAGTCTAACGCGTACTTCAAGTTCAATGTTTCCTTATTTATTTTATGTCTTCATGATTTATGCAATGTTGAAAGTAGGACATTAAAGTCCCCTACTATTATTGTATTGTAGTCTCTCTCTCTTTTCAGATCTATTAATCTTTGCATTATTTTTGGTGCTACTATGTTGGGTACATATGTATTTATAATTGTTATATTCTCTTGATGAATTGACCCCTTTATCACCATATAATGATCTTATCTCTTGTGACAGTTTTTGACTTAAAGTCTATTTGGCCTGATATAAGAAAATAATTTTTTTTACAGCTTTATTTTTATTTCAAACTTTTATTCCTTGAGGTGGTAGAAAACTATTTTAGTCCACTTTAATCTCTAAGCACCTCCCCTCCACCCTCAGCAAGTTAAAAAAGCTTCTGTAGTATCAAGGTAATTGGGAGGAGGAGCCCTTTAATCCTCCATGTTCTCTGTCTACATTGCCATCCTTTGAGATATCCAGGGTCCCATCACGTCTTTGACCACTTGTGCTTGCAGATCTGAAGAGATGTATGTTGTTTCTACTTTTATGACTTCTTCATTTTCTATGGCTCTTCTGCAATACTTCCGTAAACCCAGAAAATCTGAAAGGTTTCTCAGTTAATTTTGAAACTTTATTTGCCAAAGTTGAGGACACGTATCTGTGACACAGCCTCAGGAGGTCCTGACAACATGTGCCCAAGGTGGTCGGGGCACAGCTTAGTTTTATACATTTTAGGGAGACATGAGACATCAATCAATGTATGTAAGAAGTACATTGGTTTGGTGTGGAAACGCGGGACAACTCAAAGCAAAGGCAGGAAGACTCGAAGCAGGGAGGGGGCTTCCAGGTCACAGGTAGGTGAGAGACAAAGGGTTGCTTGCATTCTTTTGAGTTTCCGATTAACCTTTTCAAAAGAGGCAATCAGGTATGCATTTATCTCAGTGAGCAGAGGATAACTTTGAAAAGAATTGGGGGCAGGTTTGCCCTAAGCAGTTCCCAGCTGCTTTTTCCCTTTAGTGACTTTGGGGGCCCAAGATATTTTCCTTTCCCATTTCCATGCCTATTGGGGGTGCTCAGATGTCCTTGTACTGCACTTGCACCAGACTGGAGCAAAAGAAACTTTCACTGGCTGCCTAAAGTCCCATTGGCCACTTGTCCCAACTCTGCCCAGGCAATAGTGCCTGACCTCTCCTGCTCTTGCCTCCTGTTATCCTACCTGGCACTTCCTCAGGGCTTATTACCTTTCTCTCTGGGATCTGTACTAACTCCTTTCCTCGGACTCTCCTTCCCTCAAGCCTGAAGGATGCTTTTCTGTGCCAGGAGGCATGGGCACCTCTTGTCTCTGCCCTGTGTTCTGTATGGCTAAGTGCCTAAGCTTTTGTAACCCAAAAGCTAAGACAAAACTTTCTTTGCTTTCTGCTGTTCTCTTTTACTTCCAAGGCAGTGTGAACAACCTATTCAATGGAGAGAAATGGCAAAAAGAGAATGGAGGGTGATACATAAAATACCAAGGAGAAATGTGGGTTAGTATACATGAGCCATCAAAACAAAACACAAAATCCTGTGTAATAGGTGGAATGGACATGTATTTTTGCTTCTGTAATGTGTGTGTGTATAGTATGTATATATTGCCGCATACACACATGCGTATGTGTTATAATTAGCAAATTTGAAAATTTGTCATTTGAAATAATTTTTTACTGAGGCTGTTCCACATTCTAGGTTTGCTTCCTTTTAATTGGAGTTATAATAAGTGACAATTCCAGCAGATAAACTATTCTGCTGGAATATATACATCTAAATGAGTGTTTCCTCAAAAATATTCACTTCAGACTACTATATATCTTTTCCACTAATATTGCCATAGCCCCAAACATTTCCCAAGTTGTTTTTGGAATTGTTCTTGTTTTATAAACCATAAGCTGAAAATGTCCGTAGTAAATTACTTTTTCATTAAACCCAGCTCTATTCCCCACCCTTTCCCACTTCATTGATTAAAATACAGCTCCACTTGATCCATTTGCCTCTAAACCAACCTTAACTTTTGATTAGTTATGAACTTGTTGTGTAGAAGCAGTAGGCAAAGATTTTTCCTCCTTTAAAACCATTTAAATGAAATTCTGAAAAACTCAAGTTGATTTTTAAAGAAAAGCTCAAAAATTGTTTTGATGACTGTATCACTCACACAAATGTGTAATTGCCAAAGTGATTACGCTGAAGCAAACTTTTATTTGAATGAATACATGTTGGTAGCTTCCTTTAGAACAATAGTTCTCAACTTGGGAGGATTTTGCCCCACAGGGGACGTTTGGCAATTTCTGGAAATGTTTTTGATCATCTCAACTGGGGACGACTTGTTCCTGGCACTCGTGGATGGAAGCCAAGTTGTGGTTCTAAACATCCTACAATAATCAGGACACTTCCCCACAACTAAGAATTGTCTGCCCCCAAATATCAATACTGTCGAGGTTGAGAAATCCTGCTTTAAACAAATAATTACTTTATAGTCATCCCCCATGTTTTAATATACTTCAGAGCTGCTGGTCACTTTCCTCCAGCCTCACAGCCTCTTTGAGATTTTGTTTCTGCTAAAGTATAAAGGATGGGGACGAGAGTGGGGAACCAGTTCCAGTGAGAAAACAGATGAGGAAGGAAATACTAGGAAATGTGTGGATTAATATCTAGGTGGAAGTTTCCCTAGCAACCTTTGAATTCTTACTAAGAAGTTTATTACTTATCTCAGGGATTTTTCCTGCCAAAGATGGTAGGAGCAGAGACTTGGGGCCTCTGATTTTCTAGGGTCATAACCCAGAGAGAGACTGTCTATACAATACTGTTACCGTGCATGGATCTTTGTTCTTAGAGCTCCCAAGATGGTGGCGGGCTGCTCCCAAGATGGCGGCAAGCCTTTTGTTCTCTGACCTGGGGTTCTTGGCCTCACAGATTCCAAGGAATGGAACCTTGGGCCATGCGGTGAGTGTTACAGCTCTTTTAGAAGCCGTGGGTCACGGAAGAGAACCGTGGAACCTAGCGACTAGTGTTCAGCCTGGTTAGGATGAACCTGGGCACTTAGCCATGCAGGAACAATGACGAGCCTCTAGCCCGATTGGGAGTGGCAATGGGCGCCTCACTGGATCAGAAGCACAGTGGACACCCTGCCGGATCCGGAGGGTTGGAAGTCAGTGGCGAGTCTCCGACATCGGCATTCAGCCCTGGTGGATGGTGAGCGAAAGTTCAGCTTGAGCCAGAACAAACACGGACCAGAAGAGTGTGCAGTTGCAAGATTTAATAGAGTGAAAACAGAGCTCCCATACAATGGGAGGGTACCCAAAGAGGTTGCCGCTCCCTGCTGGAATGCCTGGGGTTTATATCCCAATCATTGTCCCTCCCCCGTGCTCTCAGGTGATATATATGATTTGACTATTTCTTTATCTCCTGCTTTTAGTGTTAATTTGTATTTTAGTGAGCCCTGTTTACTACCTGATTCGTTGGGTGTGAGCTGAGTTACAAGCCCCGTGTTTAAAGGCCGGTGCAGTCACCTTCCCCAGCTAGGCTTAGGAATTCTTAGTCGGCCTAGGAAGTCCAGCTAGTCCTGTCTCTCAGTACCTTCCTCTCGGGGAGGCTTTCACCACCCTCTGGGCTGTGATCCCACTGCCCCATTCTGACTCACATCTGGACTTCCCTGTCCCTATCTAATCAGTCACAGTTAGCTGCCTTTGCCTTTTTATTCTCCACACTGCTTTTGCTCAACAGCTTCTGCATTTGAAGGCATGTTCTGATCCGTTCTTTATTAAGGATTTATTATTTCTGCGGAATAGCTTGATTTGCCCTGTACCCTTCTCCTCCCTTACTCTGTACAAGGGTAAAGTTTCAAACACCCCATCCCCCATATGAGGCCAGACAAATCTTCCCATAGGAAGGTTAGCATTTGGTTTTTACCCTGCAGTCCCCAGTTCCACCACAGAGCTCCATCCCTATGTTGGTACCTTCCTGCAGTTCATTTCAGTGTGTGGTCCCTTGAGCAGCATCTGTGGCTAGCCAGTTCTGTTCTTCCAGGTTTGTCCCTGATATCTGATTCCTAAAGCAGAGATCAGTGGGGAGGCCAGAACCTCCCAAACATCAAAAGAGAAAGAGAAAACCATATAGCTGTGTTCCTGGATTAAAGGTATGCCCTAGAAAGCCATGTGCTGGTTCTACCACTCCTTTCCCTCAGGTACAGTGTCTCCAATGTCTGTTGCAGAATTAGAATAAATCTCTACATTTGAAAGTCTACCTGGAAATGGTTGGCCATGATTTCTGGGCTCTTGTCTGGTGCTTCCCACTGCAAGCACATCTGAGGTCCCATCCTCATCTGAGTGAATTCCAACCAGATGCTCTCCCAGAGTTCTGCCTTCTGATCACTGTTGAGATAGACTTGGGCAAAAAGGACAAAGTGACCAGGTGCCCAGGCACACTGTGTATGTTCTGGTATTAGGTCTACATCATGCTAACGTAGGCAGCTTGTGGCTCTGAATAGTCTCCAGGTAGGTTGCCCTATGGGAAGGGATTTCTGCTCTACGAAGAAGGCGCATTTCTCATGTTTGAACCTGACATCTTTAATTTGGGTCTAAAGAGGCAAATTAAGTCACTTCGTTACCAAATGACCGAGTTGTCATGTGATACTATCAAAATCAAGGAGCAGTATTCATGGGGCAGTTGCAGACGTGGGGCAATGAAACACCAGCACCAGTACTCATGAGTGAGCTCCTGTTTACTCTACTCCTGCCATACATTTTTCAGGCCTTTGGAGGCAGGCTGAGCTCTGACTGTGAGCCTTAGCTATTCCTCTGAAGTATCTCTCTTGTTTCTTCCACCCTTAATGGAGGGGTGGTGATTTTTCTACTGCCTTATAATCTAAGGTAGCTCCAAATTCTGGGCCACTGCTTTCTTGTGATTACCTTCTTCTCAACCTCTCAATGTCTTCATTGCTGAGCTCTGATCTCTAACAACTGCTAAAAATATAGTCAGGTAGTGTTATGGTACAATACTTCTTTTTTTAGTGTACTTTCTTCTTTTTCACCATCATGGGCCCCAGGACTTGGATATTGTATGCAGCTGGCACCTCTTTATTGTAGTCTTACAAGTAGATCATTTCAGACAAGTCCTCTGAGAGTCCTCCCAGAAAAATGACAAGGATCTCTTGCTTCTGTCCTCTGCTGCTCACTTTGTAGGAGGTCCACATCCCCTTAGCAGCAGGATAAGACATTACCCTTGCTTAGAGTTTTAAGTCTCTGCTTCATTTCTTGGGTATCAGGAGTCTGTCAGATTAAAGTTCTTGAACTTTAATGTTTCCAGGGCTCTGTGTATGCTACCCCCAAACCCAAATCTAGTTCCTCTACTTGATTTTACTTTAAGCAGCAACATGTCATCCTGATATTTGGTGCCTGCTAGCTTAGGGCAGTGTTGAGCTAGCGCTTTGAAGATGCTGCAGTTCAGTCTCATGAGCCCATTTTTCTCCCCATGGCTTCCAGGTCTGGGCAAAAAAAACTGTAGCAGTATTATCCTATTTATGAATTACCACTCTTCCTTTGAGAAATTGCATGTTCATGTTACCCAAATATGAGATGAGTTTCTGAACCTCTGTGGCATAACACCAACCTCTTTAACTACTGCATTGAGAGGTACAGTGGGTGCTTGTCCAAAAACAATCTGAACACCAAAGCTTCCTGTGACCCATCTTGAAGGGCCTCCCACTCCTCAAACTCTTGATAGTATCTCTTCAGTCTTCTCATAATAGCTCAAGCAGTTAACCAACTCCCTGCTCCAGCTCTCTGCTCCATGAAAAGTTTGTGTGGACCATGTTGAGACTATGGGGCACCTCCACTAAACTTAGGCCAGCCATGGTCAGACCTCGGATGAGGCAGGGATGCATCAAGGGGATAGGTTTGTAGATCATTTTTAGTCTTCTCTATCCAGTTCTCTTGTGCTCAATAGTCTGGTGAGCTTCATTCATACAAGAGCCTTGATTTTTAAGCCATCACCAGGTCTGAACTTCTTTGCCATCAGATATTCTAAATTGTCTTTTCGGGTCCTGGTTCTGCTGTTAACTAAAGGATATCTCTACCACCTATACACCTATACCACATGGAGTAAATTGCTCCCTCCAATTTTTTTTAGAGATGGGGTCTTGCTGTGTTGCCCAGGCTCAAGCAGTTCTCCCACCTCAGCCTCTCGTGTAGCTGGAACTACAGGCACATGCCACCATGCCAGGCTTGCCTCCTATCTTTATGTGCCCATTGTCTAGCAATCAAGTGCCCATGATGAGTCATGGTAAAAGAAGGCAAAGATATGTCTGGGTCTAGTCTAGGGGTATCATTATACTTGCAATATAATTCAGTTGTTAACAGTTTTCTAAACCAGTCAGTCCCTACAATGTAACATTGGCATCCAGTCCATCACTCTCAGCTCATAAGGAAATTCTCAGTAGTTTGTGTTCAGTTCCAACAAGGTAAGGGGGATCAGGTTTTTCTGTTGTGTCCCATCCCTGTGCAATTGTGGATGTTCCTTCTCTTCTGGTGGGCCCACAAATAGTAAAGACTATGGACAGGACAACAGATTATCTACAAGCAGTGGATTAGTGAGAGAGGAGTCCACACTCCAAAAAGCTATGGTTACTGGATCTTTTTCATAACTCTGTAGTCCTTCATCTCCTGCTGGCTTTGATGACATCTACTCCTGCCTCATCTAGTTTGGGTTCTTCCTCTGCCTTTCCTCCTTCCTTCGTCTCAGTCTTGTATAGTTTTTGGGATTGGAGAAACCAGCTTTCTTGGCTGCCTGTGAATATTTCTGACCTGCATTAGAGTGTGGTTTCTTTGAGTCTTTGTGCTTCGGTGAGGACTGGGGAGGGGAAAATGGCCTATGTGGAGGCAGTGAAAGAAGAAGAGGAAAAAAATCGCACAGATACAGAATAATACTTTGAATTCTAACCCTGCCACATGGCTTGTAAAACTAGAATATTTCACTCTGATTCTGAATAACTTAACGAGCCTTATTTCAGTAGTTTAATTTTGAGAATAATGGGTCAAGGGCTGGTATATCAGTGGTTAAGGTGAGGGGGAAATGTAGCTTTTTGTGTGGTCTCAAACACTCATACTAAGACAATTGGAAGACATAAAGGGAAGAATCATACAATCTGTTATATGCTAGCTCTTAAAGTAAAAGTAGTAGAGTTTTTTCTAGATTTGTTCCATAAACTGCCATTTAACTGTACCAGGTAATGAGATGGCCAGATGTTTTCCTACTAAATTGGCACAACTTAAAAAAATATATTTTAGATTTAGGGGGTACACGTGCAGGTTTCTTACAAGGGTATAGTGTGTGATGCTGAGATTTGAGCTTCTATTACCCTTGTCACCCATATAGTGAACATAGTACCTATAGGAAGTTTTACAGACTGCATCCTCCTCTCTCCTTTCCTCTTCCTCCTCCCCCATTTTGAAGTCCCCAGTGTCTAATCTTTATGTCTGTATGTACCCATAAATTGGCACAATTTCTCTCTCTAAATGATAAATGGCTGATTTTGGCTGGGTGCGGTTTCTCACGCCTGTAATCCCAGCACTTTGGGAGGCTGAGGCAGGCGGACTGCTTGAGCCCAAGGAGTTTGAGACCAGCCTGAGCAACATAGTGAAATCCATCTCTACAAAAAATAAAACAATTAGCTAGGCATGGTGGCATGCTTTGGTAGTCCCAGCTACTTGGGAGGCTGAGACAGGAGGATCACTTGAGCCTGGGCAGTTGAGGCTGCAGTGAGTCAAGCTCTCTAAGTGCACTCCAGCCTGGGTGACAGAGCCAGACCCTGTCTCAGAAAACAAAACCAAACCAAAAAAGCAGACAAAAACAACCACCCTAAAACTAAAACAAAAGGATAAGTTTGATTGAATGCTCATTTTAAAAAATCAGATTCTGTGCTACAAACCTTACAAATATATATTATTTAATATGGTTCTCAAAACAACTCTATGAGTTAGTTTCTTTTATCTTGGTGGGTAATTAATGGAATTCCCATTTTACAGATTAGGAAATTGAGCTGTAATTTTGCTGGAGTCACACAGCTATTAAATGGTGGGATTGAAAAACTAAGGTTGTTGTGAGCCGAGAGCCCCTGCTCACAACCCCACATTACACCTTTGCTATAGAGATGAGAGATGATTTTTTAGGAAAATAAAGAGTCCAGACAGACTCTGGCAAGACCCTGGCATCACCACAGCCAGTCTTGAGTCTGAACTCAGCTGAGAAGACTGGGTGTATCAATACAGAGGCCATGCTGACATGCCTTCCTGGACTTGGAGAAATCCTCTGGAGGGGATGAACTCTTAAAGAATTTAGACAAAATTTCTATTTTGGGTGTATCTGCATATGTGTATTTGTATATGGGTTTTTAAGTAGGAATGTTCCAGTAAAGGTACAGCTGATTTTATTCTTTATTTTTAGATAGGTAAAATATCTATATGAGCCACAAAACAACAGTATAAAATCTTTCTTCCATTCCTTCAGCCCAGTTTGTACCCCATTCCCTTTTTCGTGTCTACCTCTTAAGAGTTCCTTTTATACAACTATGAGTAAATGTAAAATTATATTCATAAGACTTTTCTCCTTTTATATACAAGGTCATCATTTTTAAATTTTGTACTTTCTTTGTTTTTTTCTTTTCTTTTCTTTTTGAGGTAGTGTCTCGCTCTTGTTGCCCAGGCTGGAGTGCAATGGCGCAATCTTGGCTCACTGCAACCTCTGCCTCCCAGGTTCAAGCGATTCCCCTGCCTCAGCCTCCTGAGTAGCTGGAATTACAGGCGCCTGCCACCATGCCCGGCTAATTTTTGTATTTTTATAGAAACAGGGTTTCACCGTGTTGGCCAGGCTAGTCTCGAACTCCTGACCTCAGATGATCTGCCCACCTCAGCCTCCCAAACTGCTGGGATTACAGACGTGAGCCACTGCGCCCAGCTCTTTGCTTTTTTCAAATAGTGATTTATCTTGGAAATATTTCCATATCAGTACATGGAGAGGTTCTTCATTCTTATTTACAATGTCATAATATTTCATGGTGTTAAATCTGTTATCACTTATTAACCAGCTCTCCATTAGTAGACATGTGGGTTGTTTCCAGTCTTTTGCTCTTACTGATGCAATGAATAAACTTGCATATATGCCCTTCTGAATATGTGTATGTATTTCTACAGGATAAGTTTCTAGAAGTAGAAATGCTGTGTTAAAAGTATGCATTTATAATTTTGACTGATAATGGCAAATTGTCCTCAATAAGAGTTACACTAATTTGTACTTCCACTAGTAATGCATGAAGAGAGAGAATTTCCCACACTCCTGCCAACACAGTTAATGGTTGTCTGGATTTTGGCCCATTTGATAAAAAAAATGTTTGAATTTTGGCCTATTCAATAGACAAAAAATATTGCAGATTATTTAAATATGATTAGTTAAGCAACTTTTCATATGTTTGAGTGCCACTTGTATTTCCTTTTCTGTGAACTTTGCCCATTTCCTATTGACTTAAGGTCTTTTATCAATTTTAGAAACTTGTCATATATTAGGGAGAGTAGCCGTTGTCTATGATATGAATTGAACATATTTTTTACTGTTTGACATTTATGATTAAATTTGTTAGCCTTCTCTTATGTCTTCTGAATTTTAGGTCTTAGTTAGTAAGGCCTTTCCCACTACAAGGTTATAAAAGTCTTCTACTATGTCATCTAGTGATTTCATGGTTCTGTTGTTCTTACTTAAATATTTGCTTTATTTGGAGTTTATCTTGGTTTATATTATAACACTTGGATTGAACCTTTTTTTCTCGGATGGCTGTCCAGGTGTGCCACACCATTTAGTGATTAATGTCTGGTAATTCAGTGCCCAATCATTGGAGATGCCACCTTTATCATATAGCATATGCCATATATAATTTTACCTATACTTACGTAAGTAAAATGGCTTTACTTTAGAATCCAGAGGAAAGTCTGAATTTTCTTGTGGGAACCCTAGAAGATTTTTTTTTTTAAGACCAAGTCTCACTCTGTTGCCCAGGCTGGACCAGGCTGGACCAGGCTGGAGTGCAGTGGCACAATCTGCTCACTGCAGCCTCTGCCTCCTGGGTTCGAGCAATTTTCCTGCCTCAGCCTCCCGAGTAGCTGGGATTACAGGCACCCGTCACCACGCCTAGCTGGTTTTTGTATTTTTAGTAGAGATGGGGTTTCACCATGTTGGTCAGGCTGGTCTCCAACTCCTGACCTCAGGTGATCTGCCTGTCTTGGTCTCCCAAAGTGCTGGGATTACAGGTGTGAGCCACTGCACCCGGCCAATTTTTAAAAATCATGGTAAAATATACCTATTATTTTCACCATTTTATATATATTTTCATTTAAATGGTTACCACTTTAACCATTTTAAAGTGTGAATTTCCGTGGCATTAAGTACATTTACATTGTTGTGCAGCCATCACCACCATCATCTCTAGAACTTTTACATGTTCCCACCACATGGCTTTGAATCAAATATACCAGTAATTTTATGGCATACCATTCATTTGGAAGGTGAGTCCTGATTTTACAGATGTTAAAATACGGTAAAATATACATCTTAGGTATATTTTAGTTACTAAAATATTTAGTTACTGAAATATAGTTCTCAATTTTCAAGTGTATTTAGTTTATTTCTGAACATTCTAATCTATTACGTTCGTTTCTCCATGTGCCAGTGCCACAGTGTCTTAATTATTGCAGATTTATAATATCTTTTAATACATAATAAGGCTAGTTTCTCCTCACTGGTCTTCTTTTTCAGATTTCTTTCTCCAGTTATTCTTGTCTATCTGTCTAGATAAACTAAGCAGCTTTTCCTTGGATATTATAGACCTTCCTTTCCCTCTTTCTGTCTCTATTCTACTTAAATTATAAAAATTTGCATATAGATGACTTTATGAGGCCTGAAGATGAGCTCTAAGTCTAGGATCAGTTTATCTTCTCTGAAAGTTTGTGTATCTCTTGACTTTCTTCTCCAGGGTTTCTGCTTTAGCTTTGCCACTTCAAGTGCAGTCCGTTCCTGAATTATGTTGTCAGCATAAAAGGGAGCTGCTCCTATGAAAGTTCTTAGAGTCATTTACTGCTTTTGAGTCTTGTACATAGAATATTAGTCTTTTTCAGTGATGTTAGCAGTGTCTCTAGAAGGATGGAAAACCCGAAATGTCTGCAACTGCATCAGGGTTTAAAGTAATTTACTTATGCATTTGCCTTCAGTGGGAGTTTGTTGTCTTGCCAGTTATTCATATTAAATTTTTAGCATTTTAAATAATGTATTACTATAAGCTTGACTTTATTTGCATTTATAGATTATAAACTCATTTCTGTTTTATTTTACTGAAGAACCCATTAAAAGAGCCAGTAAATCCTGTGGAAAATGGCCTTCAGTGATCTTACATCGAGGACTGTGCATCTTTATGATAATTGGATCAAAGATGCTGGTGAGTAACCACATTTCCTAATTGAGGTTCATCCTTCCTTTTTATGTCAGATTCTCATATTTAATAGGATTTCACTGGAACAGAATGAGAGACTTTGCAACTTAACAGTCCCTTATTACTAGTTAACGAAGAGGAAGTGCACAGGTTTCATTACAGATATGTACAAAGATGGAGCTACACAGATGTTCATTACAATGTTTACAGTAAGGAAAATAGCCTAGATATCCAGTGAAGGGAACTGATCAATAAATGATGACTCATTCTAACTTAGTAGCCATTAAAAGTGATTTTGGAAGGACAGTGCTCTTCAGCCTGATTCTTCCCTAATGCTCCTGAGGGAAATTACAGTTAATGCCAACTCTTTTTTTTTTTTTTAAGACAGAGTCTCACTCTGTCGCCCAAGCTGGAGTGCAGTGGTGCAATCTCGGCTCACTGCAACCTCCGCCTCCCTGCAACCTCCGCCTCCCTGGTTCACGCCATTCTTCTGCCTGAGCCTCCCAAGTAGCTGGGACTACAGGCACCCACCACCATGCCTGGCTAATTTTTTGTATTTTTAGTAGAGACGGGGTTTCACTGTGTTAGGATGGTCTTGATCTCCTGACCTCGTGATCCGCCCGCCTTGGCCTCCCAAAGTGCTGGGATTACAGGTGTGAGCCACTGTGCCCGGCCACTGCCAACTCTTTTGAATGAAAGAGTTGCAGCCCCCAGGAACCTGTCAGAGTGAACAGGGAACAGGAAAACCAGGGAATGACTGCCTGGGACACCTCCGAGTGATTCTGATATGCCTGCCTTTTACCCTTGCCCATTTATTTTAAAAGTCAATGTTTCAGAAGACATTAATGCCATAGCAAGAAGTTTAAAATATGTTAAATGAAAGCAGGTTATAAAATACTCCATACATTTCTTTCATGGGGTTTAGCAGTTATCTCTGGGTAGGATTATGGGTAATTTTTATTTCCGTAGTTATATTTGTCTACATATTTTTAAATCACAACAAATATGTTGTGTTGCTTTTATAACCATTTTTTAAAGTTTTAAAAGCAGAACAAAAGTAAAATTTCAAAAAAAAGAATCAGAGCATCTTAGAACTGAGATGGATCTTAGATATCATCGAAGCTAATGCCTCATTTTACAGTTGAAGAAATGTGACCTCAAAGTCAAGATGGCAGAAAAGACTAGAACCTATGTGTTCTGGTTATTAGTTGTAGTACTCTGGTATTTAACATTTGAGTTTATTTTTGAGATATTGAGCTATACATACTCACCACCATCACTACTTTAGGTTGATTCTTACCTATCAACTAGAAATTGCAAGTCTACCAAATTCAGGAAGGAAATGCACACCTCTTGGCACCTACCACAGATGAAATTATAGTCAAATTTACAACGATTTCAGCAAAGATACACTGTTTCATCATTTGCAGCTTTCTCAGCAGACTACTAAAGACCAAATTTATCTCACTAAAAGTGTTCCCAACAGTTTTTCCTTTGAGGAATGCCAAGGTTCTTTGTAAGTATCTCATAGAGAGAGAAGCTTCACTGTGGTAGGGGATACATAGTGACTATGCCTATCTTTTCTTAACTTTTTTTTCTTAGTTTTCCAATATATGATACACAGAATATTCAAGTTTCTTTAGGGGTCATCCTTCTCTGAAGGTTTACAGTAGTTCTCATAAAGTCAGTATTAATTTAAATACTAATATTTTCATTGCTTTTCAAGGAGAGGTGTGCCTTGCTACATGAACTCTCAGTATTTGAACTTAGGAACCAAGTAGATTGGGTTTTTGAAATAGAGTTATTTGGAAGAACAGATCTCTTGGTATCCAATTCTTGATAGTCACTATCCCAGATACAAGAATCCAAGAGACTCAAATAATCAATATGCTAACTCAAGAGCTGAATAGATGTAGATAATAATAAATATCTATGTAGTCCTAGAAGTTAAAAATGCCTTAATATGAACTTCTTTAGAATTCCACTTCCACTTTTATCCATGGATCAACTCCTTAATTTTTATTAGGAATACCTACATTGAAATTGCTGAGTAAAATTAGATTAGATGTGGAGTGGAGTCCTGACAACAGCATTGCAAACGGTGCAGGGAAGATGAGGGGAGAGAGGCAGGGAGAAGGCAAGGAATACTTGTATTTGAAGTTATGCTCATTTGAAGACTTGGGAGGGGAGAGAGGATATGGGGATTTGGAGTGAAAAGACCTAGATTTAAGGTCTGACACTGCTGTAGCCCAGCTGGATGATCTTGAACACGTTATTTATTGGCTGTGAGTCTTTGTTTCTTTATTAGCAAAACATAAGTGAGAATAGCATCTACCAGCTACCAGATAACATACATGAAAGTGCTCTGCTGTTTCGGAAGTATCCCAACATAAAAGAGTGGTGCTGGTTGTTACAGATGATAGATTTCATCTGAAAATTCTCTTCATATAGCATATACTTAAAAATTGTTTTCTTTACATAATTTTTTTCCCAGGCATGGTCTAAAAGGGTTAAAATGTTTTGTTTTGAGATATACAGCTTTATAAAAAACGCTGTCAGGCATAACAGGAAAGTTTTTTCCTTCTACTTAGTGTAGTATTGATCTCTGAGATCCATTAGGAATCATTTTTGGCCATCTTAGTCCAGTTTTAGTCTGCTTACCCTGGAAATGTCTGAACTTATGATCAAGGGCCAAGAATTTCAAGTGTATTCTTGGCTTTAGCCCTAACCCTGAGTAGCGTAAGGAAACTTACTGATATTCATTGGTTTTCTGATTGCTAGAGAAGTAGTGGTCATGCATAGTTATTTCATGTGGAAAAATTCCACAGCTACAGAAGAAAAAATGGTTTAATTAATACTTAGCTATAAGAGGATTTATTTGGATTCTTAGATGTGAAATGTGAGAGTTTGAAATAATGCTATGGTAGCATTTTGGATAATGGAGAAATGAAAAAGTTTTTAATGTTTAAAATACAGCTTTCCTTGCGTTTGATTAGAAATGATGACTTTTCAGACTTAGTCATGATCCTTTTTTTGCAAGAAGATGGAGTATGAGTAAGATTGCTGCCATTCTGAAACTTTAATACTTCAAAAAGTACTTAAGGTACATGTTTGCTTTTCCTTCCAGCTTCTTCATTTCATTAGTACTTGGAATCTTAAAGATGTACTCTTTGAGCCAGTACCTGCTACTTAAGAAGAGAATACTCTCTTAGAAGCAGCTGATGGAAAAGCCCATTAATATTCTATGTATGTGGCATTCTACTTTCCCTATGCTCTCTCCCTGGGACACTCTTAGAAACGAATTATTAAGCTAGTAATAAATCAGAACTTTGGTAATCATTGGGGTATAGACTGTCAGACAGCCTGCCTTCCCATCCTCTGCTTCTATCATGGCTCTACTCATGACACTTAAACCAAATCTGATGCCAAAAAGAAGGTACATGAAACATCCCCCACCCCATTAGCCTTTTGTTTCTGGGGAAGACAGAGCACCTCATGCCTAACCCTAACTTTTTCAACTTATGTAATGATACAGGGAACATTCAAGTTTCTTTAGGGGTCATCCTTTTATGAAGGTTTATAGTAGTTCTCATAAATTCAGTATTTAACTTCAATACTAATATTTTCATTGCTTTTCAAATAGAGGTGTGCCTTGCTACCTGAACTCTCATTATTTGAGCTTAGGAACCAAGTAGCTGTGGGTGCAGTGTTTTGAAATAGAGCTGTTTGGAAGAACAGATCCCCTGCTATCCAACTTTTGCTATTCACTATCCCAAATGGGATCATAAACAGAGTCAGAATTAACTTTAACTGTCACCCAGCAGGTGCATTGATACTCCCTGTAACATGCCCACTACCTTACATGGAAGTGGACTCTCTATTCAGAAAGGTATAACTGTTGCTGAGAGAGAAGGCCAGAAAAGTGAACAATGGCCGGAGTCATGGGTGTCATCCTAATGATTTTGTATTTTATTTGCTCAGTAAGGGAGAGCTAATTTAAGCAATTTTATTTCTCAGTAAGGGAGAGCTAATTTTATCAGAGGAAGAATTTTAGGACTTGATTTTTAGAAAATGAATTTGACAATTGCGTGGAAGACCAATGTAGCAGATTGGATCAGGAGGCAGTGAAACCATATAAAAGACTATTGAAGAGTACCTAGTGAGGGGTGCTGTAGCCCTAAATACAGGTGAGGAAACTTGGTCTCACACCAGACCCCTAGCTCTTAACTATGACAGTTCATCACGGTCACCAATTAACAAATTGTTGGCTGCTGACAAATTATAATTACATATATTTATGGGGTACAAAGTGATGTTGTGATATATGTATCCAATATAAAATGATTAAATCAATCCAAATAGCATATCCATCACCAAATACTTATCTTTTTATGGTGAAAACATTTGAAATTTACTTTTTACAATTTTGAAATATACAGTATTATTAGCTCTAGTTATCATGCTGTGCAATAAATGTCAAAAAGATATTTCTTCTGTTGAACTGAAACTTTGTACCCTTTGATCAACATCTCCCTATTTCCCCAGCCCCCTGGCCTCTGGTAACCACCATTCTACTCTTCTTATATAAATATGATTATTTTAGACTCCTTTATAAGTGATAACATGTCTTGCCTTTTTGTGCCTGGTTTATCTTACTTAGCATAATGTCTTCCAAGTTCATCCATATTGTCACAAATGATAGGATTTTCTTTTTGAAGGCTGAATAATAGTCCATTGGTTATTTCTATCTATGTGTCTACAGGTCTGTAATTCAGAAAGGCATAACTTTAGATTGACAGGTATCACATTTTCTTTATCCATTCACCCATTGATGGACACTTAGGTTGATTCCACATCTTGGCTATTATGAATAATGCTGCAGTGAACATGAGAGTGCAGATATCCCTTCAATATGCTGATTTCATTTCCTTTGGATATATATCTGGAAGTGAGATTGCAGGATCATATGGTAATTCTATTTTTAGTTTTTTATAGAGCCTTCATGTAGTTTTCCTTATAGCTATAGTAATTTACAGTCCCACCAACATTGTACAAGGGTTCTCTTTTCTCCACATCCTTGCCAACGCTTGTTATCTTTTGTCTTTTTGATAACAGACATTCTTACAAATGTAAGGTTATATCTCTTTGTTTTTTTAATTTGCATTTTCCTGATGATTAGTGATGTTGAGAATTATTTTCATCTATCCGTTGGCCATTTGTTATCTTTTGAGAAATGTCTGTTCAGGTCCTTTGCACATTTAAAAAAATGGATGCATAGAAACCGTGTCCTAGGATTCTGATTCAATTGGACCAAGGTTGTTTTTTGCAATTTGACTTTTAAATACTGCAGAGTCAATTTGGCTGTGCTAACAGAATTGAGATCTGCTATAATAACAGTAGCAAGCTTATTGAGCACTTAGGCTCTTTACATATAGTAACTCAATCAATCCTCTATGAAATACATGCCTTTTAATGCCCAATTTGCAGATGAGGAAACTAAATACAGAGAAGGTGAGTCAATTGCCCAAGGTGACATAGCGAGCCAGTGGGAGAACCAGGATCAGAATGCAGACTGTCTGACTCCAGAGTTTTGCTGAAATAGAATTTCTAAAGCTTGGTATTTTGTTTTATTATTTGCTTTGAAGATAACATCCAATTAAATTAACCAGTGTTTCCCATAATTATTTTTTATCTGTAGAACTTGAAAGTCACGTACAGGACTTAAGGTGTGTGCTGAAAATATTAAATTACGGGAAAAAATTATTTATTTTAAAATTATTTTATTCTGCTTCCTGAGCCAGCCCAGCATGCTTTTCCTGGCTTGTTTTCTTTCTACTGCTACCAGAGGAAGAACAGAGAAATGATGTCATTTGATTTTTCCCCCTCCTGAGTCAATGAAAGAATAAAATAAAATATATCTCTCATTCAGCAATTCTTTTACTGACATTTAAGCTCGTTTCTAACCATATGTGTGATGACTGTTAATAATAGAATCATTTGAAATTGTTTATAAAGCAAAAGAAAAAACAAAAGTCAACTAAACTCCCACCATGCAAAGGTGGTGATGTAACATCCTTCCAGAGGTCTTCTTTTGGTATTTTGTTTTTCTTTCCTTTTTTTTTTTTTTCTGAGACAGGGTCTTACTCTGTTGCCCAGGCTGGAGTGCAATGGCATGATCTCCGGTTCACTGCAACCTCCACCTCCCGGGTTCAGGCTCTTCTCATGCCTCAGTCTCCCAGATAGCTGTGATTACAGGCGTGCGCCACTATGCCTAGCTAATTTTTGTATTTTTCGTAGAGACAGGGTTTCACCATGTTGGCCAGGCTGGTCTCAAACTCCTGACCTCAAGCGATCACCTGCCTTGGCCTCCCAAAGTGCTGGGATTACAGGTGTGAGCCATGGCGCCTGGCCAGTATTGTTTTCATTAGTTTTTTATTTCATTAGCAATAACAACTAGACATAGTAATATGAATCTCATCTTGAACTGTAGTTCCCATAATTCCCACATGTCGTGGGAGGGACCCAGTGGGAGGTAACTGAATCATGGGCGCAGTTCCCCCATGCTCTTCTCACGATTGTGAGTTTTCACAAGATCTGATGGTTTTTTAAGCATCTGGCATTTCCCCTGCTGGCACTCATTCTCTCTCCTGCTGCCCAGTGAAGAGGTGCCTTATGTCATGATTGTAAGTTTCCTGAGGCCTCCCCAGCAAATTTAAATCTCTTTGCTTTATAAATTACCCAATCTTGGGTATTTCTTCATAGCAGTGTGAGAATGGACTAATACAGTAAATTGGTATCTCAGAATGGGGCGCTACTATAAGGATACCTGAAAATGTGGAAGTGACTTTGAAACGGGCTAAAGGCAGAGGTTGGAGCAGTTTGGAGGGGTGAGAAGAAGACAGGAAAATATGGGAAAGTTTGGCCGGGCGCCGTGACTCATGCCTGTAATCCCAGCACTTTGGGAGGCCGAGGCGGGTGAGTCACCTGAGGTCGGGAGTTCGCAACCAGCCTGACCAACATAGAGAAACCCCATCTCTACTAAAAAATACAAAATTAACTGGGCGTGGTGGCGCATGCCTGTAATCCCAGCTACTGGGGAGACTTAGGCAGGAGAATCACTTGAACCCGGGAGGCAGAGGTTGCAGTGAGCCGAGATCGTACCGTTGCACTCCAGCCTGGGCAACAAGAACGAAACTACATCTAAAAAAAAAAAAAAAAAAAAAAAGGGAAAGTTTGGAACTTACTAGAGACTTGTTGAATAACTTTGACCACAATGCTGATAGTGATATGGACAATGAAGGTCAGGCTGAGGTGGTCTCAGATGGAGATGAGGAATTTATTGGGAACTGGAATAAATAACACTATGCTTTAGAAAAAAGACTGGCAGCATTTTGCCCCTGCCCTAGAGATCTGTGAAACTTTTAACTTGAGAGAGATAATTTAGGGTATCTGGCAGAAGAAATTTCTAAGTGGCAAAGCATTCAAGAGGAAGGACCATAAAAGTTTGGAAAATTTGCAGCCTGATGATGCGATAGAAAAGAAAATACAATTTTCTAGGGTGAAATTCAAGCCTGCTGCAGAAATTTGCATAAGTAGCAGGAGCTGAATGTTAGTCACCAAGACAATGGGGAAAATGTCTCCAGAGTATGTCAGAGACCTTGGCAGCAGCCCCTCCCGTCACAGACCTGGAGGCCTAGGAGGAAAACATGGTTTTTGGGGCTGGGCCCAGGGCTCCCTGCTGTGTGCAGCCTAGGGACTTGATGCCCTGCATTCCAGCTGCTCCTGGAATGGCTAAAAAGGGCCAAGGTGCAGCTTGGGCCATGGCTTCAGAGGGTGCAGGCCCCAAGCTTTGGCAGCTTCTCCATGGTGTTGAGCCTGTGAATGCACAGAAGTCAAGAATTGAGGTTTGGGAACCTCTACCTAGATTTCAGAGGATGTATTGAAACTCCTGGATGTCCAGGCCGAAGTTTGCTGCAGAGGTAGAGCCCTCATGGAGAGCCTCTACTAGGTCAATGTGGAAGAGAAATGTGGGGTCAGACCCCAAACACCTAGTCCCCACTTGGGCAGTGCCTAGTGGAGCTGTGAGAAGAGGGCCACCATCCTCCAGACCCCAAAATGCTAGATCCATTGACAGCTTGCACTGTGCACCTGGAGAAGCCACAGACAGTCAGTTCCAGCCAGTGAAAGCAGCAGGAAAGGGGGCTGTACCCTGCAAAGCCACAGAGGCAGAGCTGCCCAAGGCCATGGGAGCCCACCTCTTGCACCAGTATGACCTAGATGTGAGACGTGGAGTCAAAGGTGATCATTGTGGAGCATTGAGATTTAATGACTGCCCTACTGGATTTTGGACTTGCATGGGGCCTGTAGCTCCTTTGTTTTGGCCAATTTCTGCCATTTGGAATGGGTATATTTATGCAGTGCCTGTATCCCCATTGTATCTGGAAAATAACTAACTTGCTTTTGATTTTACAGGCTCATAGGCAGAAGGGACTTGCCTTGTCTCAGATGAGACTTTGGATTTGGACTTTGAGTTAAAGCTGGAATGCATTAAGACTTTTGGGGATTGTTCGGAAGGCATGATTGTGTTTTGAAATGTGAGGACATGAGATTTGGGAGGGCCCAGGGACAGAATGATATGGTTTGACTGTATCCCCACCCAAATTTCATCTTGAATTATAGTTCCTATAATCCCCACATGTTATGGAGGGACCTAGTGGGAGATAAGTGAATCATGGGTACAGTTTCCCTGTGCTGTTCTCATGATTGTTTCTCACAAGAGCTGATGGTTTTATAATTGTCTGGCATTTCCCCTGCTGGCACTCATTCTCTCTCCTGCCACTTCATGAAGAGGTGCCTTCTGCTGTGATTGTAAGTTTCCTGACGTCTCCCAGGCCATGCAGAACTGTGAGTCAATTAAACCTCTTTCCTTGATAAATTACCCAGTCTCGGGTATTTCTTCATAGCAGTGCATGAGTGGACTAATACAATGATGTTCATGTATTTAAGGTTTGCACTACCCACTTATAGAAGAAATCTATCAAAGTTTGATCAGTTCTAATTTTTTCCCTTGGTCCCTGGTTCTGTGACAACTTTTATTTATGGAGACTTCCTTTGTGACATACAGACCCATAGCAAGCCTTCCTTGTGGTGGTTTTAATTGCACAAAACAACGAGACATCCTAGAAAGCTTGCCATTGTTAAAAGCAAGGAGGGGAACCAATAGAAGCAGTAAAAGATTTCAGTGATGTGTACCTGGGTAGCTGATTTCAAAGTTTTTCCTGATTTAGAACTGTGACAAATCTTAATATGAGAAAATACTTCCGAAATTATAGAACTTTATGTTTTGAAAAGTGTCTGTCATCAAACTTTTGTTTAATTTCTATTTTGTGCATGACACCTTGTTAAAATTATTCTGCTGAGAGCATCAGAGACGTCCTTTTGTTAAATGTAGTGGCATTTTTCTGTCCCCATTTTATTTCCCCTTTCTGCCACACTTAATGCTTTGACTCCTTCCGAAAATCCACTCTTCCCTGGCTTCAGGATATCTCACTTTTATGGTTTTCCCTCTACTTCTCTAGCTGTTCCTTTTTGGTTTTTATGTTTTTTCCTTCAGTAATTCCTTCTGTGAATGCTGAGTCCTCAGGATCCTGACTTCAGCACTTACTCTCCTTACTGTACCCACTTAGCCTAAGCCAATCTCACTGCTTTTATTGTTCATCATTTATGTGATGGCAACCCTCAATCTTATATCTCTGGCACAGATCTCTCTCCTAATTCTAGATCCATATATCCAGCTGCTTATGAAAGACTTCATATGAATGTTTTAAAGGCAGTCTAAGTGTAAGATGTTTTAAAACATAAGCCACCTCTGCTTGACCAATATTGCTCCTAATCCTGTGTTCCCAATCTAAGTGAATTTAAAGATCTGAGTATTTTTCTTTTAAAAATTTTTTTTTTAATTTTTGCGGGTAAATAGTAGGTGTATATATTTATGGAATACATAAGATGTTTTGATACAGGCATGCAATATGTAATAATTATATCATGTAAAATGGGGGTATCCATCCCCTCAAGCATTTATCCTTTGGGTTACAAATAATCCAATTATATTTTAAAACATACATTTAAATTATTATTGACTATAAGTCAGCCTGTCGTGCCACCAAATACTAGGTCTTATTCATTCTATTTTCTTTGTACCCATTAGCTATTCCCACCTCCCCCCCAACCCCCCTAGTACCCTTCCTAGCCTCTGGCAACCACCCTTCTACTCTATCTCCATGGACTTAATTGTTTTGATTCTTACATCCCACATATAAGTGAGAAATCTGAATATTTTTCTTAACATTTACCTATTTCCATTCCCTGTGTTTAACCAATTATAAATTTTTATATTTTCTTCTTCCTTACTGTATTTCAAAATAATCTCCTATTTATCTGTCACTATCACTACCTGTTTTTAAAATTTTTATTTTAGATTCAGGTGGTACACGTGCAAGTTTATAACTAGGCTATATTGTCTGATGCTGAGGTTTGGGCTTCTAGTGATTGCATCATGAATATAGTGAACATAGTACTTAAAAGTATGTTTTTCAGCCCTTGTCCCCTTCCTTCCCTCCCACATTTTGGATTCTTCAGTCTGTTGTTCCCATCTATACCTGCATGTACCCAAGACTTAGCTCCCACTTATAAGTGAGAACATGTAGCATTTGGTTTTGCATTTCTGTGTTCATTTGCTTAGGATAATGGTCTCCAACTACGTTCATGTTGCTGCAAAGGATATGATTTTGTTCTTTTTAATGACTGCATAGTACTCCACAGTATATATGTACCACATTTTCTTTATCCAATCCACCATTAATGGGCACCTAGGTTGATTACATGTCTTTGCTGTTATGAATAGTCCTGCAGTGAACATGCAAGTGTATGTATATTTTTGGCATTTTCCTTTCAGTATGTACCTAATAGTGGAATTGCTGGGTTGAATAATAGTTCTATTTGCAGTTTTTTGAGAAATCTCCAAACTGCTTTCCACAATGGCTGAACTAATTTGCATTTCCACCAACAGTGTATAAGCATTCCCTTTTCTCCACAGCCTCAACAACTTCTGTAATTATTTGACTTTTTAATGTTTGTTGGCCGCTTGTATGTCTTCTTTTGTGAAGTGTCTGTTCATGCTCTTTGCCCACTTTTTAATGAAGTTATTTATTTTTTCTTGTTGATTTAAGTTTCTTGTGGATTCTGGATATTAGTCCTGTTGGATGCATAGTTTGTGTTTTCTCCCAGTCCATAGGTTGTCTGTTTACTCTGTTAGTTTCTTTTGCTGTGCAAAAGCTCTTTAGTTTAATTAGGTCTTAATTGTTGATTTTTATTTGTGTTGCAATTGCTTTTGAGGACTTGGTCATAAAGCCTTTGCCAAGGCCAGTGTCCAGAAGAGTGTTTCCTAGGTTAGGTTTTCTCCTGGGATTTTTATAGTTTTAGGTCTTGCATTTAAGTCTTTAATCCATCTTAAGTTAATTTTTGTGTATGGTGGTAGGTAGTGGTCCAGTTTCAGTCTTCTGCATATGATTAGCCAGTTTTCCTAGCACCATCTATTGAATAGGGAGTCCTTTCCCCATTGCTTATTTTCATTGACTTTGTTGAATATCAGTTGGTTTTAGGTATGCTCCTTTATTTCTGGGTTTTCTGTTCAGTTCCATTGGCCGATGTGTCTATTTTTATATCAATACCATGCTGTTTTGGTTACTGTAGCCGTGTAGTACAGTTTGAAGTAAGATAATGTGATGCCTCCAGCTTTGTTCTTTTTGCTTAAGATTGCTTTGGCTATTTGGGCTCATTTTTGGTTTTCTATGAATTTGAGAATAGTTTTTTCTAATTTTGTAAAAAATAACATTGGTAATTTGATAGGAATAGCATTGAATCTTTAGATTGTTTTGAACAGTATGGACATCTAACAATGTTGATTTTTCTAATCCATGAGCATGGAATGTTTTTCCATTTGTATTTTCCATGATTTCTTTCAGCAGTGTTTTGTAATGCTCCTTGTACAGATCTTTTACTTCCTTGGTTAGATGTATTCCTATGTGTTTTATTTTTTGTGCTTGTGGTTATTGTAAATAGGATTGCATTCTTGATTTGGCTGTCAGCTTGAGGGTTGAAGAGCTGTTCCAAGCTCTTAAGGATAATGCTTTGGTGCATAGAAATGCTACTGATTTTCATACATTGATTTTGTATCCTGTAACTTTACTGAATTCATTTATCAAATATAAGAGTTTTGGCTGGGTGTGGTGGCTCATGCCTGTAATCCCAGCACTTTGGGAGGCCAACGTGGGCAGATCACGAGGTCAGGAGTTTGAGACCAGCCTGGCCAACAAGGTGAAACCCTGTCTCTACTAAAAATACAAAAATTAGCTGGGCATGGTGGCGGGCACCTGTAATCCCAGCTCCTCAGGAGACTGAGGCAGGAGATTCACTTGAACCCAGGAGGCAGAGGTTGCAGTGAACCAAGATCATGCCATTGCATTCCAGCCTGGGCGACAAGAGCAAGACTCCGTCTCAAAAAAAAAAAAAAAAAAGAGAGTTTTATGGTGGAGTTGGTAGGTTTTTCTAGGTAGAAGATCATATCATCAGCAAGCAGGGATAATTTTACTTCCTCTTTTCCAATTTTGATGCCTTTTATTTCTTTCTCTTGCCTGATTGCTCTGGCTAGGACTTCTAGTACTATGTTGAATAGGAGTGGGCATCCTTGTCTTGTTGCAGCTCTTAAAGATAATACTTCCAGCGTTTGCCCATTAGGTATGATGTTGGCTGTGGGTTTGTCATAGATGGCCCTTATTATTTGAGGTATGTTCCTTTAATGTCTAGTTTGTTGAGGGTTTTTATCATGAATAGATGTTAGATTTTATTGAAAACTTTTTCTGCATCTATTGGGATAATCATATGGTTTTTGTTTTTAATTCTGTTTATGTGGTGAGTCACATTTATTGACTTGAATATGTTGAACCAACTTTGCAGCTCAGGAATAAAGCCCACTTAATCGTGGTGAATTAACTTTTTGATGTGTTCCTGGATTCACCTGGCTAGTTTGTTGAGGATTTTTGCATCTATGTTCATGAGAGATATTGGCCTGTAGTTTTCTTTTTTGTCATTGTTGTTGTTGTTGGTGTGTCTTTGCCAGATTTTGGTGTCAGGATGATACTGGTTTCATAGAATGAGTTAGGGAGGAATCTCTCCTCCTCAATTTTTTGGAATAGTTTCAGTAGGATTGGTACTAGCTCTTCTTTGTATGTCTGACCACCTACTCTTCAGTCATTTAATTTATAAATTTATTTTAGTGTTCCACAGAACATTAGTTTCATAAGATGTTAAATAACATTCTACAAAAAAAATAGTGTTTTTTGGCCAAATACGTTTGGAGAATATGGCATACTGCCATTCCCATCGTGGCAATTCATGATGAACATGAAGCATTAAGAAATCCTGCAGTAATGCAACCTGTTTGTTTAACCCAGCATTCCAGTATTCCCCAATTCTTTGTGGAAAGTCTTTAAATAGCTTGTTTCCATGCATAGTTTGGAATATTCTTGTTTGTATAGGATATAAGATAAGAAACAAACTCATTTTTCTCCCAAGCAGTCAGTTTTCCTATCAACATTTGTTGAAGATCTCTTCCTTCCCTGCTTGTTTCTGGGACTTCCTTAATCATATATTAAATTCTTAAATGTCCTGGGATCTAGTCTGGAGCTGACTCTTGACTCTTTGGCTTTATTTCTTTATTTTTTTTGAGAGGGGCCTCTGCCAGTATTTTTGAGGGAGGCTTATTTGAATGCAGAATAATCACCCATGCACATCTGATAGTCAAATGTAAGCACTCCAGCACTAAAATTGAGGCCAAGTGAGTTATCAGTCATAGAGTCCTACTGAAGAAATTTTGAGTGGGAAGTCACACTTGCAGGGGTATTCAGAATTTGTCAGTGCTTGGCCACATCATTAGCAGCTTAAAAGAGCAAGAGCTACATTCTCCCTACCCTTCTTTTCCAATTGATAAAAGTGACAGTAGTTAGCATCCTGAGGTTAGTCATGGCATAATTTTGAGTCAGGTCCTTCTGGGAACTTGTCCTTACTTCCTTTCCTTCATAATACTCTAGCTTCATGAGGCCATTTAGTAAAATTAAACCTGAACTACTAGAAATTATAGACTTAATCACATTTCATCCTGAGTTGTAATTTTTTATTCATCCATCTCTGCTGGCCTGGAGCTGGCAGTAAGCAGATAAGTTTTTGTTTGCAATTGTGAGACCGTGCATTTTTTTTGCTCAGAATATCACAGTTGTTAGCTCACATGGACTCCAAAATCCCATACTTTAGCTACTTAGAGGATGTTCAGCCTTTCTATTCTGTGATCCTGTGATACAGTATATGTGGAAGTGTGCCAGTTTTCCTGGGGAAGGAAAAAAATTAAGCAGCAAACACAAACTTTTTTTAATATATAAAAGCATGTATGGATGGAAAAACTCCAAGATATTAATAATGACTATAGACACATGGTGGGATGTTGCTGGGTGTTCTCTCTTCCAGATAGCTTTGCACCCTGTGCTGGGCCCTGGAGAACGATCCATGAAGACTGTATCCTTGGGTTTGCTCCCCTGCCGTATGCTTTCTGGTTAGATTCAGCCAGTGGAGAGAGGGAGGAGAGTGGAGTTGGGGTATCTATTCCTCTGGCGCCATACTTACAGAATTGTCTTGGGCTGGCTGAATCCCTCAACTGACAGTCAAAACTTGTCTTAGCATACTCAGGATGCTTAAGAAATTATCATAGACTGGGTAGTTTATAAGCAGTGGAAATTTATTTCTCACATTCAGAGGGTGGAAGTCTGAGATCAGGGTGCCAGCACGGTCGGGTACTAGTGAGGACCCTCTTCCAGGTTGCAGACTGCCATCTTCTCATTGTATCCTTACATGGGGAAAGAGGGCAGGAGAGCTCCCTGGGGTGCCTTTTATAAGGGCACTAATACCATCATGCAGGCGATCAGTGCATAATACAGCTCCTCTCCCACTGTTTCTAGCCCCAGGATACTTCCTTATTCCTGTTGATTTCTTTTTCACCTTTCTAAAGATACTAGTGATCACTGCCCAAATAGCTCACAGTTAATAGTAGGATCTGGGTGCTCAGTTAAAGAAATGTTGGTTGCTGTTAGTTACCCCTTGGCTAAGCAGGTGTGTACTCACATATTGTTTTTCTCTTAGATCCAAGAGTTGAAGATTGGCTCCTCATGTCCTCGCCTCTGCCACAAACCATCCTCCTAGGATTCTATGTCTATTTTGTCACTTCCTTGGGACCAAAGCTCATGGAAAATCGCAAGCCCTTTGAACTCAAGAAAGCAATGATAACGTACAATTTTTTCATAGTACTCTTTTCTGTGTATATGTGTTATGAGGCAAGTGTCTTCAGTATTCCTAATGGGAGAATTTTGCCTGAGTTTTTCTGTTTATGTGTCATTATGTTTTCTGTTATAAGGGTAAACTTTGCAATTTAAGGAATTAAGAAACTGATCTCACTAGAGCAGGTATTTGCCAAAATAGTGTTAGGTATAGACCAAATAATAAACTCATTTGAGGATCTCAGTATAATCTGTCTCACAGATAATGAGAAAAACTAACATCTATTCCATGGATTTGTACATAATTGCCTTAATGGATTATTGAATTAATCCATAAATTTTAGTTTTGAGGAAACTCTTAAAGTAACATAGCTGGTAAGTGGAGGGCTGATATTTGAACCCAGGTCTGTCTGACATCAGAGTTCATCTTGACTCAGTAAAAAGTTGTCATCATCATGGTAGGCACCTTTGGTTTCTGGATACTCTGATGAACTATGGGATGGTAGACTGTTTTGGTTAGTTTAGCTGGGCTTTGTGGGGACAGAGAGCATAGACTCATATAAAGCAGTAGGTGAGGGAGCCTGTTCCTTAATTTTTTTCCCATTAACTCATTAATTCATTACTGTCCCTTAATTGTTAATAAGAGAGATGGGGCTCTTCCAGGACCCTAAAACAGATTCATGAATTCTCTCTCTTCCCCTGTGCTATTAACATGCCTCAGCCACCCCCATGTATGTTCTTTTCTGAGATTCCTTCCTTCTTTTCCAACTCTGGCTGGCTTCATTATCCTTTTTTATTAACTTCCTCTATAGCATAACTGGTGCTTAATCATAAGTAGGGCTCACGAGGGCCCAATATGGGCCCACTGACCTCTCCTGGCACCATAGTTTCTCCACATGCATTCTGACCTGACTCTTGCTACAGATCCATCATATCGATCACTTTAAATCTACTGTGGCTGGCCAGGTGTGGTGGCCTACACCTGTAATCCCAGCACTTTGGTAGGCTGAAGTAAGAGGATTGCTTGGGCCCAGGAGTTTGAGACCAGCCTGGACAACATAGGGAGACCTTGTGTCTACAAAAAATACAAAAAAATTAGCCAGGCGTGGCGGTGCACGCCCGTGGTCCCAGCTGCTTGGGAGGCTGAGGTGAGAGGATCACTTGAGCCTGGGAGGTCAAGGCTGCAATGAGCCGTGATCATGTCTAGTGACGGAGCAAGACCCTGTCTCAAAAAATAAAAATAAAAAAAATACTCTGGCCTTATTTCTCACAGTCCTCCCTATAGTCTGGACTCACTCTGCTGCTTTCCATTTCTTCTATTTTATTTTGAAAATTAACTCACAGGCCACTCTTAATGTCCCTTCAGGAGTATGAGCAACTGAGAGGAAAAGAGTGATAGAGATGGGAGCAAAGAAAACACAAGGTCCTAGCATGGTCTTAGGGGACAGCATGTTGTAGTAAGGTGTTAAGAACATACCTGGAAGCCAGGAGATTAGGAACTAGTTAGTTCTGCTTCTGCCACTGACTGGCTGCCTGAATTTTAGCAAGTTATTTAACCTCTCTGGGCCTCAGTTCTCTCGTTTTATAAAGATAGGATTGAACCAAATAGTCTCTCAGATCCCTCCTTGCTCTCATATTCTTAGGGTCTATGTCTGATTTGTCATTGAGTGTAATGTACCCAAATATATTTCTCAGGCTTGGAAAGAATCCAGTCATCGCCAGTCAGCTTTGATTCCTACTTGATCAATTACAATGTAAAAGAAGATTTTAAAATATCTGAATTTGAGAGTTTCTGACTCTCATTTACTGCTAATACTTGAGTTACTTATGTGTCAGTTTCAGGAACTACCTGCCAAATATAAATTATTACTTTCTGAATTCAGGGAATTCTTTTTTTTTTTTTTTTCACCAGAAAGGGTCTCGCTCTGTCACCCAAGCTGGAGTGCAGTGGCACGATCTTGGCTCACTGCAGCCTTGACCTCCCAGGCTCAAGTGATCCTCCCACCTCAGCCTCCCAAGTAGCTGAGACTACAGGCATGCGCCACTATGTCTAGCTAATTTTTTGTATTTTTTGTAGAGATGGTGTTTTGCCATGTTTCCCAGACTGCTCTCAAACTCCTAGACTCTAGTGATCCACCTGCCTGAGCCTCCCAAAGTGCTAGGATTACAGGTGTGACCCACTGGGCCTGGCCTAATTTTTCTTATTACTAGCCTGGAATATAGACATATATGTAAAAAGTTCCACAAGCTGTTGGAATGTTCTTAAACTTTCTACTCTATTTAAACAAAGGCTTTTGATAGCCACACAGCATGCCATCCATCTGTTGATGGCACATCCGAACACATGGTTTATTGTATGGAGTATGATTTCATTTGGTTTACAAAGCAAACACCTCTACCAATGATGTTAGGCCAAATCTGAAGAAGTTGAAAGGGAAGGACATCAGACTCAAGAAACTCAGATGCCTTCTTGTGTAGTGATTGTTTGAAAGTGCTAGTTACTTGGCAGCAGTCAGACACTAGCAGAGACCACTTAAGACCCAACAGAAGGCCAAGTCTCACAACTTTCATTCGACACAGTGCTTGTTTGGGGTAGGGTAAGGTGGAGAATTATTCATCACAATTCCAGTAAATAGCTCCTGGCCACAGAGCGTTACATTAGTCAAAAATGAGTCTGAGCACAAGAGAATATGAGGACACTCACTGACAGTAGGATTTTATAAAACAGAATTAGCCATTTCTATGTCACGTGCCCTTATTCATTTGGCAAAATCTATTGATTTGTTGTTGTTAACTATTTTTCTCATTCGTGAAATATCTTGTGCTTTTCTGAGTCTTAATTTTCAAGATTTTATAACTTACCAAGTTAACAGTGTGATTAAGTTATCTTATAAGTCAAGCTAGAGGCTAGTCTCAGAAAAGAATGTTGCATTTTATAATACTATAGTGTCTAATAATTGTTCTTCTCCTTTGTTTCTTTTCTTTACACAATCAGAATATTATTCTGACAATGCCTCATAAGCTTTTGTTTTTAGAATTTAATTAATTGTAAAGTTCTAATTTTAGCTTTAATAGTAATTAAAACTAGAAATTTAAAATATGGTTCAATGGCAGAAAAGGATATAACCATTATACTGAGAGAGAAGATCTCCCAGGGGGTATTTGGCATGTATGAGAAGAACTGATCATATTGTCAGTGCCCTAAATTAAGCCAACAATTTCATATATGTGTTAAGTTAAAATCAGAGCCCTTGGCTTTTCCTTTTCAGATACTGTTTTAAAAGAAGACCTTCCCACCATCAGACTGAAAGAATGTCAGTATAATCTTTATAATCTTTGAATTACACTTCAGATTTATCAACAATAGGCTCTTTCTTGTCACATCAGCCTTGGATCACTTTGTGGGTGTGTTGGAATTAAGGCCTGCCAGATTGCACTTTTATTGTTAACGAGCATTTTCCTCTTTTACTTGTCTTGTGAATCCACAGTAAAACTATTAATAATATCTGAGCCATGGACTACCACCTCACATCACACTCACCAGCCAATGATGGGAAAAGCCCAGTTGTCGCAGCTATCTTATGAGTACATTGAGGCATTTTGGTTTGCATGTTTAGTTATTGACTAAGTAGAAAGACTGGAAATTGCTAGAAATGACTGATTCAGATCCAAGTGTTCCCTTTAAGAGTACACAAACACATTCACTCACACATACATAGATGAACCTAAGATAAGTCACCTACCAGTATTTGCTGTTTAAGCAAAACACTCCAAGTGTTTTATTCTTCACCATATTAGAATAATCATCCCAAGAGATGAGCATTTTAGTCAGAGCACAGTTTATATAAATAATATATGAGTTTGTGGTTTTGAAAATTCTTGATATCAAGCTTTGATATCAAGCATGTTCATTTTGTATTTGTTCCAGCTACCTTTTCCTCTGCACTGACTATTGACTTAGCTGAAAATGTAATGAAGAGACACTATCAAAACTACCTTTGTTGTGGCTGTTGGGAAAATGCTTTCCTTTCTTAATATGCATGTGCTCTCTTGCAGTTTGTGATGTCTGGCTGGGGTATAGGTTATTCATTTCGATGTGACATTGTTGACTATTCACGGTCACCCACAGCTTTGAGGGTAAGTTTCTCTTTGGAAAAACTTGAAATTCAAAATCAATGTTAAAATTTTGTGAACTGTTTGTAACACTGAACGTAAACTTAGAATAAGCAGATGACTCAGTTATCAGATTGTGTGTGTTGTGGTGGAGAAAGTGAACAATTACAAGAATAAAAAAAATCACATGTATAATTTTCTATAAAATGAAAATTGGTGCTTTTCTTTTTTAATTTCTTGGATTTAAAAATAAATTCACATGTGGTTCCTCAAAAAATTGAAAATAGAATTACCATAAGATCCAGCAATTCTGCTTCTGGGTATATACCTAAAAGAATTGAAAACAGAGACTTGAAGAGATGTTTGTATACTCATGTTTACAGCAGCATTATTTATAACAGCCAAAAGGTAGAAGCAACCCAAGAGTCCATGGATAGATAAATGGATAAACAAGGCCAGGTGCAGTGGCTTACGCTTGTAATCCTAGCGCTTTGGGAGGCTGAGGCGGGTGGATTGCCTGGGCTCAGGAGTTTGAGACCAGCCCGGGCAACACGGTGAAACCCCATCTCTACTAAAATACAAAACTTAGCAGGGCATGGCAGCATGGGCCTGTAGTCCCAGCTACTCGGGAGGGTGAGGCAGGAAAATCGCTTGAACCCAGAAGGTGGAGGTTGCAGTGAACCGAGATTGCACCATTGCACTCCAACCTAGATGACAGAGTGAGACTCCATCTCAAAAAAAGAAAAAGATAAATGGATAAACAAAATGTGGCATATGTATAGAATGGAATATGATTCAGCCTTTAAAAGGAAGGGAATTCTAACTCATGCTACAACAGGGATGAACCCTGAGAACACTATGCTAAGTGAAATAATTAGGTCACAAAAGGACATATACTGCATGATTTGGCTTATATGAGGTGCCTAGCATAGTCAAATTCATAGACACAGAAAGCAGAATTGTAGCTGGGGTTAGAGAGGGAGAATGGGATGTAGTTTAGTGGGTGTAGCTTCAATTTTGCAAGATGAAAAAAGTTCTATGGATGGATGGTGGTAATGGTTGAACAACAGTGTGAAGGTACTTAATGCCACTTAACTGTGCACTAAGAAATGGTTGACATGACAGATTTTATGGTATGCATATTTTACCAAAATTTAAAAATATAAGCTTTTCTTCCATATACAAAATAAATTTAGATTTATTTGTGCTTCTGCAGATGGCACGTACCTGCTGGCTTTATTACTTCTCCAAATTTATTGAGCTATTAGATACGGTGAGTATATGGCCACCACATTTGGTAAATGTTTGATCTTAAATGTTTGATCTTAAATGTTTGATCTTTCAGTGAAACCAATAAACTGCTGTAGTTTCAGTTGTCTGATAACTTTGGTTATTTCTCCTATTCAGGCAGACCTACTGTTATCTTTTTTACCTTTTATTATCAGTAACTTTAGAGAATAGATAGGATAACCTTATTTTTTCAGTATTTTGCAAACTCTATAAAGTTTCTGTTACATAGCTATCAGTTGATTATGATAAGCATGGTGACTGTGTCATATACTCCAAAACTGCATCTTTATATAGATGGATGACAGTTGTTTTATGAATCAAGTTCAGGAAGTAAAAAGCAGAAAACATCTTACCTTTGTTTGTTTGTTTTTTTATCCCAAAGCACAGTCATCCATATTCCTTTAGGAGGATGAATAAACTTTCACGAGAATGTTGCATTACCCCTGGGCTGTCGGTAATTCAGCTGCTTTTCTGAAGTCTGTGCTTACTGGGCCCTATCTCTTCCTACTTCAGATCCTAGTGAGGATCGCCTCTGAACTTGGATGACCGGGTCTTGGGAGAAGCACGTGTCACAAATTAGCGTCTGTGATTTAGAGGAGAAAGCCATGAACCTTTGTTTCCAGAGGAGCTTAGGAAAGCTGAATATTTGTTGTATCTTTGCAGCAAGTGTATCTTAGTTATTTGGAGCTAGTTTTGGCTCAGACTGAAAAGTGTGTTTTCTTTGGAATGCATACCATGATATTTCTTGTAGGAAATCTCAATATGCTTCACCTTTTGAAATGACTAATCACATAATGTTAGAATTGGAAAGGACTTGTGTGAACATACAATCCAGTGGTTCTCGAACTTTAACATGCATTTAGAATCACCTGAGACTTGTTAAAACACAGCTGCCTCGACCCCCACCCCCAGAGTTTCTGATTCACTAGGCCTTGGATGGGGCTCAAAATTTGCATTTCTAACAAGTTCTCAGATGATGCTAATACTTATTGGTCCAGGGACCATGTTTTGAGAGCCTGTATTCTGGTGGTTCCAGCCCACATTGTGCAATAGAATTAATTGCATTAGGGAAAACAACGACGACAAAAACAAGCCCTACCTCCAGAGATTTGGTGCCATATGGTCTGGAACAGAGACCAAGCATAGCTATTTTTAAAAAGCTTCTTGGATATTGTAATATGCATCCAGGGTTGAGAAGCATTAGTCCAGAACCTTCACTCTGAGAAATTGAAGCCAAGGAGTTAAATGACTTACCCAGAGGAATGCTGCTACTAAGTGGGACTAGGACCCAGAGTGTTAGTGTATGGCTTTTTCTGTTGCACCACTCAGCCTTCTTCCATGTGCGTAAGCAAACGCATTTTGCACTTGGAAATGTGCAAAATTTCCATATTCTCAGTTGCTTTGCATGTTCTCAGTTCCAGCTTCCGTAAGGAAACTGCACTGCTTCTGTGTCCTTCCCTAAACTACATTGCTCAAATACTCTTAATACTTTTCTTTGTGCTATTCTGTTTAGTCTTGTATTTAAAAATCTTAACACTCGTATTCTTAATTTCACTTTGGAATATTTTTTGAAAATTTCCCCCTCTCCCAAATTCTACCATTTTGTTGACAGGGTTTTTACAAACCACTGGATAACGTTCACTCTGAGTGTTACCTTCCTTCGCCTTCTCATTTTTTTTCTATGCAGTTTTGCTTTCTTTTCCCTCATATTTCTCAAATTAACTTTTCAACTTTTTCTCCCTTCATTTTTCTTTAATAATAATTTCCTAACTTTTGATTTGTTGCAAGTCCTCTTCGTTTGCCTAATCCCTTATCCATATCAGTAAGATGTATTAGAAAGCAATGTAGAATATTTCAATCATAAGTCTTCTGCTTTCCCATACACTTCAAAATCCAGGGGAATTTTTTTTTATCAATACAATTTCTTTCAATAATTTTGGCCATATTCCTTACTTTATATCTTTGATTTTTAAATCTACATAAAGTTTCTTTTTGCCTTTTTATTGGTGTTTCCATGTATAGGCGTCGTACCTAAGTTACTTCATAATAATTAGATTTGAGCTGCCCCTTGGGGAATTAGCTGCTTCTGTAAGCATTCTATAAGGCAACACTTTTAGAGGAAATTATGATATGAAATACTTTGCACTTTGCCAATATTTTTTATAATACTCAATACACTATCAAATGATTTTCTGTGAACTTGATATTCTTTAAATTATTTCAGATCTTTTTTGTTCTGCGCAAGAAAAATAGCCAAGTGACTTTCCTTCATGTATTCCATCATACCATCATGCCGTGGACCTGGTGGTTTGGAGTCAAATTTGCTGCAGGTAGACAAGGGAAATTTGGGATCATGTGTTATAAACAACATTTCTATATGCTAAAAACAAAATATTTTTCTAAAATGTGATTTATAAGAAACTCAAAAAAATCAAAGAGTCACTTTGTTTATACTTATTTCATTAATTATTACTTGAAAAATAAACATAAGACTCATAATAACTAGGTTTACCCCACTCTTTAGATATACATAACTTCTGGGCACAGCCTTCTACACATATTCTTTAGTTGTTTTGTTTGTATTTTATTCTTTTCCCAGAGAGGTTTATTAAATATCTTTAAATAAATAAATAATAAATAAATCAAATGGTAAAAACTTTGGCTTTATAGGAGTATAGAGAACAATTTCCTGTATGCTCCCAGGAAGTTAGAATGCTTATCTCAAATTCTATGTCTTATTTGCCTTCAAATTTCTAATAGCTGACACACACTCTAACCCCTAATAGCTCTTTAAAGATGTGTCAAATTGTGGTTACCCCAACTTCCTAAAGCATCCTACCATATTAAAGAATGTGTTGATACTGTTTTTAAGGTCCAAAATAGTTTAAATGGAAAGTTTGGAAAACAGGTCGTTTCTTTTTTGTTTTAGGCTTCTGAACATCAAGCATTGGAGAAACCAGAAATAATTTTATCCTATTATACAGTTTTAAATAGGTGATATCCCCAAGGATATATTCTTACCTTAGGAAAATTTGGTTGGGGGATTTATTTGTTCCAGTTTCTTAAATTTTAAAAGTCTTCAAATAGACCTATAGCTGATAACATTTCTGTGAATAGCTTGCCTCTATTGGCCTTTCTAACTCTGCTAGACTAAAAGAAAGGGGGAACCACAATTGAGGAACTCTTGTTTGAGTTCTAGACTCTCTAAACATGGAGGAAAAATATCTACATGTCTCAGAGCATGGGAGGACATGGATAAGCCCGTGTCAGGAAGGGGATGCCAGAACTCAGAGGAGCCACAGGGGCTGTGAATCATGAGTAAACAGCTGTCGCTACCATGGCTTATGGGCATCGGATTTTCCAGGATGTAAAGTACCTCCTTACTCAGAATTGGCATTTATTACTGAAGAATGTTTTTAAGTAAATGTAGCTGCTTTTTCTTATGAGGTTTGTTAGTATAAACCTTTCATTTACATTAAAACAAGATAGTCTCAGTGGTGTCCATTTGTCAAATCAACAGTAACTGTATTAATCTCCATTATTTTACTTATCCTTACTTTCTGTGTTTCTATTTCCCCTTATATGCATATTGTCCCTTCCCATTCTTTCTACAGTGATATACATTGACACTTATTGGTGTTTGTGAAAAACTGGAAAATACCTAAACACTCACTAATAGAGTGGTTATTATTACTTGTGTCTATATGACTGTGAAACAAAAATGATATTCAGATGTATTAAATGTCCTAAAATGAGGATCCTATACACAAAGATTTAACAAAGCTCATCTTCTTTGTTAAGCGTCTTGACTCCTAAATTATCAGAAATAGATGACTATTCTATTTTTAAAGTATGCTAGAAAAGGTGCTTTCACATCCTTATAATTTATTTATTCTGATTTCTCCCATGAGGCCAGGATACACACTGAAAACTAAATGTGAATAGAAGAAAGATTGGAAGGCAATATCCCAAAATATAAACAGAGGTGGTTTGGAGATATTGAAACAAAAAGTGGTTTTTTTCTCCCTCTTTATTTCCGTCCCTTTCTCTATATTTTCTAATTTTTAAATATTGAATATCTGACAGTTCAAGAATGGGAGAAATAAATTTTATTTAATGAATACAATTGAGCATTTTTCTAACTTCTATGTTTGAGTTCATTGATAGTGTAGTTTCCATTTCAAAAGCAAGCAGTGCTTTCAATAATGAGAATTTAAATATGATATACTTCAATTTTTTTTTTTTTTTTTTTTTTTTGAGGCAGAGTTTCACTCTTGTTGTCCAGGGTGGAGTGCAGTGGTGTGATCTCGGCTCACTGCAACCTCCGCTTCCCAGGTTCAAGCGACATACCTCAGTTTTTAAGTGGTACTATGTTTATGGACATCAGTCACTTTATAACGGGTTTCTTGTCCACACCTTAATCCTTCTTCTTCTTTACAAAATGAGAATAGTAGAAGATAGTTTTCTTCTCTCTCATATGTTCCATGCATTGGCACTTCTGTTCAGTCTTACATGTGGAATTCTAGTAAACACTGACTACTCCTACCATCATGACCCCTAGCCATAATATGATTTATCTCCACACTAGCAGAAACTAACCGAGCCCCCTTCGATCTTACAGAAGGAGAATCAGAATTAGTCTCAGGCTTCAATATCGAATATGCCGCAGGCCCATTTGCCCTCTTCTTTATAGCTGAGTATATAAACATTATTATAATAAATGCCCTAACTGCTACAATTTTTCTAGGAGCACTATGCACTATTTATTCACCAGAACTCTATACGATATATTTTACTATTAAAACTGTCCTCCTAACCTCCCTATTTTTATGAATTCAAACAGCATACCCCCAATTCTGCTACGATCAGCTTATATACCTTTTATGAAAAAACTGTCTGCCACTCACACTGGCATTTTTCATATGGTATATTTCAATACCCGTCACAATCTCCAATATTCCCCCCAAACCTAAGAAATATGTCTGATAAAAGAGTTACTTTGATAGAGTAAATAATAGAGGTTTATTCAGCAGACCTGATACCTATTTCAGTGACAAGCACAGCAACAAAAGCTGTTCCCAGAAATGTTGTTTGGCGCTGAGGTCCATTCCTAGAATGAAACTGTCCATTCCAAACTGATTTTTGCAAAAACTTGAGCACAGCTGATCTCTATCTAGTATTTAATTTCCTATTTTTCTGTTGTACTCCTCAATGGGGTAATAGCAATCCAGCTATTCTTTTGAATAGGATGAAGATATTTCTGTGGTAGGTTTTTACATTAATTGTGCATATATCCCCTTCCAGAGATATGGAGAATTGTGATAATTACCCAGGTGATTCCTTTGTTTTTTCCAAAGGAGTAAAATGTGATGGTACTAATCGTAATTCATTCTGAGATGTCTGTTTACAGACCCATTATCATAAAGAAGAAAACAGGCTTAGAAAATATTTTGTTAGGAAAGCCTTCCAAAGAAGATACAAAAAACATTATTAATTAAAATATGGTTGTTTTGTAAATATTAAAATAGCTTGTCAGAAAATAATCATAACTAGAGAAAGTAAACATGTTACTTTTATTTGATAGCTTATTTTGATCAGTAAACCTTACTAAACACTCTTGGCTACACTAGTGCTTTGTTAAATCCCTGTGTCTAAGATCCTCATTTTAGGATATTTAATGGTGAAAATATCCAAATAGAAAATAGGCACTCCTGAAACTGGATCCCTTCCTTACACCTGATACAAAAATTAATTCAAGATGGATTAAAGACTTAAACATTAGATCTAAAACCATGAAAACCCTAGAAGAAAACCTAAGCATTACCATTCAGGACATAGGCATGGGCAAGGACTTCATGTCTACAACACCAAAAGCAATGGCAACAAAAGCCAAAATTGACAAATGGGATGTAATTAAACTAAAGAGCTTCTGCACAGCAAAAGAAACTACCATCAGAGTGAACAGGCGACCTACAAAATGGGAGAAAATATTCACAACCTACCCATCTGACAAAGGGCTAATATCCAGAATCTACAATGAACTCAAACAAATTTACAAGAAGAAAACAAACAACCCCATCAAAAAGTGGGCGAAGGACATGAACAGACACTTCTCAAAAGAAGACATTTATGCAGCCAAAAAACACATGAAAAAATGCTCACCATCACTAGCCATCAGAGAAATGCAAATCAAAACCACAATGAGATACTGTCTCACACCAGTTAGAATGGCAATCATTAAAAGGTCAGGAAACAACAGGTGCTGGAGAGGATGCGAAGAAATAGGAACACTTTCACACTGTTGGTGGGACTGTAAACTAGTTCAACCACTGTGGAAGTCAGTGTGGCGATTCCTCAGGGATCTAGAACTAGAAATACCATTTGACCCAGCCATCCCATTACTGGGTATGTACCCAAAGGACTATAAATCATGCTGCTATAAAGACACATGCACACGTATGTTTATTGCGGCACTATTCACAATAACAAAGACTTGGAACCAACCCAAATGTCCAACAATGATAGACTGGATTAGGAAAATGTGGCACATATATACCATGGAATACTATGCAGCCATAAAAATTGATGAGTTCATGTCCTTTGTAGGGACATGGATGAAATTGGAAATCATCATTCTCAGTAAACTATTGCAAGAACAAAAAACCAAACACCTCATATTCTCACTCATAGGTGGGAATTGAACAATGAGAACACATGGACACAGGAGGGGGAACATCACACTCTGGGGACTGCTGTGGGGTTGGGGGACGGGAGAGGGATAGCATTAGGAGATATACCTAATGCTAAATGACAAGTTAATGGGTGCAGCACACCAGCGTGGCACATGTATACATATGTAACTAACCTGCACATTGTGCACATGTACCCTAAAACTTAAAGTATAATAATAATAAATAAAAAAAACTTTAGACAAATTAAAAAAAAAAAGAAAATAGGCACGCCTCTATTAAATAACAGGAGAGGTGTCTTAGTTAGAAAAGCTCTGACATAGTTCCATATCAAAGGTGAAATAGATGTCCTATGTGTATATTATTATGAAACACAAATGAATTTGAGAGGTATTTGGCTTATCCTCCTTTTAAGCACCTTGACTCCTCAACTATCAGAAGTAGACAACTATTCTATTTTTAAATTAACCTAGAAAAGGTGTTCTTATACCACAATAATGTGTTTATTCAAATTTCCTTTGGGAAAGAAGACCATTCCAAATATAAATAATACAAGCTGGAAAGTTGTTAATACGCTTAATTAATTCAGTTCCTTCTGACTTGAAATTTATGGTAATTGAGGGATTAGCTAAAATATGGCTTTCTCTTGTCAGGAGGAGAAAGTTTATGTAGAACAGTATAGCATAAATGAGGCTTTGGGAGAATACTTAACTGCTTAAAAGTAATTATTTAAAACAGGTTATTTTAACAGAGTACTTCAGCAGTGCTAGTATCTAGAAATATCTAGAATTGCTGCAATTAGGAATAATTATTTAAAAGCAATTTCTACTGTGTAACAGTTTTGTTAGATTTTCTCCAGATCATATTAGAAGTGATGAATTTGTATTTTCCTTTAAACTTTCTGTAATTCATAGTGTTTATGAATTCAGTTCTTCTCCTACCATAATCTAAATTGATGAGGGTTTGCTTTATTTCTAGAATTAAAGAATACTGGAATTAAGAAAATAGAATGTTTTAGAGAAAAATGTAAATTCCAGGTCAACATTACTAAGCTGAGTCAGGCTATACATAAAGAACACATATTCTTCCAGATTGTCGTCTTAGGAAACGGACCCCAGGGAGAGTGTTCCTCCCGCCACACTATCAGCTAAACACCGTTTCCCCTTCTGCTGTATTACTGGTCCAGCTAAAGACAATTGAAATGATTTTTTCTTACATTCCCACGTGTTCTTTGCTTCTATTCTCAATTGAAGGTGATGGGTAGGAAATGTGGCGAAATGAGAAGAAGAAAACCAAAATAGGAAGGCATAATCAATTGGAAGCCGTAAATAAGGATGGTTTCACAGTTAGTAGATATTTACTTTGGGAAAACAATAATTAATTAAATTCAGCAGTTTGCTAGTGAAAGCCAGTGGTTTTACTGCCAAAATTATTTAATGAAGATTATTGAGAGTAGGAAAAGTAAATTTGATTGCACACAATGACATATAAAAAAATATTCTTAGCAGCTTTATTCAGAATAGCCCAAATTGGAAGCAACCCACATGTCTGTCAATAGGAGAATGGGTAATTAGTGATGCGTTTATATGGTATAAACACAGTAGTAAAAACACAAACTACCAATATATGTACCAGGTACAAAAGAGTACATCCTGTGTAATTCCATTTATGTGAAGTTTAATAGCAGACAAAAGTAATAGTTGGTAATAAGAAGTTAGAGTAAAGCTACCTTGGGAGGGGTATATTCTTGGAAGGAGCACATGGGAATCTTATGTGGTGTTGGAAATGTTCTGTATCTTGATCTTGGTAGTGACATGGGTGTATACATACATGAAAAATCATCAAGTTAAGATTAATGTACTTTGTATACTTTTTATATGTTAAACCTCACTACAATATGAACATTATTACTATTATTTAGCAACATATTATATTTAAAAGGTAACTCAACTAAGTGTAAGTAAATTCAAATCATAAGACCACCTTAAGCTAAGATATAACAAAATAAAGATACGCTAATTTACTTTCTCAGGTTCATATCTTATATTTTACTAAATATACTATCCAGCCCCCTCTAATTTGATAGTTGTTTAACAGGATTGATATTTTATATATTTTTTTCCAAAATGCAAGAAATAATTATACAAAAATCTCAGTTCAGATGAAAATGTGGTTCATTTTAAGGAACAATGGCCCCATGTTACAATAATTTTATTTTCCAGGTGGTTTGGGAACATTCCATGCCCTTCTAAATACAGCTGTACATGTAGTCATGTATTCCTACTATGGACTTTCTGCATTGGGGCCAGCCTACCAGAAGTATTTGTGGTGGAAAAAATATTTGACATCATTACAGCTTGTGAGTAATTAATTGTCTTTAAAACCATATATGAAGCAGCTAGAGTCACTTGTTTTCACTGTGAATTAGGATACTGGTTAAATAAAGAAGAAAGACAAAACAATAGGGGTAGAGCGTCTGGCCCCTACATGATATGCCATCATGGTTCTTAATATGTTAGATGAACTTTGGTAACCAAGAGGCTCAGACAGTTAAACAAGCATGTGTATTTTTGTGCCATCTTTATATTATGCATTTATACAAGAATAAATACATTTGTGATTAAGATAACTCCAACGTTATGTGACCCTCAATAGGCATAATACCTATTAGAAATTAGAAATTCCGTTAGATCTAAATGACCTTGAGGGAATGCAACTTTGAGGGAACGATGAGCCTTCCTGTGTGCTTACCTATATAGTCCCAACATTTATAAGTCCATCTTCCCTCCAGTCAATAAAAAGCACTGTGAGAATTAAAAACGTAGAGGGTTAGACCAACATATATGTATTACCTAAATTTGAATACTGCCCTTATATAAGCAATGTTTGAAAGAGCCAGAGGCACTCAGTTTAGACCTAATAATGCATTCTAAGCATTAATTCTCAAAATATATGATATTTAATTTTTTTGGAGACTCATTATGGGTTTGAGATGATGATTTGCTTTACATTTTATTGGTGTCTATTAAAAGGAGAAATCTGCCACCCTTGCATTTCCACATTTGCAGTCTATAATAAATTGATGTCATATTCTGCCAGTAACACCAATGAGAAAGTATGAATTTGGTTTAGATGGCGTGGTGAAGATTAATTTTTTATTAAAATCCTGTAACTTCCTACATGAAATTTGGCACATTCATATAATGTGTTCTTCCAGGTGAGAGGTTGATATTTTAATGGATAAGGATCCTAAATCAAGATCAGAGTATTTCCTTGCAGAGTTATTTGTTGTATTTGAAATTGGCAGCAAACTAAATGACCAATCATAAGGATATGGTAAAATATATTATTTTAATTCATACTTTGAAATACTATGAAGTCATGAAAATTACTCACCATTGCTTCTTTAAAAAATATTATTTTCTCAAAGTAGTATATGCTCATTGCAAATACGTGAGAACACCTAATTAAGCAAAGAGAAAAAAATACATGGAATTCTGCCACCCAGGGATAATCACTGATATTTTTATTTGGTTTTCATCCAGTTTTTCTCTCAGGCATATGTGTACACCTTTTACATTTTTTGTATAGTATTGCATATATAATTTTGTATTTTGTATTTAGGCTTTTTTTTCTCAGCATACTCTTAAATGTACAAACTTTTTAATAACGTGAAAAAATACTGATGTAGAAAGAATAGGATGGACATTTTTTCATCATATTCTCAAATATGTCTATTATACACAAACATACACATGCATAGAATGTTAAGGATATCGTTTAGCCTTCCTAAAGTTTTGTTTTCTCTTTTGGAAAATGAGAGGAATAAGTGGCTATGTTGTGGGAATGTCATAAATATACATTAAGATAATGCAAGGAAAGTTGATGATGACAAGGATAAAATGATAATAAAATAAACTATATGAAAATCTTAACCATGATTTTAACTAGACAGATTGTGAGTAATTGTTGTCTATTTCTTTATAGAGTTTTACTTTTCTAAGATTTCCACAGAACACATATTGCTTTTTAATCAGGGAAAACATGATAACCAGAAAATCTGAATATTAGCCTAGAAAAGGTCCCTCTTGGGACTGTGTAAGATGTTCTGCCCCACAGAGCCCTTGAGCACTACTAGAAGGGCCACCAGTTCTCTCTCACACCTCGTAGATTCTCTGCCTCAGTTGGCAGTTCAGACACTTTTTTTTTTTGAGATGGAATCTCGCTCTGTCACCCAGGCTAGAGTGCAGTGGCACGATCTCGGCTCACTGCAACCTCCGCCTCCCAGGTTCAAGCGATTCTCCTGCCTCAGCCTCCTGAGTAGCTGGGACTACAGGCGCGTACCACTGCGCCCGGCTAATTTTTGTATTTTTAGTAGAGATGGGGTTTCGCTATCTTGACCAGGCTGGTCTCGAACTCCTAACCTCGTGATCCACCCGCCTCAGCCTCCCAAAGTGCTGGGATTACAGGCGTGAGCCACCGTGTCTGGCCTAGACACATTTTTATCTGTGACAGTGGAGGACAAGTGGCAGGTATAAGGACTCCGAGATGCTTTAACTACTAAAAAATTCCAGGGGCTCTAAGTAAAATGTTATTATTTTCCAAAAATTAAAATATCTGGTCCAATAACAGGACAGAATATTTGAAATTGAAATCATACTGAAAAAATAGGCCACATGTAGTGCATGGTCATTTCATCATAGTCAAGGACTCAAGTCAGAGACTGTTAGAGAAAACCTGCTCTGTTGATTCTCTGAGTAGTAAAAAGGTTGCTGCACTGCACAGCTCCAGGGAACATTTAAATATAGACCCTGCGGTTGTGCAATTTTGTGGTTCTGAATAGTGGATCCATACTTCCAACTGGCTTTTGACATTATACCACCCATTATCACTCTCAGGGAGGCTAGATTTAAAGATGGACTTCTTTGCCCAATAGTGCACTCCCTGCACTTTGGGAGTGCATAAACATAGGTAGGTAAAGAATTGTTAACTCTTCATATCTGAATAATTTTTTTTCACGTTTTCATTTCTTAGGTCCAGTTTGTTATTGTCGCCATCCACATAAGCCAGTTCTTTTTCATGGAGGATTGCAAGTATCAGTTTCCAGTCTTTGCGTGCATCATTATGAGTTACAGTTTCATGTTTCTGCTGCTCTTTCTCCATTTTTGGTACCGTGCTTACACCAAAGGTCAGAGGTTGCCCAAAACTGTGAAAAATGGAACTTGCAAAAACAAAGATAATTGAAGCCCAACATAAGTCTATGATCGAAACTGATACATTGTCTTCCTTGACAATCAAGAGATATTTACCTATGCAGTGCATTTTGTATATTTTTCAAAACTAAGAGCTTGTATTTTTATGGTAAGTTATTGGGATGTCTGATATTTGAGAGCCCGAAGCTTCCAGATAACAGTCTTCTGATAATTAGAGCCTACAGCAGCCAGAATTTGTTTTTGTTTTTGTTTTTGTTTTTTTAGCTGCTTTTAAACCTAATCCAAAGGTTTTGTTTAAAACATTTTGTTGCAGTGAAAAAAAGATATGAAGCAATACAGTACTCTTCAAAGAAGTCCAATAAAGATGAAAAATATCATTAGGTATTTTGAGCACAGACGGAGATCCATGTGATAAAATAGATTCCTTCTGCTGGGTCTGGAAAGTCTGGAAACCACCTGTAGGCCCTGGCTTTGTCATTTATTGACTGTATTCAGAAGATACTATATTTGCTCTAGAGTTAACTCCCATTTTAGCAAGCTAGCACAGGTGAAAATTGAGTGAGTTTTTGATAACTTGTCATTTAAAATCATTAATGATAATTTTCAATGGATCTTTTCAGTAGCCATCACCAGTTTTGCTGATAAGACTTCCTCACAACCCATTTGTTGTACAAACTGTTTCAAAGTAGCAATCCTTTGGGTTAGTACACTTGATACCAAGTTTCATTCAGTTGATTATTTTCAAAACAAGGTGATTTGTTTTAATGGGTTAATGAATACTTTGCTATTACTGTTTTACAATTAACTTTGTATATCTCTGGAAAGAGGTGAATTTGTCAATGAAAAAAGTATTGTGTAGTTCAGTGGGAAAAACCTGTTGTCTGTTATAGTATCACATCACTTTCTTACATTGTCATGGTTTAAATTATTATCTTGGTGAAATATATAGGTTAGATACTTAAATGTTCATATTATTAGCACACTACAGGTACTACCCTTAAATCATAAATAATATTACCCATTGTACACAGTTTCCAGATATGAGTTAGAGTGGCTGTGAAGCAACTAGAGGCAAATTGTGGCACAGAGAATATCCAGGGGAAAATTGATTATGTAAGCAAGGGCTGTTCTACTTTGAGAGAGAGACAGACAGACTACATAATAGTAATATATTATATAATTAATGTTATAGATACACTGAACAATAAAACATTTTCTGGAATTATGAATTAATTAACAACCTGGATTTCTGTTTCCAGACCTATAAACCATGTAATGAAGGACTGAAATTCGTTTGGCATACACTTTGTTTCTTTAAAATTGCTAGTTTCTTTCTGTTATTTTTACATTTTCTTGTCAGAGAATCAAAACTATTAGTCAGTAGAGTTTTGTCCATGAAATAATATTTGGACATTTGTGAATTTTTCCCTATTTTTTTTCTTCTTTTATTTATACTCAATTTTGAAGCACTGTTTATGTTTGTAGGACTTTAAACAATTAGTACTTAAAGCCCCAGTTAATTTTGAACACACAGAGATACTTATTGTACTCTGTGTACAGTAAGTATTTTTATGTTTACACTTACCAGATTCATAAGGTTATTTGCCTTTAAGTGATCTTTTGTGATTTTACTTGATTACAGCATGAGAAGGTAAAGGTTGATAAATGGGAGTAATTACATATATATATATAATTTATTATTTTTTTTTCTGAAGCAGAGTTTTACTCTTGTTGCCCAGGCTAGAGTGCAATGGCACAATCTCGGTTCACTGCAACCTCTGCCTCCCAGGTTCAAGTGATTCTCCTGTCTCAGCCTCCCAAGTAGCTGGGATTACAGGTGCCCGCCACCATGCTCAGCTAATTTTTGTATTTTTAGTAGAGACAGGGTTGGCCAGGCTGGTCTCGAGCTCCTGACCTCAGGTGATCCTCCCACCTCGGCCTCCCAAAGTTCTGGGATTACAGGGGTGAGCCACTGTGCCCGGCCATAATTTTATATTTTTAGAAAATAAAGAATGAAGGACAAAAGAGCACAGCTAAATGAAACTGCTGCTCTAATTTATTCCACTGGAAAGGTCTCAGGACTCCTTAACTGTTTTCCAGGTTTGGCTCTTCATATCTAACCTGTGCTAAAATGAGAAGGTATGCTAGGTGCTGTTAGAAATCACACCATTTCCAAAGAACCCAAGTAGTATAGAGACCAAAATGAGGCAAAAATAAAAGAGATGAAACAGGAGAGTTTATTTCTTGCATACTTTCCGACCTTCATCATACAACCTCTCCTAACCTCCCTGTAGTCTTTAAAATGTTTAACTTGCCTATAAGCTAACATGTAATAAAACACATACTCAATTATATGAATAGAAGTGGAGAGCCAGAATGCTACAAAAGAAATCACAGCTGCTAGAAGTATCCTCCATAGAAACATCAACATGATTGTGGATCAAAATGATTTTCACTGGATATGGAATTTGTATGGGCCATATTTATTAAAAGAGTTCTGTGTGGTCACATAGAGTTCCTTTGGGATTTCATCCCACTTTTCAGGACTTAATTTGTTTGGGTTTGCTTACCTAACAAGCAACAACAACAACAAAATAAATAGTTCCAAAATCTAGTTTATTACATAAATCTCTATGAATCCTTGAGGGCCTATATCTATATTATAAATAAATACAAATATAGATTTTTAAATATCTATGGGACTTTGCCATTTACAGCCTTAAGTATAAAATTACGAGATTATATTCTTTCCATTACCCTTTATTTCTGCTAACTTTTTAAAGACTGGAACATTCTGTGGATGTTGTCAAAGTTTGAGTTTGTTTTTCCCTGTGTATTATAATAAATTTGTGGTATTGCATGTATACGTGTGTATATTTTTCATTTTGGAATCTAGCTGCATGTATTTGCATGGGTTGGTGACTTTTAATTTGAATACTCACCAATCAAAGTTATTTTACATATTTCTTGTATACGTGCTGTGTTCATCTTTGGGATACAAAGATACTTAGAACATAATTGGGATCTCCTGGAGCTTACCAACTGGCAGATGAAATTATGTGACAGGGCAGTAGATGATAGGTGCCAGATGAGTGACAGTTCTGCCACTTAGCAGACAGGGAAGACTCTATGAAGGAATTTGAATTTGAGTTATGTGTTTAGGTTGTACAGAATTTCAAAATTGGTGGTATGTTAGTAGGCAAGGTTTTTTAAGTGGAAAGAATTAACAAAAAAGAATATTTTGCCATCCCCACTGTCTCTAATAAATGGGACTAGCTAATGATCACTGGTTGCTAAAACAATTAGATGAAAGGTTGATGGGGATGGCTTGTGCTGATATGACTGAACCCAGTGATCAATCTTAATATCATTCAAAGTGGGACAACCAGATGTTTTGTCTCATAATACACTATAATACTCTGAGGTATTCGTGGCAAAAAAATTTTTGAACTTGAATCTAATAAATCCTCTGTATCTAAACTACTAGTTACAGGAAATACAATATATAAGAGTTAAAAGACACAAAAAGGATACCATCAGCCAAGTCCAAAATGTAGGAAATTCCATAGAACAAATGACCTGGTTTCTTCAATAAATAAATGACATTAAAAAAAAAAAAAGAAAACCAGAGAAGGCAACTTTTGTAGATGAAAGACTTAAGATATACTAACCAAATGTCATTTGAATCCTGATTTGAACAAACCAAATCATAAAAGGACATTCTTATAACAATCAGATATAACTGAACATGAACTAAATTTTAAAAGACAAACTATTAATATTAGATATTATTACTGTATTGCAGATGTATATATTTTAAAGTCCTTATATGTGAGATACATACACTGAAGTATGTATATGTAAAATGATAGGTTGTCTGATTTCGTTTTAACATACTCTAGTAAAAAGAAAAGGGGGTGTTGATAATTGTTAAAGTTGGGTAATGGGTTCACTTAATAAGAGTTTATTATACTCTTCTGTCTACGTTTGTGTATGTTTGAAATTGTCCAGTTTTTAAAAAGCAATGTATGTATTATAATGTTCTGTATAGATGTTATTTAAGTTAGGAACCAAAATGACAGAATTGACATGATTTTCACTGGTAGTCAGTCAGTATTGAGGGTGCTTACTGCATCTAAGTGTCATGAGAAACTTTAAAATGTACTGGATGTGGTCCCTGCCCTTAAAAAATTTACAGTACAGTTTAAAAAGACAGGCCTACATCAAATTTTAATAAAAACAAAAGTGGCATACCTGTTGACAAGTGAAAAGTGTATTACAGATTTGCAATATATATTATCCTAAAATTAAGTAGTTACCTTTGATGAAACAAAATATAATGTTCACCAGGACCCACTGAAGATGTTTGATGGAGGAGTAACATGATCAGCCTGGTTATGAGAGCCTCTGGAAAAGAATCCCTTCCATGGAGCCCGAGGCTCCCTGTCACCAGCATTTTCCAGTATTTCCTTCTTGTAGGAAGCAGTTGGGTGTAATAGACTGTAGTTATTGTCTGTCATTCCAAAGCATCATGCCATGTAGCTAAGTACTCTGGGGAAGGGCAGGGATACAGAGAAAATCTGCATATACCATATACCACCAGGGAAGAAGATGTCTTTGTATGCCTTCTTGGGTACCAAATACAATAGAGTCTAGGTCTGTTTCCTTCTAAAGGACTTTCCCAGGAGTCCCACACAACAACTTCCACTTACATCTCAATGGTCAAAACTGCCTCATGGCCATTTCTGGCTGCAGGAGAAGCTGTGAACTAATTTTCTAGATGGGCACATTGTCATCTCCAACAAAATTAGATTCTATTAGTAAGAAAGAAGGTAAGATGACGTTTGAGTAAGCACCTGATGTAACCTCACCCACTGAGAATCCATCACCATGATGGGCCATTATTTTGCACAGAAGTACATATAATTCTTCAAGTGTCTAAATGGAAAAGTGATTGAACACTCTTATTTAGGGCCAGCACTGTGCCTGGCATCAGCAAATGATTAAATCATTACTTCTGGATGAATATATATACACATAAGTTATATATAATGTATTATATATAATAGATTCATTCAAAATGATTGATACACTAATATAATTTAAAATATATAGTCTATATATTATAATTCAGTGTATATATTTAGCATATATTTTTCCATCAGTATACTATTTGTATAGCCTTTGTTATCTTTATATAAATAGTATTGTTGTTTCTCAAGCTGTTACAGTTTGTCTATTATTGACTAACAAATCACCCCTAAATTTGATGACTTACAGCTACATCAAGGCTACATCTCTTACCACTTTGAAGGATCAATGATTTGAGAAGCCGAGTGGTTATTGTTTGGGGTCCCTGGCGCAATTGCAGTCAGACTGTGGCTTAACCAGGAACCAGGAGGTTGAGGCAGTGGGGGATGGCTGGAGATCTCTGTGTAGTCTCAAGTCCTCTCTGTGTGGTCTTTCCCCTTGGGCTACTTTGAGCTTCCTCACAGCATGGCAGTCTCAGGGAAGTCAGACCAAAGGCTTCAGGAGTAAGCATTCCAGTGAACAAAATGGAAGCAGTATTGCCTTTTATAACCTAGCCATAGAAGTCAGGGAATATCACTTCACCTGTACAAAAGCCCACCCATTTTCAAGAGGAGAGGACACAGACCATGTCCCTCAATGGGAAGAGTGTAAAAGCTACCTCGTAAGTACATGTAGGATGGGAGAAATATTGTACTTGGAAAATACAGTCTGCCACACAAAGTATTACCTAAAATAGACAGGAATACTTATTTTTCTCTTTAGAAGAGTTAAAGCCTATCTTTAATTCACACAGTTCTGGTTTGTATTGACTAGTTCTGTAGGTGAAAGTAAGTGCCGTTTTATTTTTTCACTAAGAAAGTGGCCCCTTGCACAGAGAAATAGACTCAGATTTGAGTGTGGAGTTTAAGGTAGGTCCCTAGATTAAATGAGAGCAAGGGTTATGGTTCTCTTTGTTTCAGGCAGCATAAGATACATGATGATTGGGGACGGGGTGGAGATAGAAATTCCTCCAGATGTTTCTAGCAGATACAACCACAATATAACAGGACACAAAACATGTCTTTTATACCAGGCTGCCCCAGAGAGAGGGCCAAAGGGCTCTTACTTTCCTGGCACTGGCTGGGCATGTTCATACTTTTTATTGACAGCCAGTATCAGGTCAGGCTGCACATGTACCTATAACTCAACAAAGTTACAAACTATAACACTCTTCAAATCTAAATATGAACATTTTTGCCTATATTCAAACTACAGCATTATTAAAACATTGCTGCACCTTGTTTGTATTCTAGGACCTACAGGATTCAATTAGTTTGGGATGTACTCTGGTTACTAAAGGGAGAAAGCTTGATATGAGGTAAGTATCTCTAAGTGCCCAGGCCACACAAAAGGACACTCTGTACATAGTCCTTACAACTTAAATAAGAATGATATAAGCATCTGAGTATTTGAATGTGGAGATGTAAACTCGGAGCTACTGTGTTCCTTTTATTTTTTTTATAAGAGATGGGTCTTCCTCTGTTGCCCCAGCTGGAGCACAGTGGCACCTTCATAGCTCACAGTAACCTCACACTACTGGGCTCAAGCAATCTTCCTGCCTCAGCTTCCGGAGTGGCAACATGCCTGGATAATTTTTTTTATCTTTTGTAGAGACGAGATCTTGTTATGTAGCCCAGGCTGGTCTTGAACGCCTAGCGTCAAACGATTCTCCCACTTCAGCCTCTCAAAGCACTGGGATTACGGACAGGAGCCCTCTTGTGCCTTCTATCTTAAAAGTTGCACAAATTCTGGTCAGTGTGTCTTTTGCCCATTTTGGGTTATCTTGCCCATGAAAGTATGCCTTTCTTTTTATTCTTGTGGCAACCCTCCTTGTTCAGACCCGAATAATTTTTCCTAGATTATAATATTATCCTAGATTATAATATAGTCTAGATTATATTATAATAATATTTGCCTAGATTATAATATTATTATATTATCCCTGTATAAAAAGCCTTTCATCCTACTAGATGCTGTCATGGAGAGGAAGCGTGGTGCACTGGTTGGGAGCACAGGCTCTGGAACCAGCCTGCCTGGTCAAATCCTGACTCTGTTTCTTGCTAGCGCTATAACCTGGACAGCTTCTCTGTCTCTTAGTGTCCCAACTGAAAATGGAAACAATACTTCTTTATCCAGTTATTGTGGGATATTAGATGAGTTAAAACAGGGAAAACTTTTAGAGCAGTGCTTTCCTTCCAGTTATTCAGGCTAAAAACCTCAGAGTCATCCTCAGGTCCTTTCTGTCTCACTCAACGCCAAATCCAACAAGAAATCCTGCTGGCTTCCTCTCAAAGTATAACCAGAATCTGACCAATCCTGGGCCCTTATCATCTCATGCCGGGATTCCTGGAATAGCTTCCTGTGTGACTCTCTGTTTCTGCCTTTGCTTCCCTAAAACTTCTTGTCCAAATAGCAGCCAAAGTCATCTCTTAATATAAATCAGATCATGTAACTCTTTTATTCCGAACCCTACAGTGGTTTCTGGTTTCACTGAGCGTAAAAACCCTGTCATTGCTTCTCTGTCCTCACCGCCTACCAATCCCCACTTTGTTCCCTCTGCTCCAGCCACACTGGCCTCCTTGCTGGTCACTGGACCATTGTAAGTGCATTTCCATCTTAGGGTTCTTCATTTATTTTTCTCTGCCTAAGGGACTGTTCCCAAAATAACTGCTTGGCTAAACCCTTCAATTCCCTCCTTTGTTCAAATCTCACTTTTTCAGTACTGCAGCCTGCACCCTCATCTTTCTTTTTCCTATACAGCACTTATTACCTTCTAACATGCTATACAATGCATTTAGTTACTATTAATGTTATTTATTGACTGTCTTCCTCATGAGAAAGTAATCTCTTCAAGGGTAGATGATTTTGTCTATTTTGTTCACTGCAAGTGCCTAGAACAATGGCTGGCATATTACGGGAGTTCAATAACTGTTGTTGAATGAATGAATGAATGAACGAAGCACTGAATAAGTATGTGCTATTGTTATAAATTCTCTTCCTCTGCTCACTCTTTAGTGGTTTAGTCAATCATTCAACAATTTGTTAAACTCCTACTATATGCCAACTGCTGTGCTAGAATATAAAAATGAAGTCAAATAATACCAATCCCCACAGAGATTTTCGCTTGGATAGAGGGCAACAAACATGCAAACAAGTCAAGTCAGATATTCTGCTGTTAAACAAATAGTTTTTGTTTGTTTGCTTGTTTGTTTGTTTTGAGACGGAGTATCGCTCTGTCATCCAGGCTGGAGTACAGAGGCGCAATCTCAGCTCACAGCAACCTCTGCCTTCCGGGTACAAGCAATTCTCCTGCCTTAGCCTCCTGAGTAGCTGGGATTATAGACACCTGCCATCATACCTGGCTAATTTTTGTATTTTTAGTAGAGACAGTAGAAACTGGACCTTTTCCTTATACCACATACGATGGACTAAAGACTAAAATGTATACCCCCAAACTATAAAAACCCTGAAGGACAACCTACGTAATACCATTCTGGACATGGGAACAGGCAAAGATTTCGTGACAAAGATGCCAAACGCAATTGCAACAAAAGCAAAAATTGACAAATGGGATATAATTAAAGAGCTTCTGTACAGCAAAAGAAACTATCAAGAACATAAATAGACAGTTTATAGAATGAGAGAAAATTTTTAGAAACTATGCATCTAACAAAGGTCTGATATCTAGCATCTATAAGGAACTTAAACAAATTTATAAGAAAAAAAACATTAAAAAGTGGGCAAAGGACATGAACACTTTTCAGAAGAAGACATACATGAAGCCAGAAAGCACATGAAAAAAAGCTCAACATCACTGATCATTAGAGAAATATAAATCAAAATCACAGTGAGATTTCATGTCACACCAGTCAGATGACTATTATTAAAAAGTCAAGAAATAAAACAGATGCTGGCAAGGTTGCAGAGAAAAAGAATGCTTATACACTGTTGGTGGGAGTGTAAATTAGTTCAACCACTGTAGAAAGCTATGTGGTGATTCCTCAAAGAGCTAAAAACAGAACTACCATTTGATCCAGCAATCCCTTTACAGGGTATATACTGAAAGAAATATAAATCATTCTATCATAAAGACACGTGCACACGTATGTTCACTCCAGCACTATTCACAGTAGTAAAGACATGGAATCAACCTAAATGCCCACCAATGGTAGACTGAATAAGGAAAGTGTGGCACAGATAACGCCATGGAATACATGCAGCCATAACAAAGAACAAGATCATGCCCTTTGCAGGAACCTGGATGGAGCTGGAGGCTATTATCCTTAGCAAACAACATATGTTCTCACTTATAAGTGAAAGCTAAATGATGAGAACACATGGACATATAGAGGGAACAACAGACACTGGGGTCTAAGGCTGAAGTCTGGGAGAAGGGAGAGGATCAGGAAAAATAATGAAAGGGTCTAGGCTTAATACCTGAGTGATGAAACAGTCTATGCAACACACCCCCGTGGCACAAGTTTACCTGTATAACAAACCTGCACATGTTCCCTTGAATTTAAAATATAAATAAATAAATACCAAGAAGCAGCTTGTCCTCTCCTTCTGGAATCTCTGCCTGGTTCAGGCCACCTGCCTCCACTCCTGCCTCCACCATGTCCATCAGGATGACCCAGAAGTCCTACAAGGTGTCCACCATGTGGGCCCGGTGCCCGCATCAACTCCTCGAGCTTCTCTTAAGTGGGCAGCAGCAGCTTCCGGGGTGGCCTGGGCAGAGGCTTTAATGGGGCCAGTGGCATGGAAGGCATCACCGCTGTCACGGTCAACCAGAGCCTGCTGAACTCCCTTAACTGGAGATGGACTCCAGCATCCAGGAGACCACACCCAGGAGAAGAACCAGATCAAGACACTCAACAACAAGTTTGCCTCCTTCATAGACAAGGTACAGTTCCTGGAGCAGCAGAACAAGATGCTGGAGACCAACTGGAGCCTCCTGCAGCAGGAGAAGATGGCTCGGAGCAACATGGACAACATGTTTGAGAGCTACATCAATGAACAACTTTAGGTGGCAGCTGGAAACTCTGGGCCAGGAGAAGCTGAAGCTGGAGGCGGAACTTGGCAACATGCAGGGGCTGCTGGAGGACTTCAAGAACAAGTATGAGGATGAGATCAATAAGCGTACAGGGATGGAGAATGAATTTTTCCTCATCAAGAAGGATGTGGATAAAGCTTACATGACAAGGTAGAGCTGGAGTCTCTTCTGGAAGGGCTGACTGAGGAGATCAACTTCCTCAGGCAGCTGTATGAAGAGGAGATCCAGGAGCTGCAGTCCCAGATCTCGGACACGTCTGTGGTGCTGTCCATGGACAACAGCCGCTCCCTGGACATAGTGTCATCGCTGAGGTCAAGGCGCAGTACTAGGAGATCGCCAACCGCAGCTGGGCTGAGGTTGAGAGCATGTACCAGATCAAGTATGAGGAGCTCCAGACGCTGTCTGGGAAGCACGGGGATGACCTGCGGCATACAAAGACTGAGATCTCCCAGATGAACTGGAACATAAGCCGGCTCCAGGCTGAGACTGAGGGCCTCAAAGGCCAGAGGGCTTCCCTGGAGGCCGCCATCAGAGATGCCGAGTAGCGTGGGGAGCTGGCCGATAAGGATGCCAACGCCAAGCTGTCTGAGCTGGAGGCCGCCCTGCAGTGGACCAAGCAGGACATGGGCGGCAGCTGCGTGAGTACCAGGAGCTGATGAACGTCAAGCTGCCCTGGACATCGAGATCGCCACCTACAGCTGCTGGAGGGCGAGGAGAGCCGGCTGGAGTCTGGGATGCAGAACATGAGTATCCGTACGAAGACCACCAGCGGCTATGCAGGTGGTCTGAGCTCGACCTATGGGGGCCTCACAAGCCCCGGCCTCAGCTACGGCCTGGGCTCCAGTTTTGGCTCTGGTGCGGGCTCCTGCGCTTTCAGCCGCACCTGCTCCATCAGGGCCATGATTGTGAAGAAGATTGAGACCCACGATGGGAAGCTGGTGTCCGAGTCCTCTGACGTCCTGCTCAAGTGAACAGCGGAGGCGGCAGCCCCTCCCAGCCTGTCCGTCCTGCGGCTGCCCCAGAGCACGCGAGGGAGGCGGCTGTGCAGGGGAGCACAGGGAATGGGAGACCCACCTGAGGCTCAGCCCTAGCCCTCAGCCCACCTTCAGGGGAGTTTCCTGCCTGGGGATCCCCCATGCCCATGTCTCCAGCTACAAAACAATTCAATTGCTTTTTTTTTTTTATGGTCCAAAATAAAACCTCAGCTAGCTCTGCAGAAAGAGAAAGAAAGAAAGAGAGAGAAAGGAAGGAAGAAGTTTTTAGCCTGTACAATGAAGGGACAGAAAGGAGAAATAGCTCTATCTGGGCTGTGGTAGGACTTAAGCAGAGACTTTAAAGGGGAGATAATATCAGCTGCCTCATGAACAATAAGGGGATGTTTGCCAGACAGAAAATGAGGGAGAAGAGTGTGCCCAACAGGTAATTCCAGATGAGAAAAGGAAAGAAACACCCTGGCCTAAGCTTGAGGGAAATGTGAAAGGTGAGCCCAGTGTTTCGGCTTTAAGAGTGCAGGACCAGGAGGGATGGGAGGGGCCGGGTGAATGGTGAGTTTGTGGTCAGAGAAGATGCTTGATGTTATTTTTCCCGAATGTTTTAAGATGCGTTTTGTAATATAACATATGGTCTATTCTTGAGAACGATCCATGTGATGAAGAAAAGAATGTGTATTTTGCAGCCGTTGGATGAAATATTCTGTAAATATCTATTAGGTCCCTTTGTTCTGTAGGGCAGATTAAGTTCAACATTTCTTCACTGATTTTCTGTTTGGAAGATCTGTCCAATCCTGAAAGTGGAGTGTTGAAGTCTCCAGCTAATATTGTATTGGGGTCTATCTCTTTCTTTAGCTCTCATAATATTTGCTTCATACATCTGGGTGCTCCAGTGTTGAGTGCACATATATTTACAATTGTGATATCCTTTTGCTGAATTGACTCCTTTATCATTCTATAATGACCTTCTTTGTATCTTCTTATAGATTCTGTCTTGAAATCTATTTTGTCTGATATAAGTATAGCTACTCCTGCCCTTTTTTGGTTTCCCTTTGCATGGATTATCTTTTCTCATCGCTTTATTTTCAGTCTGTGTGTGTCATTACAGGCAAAATGTATTTCTTGTGGGCAACAGATCGTTGGACATTATTTTTTTATTTATTCAGCCACTCTATGTCTTTTAATTGGAACGTTTATTCCTTTTACAGTCAATGTTATTACTGATAAGTAAGGACTTTCTTCTGTCAGTTTGTTATTTGTTTTCTAATTGTTTTGTAGTCTCTCTTCCTTCCTGACTTCCTATTAGTGAAAGTTATTTTCTGTGGTGGTATGTCTTAATTTCTTTCTTTTTCTTTTTTTTTTTTTTTTTTTGCATCTGTTGTATACTTTTAGATTTGAGGCTACCACGGGGCTTCCAAATACTATCTTATAACCCTTTTGTTTTATTTATTTATTTATTTATTTATTTATTTATTTATTTATTTTTTGAGACAAAGTTGCTCTTATCCCCCAGGTTGGAGTGCAATAGAGTGATCTCGGCTCACTGCAACCTCTGCTTCCCAGATTCAAGCAATTCTCCTGCCTCAGCCTCCCGAGTAGCTGGGATTGTAGGTGCCTGCCACCATCACCAGCTTTTTTTTTGAGACAAAGTCTCACTCTGTTGCCCAGGCTGGAGTGCAGTGGCGCAACCTCTGCTGCCTGGGTTCAAGCGATTCTCCTGCCTCAGCCTCCTGAGTAGCTGGGATTACAGGCACCTGTCACTGTGCCTGGCTAATTTTTGTAGTTTTAGTAGAGACAGGCTTTCACCATATTGGCCAGGCTGGTCTTGAACTCCTGACATTGTGATCCACCTTCCTCGGCCTCCCAAAGTGCTGGGATTACAGGCGTGAGCCACCGCGCCCAGCCTTAATTTTTGTATTTTTAATAAAGATGGGATTTCATCATGTTGGCCAGAATGGTCTTGAACTCCTGACCTCAGGTGATCCGCCTGCCTTGGCCTCCCAAAGTGCTGGGATAACTGGCGTGAGCCACTGCGCCCGGCCATAACCCATTATTTTAAACTGATGATAGCACTGATTGCATAAGCAAACAAAGTAACAAGCAAAAAGAAAACTAATAAAAATTCTACACTTAACTTCATTTCCCTACTTTTTAACTTTTTGTTGTTTCCATTTATATCTTATTATACTGTGTATATCTTGAAAAGTTATTGTAGTTATTATTTTTAATTGGTTCATCTTTTCATCTTTCGATTTAAGATATGAGTACTTTACATATCACAATTACAGCATTATAATATTCTGTGTTTTTCTGTGTAGTTACTATTACTAGTGAGTTTTGTGCCTTCAGGTGACTTATTGTTTGCTCATTACCATCCTTTTCTTGAAGATTGATGAACTCCCTTTAGCATTTATTGTAGGACAGGTCTGGTATTGGTGAAATCCTGTGGCTTTTGTTTTTCTAGGAAAGTCTTTGTATCTCCTTCATGCATGAAGGATATTTTTGCTGGATATACTATTCTAGGATAAAAGTTTTTTTTTTTTCCTTCATCACTTTAAATATGTCATGCCACTCTCTCCTGGCTTGTAAGGTTTCTACTGAGGAGTCTGCTACCAGATATTTTGGAGCTCCATTGTATGTTATTTGTTTCTTTCCTTTTGTTGCTTTTAGGGTCCTTTCTTTATCCTTGACCTTTGGGAATTTGATTATTAAATGCCTTGAGGTAGTCTTCTTTGGGTCAAATATTTTTGTACTTGAATATTAATATCTTTCTCTAGGTTTGGGAAGTTCTCTGTTATTATTCCTTTGACTAAATTTTCTACTCCTCTCTCTACCTTTTCTTTAAGGCCAATAACTCTTAAATTTGTCCTGTTGACGCTATTGTGTATATCTTGTAGGTGTGCTTTATTCATTTCTATTCTTTTTTCTTCTGTCTCCTGTGAATGTGTGTTTTCAAACAGCTTGTTGTCAAGGTCAGTAATTCTTTCTTCTGTTTGATCAGTTCTGCCATTAAGAGACTCTGATGCATTCTTCAGTGTCTCAATTATATTTTTCAACTCCAGTATTTCTGCTTGATTCTTTTAAATTATTTCAATCTCTTTGTTAGATTTATCTGATAGGATTATGAATTCCTCTTCTGTGTTATCTTGAATTTATTTGAGTTTCCTCAAAGAGCTATTTTGAATTATCTGTCTAAAGGTCACATGTCTCTATCTCTCCGGGATTGGTCGCCAGTGTATTATTCAGTTTATTTGGTGAGGGGATGTTTTCCTGGATGGTTTTGATGTTTGTGGATGTTTGTCAGTGTCTGAGCATTGAAGAGTTAAGTATTTATTGTAGTCTTCACAGACTGGGCTTGTTTGTACTCATCCTTTTTGGGAAGGCTTTCCAGGTATTTGAAAGGTCTTGGGTGTTGTGATCTAAGTTTTTCGTCACTGCACCTGTGGTTCTTGCAGACTCATAGAGGTACTACCTTGGTGGCCTTGGATAAGATCTGGAAGAATTTTCTGGATTACCAAGTAGAGACTCTTGTTCTCTTCTCTTACTTTCTCCCAAACAAATGGAGTCTCTTTCCCTGTGCTGAGCTGCCTGTAGCTGGGAAAGGGGTAACACATGGACCCCTGTGGCCACCATGACTGGGACTGCACTGGGCCATACCTGAAAGCAACACAACCCTAGGTCTTGCACAAGGCCCACTGTGACTACTACCTGGCTACTACCTATGTTTGCTCAAGCCCCTAGGGCTCTACAGTCAGAAGGGGTGAAGCCAGCCAGGCTTGTGTCCTTCCCTTCAGGGCAGCTAGTTCCCCTGGGTCCCGAGCAGGTCCAGAGATGCTGTCTAAAGGCCAGGGCCTGGAGTCAGAAACCTTAGAACTCAACCTACTGCTCTATTCTGCTGTGGCTAAGGTAGTACCAAAACCACAAGACAAAGTTCTTCCCACTCTTCCCTGCCCTTTCCATAAGCAGAGGTATCTCTCCCTGTGTCCACCACCACCACAGATCCACAGGGAGTACTGCCAGGGTGCCAACGATGTTCACTTAAGGCCCAAGGACTCTTCAGTTAGCTTGTGGTGACTGCTGCCAGGCCTGGGACTCATCCTTCAGGGCAATGACATCCCCTTTGGCCCAGGGTAGGTCCAGAAATGCTGTACAAGAGCCAAGGCCTGGCATCAGGGACCCCACAGCCCTGCTTGGTGCTCTACCCCAGGGTGGCCAAGCTAGTACCTAAGCTGCAAGACAAAGTCCCCTTTATTTTTCCATCTCCTTTTCTTAATCAGAAGGAGTTTCTCCCTATGGCCATCACAGCTGGGAATATGATGGGTCACACGTGACACTAACACATGTTAGTCTCATCCAAGACCCATGGCCTGTACTACTTGGTTACTCTGCTGATTATTCAGGGCGCAGCCTTCCATCAGCAGGTCATGAATCCTGCCAGGACTGGGTTTTTTCCTTCAAGGCAGCAGTTTCTCTTCTGGCCCAGGGTGTGTCTAGGCATGTCATCTGGGAGCTAAGGCCTGGAATGGGGGGCCTCTCAACTCTGCCCGGTGCCCTATTGTAATATGGCTGAGCTGGTATCCAATTGCAAGACAAAATCATCTTTAAGAGTTGTAAGCTACAGTGCCTGAGTTTGTGAGAGGGGTGGTGCATAACTGCCTAACTGCCCTGGCTAGTGTCTTACTAGGTTGCATGCTACCCAAGTCCATTGGCTCTGAGCCCACCTAGCACAGCACTCAGACTTGCCTGGGAGTTGTAGTCCTTGTGGCCTAGACTTCAAGTTTATTTAGTTCCCTAGAGCACTTTAACCTGCAGTGGCGAGGCTTGCTGAAACTCATGTTCTGACTGTTGGCATGTGTGGTTCCCCTTTAGCTAGGGCTGGTCTGAATGCTTCTGCCGTGGACATTGGCTGAGTTCTGCCTAATATTGACAGCACTGAGTTCCAATGCAAAGTTTCACAATCGCTATGTTCTCCCTCCCTAAAGTGCACAGATTCTCTATCTGCACCACATGGCTGCTACTGGGGAATGGTGGAGGGGTGGTGTTGGTGATTCACGGTTGTCTTTTCTACCCTCTTCAGCACCAGCACTGTGACCATTCATCTGATTTTTGGTTCTTATGAAGGTGCTTTTTTGTTCTTATGAAGGTGCTTTTTTGTGTAGATAGTTATTAAATTTGGTATTCCTGTTGGGAGGACGATGGCTTCTGTTTGGCTGTCTTGCTCTGCCTCCCCAGGATATGTTTTTATGGCTGAAAAGAGCCAGGTAGCAAACATGGACACTCACTTATAATCAAAGGCAATGTGAGCTAATATGGAAAAAGAACTTAGCTGTATAGATAAATAACTTTTACTGTGATACATGAAATAAGAAAATGGGACAGAGTATTATCATGGTTTAAAAGTAGACAGATGGGTGGGATTCTTCCCTATTATGAGAGCTACATTTCAATCTTTTCCCTGTAATTAGTTGATGATTAAATAACATATCGATCTTTCACAGTCTGTCTTTTTCTTGTTTTTACAATTAACAAACTGTTTTTAAAATAAGACAGAAACATGTAGTTTAGGTGTTTAAAGACAGTAGAGGGTGGAGACGAGGTCTTGCTGTACTGCCAAGGCTGGTCTTGAACTCTTGGCTTCGCGGGATCTCCTGCCTCAGCCTCCCAGAGCATTATAGGTGTGAGCCACTGTGCCTGGCCTAGAATTTCCTCTCCGTGTGTGTGTGTGTGTGTGTGTGTGTGTGTGTGGGTGTGTGTAAGGCCAAATAGTACTGTATATAAATACTACTTTTTTTTTTTTTTTTTTGAGATGGAGTCTCACTCTGTCACCCAGGCTGGAGTGCAGTGGCATGATCTCGGCTCACTGCAACCTCCGCCTCCCCGGTTCAAGCGATTCTCCTGCCTCAGTCTCCCGAGTAGCTGGGACTACAGGTGCTTGCCACCGTGCCTGGCTAATTTTTTTATTTTTAGTAGAGACGGGGGTTTCACCATGTTGGCCAGGCTGGTCTCGAACTCCTGACCTCAGCTGATCCACCCACCTCAGCCTCCCAAAGTTCTGGGATTACACACGTGAGCCACCGCACCCGGCCATAAATACTACATTTTAAAATCCATTCGACATTAGGGATCGTGACAGATAGGTGGCAGGACTAGATTGCAGCTTTGACTCGGACGGACAGAGCAGCATGTGGAGGAACCAGAACGACTGCAGGAATAAATCAGGAAACCCGAGAGGACCCACAAACCCTCTGAAGGAAGTGGATTGTTCCTGCAGGACCTGGGAGACACCCCAAACACTGTTCTGGTATTCACGACTGAGAGACCCACAGAAGGTTCACATCACAGGACTCTGCGCAGACAATCCAGTACCAGCCCAGAGCCTGGTAGACTTGCTGGGTGGCTGGATCCAGAAGAGCGATAAAAATCACTACACCTTGGCTCTCAGGAAGCACATCCATAGGAAAAGGGGGAGAATACTACATCAAGGGAACAGGGAAACAAAAGAATCTGAACAACAGCCTTCAGCCCTAGACCTTTCCTCTGACAGAGCCACTGGTTCCAAGTGAGAAGGAACCAGAAAGCCAACTCTGGTAATATGACAAAACAAGGTTCTTTAATACCCCCCAAAATCACACTAGCTCATCGGCAATAGATGCAAACCAAGAAGAAATCCCTGATTTACCTGAAAAAAATTCAGGAGGTTAGTCATCAAGCTAATCAGGGAGGCACCAGAGAAAGGTGAAGCCCAATGTAAGGAAATTTTTAAAATGATACGAGAAGTGAAGGGAGAAATATTCAATGAAATAGATAGCATAAAGAAAACAATCAAAACTTCAGGAAACATTGGACACACAGAAATGCAAAATGCTCTGGAATGTCTCAGAAACAGAATCAAACAAGTAGTAGAAAGAAATTCAGAACTCGAAGACAAGGTCTTCAAATTAACTCAATCCAACAAAAACAAAGAAAAAAGAATAAGAAAATATGAACAAATCTTCCAAGAAGTCTGGGATTATGTTAAATGACCAAACCTAAGAATAATCAACATTCCTGAGGAAGAAGAGAATCTGAAAGCTTGGAAAACATATTTGGGGGAATAATCGAGAAAACTTCCCCAGCCTTGCTAGAGACCTAGACATCCAAATACAAGAAGCACAAAGAATGCCTGGGGTATGTATCACAAAAAGATCATTGCCTAGGCATATTGTCATCAGGTTATCTAAAGTTAAGACAAAGGAAAGAATCTGAAGAATTGTGAGACAAAAGCACCAGGTAATCCATAAAGGAAAACCTATCAGATTAACAGCAGATTTCTCAGCAGAAATCCTACAAGCTAGAAGGATTGGGGCCCTATCATCAGCCTCCTCAAACAAAACAATTATCAGCCAAAAATTTTGTATCCAGCGAAACAAAGCTTCATATATGAAGGAAAGATACCGTCTTTTTCAGATAAACAAATGCTGAGAGAATTCACCACTACCAAACCACCACTACAAGAAACTACTAAAAGGAGCTCTAAATCTTGAAACAAACCCTGGAAATACATCAAAACAGAACCTCTTTAAAGCATAAATCTCACAGGACATATAAAACAAAAATACAATTTAAAAACAAAAAACCAAGGTATACAGACAACAAATAGCACAATGAAAGGAATGGTAACTCACATCTCATACTAACATTGAATGTAAATGGCCTAAATGCTTCACTTAAAAGATACAGAACGGCAGAATGTGTAAGAATTCACCCCCCAACCATCTGCTGCCTTCAAAAGACTTACCTAACACATAAGGACTCACATAAACTTAAGGTAAAGGGGTGGAAAAAGACATTTCATGCAAATGGACACCAAAAGCGAGCAGGAGTAGCTATTCTTATATCAGACAAAACAAACTTTAAAGCAACAGTAGTTTAAAAGGACAAAGAGGGACATTATATAATGATGAAAGACTTGTCCAAAAGGAAAATATCACAATCCTAAACATATATGCACCTAACACTGGAGCTCTCAGATTTATAAAACAATTACTAATAGACCTAAGAAATAGATAGGCAGCAACACAATAGTAGTGCAGGACTTCAATACTCCACTGACAGCACTAGACCGGTCATCAAGACAGAAAATCAACAAAGAAACAGTGGATTTAAACTATACCCTGGAACAAATGGACTTAACAGATATATACAGAACATTTCATCCAACAACTGCAGAACATACATTCTATTCAACAGCACATGGAGCTTTCTTTTATTTATTTATTTTTGGTGTTTTTTTTTTTTATTATACTTTAAGTTCTGGGTTACATGTGCAGAACATGCAGTTTTGTTACATAGGTATACATGTGCCATGGTGGTTTGCTGCACCCATCAACCCATCACCAACATTAGGTATTTCTCCTAATGTTATCCCTACCCTAGCCCCCCCCATCCCCCACAGGCCCCAGTGTGTGCTGTTCCCCTCTCTGTGTCCATGTGTTCTCATTCTTCAACTCCCACTTATGAGTGAGAACATGCGGTGTTCGGTTTTCTGTCATTGTGATAGTTTGCTGAGAATGATGGTTTCCAGCTTCATCCATGTCCCAGCAAAGGACATGAACTCATCTTTTTTTTATGACTGCATAGTATTCCATGGTGTATATGTGCCACATTTTCTTAATCCAGTCTATCATTGATAAGTGCCGCAATAAACATACGTGAGCATGTGTCTTTATCGTAGAATCATTTATAATCCTTTGAGT